>NC_000005.10:40110648-40743173 GCF_000001405.40 Homo sapiens | reverse complement strand
CCTGTACTCACCCTTTTTCTATCACATCAGTGCATTTTGTTTTTGAGCATTTCTCCCTTTTTGAAGTTACTGTATACACTTATTTAGTGTGTTTAGAATATTTTGTTTATATGTTGTTTTTCTTTTGTAAGAATGTAAGCTCCAGGACAGTAAGGAATTTATCTAACTTGTATAGTGTCTTCAGCTCTTAGAATAATTTGTGGCACTTACTAGGCCCTCAGTAAATATTTATAAAGCTGTGATGTTTTTTGGCTGTATTATGGCTAAAAACGTTTTTATAAGCTAGCTACCATTTACTGCATGATATCTATAGAATATACGTTTAAAAACTCCAAATTAGAATATAGTATTCTGAGAATGTATTTTATTTCATACCCAAACCACAAAGGACCTTTGGGAATAAAATTTTCTCACCCTCCTCCCGAATGAAAATATGGCACTTGATAATAATTGCTCTATTCTGGGTCTTATTCTTTTTCTTCTTTTTTTAATCTCACAAGGATGGCAGGATTCTTTTTCTCATAACCCTTACTCTTCCCATTCCCCTGTTGTTTTGTGTACAGAAGGCTTTGTTTATGCAATAGGAAAATAACAACAGATTTTACAATACAGTGATTATGGTCTGGCATTAGTGCCAGATGGCTTTGTTTCTTATCCTAGTTCTGCTGTTGACCAGCTTTGCAATATTAGGCAAGTTATTCAGCTTCTCTGTGTTTAAGTTTCCTTTTCTGCAGAAAATATCTACCTCAATGCTGTTGTGATGGTGACATGAATTTACGTATGTAATGTACTTAATATATTGCCTGTCATGTAGTAAATACTCAATAAATATTAGTTATTATTATTATTACTATTATAGTAGTCCTAATTATTCTGTGTCCTTGATTGGCTATATATTTCTTCACTTGCAATTGCCTCATGGGGTTCTTATAAGGCTGAAATCCAATAACGGATACAAAAATACTTTAAAAAGTAGGCATGGATTTCTACTGACAGCCATGAGAGAGTTTCTAGAACTAGACCTGGATGGCCCCAAACAACTAGAAAATTGGACAAAAGATATAAAAAAAAAACTGTTTTCAACCATTGGACAGTAGTCAGCATAGGACTCTTATCTTTGAGAGAAGGGGCAAAAACAAGATGATCCCTATAAGCTTCCTTAATTTCTTTTTTTTCTTTTTTTTGAGACAGAGTCTCGCTCTGTTGGCCCAGGCTGGAGTGCATTGGCATGATCTCGGCTCACTGTAACCTCTGTCTCCCAGGCTCAAGCGGTTCTCCTGCCTCAGCCTCCTGAGTAGCTGGGATTACAGGTGTGTGCCACCACGCCTGGCTAATTTTTGTAATTTTAGTAGAGATGGGGTTTTACCATATTGGCCAGGCTGGTCTTGAACTCCTGACGTCAGGTAATCTGGCGTTCTTGGCCACCCAGAGTGCTGGAATTACAGGTGTGAGCTACCGTGCGTGGCTGAGCTCCCTTAATTTCTACCTGAAGGTAGTCTCCAGGGAATGGGCACACAGAAGAGGAAACCAGATAGACCACAGTGGTCTTGCTGCGTGAGGAGATGGAGATTGGACTTTGGAGAGGCTGACACAGCTAGAAGTTGCAGAGTAGAGTACCAGAGAAGAGGAAGCTACTCAGAGAAAAAGCTCCAGAAGTCTATGAGGTCCCTTTGAGTCTTTGTTGAACATTAGGCCATGCAACTATTGGGGAATTTCTGTAAATCCAGGGAAAATGACTGAGAAGTTGTAAGCTGAACCATTCGTAGCGTTCATACAGAGCGGAGAGCTATTCAAGCTTCAGCCATTCAGAATGGAGTGTCTTTGATGGTCACCAGAAATATTTACTGGAGTCACAGGGGGTTATTTCTTAGTAGAATGACTACACTATCCCTAGAGGGAAGGCTACTTCAGACCTTCCCTAGAAAACCTTTAAAAATAGTTTTTGAAGGGTTCAAACTGATACTTTCAAACTTTACTGCCTGCCAGAATAGAGCCTAACATTTTTAGTCAACAGTGTAACATTTAAAATATTCAGCATCTAATCAAAAATTACTGGACATGCCAAAGAGTTGGAAACTGTGACCCATAAATAGGAGACAAATCAGTCAATAGAAACATTCAGAAATAACATAGATGATGGAAGTAGTGGACAGAGAGATTAAAATGGTAATACAACTATATTCAGATAATTAAAGGGAAACAAACATAATGAGGAGTGAAATGGAAGATATATTAAAAAAAGGAACATCTAGAAATGAAAAATACGATATCTGAAATAAAAAATATACTGAACAGTTATGCTAGTCTGGGTCCTTCTAGAAGCATATGCTAAGACCGGCTTAAACATGCAAAGATTTCATTAGGGGAATCACTGTATGAGAGGACATGGGGTGGGAACTGAGTAAATCTGGGAGAGCTATGCTTGTCTAACCCCCAGTGAAGGGGAGAGGGAGGGAAGGTTGGATGGAAATGTCTTAGGCTGTCATATTATCTAAAGAAAGTTGGACAATACCTTGGATAGTCGTCAAGTCAGAGTTGTCCCTCATTGGAGTCCCATGCCCCTCGGGAATGAGCTGGTCTTCTTATTTCTGCTACTTCCAGTTAATGTGGAGAAAAGCCATGAGATATTTATCCTTGCTGCATATGTGGCCATGGATTTCGGAGTGTAGAAGCTGAGGTCAGCTGGAGGTCTATGCAAGATAATGGAATGACATCATTTAGTTTTGAAGGAAAGTAAAACTGCCAACTTAGAATTCTTTGTATTATAAAAATATCTTTCAGAAATGAAGGCAAAATAACTTTATTGGACAAACAAAAGCTGAGATAACCCATTACCAGTAGGCCTGGACTTCAAGAAATATTAAAAGAAATTCTTTACATAGAAGGAAAATCATACTAGATAGAAATTTGTGTCTAAGTAAAGAATGAAAGGGTTCTGGAAGTGGTAAACATGGGTAAGTATGAAGACTGATTTAAACAAAAAATTTAAATTCTTTAAAAAGATAATTGACATTAAATAACAACAGCAACATTTTGCAAAGTTATATAGAAGTAAATATATAACAATTGTAATAGATAGCATGAAGGGATAAATGGAATTATATTGCTATTAGGCTGTTATGTTGTATTCAAACCTAGACCCTAGAGAAACCATTAAAAAATAATAAAAGGCTTATAAGCCAATAATGGATGTAAAATAAAACAATTAGAAGCTGAATACTTTATTTTTAAAAAAAAGCACCATTTGTAGTATTATTCCCAAATCTAAAATTGTTAGGAAAAAAATTCAGCAAAACATGTATAAAAACTATATGAAAACTACAAAATGCTGCTGAAATGTTAAAAGACCTAAATAAATCAATAAATATACACTATACTTGTATTAGTTTGTCCTCACACTGCTATAAACAACTACCTGAGACTGGATAATTTATGAAAAAAACAGGTTTAATTGGCTCACGGTTCTGTGGGCTGCATAGGAAGCATAATGTTGGCATCTGCTCAGCTTCTGGGGAGCCCTCAGGAAAGCTATAATCATAGCAGAAGGCAAAGGTAGGAGCCAGCACTTCACATGGCTGGAGCAGGAGGAAGAGAGAGTGTGGGGAGTGGGAGTGCTACACACTTTTATGCAACCAGATCTTGCAAGAACTCACTATCACGAGAACAGTACCAAGAGGGAAACCTGCCCCCATGATCCAATCACCTCCCACCAGACCCCACCTTTAACACTGGGGATTACAATTTGACATGAGATTTGGGTGGGGATACAGATCCAAACCATATCAATGCTCATAGATTGGAAGATAGTATTTTGTTAATACATCAGTTCTCCCGAAATTGATCTGTAAACTCAGTGCAATTCCAATCGAAATCCCAGCAAGCTTGCGTTTGAGATAATTGACAAGCTTATTCTAAAGTTTATGTGGAAATGCAAAGAATCTAGACTAGCCAAAAGAATTTTATGAAATAAAACATACTTAGGGAACTTATATTACTTAATTTAAGTCCTTAACTGTGTTTTTGAATGTTATACCTTTATAGTACTAGTGTAAAGATAGACATACATGGATCAATGAAAATAATATATGATACAGAAATGACCCACATGTATGTGGTCAGTTGATACAAATGAAAACTTCTGGTTTTTAAAAGGCTTAATTGAGAACATGAAAAGTCAGGCCACAGGCTGGGAGAAAATATTTCCAGTCCATATATCTGACGTAGGACTTGTTTCCAGAGTATAGAAGAACTCTTACAACTCAGTAGGAAGAAGACAAGCTATTCATGTAAAGAATGGGTAAAAAGTTGGAGCAGATGCTTCACAAAAGAAAATATATGAATGACCAAGAAGCATAAAAAAAGCTGCTCAACACTATTAGTCATCAAGAAATTTCAAATTAAAACCACAATGAGATACTATTACCTAGTTACTAGAATGCTAACATTGAAAAGATTGACAGTATCAAGTGTTGGCAAAGATATGGAGCAAGTTAAACTTTTATACATTGCTCATGAAAATGTAAAATAGCTTTACCTCTTTGGCAAACTGTCTGGTTGTTTCACTTTTTTATTTTATTTTATTTTATTTTATTTTATTTTATTTTATATTTTATTTTATTTTATTTTATTTTATTGTATTTTATTGTATTTTATTTTATTGTATTTTATTGTATTGTATTGTATTGTATTGTATTGTATTGTATTGTATTGTATTGTATTGTATTGTATTTTATTTTATATTTTATTTTATTTTATTTTTGAGATGGAGTCTTGCTCTGTTGCCCAGGCTGGACTGCAGTGGCATGATCTCAGCTCACTGCAACCTCCACCTCCCGGGTTCAAGCAATTCTCCTGCCTCAGCACTCCCGACTAGCTGGGATTACAGGCGCGCACCACTCTATGCCTGGCTAATTTTTGAATTTTTAGTAGAGACAGGGTTTCACCGTCTTGGCCAGCCTGATCTCAAACTCCTGACCTCAGGTTATCTGCCTGCCTTGGCCTCCCAAAGTGCTGGGATTACAGGCATGAGCCACTGTGCCTGGCCTGTTTCACATAAAGTTAAATATATACTTTATTGTACAATCTCACAGTTTTATTCCTAGATACTAATTCAGAAGAAATGAAAACATTATATCCACACAAAGACTGTTCCAACAATGTCTCTAGCAGCTTTATTAATAGTGTCCATGAACTGGGACAACCTAAATGTTCATCAGCAGGTGAATGAATGAATAAATTGTGGTATATCCATACAATAGTATTCTCTTGAGCAGTAAAAAGAAATGATTGACATCTCAGAAACATGCTAAGGGAAAGAAGTCAGGAAGAGTACATACCGTCTGATTCCAATTTTATAAATCTGTCTAAAGACAAATTAATCCATAGTGACAGAAAAAATCAGTAGTTGTCTGGGGTCAGCAGTTGGGGTAGATTTCCCGAGAAAGGGGCACAGAAAACTTTTTGGATTGACAAAAATGTTCTTTATTGTGATGGTTGTGGTTGTATTTACATGAGTATATACATTTCTCAAAACTCATCAGAAAGTATGCTTCAAGTGGGTACGTTTTTTGATATATAAATCACACACCAGTAAATTTGATTAAAAAAACAAAGTTTTGAGTGCTTGTCAAATGTAAAATAATTCTATATTCGTTTCATATATCTTTATATGTGTTCATGATGTCTTTGTGTTCTGAATTTGCTGTTATATTGCAAGTTAATTGACAGATAATTTAGATTTCAGTAAAATTTTGAATCTGGATATTATGTATTTTCGGGTCTTGGTTATTTTATCACTCTGTCAGCCTTCTTTAGTAACTCTTGTGCATCACCTGTAGGATAGTAGCAGAAGTCCCCAGTCTTTTTTTTTTTTTTGAGGTGGAGCCTCACTCTGTTGCCCAGGCGGCTGGAGTGCAGTAGCACGATCTTGTCTCATTGCAATCTCCACTTTCCAGGTTCAAGTGATTCTTGTCCCTCAGCCTCCTGAGGAGCTGGGGCTACAGGTGTGCGCCACCATGCCTGGCTGATTTTTTGTATTTTTAGTAGAGATGGGGTTTTGCCATGTTGCCCAGGCTGATCTTGAACTCCTGGGCTCAGGCGATCTTCCTGCCTTGGCCTCCCAAAGTGCTGGGATTACAGGCCTGAGCCACCATGCTCAACCTTGAGTGGCTTTTAAATTCAGAAGTCTTACCTTAGAGTATTCATGATTCTTTTTAACAAAAATCTGGTTTACTCTTCTACCCAACCCCCAAGAAATTTTGGTGCTTAATAGAGATGGTATAGTGAGTATAGTGGTTAAGAGTGTAGATTTTGAAGTCAGATTACCTCCATTCAAATCCCAACTTTATCATTTCTATCTGCATAAACTTTGGGTAGTTATTTTTTGTCAATTTCTACCTCATAGGTCAAATGGTGATACATATCTTATAGAATTTTGGAGGATTAAAGAGCAAAGTCCATGTAAAAGCATGCTACCTAGCACCTAATAAGCACCAAGTGAATGTACTTTAGATATAATATTTTAGGATTTTATATGTTCTTGGTATATTTCCTGTAGTAGTAATATATATTTTTGTAAATTATTTTGTTCAAGTGGCTTTTTCTAGAATTATTACAAACTAGGTTATACCTTCTCAAGAGTCACGGTGTTAGTCCCAACTTTGACATCTTGGCTTTTAAAGTTTCAGCCACTAGATGGTGATATTTGACTGTCTAGCTAACTGGTCTGATTTTTCTGTTAGAATCAGTTGTATGTGTATGAAGCAGGAATATAAATTAGAATTTACCATGCATTTTGTTCTTGTCTAGGAAAGTATACCTACTAATGTAAATTTGAGGGTGATCTTGCTGTGTGACCCACATTCTGCAGATTACTCACATCAGTATATTTAATGACAGTGGTTTTGCCTCATGCTCTGTGGAAAAACATAGATACAGTCAGTGTAGAATGACTTTATTTTCTCACCAGCACATCTTCCAACCTTACTGTATTTGTGCCTATATGATCTGTCATCATTCCATTGTAATTATCAAAGGCCCACCACTCCACTTGTACTCTAGACCCCATCCCCTTGTGCCTTCTCAGGAACGTTGTTCTGAAATTGTCCTCTCATTTTTATATAATCTGTTTCTTCTTTTCTCTCGGTCCTTCTTGCTGGCATGCAAACATACCCTGATAACATCCATTTAAAAAGCTTCTCTCCAAATGCTCTGCCATTTCTCTGCTCCCACTGCACTACAAACTCCATTTCTTGATGAACCATCCAGTCATATTTCTGTCCCCATGAATCCACTGAAACTGCTTTTGTAAAGGTTATCAGTGACCTCCATGTTGTCAAATCCAGTCATCACTTCTCTGTTGTCATTTATTGTGCTTCTCATCATTCAGCACAGGTGACCACAGTCTTCCTAAATACACTGCTCTCTCATCTTCCACACCACCATGCTATCATGCTTGTCCTTGTCTCCATGTCCTCTCCTTTTTAATCTTTGCTTGCTCCTTTCCTTTTGCTCTCCAGATCAACAATCATCTGTGTTTGTGGAGCTGTTGCCAGCTTAACATAGACCTTGTATTTATTCTTCTTTCTTCATGGCTTACTTCTGTTTTTCCCTCACTCTTGATTGCGTGGGATCCTATCCACTCAATAAAGATTTAGCCAGTAAGCTTTGGCCTCAGGCTCTGTTTTCCAGGTAACCCAAATTATCCTGGATTTCTTTCTTTTTTTCACTCATACCAAGTCCAAGTTGAGCCAACTGTACATTTTCAGTGTGTTGTAAATCTTTTTTCCTCTTTCTGTTTTCACTTCTATCCTTATCTAGGGTTATCTCATACCTAAATTACTTTGGTTGTCTCATATCTAGCCTTCCTGTGTACATTTTTGTACCCTTACTGTCTATTCTTCTGGGTCTGACTGATCTTTTAAAAATGTAAATCAATAATTCATGTCTCACTGTTGTATAAAAACTCTGTGGATTCTTCATCACACATACAATTAAATCCACATGCATAACTATGGCTTATTGTATTCTCTGTGATCATGGCTTCGGCCCACCTCCCTGACCTCTGACTTCCTTTCCTCTGGTTTTATTTCCTTTCCACAAAACATGGTTTGGTCCTGCCCCAGGTTCTTCCCTTTGCCTGGAATGGACCTTCTCCAGATTTTCAGTTGTCTGACCACGTTTTGTCACTCAGGTCTCAGCTTGAATGCGTTCCTAGGAAGACCTTTCTTGACCGCCCATTCCGAATAGCCACTTGGTCACTCCCTATCACATTCCTCCATTTGTCTTTTATCACGGCACTTATATTTTAACTGTTTGTTATCTTTCTTTCCCTGTCCCCTTCTAACATGCATACACTTTAGAAAGTAAGATCTGGAAGAATAGTAGGGACCTTTTATATCTTGTTGGGTGCTGCATCCTTAGTACTTATTACTAGAATTCTACCTGTCCCAGGGTAGGTGCCCAGTAAATATTTATAAAGTGAATAAGCTGTTAACTATATAGCTCATTAAATTTAAAGCCACAGTAAATTAGAAGTCTAATTGGGAGTAAAGTAGCTAAACACATTGACATTTCTATTTGGTAAATGAGTGTGCTATCTAACTTATTTAGCTTGATCACCAGCTGTTCTTTACCTCAGTATAGGGCATTATCTCATCCTGCCCTGTTGTAGTCCATGGAACTATTCCCTTTGCTTCCTTCCTTGTGCTACTTCAGTTGCATACTGTTAAGATTGTCCTTAAACTGGCGGAATCAGACTTTGGTCATTTATTAACCACAGTGACTTTAAACCAAGTTTTTATCTTTTAATGCTTCCTATCCAACAGCTGCAGTAGGGCTGTGTCTGTTCAGTCTGTTCCAAACTGAAGTTGAATTAAGAGATATGCTGCAGAAATTATGAGAGACTATTGATTTGTTCAGTGCCAAGTTTCCTGTGATCTAAAAATGGAGGAACTAAGTGGTGCCACCCTTTGTTTGCAGGCCAACAGAAGTAAACCAAAGAGAAATGAGAAGGGGGAAGAATTGAATAAGTTGATGATAGTGAAGTAAATACCCACCATTTCTTGCTTTGTTTAGCATGGAAAACAGCTCACTTGTTCCTTTAAACCTTTATAGGCCTCGTTGGCAACAAAGCACATTTCATTGAGGGATGCCTCTGCTGGCAGCAATGGTTATGCTTTCAAAATAAAAGACAGTGCAGTTGAGAAGAGAGGACATTTTTCTTTTTTCTCAAATCTGTAAGCCTGTGTTTACACGTGTGTGTGTGTATGTCTGTTTGTATGTATATGCACACATGCATACCTGCCTAATAAAAAGAAAAAACTAGTGATGGTCATTGTCACCTTGAACCTCTTAGTTTATTTCGTACTTGGGACAACTTAAGCTTAGGAACATAAGCAGCTTTGTGGGGTTGGGGACGGGATAAGCCATCCTGTTCTCAGCAGTAGTGCTAGTGGTATTTTCAGCAAGACAGCTCTTTATTGTGCAGGCTTGCTCTTTGCCTTGAAGAATGTTAACATCCCTGACCCTCTGCCACTAGTTCCTCCAAGTCACAGTGATGACCACAAATGCCTTCTATGGGGTGATAACTTCCTCTGGTTGAGTTGGGCAGAAAATAGGACTGGAAGTAAAAAGTAAATTTGACAAATATGATAAGCTTTTAACAGTGGTTGGGCCAAGTAGATCTAGGGTTGGCAAACTTTATTTATAAAAACAACCTGTTTTTATAAATAAAGTTTTACTGGGACACAGCAATGCCCATTTTTTGAATGCATTGTTTATGGCTTATTTTGGGATACAGTAATAGAGTTGAATAGTTGTGATAGACTGTATGGTTCACAAAACCTAAAATGTTTACTATATGGACCTTTACTATGCCACCCCTTGCTCTAGAGACCAAAGACCTTCAGCCCCTTCCTCAAAAGCTGTCAAAGACTCCTGAAACCTCAAACATCCAGGTTCTTAAGGTCCCTCTGCTAAACGTAGAATTCTCATGTTTTTGTTTTTTTCTACCTATATTCACATTCCCCTAGTCTTGGGATTTCTTATAATTTCTATATATGAAATAATGAACGGAACAAAGTAAGAATTTACATTTTTACCACTTTTGTCTTAGGATAGAATTTGTTTTTATTACCATTTTTTTTTCCTGTGTGTTAAGAGCATGCTACATCTGTCCCCTCTTTTCTTGCTTTATATGCTGCTCTCTGCTGCCTTCAGGACTTGGAGAAGGTAGGACAAATGAGGTAGATAGAATCTGTTATATTAGGCCGGGCGCGGTGGCTCATGCCTATAATCCCAGCACTTTGGGAGGCCGAGGCGGGCAGATCAGTTGAGGTCAAGAGTTCAAGACCAGCCTGGCCAACATGGTGAAACCCCATCTCTACGAAAAAACAAAAATTAGCCAGGTGTGGTGGCATGTGCCTGTAGTCCCAGCCACTCGGGGGGCTGAGGCAGGAGAATCGCTTGAACCTGGGAGGTGGAGGTTGCAGTGAGCTGAGATCATGCCACTGTACTCCATGTACTCCAGCCTGGGTGACAGAGCAAGACTGTCTAAAAAAAAATCTGTTATATTAGTACCTTCTACATTCCCAGAAATGTTCTGGGTACTGTAGAGCATATAAACAAATCTACCCTTTGGTTCCTGAACTCATTAGAGAAGAGAAGACAAAAATACAAGGAGGAATTAGAGCAGAACTAAATGGGAGGCATACTTGATATAGTTACAGAAAGTATTGGTCTTGTATTTTTAAGAGCTAGCTTTAAATCCTGTCTTTTGCAGGACTTGGACAGTCCTTTAGCTGCTCTCAACCATTGGTTCCTCATCAATAAAGTGAGAACAAGTAATGCCAAACTTGAGGCTAGGCATGGTGGCTCACCCCTGTAATCTCAGCACTTGTGGAGGCCAAGGCAGGAGGATTGCTTGAGGCCAGAAGTTTGAGACCAGCCTGAGCAACATAGTGAGACCCTGTCTCTACAAAAATAAAAAAATAAAAAAATTAGCTGGCCATAGTGGCATATGCCTGTAGTCCTAGCTACTCAGTAGGCTGAGGTGGGAGGCCCTTGAGCCCAAGAGTTCAAGGCTGCAATGAGCTGTGATCATGCCAGTGCAACGGAGCAAGACTCTGTCTCTCAAAATAATTTTTAAAAAAGCAAATAACACCAAATTTATATTCACTTACTTTGAGTAGTAAGTGAATTAACTTTTTGGGAAAATAATTGTATGTTAAATAATTGTATTGAAAGTGCTTTGTAAAACATAAAATGCTTTGGAAATATAAGTGTTGCTATGTGGTCTGAAGTGGTACTCATAGTTAGTGGGCTAGAGCCACTGGAGGAGGTCTTCATGAAGAACGGAGCATTTTAACTTGGTCTTAGAGGAGGAGCCTTTGAATAGATGAAGAGGAGTAGGAAGGCAATCTTAGATATGTGATATGGTTTGGCTCTGTGTCCCCACCCAAATCTCACCTTGAATTGTAATAATCCCCGTGTCAAGGATGGGACCAGGTGGAGATAATTGAATTATGGCGGCAGTTTCTGCCATGCTGGTCTCATGACACTGAGTTCTCACGAGATCTTATGGATTTATAAGGGGCTTCCCTGTTTGCTCAGCGCTCATTTCTCTCTCGTGCCTCCATGTGAAGAAGGATGTGTTTGCTTCCCCTTCTGCCATCCTTGTAAGTTTCCTGAGGCCTCCCCAGCCCTGTGGTACTGAGTCAATTAAACCTCTTTCCTTTATAAATTTCCTAGTCTTGGGCAGTTCTTTATTGCAGCGTGAGAGTGAACTAATACAGATGTGTGTGTGTGTATGTGTAGCAGGGGATCCATACTAACAAAGGCATGATATGTGGGTAGGGACTATAAAAACCCTGCTGAGTGGAGCACAGGTATGTGTAGGGAGTGGTAGAAAAAAGATTGGACAAACAGTCCAACCTTTTCCTTCTAATGCTGGAGGAAAGACATTTGCTACTATTAAGTCTTGCAGAATTTATTACTGCTACCTTTGTTAGAAAATTGTGAGTGGAAGGATTGTTATGAAGGAATACATCAATAAATTAATTTCCAAAGTTTTTCCTGTCACATCTACAATAACATTTGGAAATATTGTTTAGAGAGGCTTGAAATCACCCACAATATGCCTAAAGAAGTGCAAGTACTTTCTTTTTAGGTGATATAGTTACTGCTTTTAGAGGTTATATCATTAAAGCTTAGTAGATGATGGCACCACAGTACTAAATTTATTTAATGTTGTATATACTTTTATTATTATTATAAATAATCAGAAATGGGTGTTAAATTATACTAAGTATTGTTTAGTGGCATGTACTTTTTTCTCCCTTATCTGTTACATATGAACCCATTTCTAAGTTTTTCTGAGCATACACTACATGATCATGTGGATTTTGTACTTTAGTAAGTTGCTGGACTTAATTTGCTAATCCTTTATTTTGGATTTTTACATATATTTCATGGACTAGAAAGTAGTCCAAAAAACTGTTGAACTGAAAGTACATGACTGCTCCTCCTGAAAGCAGTCTAAGAGTAGAATGGTGTTTGCCCGGGGGTGGAGGAGGGGGCAATGAGGAGTTATTGTTTAATGGGTATGGAGTTTCAGTTTGGGAAGATGAAAAAGTTCTGGAGATGAATGGTGGTGGTGGTTGCACACAAAGGTGAATGAACTATATGTACTTAATGCTACTTAATGCCTCTGAACTGTACACTTAAATGGTTAAGATGGTAAATTTTATATTTTACTACAATAAAAATTTTTTTTTGAAAGTCCAAAAAAGCATATTGAAAATATGGCATTGATATAACTTTAACAACCACAGATATCGGGAGGCAATTCAGAAGTGGGATGAAGCACTACAGTTAACTCCAAATGATGCTACCCTATACGAGATGAAATCACAGGTAATAATTATGAAGAATTTCACTTTCCTTATGAAATTGTGCTATGTTTGTTCGGTGAGTGAGCAATGATGAAGCAAAATAGCATTTTCTCCCATTTTCTTTTACAAATACGGTTTCTTTGGGAAAAAATATTTCACCATTATTTATGGTTCTGTCTTATGCATAAAACTGGAAATTCATTTGCCTTTACAATGAAGTTAACTGTTATTTTAGCCTAACTATTGTAAGATAGGAATCGGTGGCTATCTTTTAAAGTCACTGGTGGGCAGGTGCCATGGCTCACGTCTGTAATCCCAGCAATTTGGGAGGCCGAGGTGGGTGGATCACTTGAGGTCAGAAGTTCGAGACCACCCTGACCAACATGGTGAAACCTTGCCTCTACTAAAAATACAAATATTAGCTGGGCGTGGTGGCACATGCCTGTAGTCCCAGCTACTTGAGAGGCTGAGGCAGGAGGACCACTTGAACGTGGGAGGCGGAGGTTGCAGTGAGCTGAGATAGTGCCACTGCACTCCAGCCTGGGTGACACAGCGAGACTCCATCTCAAAAAAATAAATAAGTAAATAAAAAATAAATAAAAAGTCACTGTTGAGCTCTTAGATGAAAAACATACGCTTTCCTTGTGATTAAATATAGTAGACTTAGCAAAATAGTTCAGTTTTCTTAAAAATGAGGATGGATTGGGTTCTAGATGAGATATTTCTAAAAATGGCTTAGTCCTTAGCAAAAGGTCAGCATAGATGCAATTTTATTAATAGCTTAAAAATAACATTTGTACTTTAAAAACATGTTTCTAATATTTTGTAGGAAAGTCTGTAAAGAAAACCTTTGAGCACTTGAATAGGTTATCCAAGTGATTTTAAAAGTCTCACACAGAGCATTAAACATATTTTTGGCAGGGAATTGTTGCAATTCAGCCTTAATCTGCACACCTAACAAATATTTTTCAAATCGTGATCTCAAATATAGGACACACATTTGTCACCTTTGACTTTAGTTTATCCAGGAAAAACCCAAATAAATTATGTCATCTGAATCAAGTGATATGAGGACCTTCATTTGTATTCCTTTTTCAATCTTAAATATGTATATATGAATGACAGGTTTGTGGCAAGCTTTATGAAGACTTGTTTAATTTGGAACCTGATAATAATGTTTGTATCACAAATCTTTTAAAGTGTTAATGGTCCTAAAGATTATAGATAAAATCCAGCCTCTTCCCACAGACCACAGTGGAGGGTACTAGAACTCTCTGGTAACCCTAACTCTCCCTAACCCTAACCCTAACCCTAACCCTACCTTCCTAGTATGTATGGTTTGAAATGCCCAGTAGTGAGAAGGCCTAGGGAATGTTTTAAATACTTTTTATAACATAAAGATGTTCATTAGGGACGGGATGGCTGGTTGAACAAATTAATTCACCTAGTTTAATGGCAATACCTGGGGTTCCCTGAAAACCACATTGTAAATAGAATAAATGGAAGTGGAATTGGGAGTTCAAAATACCTCTGAGCCACCATAGTTAGGATATGACCACTTGGTTTTGACCAGATGGACATAAGATTCAATAACTGGAAAGGGAATCGTTTACATTTTCATAGTTATATAAGGGGTGAAAAGAGAACTATAATTTCTTACCCTGAATGGCAGAGTAAGGGGTAAAAATCACCGAAATGCTATTTTTACTGGACTAAAAATATATCTTAAAAAATGAAAAGGGTTTTTTATGTAGTTGCTAGTTTATGAATATTACTGACAGATTTTTTGGTCTTTTTTTGCCTATAGGTGCTAATGTCTCTTCATGAAATGTTCCCAGCAGTACATGCAGCAGAAATGGCCGTCCAGCAAAATCCACATTCATGGGAGTCTTGGCAGACTTTGGGACGTGCTCAACTTGGTTTAGGAGAGATAATCCTGGTGAGGAAGTCAGATTATTATAATGCAGAAATTTTAAGTATATTTTGACTTTTTTTTTTTTTTGAGATGGAGTCTTGATGTCACCCAGGGTACAGTGCAGTGGTGCAATCTCAGCTCACGGCAACCTCCGCCTCCTGGGTTCAAGCGATTCTCCTGTCTCAGCCTCCTGTGTAGCTGGGACTATAGGCATGCGCCACCATGCCTGGCTAATGTTTTTGTATTTTTAGTAGAGACGGGGTGTCACCATGTTAGTCAGGCTGGTCTTTAACTTTTGACCTCAAATGATTCTCCAGCCTCGGCCTCCCAAAGTGCTGGGATTACAGGCGTGAGCCAACATGCCCAGTCTATTTTGACATATTTTTGATTAACTGAACCCAAAAGTGAATAGCCGTTTATCAAGTCTATACAAAAAACAATTAGCAAATTACTTCTTAAAGGTATTAATCCATAAACACAGTTCACAGGTATTACTGAACATCTTTTTTATTATAGACACTAATTATATCATGATCAGAATATTTTTCAGTTACTTGACATCATGGATATTAAAAAAAATTTAACATAAAACATTGGCATTTGGTAAACCTTATTTAAATAGACAATAGGCAACTTTTTGGCTTAGTTCTTTGGATCATTACATTTACCACATTATAAAGTGGTATTAGTATCACTGTGGAGACAAAACCGCTGATAGATTATACAGGGGAAGGAAGACAGTAGAATATGGGAGGGTAATGGTGATGAACATTTAGACTGAAAAGTTGTTAGGCTTATTGAGGGGATAAAGAGGAAGAGTAGAAATGTGTGCAAATGAAATACTCATTGTGTAATGTTTACCGTAAACTGGTACCTAATGCATCTCTCAATTTGTCTGGACTATACCTTGTTAGTAGCAGAGGCTATCTAGGTAAGAATTAGCTGTGACAGCTGTCCTGTTGTTTTTCTTTTGGCAGGGCTATATACACCTGATAGCTAACGAAATTTAACTTCCTAACAAGTGTTTGCAAATCTAATATACAGTGCCAAATTTCCTCCTTGTTATTAAGTAAATTAAGATTTTAAAAATGGTTTTATTTTTTACAGTTCAAAATAAAACATTTTAAAAGTTTCTTGCAAGACTAAAATTACTGATAAATTCAAAATATAAACTTACTAACAGTGGTTTTAGTAAATTGTGGATGACTGAGCTTTTTTTCTGGCATTCTTATAAATGTATCATTATTTCTACTTACCAAAAAAGGTGTTTGTCAAATTCTCAGAAATAGTAAGGAATTTGTATGAGAAAATAATTGATTTGATTAAAGTAAGTTAATGATAATCTAAATGAGATTCACAGTGATAGAAACCATTTTAACCAAGTACTGTTTTTTTCTTGCCATTTAGCACTGTCAACTTCTCTCTTTTTACATGAAGACTTAAATCATACCAGAGTTGGAAAAAAGAGTTCAAAGAATTTAGTTTTCTAACATTAACAGGGGAAGAAAACCCTATCATATAATACTTTTTCCTTGCCTCCCTTATTAAAAATTTATACATCACTATCTCTTTTGCCAATAGTGTCTATGGTAATGGAACAAATCTCTAGGACATAATATTTAGTAAAGATTGTCCTTTATAAAGAAAGAAAATACACTGCAGGTGAGACGGAGATACTTTGAATCATCCAATAAAAATAATTTAATATTTAAATTTTTTTGAATAAGAGTACCAGTTCGACTTTTTTTTTTTCTGTTGATATGGCTCTATTCATTAATACTGTGAAATTCTTAGAAGAATTGAAAGTATTTTTTTTTTGCCATTTAAATGTAATTTTTAGGAATCTTCTCTGTTTTTATGTAGATTTAAGCTGTTCTCTTAAAAGACTAGAATGGTAAAAAAAAAAGATGACTCAAAATGTCATAACGAAGGGACACTATGTAAAATATATTGAAAGCAAGCTAGAATTTCTAATATCTAACAATTCTTACTATATATACATATGGACTAAAACCATAGGAAATTATGTATGTAAATAGCACAGGCAGTAAATTAAAAGTCAGTAGTTGGGTATATCTCCATGAATAATTATTTAAACTTTGTAAGAGTTGGATGTGAACATTGGAAAATGTTTATAGGAGATATATATATATAAAATATGTATGTATATGGTATACATTTTATATATATATACGTGTGTGTGTGTGTATATATATATATATATAAAAGACTTTATGAGAATGAGATTTTAAGAAGTGGAAGGATGAGAGAATAAGAAAGCTGAAGCCAGGCGCGGTGGCTCAAGTCTGTAATCCCAGCACTTTGGGAGGCCGAGGCGGGCGGATCACAAGGTCAGGAGATTGAGACCATCCTGGCTAACACGGTGAAACCCCGTCTCTACTAAAAATACAAAAAATTAGCTGGACGTGGTGGCGGGCGCCTGTAGTCCCAGCTGCTCGGGAGGCTGAGGCAGGAGAATGGCGTGAACCTGGGAGGCGGAGCTTGCAGTGAGCTGAGATCGCGCCACTGCACTCCAGCCTGGGTGACAGAGCAAGACCTGTCTCAAAAAAAAAAAAAAAAAAAAGCTGAAGAGAATGGTTCTGGGAGTTAAAAATTCTGTATGAGGGAATGGGGATGGTGAGAAAGGAATACATAAGGGATTTATCCTGAAGAAGAAGGTAGAGAGGGAAGGAGACTGGGAAAGGTAATGAATACCAGGAGGTAACAGTATCAGGAAGGATTCTTCTGTTGGCTTTCCAGGGTTCTCAGCCTTCAGTGCTGGAACTAGCTTTGTGGCTTCCCTTCTTCGGGCTCTGTGTAATTCATTGCCAGCTTTTGCTTTTCTTCATGCCAATGTGCAATAAATACTAATTTTGTTTACTAATGTTTTCTCTGTTTTCCAAGTCTCATTTTAGCCATTGGTTTTAATATTTTGCATGAGCAAATCTTTAATTAGAAATTTCAGTTGCATCATTTGATTCTTTTTATTGTTTCGCTTTTGTAATGGTAGTAATGGGATGGACAAGTGATAATTTCCAGACAAAAGGAAGATGATTGAGAGTTTTTAAAATTTCACTTGAGGGGCTGGGCATCCTGGCTCACGCGTATAATCTCAGCACTTTGGGAGGCTGAGGCAGAAGGATTGCTTGAGGCCAGGAGTTTGGACCAACCTGGGTAGCATGGCAAGATCCTATATTTACAAAAAAAAAAAAAAAAAATTTGGCTGGGCATGGTGGCTCATGCCTGTAATCCCAGCATGTTGGGAGGCTGAGGTGGGTTGATCACCTGAGGTCAGGAGTTTTGAGACCAGCCTGGCCAACATGGTGAAACGTCGTCTCTACTAAAAATACAAAAATTAGCCAGGCATGGTGGTGTGTGCCTGTAGTTCCAGCTACTCAGGAGGCAGGAGAATATCTTGAACCTGGCAGGTGGAGGTTGCAGTGAGCTGAGATCGCACCACTGCACTCCAGCATGAGTGACAGAGTGAGACTCCATCTCAAAAAAAAAAAAAAAAATCCACTTGTAAATTTTTAGTTTAGTTAATTACTGTAGACATTGTTTGAGTCAAGCTGCATTATCTTTTTTATAATTGAATAGTACAAATTCTTGAATTATAGTCTTTATAAATGTTGTATGTTGACACTTAAGAATTGAGTTTTTTTCTTGAAAAATAAAGTTTGTTTATGAGCTTTATTATTGTTCTGTTTTTTTTTGTTTGTTTGTTTTTTGTTTTTTTGAGATGGAGTCTCGCTCTGTTCCCCAGGCTGGAGTGCACTGGTGTGATCTCGGCTCACTTCAACCTCCACCTCCCGGGTTCAAGCCATTCTCGTTCCTCAGCCTCCCAAGTAGCTGGGACTATAGGCGTGTGCCACCATGTCTGGCTAATTTTTGTAATTTTAGTAGAGACAGGGTTTCACCGTGTTGGCCAGGCTGGTCTTGAACTCCTGACCTCATGATCCTCCTGCCTCAGCCTCCCAATGTTCCGGGATTACAGGCGTGAGCCACTGTGCCTTGCCTCACAATTTTACTTTTTGAGTCTATGAATTTGCCTGTTTTAGAGATATCGTATAAGTGGAATTATGCAGAATTTGCTTTCTGTGACTGGCTTCTTTCACTTAGCATAATGTCCTCAAAGTCCCATCCATGTTGTGTATTGTAGAATTTGCTTCTTTTTTGAAGCTGAAAAATATTTCATTTTGTGTGTATACCATTTGCTTTGTTCATTCTTCCTTTGATGGACATTTAGGTTGTTTCTACATATTGGCTATCGTGAATAGTGCTGCCATGAACCTGGGAGTGCTAATATCTCTTTGAGATCTTGATTCTTTTGGATAAATATCCAGAAATGAGATAGCTTTATTACATGGTAGTTCTAATTTTAATTTTTTGAAGAAACTCCATAATGGCTACACCATTTTGCATTTTTACTAACAATATACAAGGGTTCCAGTTTCTCCATAACCTCACTGACACATCTTGCCTTTTTGTTTGTTTGTTTTTTTTTGAGAGGGAATCTTGCTCTGTCGCCCAGGCTGGAGTGCAGTGGTGTGATCTCGGCTCACTGTAACCTCTGCCTCCCGGGTTCGAGTGATTCTCCTGCCTCAGCCTCCCAAGTAGCTGGGATTACAGGTGCCCATCACCACGCCTGGCTAATTTTTGTATTTTTAGTAGAGACAGGGTTTTGCCATGTTGGCCAGGCTGGTCTTGAACTCCTGGTCTCAGGTGATCCGCCCACCATGGCCTCCCACAGTGCTGGGATTATAGGTGTGAGTCACCGCATCTGGCCACCTTTTTTGTGTGTGTGATAATACCCATTTTAACAGATGTGAGGTGATATTTCTTTTTTTTTTTTTTTTAATTTGAGTTAGCTTTTATTTAATTGTTAAACCTATGCTTTGAGGTTTTTAATTGAAATTTTTTTAAATTTTTTTAGTATTTATTGATCATTCTTGGGTGTTTCTCGGAGAAGGGGATTTGGCAGGGTCATAGGACAATAGTGGAGGGAAGGTCAGCAGATAAACATGTGAACAAAGTTCTCTGGTTTTCCTAGGCAGAGGACCCTGCGGCCTTCCACAGTGTTTGTGTCCCTGGGTACTTGAGATTAGGGAGTGGTGATGACTCTTAAGGAGCATGCTGCCTTCAAGCATCTGTTTAACAAAGCACATCTTGCACCGCCCTTAATCCATTTAACCCTGAGTGGACACAGCACATGTTTCAGAGAGCACGGGGTTGGGGGTAAGGTTATAGATTAACAGCATCCCAAGGCAGAAGAATTTTTCTTAGTACAGAACAAAATGGAGTCTCCCATGTCTACTTCTTTCTACCCAGACACAGTAACAATCCGATCTCTCCTTTTCCCCACATTTCCCCCTTTTCTATTTGACAAAACCGCCATCGTCATCATGGCCCGCTCTCAATGAGCTGTTGGGTACACCTCCCAGATGGGGTGGCGGCTGGGCAGAGGGGCTCCTCACTTCCCAGATGGGGCAGCCGGGCGGAGGCGCCCCCCACCTCCCGGACGGGGCAGCTGGCCGGGTGGGGGCTGCGCCCCCCACCTCCCGGATGGGCGGCTGGCTGGGCGGGGGCTGCCCCGCCACCTCCGGGACGGGGCGTCTGGCCGGGCAGGGGCTGCCCCGCCACCTCCCGGACGGGGCGCTGGCCGGGCGGAGACGCTCCTCACTTCCCAGACTGGGCGGCTGTGGGGCGGAGACACGCCTCACTTCCCAGACGGGGCAGCTGCTGGGCGGAGGGGCTCCTCACTTCTCAGACGGGGCGGCCGGTCAGAGACGCTCCTCAGTTCCCAGACGGGGTCGCGGCCAGGCAGAGGCGCTCCTCACATTCCAGACGGGGAGGTGGGGCAGAGGCGCTCCCCACATCCCAGACGATGGGCCGCCAGGCAGAGAGGCTCCTCACTTCCTAGACTGGATGACGGCCGGGAAGAGGCGCTCCTCACTTCCCAGACTGGGCGGCCGGGCAGAGGGGCTCCTCACATCCCAGACGATGGGCGGCCAGGCAGAGACGCTCCTCACTTCCTAGACGGGGTGGCGGCCGGGCAGAGGATGCAATCTCGGCACTTTGGGAGGCCAAGGCAGGCGGCTGGGAGGTGGAGGTTGCAGCGAGCCGAGATCACGCCTGGGCAACATTGAGCACTGAGTGAGCGAGTTGAGACAGAGTCTCCCTCTGTCACCCAGGCTGGAGTGACATGGTGCGATCTCGGCTCACTGCAACCTCCGCCTCCCGGGTTTAAGCGGTTCTCCTGCCTCACCTCCCGAGTAGCTGGGACTCATGAGGTGATATTTCATGGTGGTTTTGATTTGCATTTCCCTGATTAGTGATATTGAGCATCTTTTCATATACCTGTTAGCCATTTAGAGAAATGTCTATTCAAGTGTTTAGCCCATTTTAAGATCAGGTTACTAGGTTTTTTGGCTATTGAGTTATTTCTTATATATTTGAAAGTTAAAACCTTAGATATGATTTGCAAATATTTTCTCCCATTCCATAGGTTTCCTTTTACTCTGGTGGTTGTTTCCTTTGTTGTGCAGAAGCCTTTTAATTTGATGTAATCTCACTTGCCTATTTTTGATTTTGTTGCCTATGTTTTTGGTGTTATATTCAGGAAATCATTTTTAAGACCAATGTCATGAAGGTTTTCCCTG
This sequence comes from Homo sapiens, assembly GCF_000001405.40. Taxonomy (NCBI): domain Eukaryota; kingdom Metazoa; phylum Chordata; class Mammalia; order Primates; family Hominidae; genus Homo; species Homo sapiens. Next base: position 40,721,709 of record NC_000005.10, on the reverse strand, counting down.
TTTTTTTGTTTTGTTTTGTTTTGTTTTTGTTTTTTTTGTAGGAGTCATAAGACTCCTACAATGTAAGCTTCAGGTCTTACATTTAAGTCTTTAATGCACTTGGAGTTGACTTTTGTTTATGGTGTAAGATGAGGATCCATTTTCATTCTTTTGCACGCGGATATCCGGTTTTCCCAGCATCATTTGTTGAAGAAACTAGACTTTTCTCATTATGTATACTTAATGCCCTTGTTGAAGATCAGCTGACCATGTTGGGTGTGGATTTATTTGTAGGCTGTCTATTCTGTTCCATTGGTCTATATATCTGACTTTATGCCAGAATCGTATTGTTTTGTTTGCTGTCACTTTGTAATATATTTTGAAATTCATGAGTATGATGCCCCTAGTTTTGTTCTTACTTCTAAAATTGATTTTGTCCATTTACTTTGTGCCCAGCTCAGGGAAGGGGTGATAGCAACTTCCAGCCCAAATATCCCTCTCTGTTCTTCCTAGCCCCCAGGCAGCTGGATTTTGCCAAATTCCATCAGTACTCCACTACAGGTAAGACAGAAGCCAGTCCTTTTGGTAGTCCCCATAAAAACTGGGGCATTGGACACAGTGTGGACCAATTCTTTTCTTCCCTAGGCAAAATCTGGGAGCTGGGAATTTTCTTCGCTCACTGTATGCCAAGCTGGGGGAACAGATAGGGTGACTACTCTTCCAAACCTCCGTTATCTCTGGTCTCCTGTAGGTGGTTAGATTATGTAGGACTTGTTTTAACAGTGGTCCAAAAAACAGGCAAGACAGAAACCAGTACTTTTTGTAGCCACCGTAGAAGTTGGGGCATTGGACACTCAGACCAATTCATTCTTTCCCTTGAGGGTAGCTTGGAGCTGCAGGGTTCTTCCCAATCCTGTGGAGCTGTGCTGGGAGTAGGATTCTGGTGAGAGGGTGTCCTGAATCTCCCTTCTGGCTTTGATGAGTGTGTATTCTTATTCATCCAGGGTGCAGGAGCCTTTCAGTTAGTTTCTGGATTTCTCACAAAGGAATTTTGTTTGTGAATTGTTGCTGAATTGGTGTATTTGTTGGATGAAGGAGGGTCCAGGGCTTCCCACTCTGCCATCTTGCTGATGCTACTCCTCTGCCATTTTGTTTTGTGAAGTTCTTTGAAGAGGAGTGCCCTTGGGAGATTTTAAACTATCTTAAATTTGAAAATGTAATTGCAGCTCTTTGGATTTACTTTAAATACATATGTATATTTAAGTTTAGTAAATATGAAAGCATTAGTAATCAAGACAGTATAGTACTTAGATAGGCATAATGTAGACATATAGATCAGTGGGATAGAACTGAAAGTACAGAAATAAACCTACATTTTTACAGTTAATTGGACAAGGGTGTCAAGACAATTTAATGGGGGAAGGAATAGTCTTCAGCAAATGGTGCTGAGGCAGTTGGATATCCACATGCAAATGAATGACTTTGGACTCTTACTTCACATTTTATGTAAAAATTAACTCAAAAACAAACAAAGACCTAAACATAAGAACTAAAAGTATTATAAAACTCTTAGGAGAGAACATAGGTGTAAATCTTTGTAACCTTGGACTCAGCAATATATTAATATTTTTTAGATATGACATTGGAAGCACAAACAACAAAAGAAAAAAGTAGATAAAAATTGGACTTCAAATTAAACACTTTTGTGCTTCAAAAGTTACTGTCAAGAAAGTGAAAAGGCAATTCACAGAATGGAAGAAAATATTTGTAAATCATATATCTGATAAAGGTCTAGTATGTAGACTCTGTAAAAAACTCTTACAACTCAATAACAAAAAGACAAATAATGTAATTTAAAAATAGACAAAGGATTTGAAAAGGTATTTTTCCAAAGAAGATACACACACAGCTAATGAGCACATGAAAGATGCTCAACATTGTTACTTGTCAAGGAAATGAAAATCAAAACCACATTGAGATACTACTTCACATTCACTATCATAAAAAAGATGGACAATATGAAGTGTTGGTGAGGGTGTGGAGAAATTGGAGTCCTCGTCCATTGCTGGTGGGAATGTAAAATGTTATAGCCATTTTGGAAAACAGTCTGGCAGCTCCTCAAAAAAATGAAACATATAGTTATCATATGACAAAACAGTTCCACTCTTTATACCCAAGAGAAATGAAGACATATGTCCACACAAAAACATTTACATAAACCTTCATAGCAGCAGCATTTAAAATGGCCAAGAAGTGGAAACAACTCAAATGCCATCAACTGACAAATAGATAAACAAAATGTGGTATATCCATACAATGAAATATTATTCAGCATTAAAAAGAAATGATGCCTGTTACAACACGGATGAACTTTAAAAACAATATGTTAAGTGAAAGAAACCAGACATAAAAGGCTGTATGATTTCATTTATATGAAATATACAGAATAGACAGATATATAGCAATAGCAAGTAAATTAATGCTTGCCTAGAGCTGGGGTTTTGGGGAGAAATGAGGAGTAACTGCCAGTAGGTATGGAATTTTCTTTGGGGGTGATAAAAATGTTCTAGAATTGATTATGGGTGATGGCTGTGTGACTGTGAATATTGAATTGTATGTTTTAAATGGGTGAGCTTTATTGCTGTTTTAAAATTTTAGTAAATATGAATAAAATACCTTTTAATGTTTCCTAAGGCATTAGCTTTATGCCATGAAGAGGTATTTATTTTTTAACACTTCTATATAGGTGGATTTTTATTAGAATATTAAGAACACATAAAGCACAATTCCCATGGTACCTTAATTTTTAATTTTTATTTATTTATTTATTTTGAGACAGTCTCGCTCTGTTGCTCAGGCTGGAGTGCAGTGGTACCATCTTGGCTCACTGCAACCTCTGCTTCTTGGGTTCAAGTGATTCTCCTGCCTCAGCCTCCAAATTAGCTGGGATTACAGGCATACACCACTACACCCAGCTAATTTTTTTTTTTTTCGAGACGGAATCTTGCTCTGTCGCCCAGGCTGAAGTGCGGTGGTGCAATCTCGGCTCACTGCAACCTCTGCCTCCTGGGTTCAAGCGATTCTCATGCCTCAGCCCCCTGAGTAGCCACCACGTGGAGGGTGCCACCATGCCCAGCTAATTTTTGTATTTTTAGTAGAGACAGGGTTTCACCATTTTGGCCAGGCTGGTCTTGAACTCCTGACCTTGTGATCTGCCCACCTCCGCCTGCCAGAGTGATGGGATTACAGGCGTGAGCCACCACGCCTGGCCAAATACTGCTTTATATACCTATCTCTGTGTATTTTTTATTTATTTATTTTTTTTGAGACAGAGTCTTGCTCTCTCATCCAGGCTGGAGTGCAGTGGCACCATCTTGGCTCACTGTAACCTCTGCCTCCGGGGTTCAAACAATTTTCCTGCCTCAGCCTCCTAAGTAGCTGGGATTACAGGCACCACCACTATGTCCAACTAATTTTTTTTGTATCTTTAGTAGAGACGGGGTTTTGTCATTGAACTCCTGGTCTTGAGTGATCCATGCTTTCGCCTCGGCCTCCCAAAGAGTTGGATTTACAGGCGTGAGCCATCATGTATCTGTCTTCTTTATGACTTCTCTAAAGGGCCTATTAGATTGTAAATCTGTAGATTATGTGCAATCTTTTTTTTTTTTGAGACGGAGTTTCGCTCTTGTTGCCCAGGCTGGAGCATAATTGTGCGATCTTGGCTCACTGCAACCTCCGCCTCCCGAGTTCAAGCGATTCTCCTGCCTCAGCCTCACGAGTAGCTGGGATTACAGGCGTGCACCACCACACCTGGCTAATTTTTTGTATTTTTAGTAGAGACGGGTTTTCACCATGGCCAGGCTGGTCTTGAACTTCTGACCTCAGGTGATCCGCCTGCCTTGACCTCCCAGAGTGCTGGGATTACAGGCGTGAGCCATGGTGCCTGGCCGATTAAGTGCAATCTTAAAACTAATCTGTTTGCATGAGAATCTTCTATCCAGAGACTAAGTATACTCAGAGAAAACAACATATAATAGATTTAGACCAATGATTCTCACTTGGAGGGCAGTTTTACCCCCAGAGAACATTTGCCATGTCTAGAGACATTTTTGTTTATCACAACTAGGAAAGGAAGCTGTATTGGATTTAGTGAGTGTAGGTCAGGGATGTTGCTGAATATTCTACATTATAGAGGACAGCCCTTCCAAAATAAAGAATTACTCAGCCAAATATGTCAGTAGTGCTGAGGTTGACCTTTATCCAGACTGTAGTGGAGTTCTTGTGACTAAGCAGTATAATATAATGAATAAGAGAATGGACTCTGAAGCCAGACTGCCTGAATTTGCATCCCAGCTCTGCCAATTCCCAGCTGATACCTTTGGTTTCTACTCTTTCTGTGCTTCTCTAAAATAGTACTGAAAACAATAACCATACCTACTTCATATGATTATTGTGAGGATAGATGAGTTAATACATGTAAATCTTTTTTTTTTTTTTTTTTGAGATGGAGTTTTGCTCTTTTTGCCCAGGCTGGAGTGCAATGGCGTGATCTCAACTCACTGCAACCTCTGTCTCCCGGGTTCAAGCGATTCTCCTGCCTCACCCTCCTGGGTAGCTGGGATTACAGGCACCCGCCATCATGCCTGGCTAATTTTTGTATTTTTAGTAGAGACAGGGTTTCACTGTGTTGGCCAGGCTGGTCTTGAACTCCTGACCTCAGGTGATCCGCCCACCTCAGCCTCCCAAAGTGCTGGGATTACAGGTATGAGCCACCGTGCCCAGCCAAATACATGTAAATCTTTAGTGCCTAGAATGTAGTAAACAGTCAATAAATGTTAACATTGTTAGGATCTAAACTGTTAACTTCAAAGATATCCACTCCTGGTACCTTTGTGATTGTGGGTTAGCCCAGGAAATCCCCAAATGTACATACTTACTGGTCTACTGAAGCTGAGAATATATTTGCTTTATCTTTAGCCCTATTATGAGTACTCCCATTTTAATGGCTTTTAGTCCATAAGCATATTGTCAGTCACTTTCTTTCACACTTCTATAATTTTTTTCCCCAGTGTTTAGGGCAACACCGTAGCTTCCATCTTTTGTGTTCTAGTACATTAAGATAATGCATTAGGATGTGTATGTGTACAGTATATATGTACGTAAACACACAGGATTGTATTAAACATACTAATTTTTAAAACCAAAACAAAAAACTCTGACCTTATTTTCTAGGCAATTCGAAGTTTTCAAGTAGCCCTTCACATCTATCCAATGAACCCTGAAATATGGAAAGAAGACCTCTCTTGGGCAAGAACGCTCCAGGAGCAGCAGAAGGTAGCACAGAGGATTAAAAAAAGTGAAGCACCAGCTGAAGTAACACACTTTTCACCAAAGTCAATTCCAGACTATGACTTTGAAAGTGATGAGATTGTTGCTGTTTGTGCAGCTATTGCTGAGAAAGAGAAGACAGTTTCAGCAAATAAAACAATGGTTATTGTGTCTGCTTCTGGGGCCATAGAGACTGTAACTGAAAAGGAGGATGGTGCTACACCACCAGATGGCTCTGTTTTTATCAAAGCCCGATGAAGCAGTATGCATAGGATTATTTGAATCTGTCTTTTTGATTGCCTCTTGAAGTTTTGACATAGAGACATTTACTCTGGAGATAGATAGGAGAACGCCTGGTTGTAAAATATGTTTTTCAGATGAGGCATATAAAAACTAAAATGGCAGGATTATTGTATAGTGTTTGGAATATGCTTTGATAAGTTATGATTTATATTTCTCAAGGTTAAAATTCTGAGTAAAATGGTCTTTGATTAATAAACTTAGTTTAATCTGAATATGTAAATGAATACATTTTAAAGACAAAACTTGAAAAATGTATTCTTGAATAGTGAATAATTTGATCAATGTTACTGAAATGCTGTCTCAACTTTTGTTTTATGATAAAGGAAGTGTGTGATTTCCCTCCCTCTGAGAAATATACTGCGCTTAATATTTGCTGTCTTTTTCTTGCTTCATTAGAGTAAGTCTGTCAGAAAGCTTGAATATTTTTGACATTCATTTTGATTCAAAGTTGTCATTTGGTTATATGTGGAATCTTTGAAAGTTTGGCTGAAAATGCACACAAATGTGTACATTCTGAACATTTTCTGAAGTTTCTCTTAATTCTGATTTGTGTTTCTGTTTTGACTTTGAAGTTGTAACAATGATAGTTGTCTCCTTCAGTATTTGGTAAAAGTGTAAAGTATTGATAAATATGAGAATGATGGTTTTATTTTTTAATTGTTACAGTAAGTAATCCTTACCACAAATGAGTCATTTTTAAAATATGCATTTTTAAATGAATGGCTTTTACAGATAGGTTAATGACAATTGTACTGCTATATTATCCCAGTCAAAACCAATACTTTCTTTTCTTTATTTTACAAAGCTTTAAAAACCCTGGAAACAACTTACTTCTTGCTTGTGTCTTTCCATTTGATGACTGGGAATTACTTTTCTAGATAACTTTTTTTGAAACTACTCAGTGAAATGAAAAATAATTACAATTTTAAATAGCTAATTATATCTTTCTAAAAATAAAAAAGTAGGGCTGTTATTAGAGTGCCAATGAATAAATAACTTAAGCACAAAATACATAGAAATTGGAATGTGATTTATAGTACAATCTCATGAGTATGAAAAGGCTATATTAAAAAAAATTTTATTGAAAGTCCACAGTCATATTCACAAACCAATACTGTCATTGCTAATCTGAACTATTATTTTTATACTATATATTGTAGTACAATAATATAGAACTGTTGGGTTCTGTTACTTCTGACACTCAGGAAGATACTATTGGTGTATTAATTTTATCTTTGTTAGAGATGAAAGTAGCCCACTTTATGTTAAAGATCTTACTACTGTTGGAGCTTATAAGTAATGATCTACATTTTTTATGAAGATGGTTTTTAAAACTTTTGTTTTATTGGAATGCATATCTCTTTTCAGGGTTGGAGAAATTAGCACTTGCCTTGAAAAGAATATTCTTTCCTTAAGTTATATCATCAGAAAATTAGCTCTGGTTAGAGAGGTTAGTTTCAGAGTGCTCCAAAAAATATGTTAATTATTTTATTTTGTTTAATAAAGAACATTCTCAAAACGTAAATAGGTATCTAGAGAAGTGAGTACTCAACATTTGGTATATTGTTTTGAGTAATGGATGTTTGTTTTTTGTGTAATTTGTGAATAAATAGTTTTTTTCTGCATTTTGAAGATTTTCCTATTATTTTATGTTGTTAGCTTTTGAAAAATTAGATTGATCTACTTAGTGTCTTTCTTATATGAACTTAATATATTTAAAGTACCTTGCATGGTGCCTCACACATGAAGTAATGCCAGCTATTTCAGTAAATGCTAGCTATTTCTATGAAGAACTTGAGTTAGTTTGGAGATATTTAACCTCAATTTCCTCTGATTTTAAAAAAGGAGAACTTTTTTTGTAATCCTTTCCTTATCTGAAAGTAAGAAGTCTCTGATTCCAGTATTATAGGAGAGATAGTGGGATTTTTCTTGACAGGGTCTATAGCTCAAGTCCCAAAGAGGCAAGACTCAGGATGGAATGCATGTGGCCACTAGGCCCTGTTATAAGAACCTAGTGTTTCCTCTGTACTGGCATGGTAGGCCAAGTTAGTCTCTTTCTTACCCAGATATAAGACATAAAATAGTTTAGACATAAGACAGAGGAGAAAAAGAAACAGTAAGTTATGGAGAAGGAAGGCAGCTCATTTCTGCAGGCCCCTCAAAATGCTTATTTTAGCTCATACTCTTCTATGCGTGAAGAGAAAAATGCACCCATTATTTTACAAGGATGTGAATACTGATATACAAACATAGACTAAGCTTGTTAATTTTAATAACAAATCTTTATGAATCTGAAGAGAATTGATGTTCATGATAATGATATAGATGTTTAATATACTTTCTGAAATAACACTGTTTACTGTTCAAGTTATATTGACTATAATTTACATTATTCTTGTTTGAGAATTGTATGGCATAGACACTCATTAGTCAGAGTGTCTAGACATCCAGACCATGCCTGATAACACAAGAATCATATATCATTCTCTAGAAAACAGGCTGTTTGGTTATAGAGTATTTATCTTAAATATATTAACAGACACTACATAAACATTGAAAAGCCATGCAAGTTATAGCTCACAGGAGCCAGATCTACTGCAACTGGGGCCTACATACAAAATTTTATGGCAGTGGTTTCAGTATGACAATCTTTTGAATTGATGCCGTATGGTAAAACTATAAAGATTTTTTAAAAGCTCTGTCTCAGCTAGAATTTTTAAGATTATAACTGAACAGTATAGCCCTTTTAGTTGTTTGAAAATTACATAATGATTCAAAAGCTTGTTTCACTGCCTTTCCCAGCACTAAGAAAATTAACAATCATTTCTTTTAATTTCCTTGAATCAGAGCCATTCTAAAGTGACTCTGGACCAGCAATTCTGAGCTATGATTTCATGATACATGTATTAATATCTAAATGAGTTGTGAGTTGACATAAGAACCATAGTTCCATAATAATTATCTTCAAATCAATGGATATCTTAAATGTGTTTTTTTCTTCCTTAGAGATTATTATTAAACTGATGTATTTGATAATAAAGAATTTTAGGACTGAGAAAGTTAAGTTTTTCTTACCAATAATAAGATATTGAAATATATAAATTATAAAACAGAAATAAAATGAAATAAAGGAGGTTATCCCTAAAGTCATTTACCTTAGTCACTTGCAATTAAATATGGTTACTTCGGAAGAAGAAGTGTGGCCCTAAAGCTACTGTAACATGAATCATGCCCTAATGTGCACTATATATGAACTACTTTGGTCAGAAGGCAGCGGCGGGTAAGGATGGCTTCCTCTCACAGTGCTTCTTAGGCTATCCATTTACCAAGGAATTCTAATCTCTTTCTCTCACTTCACCAGGAAAGGAGGGAGTTTAAGATATAGAACTGGGCATGCTAGCCTCTTTTTTCCCTTTTGTGGATTTGTCATAACTGCAGAGAACCGATGTTGTGGTCTCTTGCCAGCTACATTGTGAACCTTGCAGTGAAAGTTCTTTGCCTCTGCAAAGGGAGATTTGTGCTTGTGCAGAACTGCCCATGCCTTAGTAAGCAGGTCTGTCTAATTCTAAGTTCAATATCTGGTGGCTATTGTTGGCATAAACTTAAAGTACATCCTCTAACCTAGCCTTTTTCAGCAGTAAACTTAAAATATTGAATCTCCATCTGTCTGTGTCTCAAGTGGTTCAGAGGTCAGGAGAGGAGAGGGACATTATTTTATGACTCCCTCAAACTTTAACAAAGACTAGTGCAGATTATATTTCGAAGTAAGCATGAGATATATTAAAAACCACATGTGGGAATTCTTTCCTAATTTTAGAGGTTTTTTTTAAATAATGGAAATTCTATTGAAATTGAGTAGTGTTAATTACAAGGCAACAGGTAAACATTTGTTCAGGATATTTAAAAGGTCTGCTGAGTTGGAATTGTGACAGACCACATTGTTGACTCTAGATTGAATTGGAAGGGAAGAATGTGAAATGAATTAGGATATCCTCTGTTCACCTCTATTAACTTTCTTAAATGAGTATAACTTAGAAATAATAAAATGCAAGTATTTTAACGTTATAGTTGGGAGAGTTTTGACAAATGTAAACACCCACTTCACCACCACTACCATCCTGATATAGTGTGTGTCCATCACCCAAAAAGTTCTCTAAAGCCCTTTTGCAGTTGGTTCCCCTCCACCTGAACAGCCATCCCTAGTCAACTACTTTTCTGCTTTCTGTGGCTATACGTTAGATTTGACTTCAGAATTCTAGAGTTTGAAATAAATAGGCCATATAATATGCACTCTTTTTGTGTCTGACTTTTTTTTTGCTTAACATGATGCTTTTGAAACCCATCCATGTTGAGATTCATCCATGTTATCATGTGTATCAATAATAAGTTCCTTTTTATTGCTGAATAGTATTCTAGTATATAGATATACCACAATTTGTTTAGCTGTTCACCTATTGATGGACATTTAGGTTGTTTCAAGTTTTGATCTATTATGAATAAAGCTGCTATATATATAAATCACAATTCTATGTGTGGACATATGTGTTCATTTCTCTTATGTAAATACCTAGGGATGGAATTGCTGAGTCTTATGACCAGTTTATGCACAACTTTAAAGGAAACTGCCAAACTTTTCCAAATTATCTGTACCATTTGGGATTTCTGCTAGCAATGTATTAAATTAATTTCAGTTTCTCCATATCCTTGTCAATGATTGATATTGTCAGTCTTTTAAATTTTAGACACTTTAGTGGATATGTAGTAGTATTTCATTGTGGTTTTAATATGCATTTCCCTAATAATGTTGAGCATCTTTTCATAGGCTTATCTGACATTTCTCTTTTTTGGAAAGTAACTTTTCAAATATTTTGCCCATTTTTGATTTAAGTCATCTTCTTATTGAGTTGTAAGAGTTTTCCTTTCTACTGGATAGAAGTCCTTCATGAGCTGTAAGTATTGTGTATATTATCTTCCTATCTGCAGCTTGCTTGTTTGTTTTCTATATATATATATACATATTTTTATTATACATTAAGTTCTAGGGTACATGTGCACAATGTGCAGGTTTGTTACATATGTATACATGTACCATGTTGCTGTGCTGCACCCATTAACTCATCATTTACATTAGGTATATCTCCTAATGCTATCTCTCCCCTTTCCCCCCACCACACAACAGGCCCCAGTGTGTGATGTTCCCTGCCCTGTGTCCAAGTGTTCTCATTGCTCAATTCCCACCTATGAGTGAGAACATGTGATGTTTGGTTTTTTGGCATTGTGATAGTTTGCTGAGAATGATGGTTTCCAGCTTCATCCATGTCCCTACAAAGGACATGAACTCATCCTTTTTTATGGCTGCATAGTATTCCATGGTGTATATGTGCCACATTTTCTTAATCCAGTCTATCATTGTTGGATATTTGGGTTGGTTGCAAGTCTTTTCTATTGTGAATAGTGCCACAATAAACATATATGTGCATGTGTCTTTATAGCAGCATGATTTATATTCCTTTGGTTATATACCCAGTAATGGGATGGCTGGGTCAAATGGTATTTCTAGTTCTAGATCCCCGAGGAATTGCCACACTGTCTTCCACAATGGTTGAACTAGTTAACAGTCCCACCAACAGTGTAAAAGTGTTCCTATTTCTCCACATCCTCTCCAGCACCTGTTGTTTCCTGACTTTTTAATGATTGCCATTCTAACTGGTGTTAGATGGTATCTCACTGTGGTTTTGATTTGCATTTCTCTGATGGCCAGTGATGATGAGCATTTTTTCATGTGTCCTTTGGCTGCATAAATGTCTTCTTTTGAGAAATGTCTGTTCATATCCTTTGCCCACTTTTTGATGGGGTTGTTTGTTTTTTTCTTGTAAATTTGTTTGAGTTCTTTGTAGATTCTAGATATTAGCCCTTTGTCAGATAAGTAGATTGCAAAAATGTTCTCCCATTTTGTAGGTTGCCTGCTCACTCTGATGGTAGTTTCTTTTGCTGTGCAGAAGCTCTTTAGTTTAATTAGATCCCATTTGTCAATTTTGGCTTTTGTTGCCGTTACTTTTGGTGTTTTAGACATGAAGTCCTTGCCTATGCCTATGTCCTGAATGGTATTGCCTAGGTTTTCTTCTAGGGTTTTTATGGTTTTAGGTCTAACATTTAAGTCTTTAATCCATCTTGAATTAATTTTTGTATAAGGTGTAAGGAAGGGATCCAGTTTCAGCTTTCTACATATGGCTAGCCAGTTTTCCCAGCACCATTGGTCTGTATCTCTGTTTTGGTACCAGTACCATGCTGTTTTGGTTACTGTAGCCTTGTAGTATAGTTTGAAGTCAGGTAGCATGATGCCTCCAGCTTTGTTCTTTTGGCTTAGGATTGACTTGGCAATGTGGGCTCTTTTTTGGTTCCATATGAACTTTAAAGTAGTTTTTTCCAATTCTGTGAAGAAAGTCATTGGTAGCTTGATGGGGATGGCATTGGATCTATAAATTACCTTGGGCAGTATGGCCATTTTCATGATATTGATTCTTCCTATCCATGAGCATGGAATGTTCTTCCATTTATTTGTATCCTCTTTTATTTTGCTGAGCAGTGGTTTGTAGTTCTCTTTGAAGAGGTCCTTCACATCCCTTGTAAGTTAGATTCCTAGGTATTTTATTCTCTTTGAAGCAGTTGTGAATGGGAGTTCACTCATGATTTGGCTCTGTGTTTGTCTGTTATTGGTGTATAAGAATGCTTGTGATTTTTGCACATTGATTTTGTATCCTGAGACTTTGCTGAAGTTGCTTATCAGCTAAAGGAGATTTTGATCTGAGACGATGGGGTTTTCTAGATATACAATTATGTCATCTGCAAACAGGGACAATTTGACTTCCTCTTTTCCTAATTGAATACCCTTTATTTCTTTCTCCTGCCTGATTGCCCCGGCCAGAACTTCCAACGCTATGTTGAATAGGAGTGGTGAGAGAGGGCATCCCTGTCTTGTTCCAGTTTTCAAAGGGAATGCTTCCAGTTTTTGCCCATTCAGTATGATATTGGCTGTGGGTTTGTCATAGATAGCTCTTATTATTTTGAGATACATCCCATCAATACCTAATTTATTGAGAGTTTTTAGCATGAAGTGCTGTTGAATTTTGTCTAAGGCCTTTTCTGCATCTATTGAGATAATCATGTGGTTTTTGTCTTTGGTTCTGTTTATATGCTGGATTACGTTTATTGATTTGCATATGTTGAACCAGCCTTGCATCCCAGGGATGAAGCCCACTTGATCATGGTGGATAAGCTTTTTGATGTGCTGCTGGATTCAGTTTGCCAATATTTTATTGAGGATTTTTGCATCGATGTTCATCAGGGATATTGGTCTAAAATTCTCTTTTTTTGTTGTGTCTCTGCCAGGCTTTGGTATCAGGATGATGCTGGCCTCACAAAATGAGTTAGGGAGGATTCCCTCTTTTTCTATTGATTGGAATAGTTTCAGAAGGAATGGTACCAGCTCCTCCTTGTACCTCTGGTAGAATTCGGCTGTGAATCCATCTGGTCCTGGAGTTTTTTTGGTTGGTAAGCTATTAATTATTGCCTCAATTTCAGAGCCTGTTATTGGTCTATTCAGAGATTCAACTTCTTCCTGGTTTAGTCTTGGGAGGGTGTATGTGTCGAGGAATTTATCCATTTCTTCTAGATTTCCTAGTTTATTTGCATAGAGGTGTTTATAGTATTCTCTGATGGCAGTTTGTATTTCTGTGGGATCAGTGGTGATCTCCCCTTTATCATTTTTTATTGTGTCTATTTGATTCTTCTCTCTTTTCTTCTTTATTAGTCTTGCTAGCGGTCTATCCATTCTGTTGATCTTTTCAAAAAGCCAGCTCCTGGATTCATTGATTTTTTGAAGGTTTTTTTGTGTCTCTATCTCCTTTAGTTCTGCTCTGATCTTGGTTATTTCTTGCCTTCTGCTAGCTTTTGGATGTGTTTGCTCTTGCTTCTCTAGTTCTTTTAATCGTGATGTTAGGATGTGAATTTTAGATCTTTCCTGCTTTCTCTTTTGGGCATTTAGTGCTATAAATTTCCCTCTACACACTGCTTTAAATGTGTCCCAGAGATTCTGGTATGTTGTGTCTTTGTTCTTGTTGGTTTCAAAGAACATCTTTATTTCTGCCTTCATTTCATTATGTACTCAGTAGTCATTCAGGAGCAGGTTGTTTGGTTTCCATGTAGTTGAGCGGTTTTGAGTGATTTTCTTAATCCTGAGTTCTAGTTTGATTGCACTGTGGTCTGAGAGACAGTTTGTTGTAATTTCTATTCTTTTACATTTGCTGAGGAGTGTTTTACTTCCAACTATGTGGTCAGTTTTGGAATAGGTGTGGTGTGGTGCTGAGAATAATGTGTATTCTGTTGATTTGGGGTGGAGAGTTCTGTAGAGGTCTGTTAGGTCGACTTGGTGCAGAGCTGAGTTCAATTCCTGGATATCCTTGTTAACTTTCTGTCTCGTGGATCTGTCTAATGTTGACAGTGGGGTGTTAAAGTCTCCCATTATTTTTGTGTGGGAGTCTAAGTCTCTTTGTAGGTCTGTAAGGACTTGCTTTATGAATCTGGGTGCTCCTGTATTGGGTGCATATATATTTAGGATAGTTAGCTCTTTTTGTTGAATTTCTCTCTTTACCATTATGTAATGGCCTTCTTTGTCTCTTTTGATCTTTGTTCGTTTAAAGTCTGCTTTATCAGAGACTAGGATTGCAACCCCTGCCTTTTTTTCTTTTCCATTTGCTTGGTAGATCTTCCTCCGTCCCTTTATTTTGAGCCTATGTGTGTCTCTGCACGTGAAATGGGTTTCCTGAATACGGCACACCGATGGGTCTTGACTCTTTATCCAATTTGCCAGTCCGGTGTCTTTTAATTGGAGCATTTATCCCGTTTACATTTAAGGTTAATATTGTTATGTGTGAATTTGATCCTGTCATTATGATGTGAGCTGGTTATTTTGCTCGTTAGTTGATGCTGTTTCTTCGTAGCCTTGATGGTCTTTACAATTTGGCATGTTTTTGCAGTGGCTGGTACCGGTTGTTCCTTTCCGTGTTTAGTGCTTCCTTCAGGAGCTCTTGTAGGGCAGGCCTGGTTGTGACAAAACCTCTCAGCATTTGTTTGTCTGGAAAGGATTTTATTTCTCCTTCACTTATGAAGCTTAGTTTGGCTGGATATTAAATTCTGGGTTGAAAATTCTTTTCTTTAAGAATGTTGAATATTGGCCCCCACTCTCTTCTGGCTTGTAGAGTTTCTGCCGAGAGATCAGCTGTGAGTCTGATAGGCTTTTCTTTGTGGGTAACCTGACCTTTCTCTCTGGCTGCTTGTTTGTTTTCATAATGATACCTTTTAAAGAGCAGAAGTTTTTAATTTTCATGATGTCTAATTTACAATTTTTTTTTTCCTTTTTGGTTGTGCTTTTTGTGTGCTAAGAAACCTGTCCTTACTCCCAAATCACAAAGATTTTCTGCTTTGTGCTGAAGTTTTATAGGCTTAACTTTTATGATTAGGCCTATGATCCATTTCATGTTAATTTTGTTGTTGTTATTCATATTTTCACCTGGTCCCCTAACTTTTTGTTTTAAGCTTAAGTTATTTTACTTTTTAACTTTTATTTTAGGTTTGGGGTACATGTAAAGGTTTGTTACAAAGATAAACACGTGTCATGAGGGTTTGTTGTATATATTATTACATCATTCAGGTATTAAGCTTGGTACCCAATAGTTATCTTTTCTGCTCTTCTCCCCCCTGCCACCCTCCCCACTCAGGTAGACCCCATTGTCTGCTGTTTCCTTCATTGTGTTCATAAATTCTTATTATTTAGCTCCCACTTATAAGTGAGAACATGTAGTATTTGGTTTTCTGTTCCTGTGTTAGTTTGCTATGGATGATAGCCTCCAGCTCCATCCGTGTTCCCATGAAAGACATGATCTCATTCTCTTTCGTGGATGCTTAATACTCCATGATGTATATGTACCATATTTTCTTTAGCCAGTCTGTCATTGATGTGCCTTTAGGTTGATTCCAAGTCTTTGCTATTGTAAACAGTGTGCAATGAACGTTTGCATGCATGTGTTTTTATGGTAGAATGCTTTATATTCCTCTGGGTAAAGGCACCCAGTAAAGGGATTGCTGGATTGGATGGTAGTTCTGCTTTTAGTTCTTTGAGGAATCACCATACTGCTTTCCACAATGGTTGAACTAATTTACACTCCCACCAACAGTGTATAGGGTTCCCCTTTCTACACAACCTTGCCAGCTAGCATCTGTTATTTTTTGACTTTCTTATAATAGCCATTCTGACTAGTGTGAGATGGTATCTCATGGTTTTGATTTGCATTTCTCTAATGATCAGTGATATTGAGCTTTTTTTATATGCTTTTTGGTTGCATTTATGTCTTCTTTTGAAAAGTGTCTGTTCATGTCCTTTGCCCATGTTTTAATGGGGTTGTTTGTTTTTCTCTTGTAAATTTGTTTAAGTTCCTTATAGATGCTGGATATTAGACCTTCGTCAGATGCACAGTTTGCAAATGTTTTCTCCCATTCTTTAGGTTGTCTATTTACTCTGTTGGTAGTTTCTTTTGCTGTGCAGAAGCTCTTAAGTTTAATTAGATCCCATTTGTCAATTTTTGCTTTTGTTGGAATTGCTTTTGGTGTCTTTGTCATGAAATCTTTGCCCATTCCTAGGTCCAGGATGGTATTGCCTAGATTGTCTTCCAGGGTATTTATAGTTTTGAGTTTTACATGTAACTCTTTAATACTTCTTGAGTTGATTTTTGTATATGGTGTAAGGACGGGGTCCAGCTTCAATCTTCTGCATATGGCTAGCTGGTTATCCCAGTACCATTTATAGAATATGAAGTCTTTTCCCCATTGCTTCTTTTTTTCAGCTTTGTCAAAGATCAGGTGCTCATAGATGTGTGGCCTTATTTCTGGGCTGTCTACTTTGTTCCATTGTTCTATGTGCCTGTTTTTGTACCAGCACCATGTTGTTTTGGTCACCGTAGCCTCATAGTATGGTTTGAAGTCGAGTAATGTGATTCCTCCAGCTTTGTTCTTTTTGCTTAGGATTGCCTTGGCTATTTGGGCTCTTTTTTGGTTCCATATAAATTAAAAAAAATTTTTTTCTAGTTATGTGAAGAATGCCATTGGTAGTTTGATAGGAATAGCATTGAATCTGTAAATTGCTTTGGGTAGTATAGCCATTTTAATGATATTGATTCTTCCTATCCATGAGCATGAGATGTTTTTCTATTTGCTTGTGTCTTCTCTGATTTCTTTGAGCAGTGTTTTGTAATTCTCATTGTAGAGACCATTCACATCCCTGGTTAGCTGTATTCCTGGATATTTTATTTTTGCAGCTATTGTGAATGGGATTGCTTTTCTGATTTGGCTCTCAGTTTGGTTGTTGTTGGTGTATAGGAATACTAGTGATTTTTGTATAATGATTTTGTATCCTGCAACTTTGCTGAAGTTGTTTATCAGTTGAAGGAGTGTTTGGTCTGAGACTATGGGGTTTTCTAGGTATAGAATCTGCAAACAGAGATAGTTTGATTTCCTCTCTTCCTATTTGGATGCCCTTTATTTCTTTTTATTGCCTGATTGCTCTGGCCTGGACTTCCAATACTATGTTGAATAAAAGTGGTGAGAGAGGGCATCCTTGTCTTGAGCCAGTTTTCGAGGGGAATGCTTCCAGCTTTTGCCCATTTGGTCTAATGTTGTCTGTGGGTTTGTCATAGATGGCTCTTACTATTTTGAGCTTTGTTCCTTCAATACCTAGTTTATTGAGAGTTTTTAACATGAAGGGATGTTGAATTTTATCAAAAGTCTTTCTACATTTATTGAGATAATCATGTGGTTTTTGTCTTTAGTTCTGTATGTGATGAATCACGTTTATTGATTTTCATATGTTGAACCAACCTTGCATCCTGAGGGTGAAGCCTACTTGATCATAGTGGATTAGCTTTTTGATTTGCTGCTGGATTTGGTTTGTAGGTATTTTGTTGAGAATATTTGCATTAATGTTCATCAAGGATATTGATTGGCCTGAAGTTTTCTTTTTTTGTTGTGTCTCTGCCAGGTTTTGGTATTAAGCTGATGATGGCCTCATAGAATGAGTTGGGGAGAAGTCCTTCCTCCTAAATTTTTTTTTTTTTTTTTTTTTTTTTTTTTTTTTTTTTTTTTTTTTTGAGACGGCGTCTTGCTCTGTTGCCCGGGCTGGAGTGCAATGGTGTGATCTCAGCTCACTGCAACCTCCGCTTCCCGGGTTCAAGCAATTCTCCTGCCTCAGCCCCCTGAGTAGCTGAGACTACAGGCATCTGCCACCATGCCCAGCTAATTTTTATACTTTTAACAGAGATGGGGTTTCACCATGTTGGCCAGAATGGTCTTGATCTCTTGACCTTGTGATCTGTCCACCTCGGCCTCCCAAAGTGCTGGGATTACAGGCGTGAGCCACACCGTGCCCGGCCTCTTCCTCCTAAATTTTTTAGAATAGTTCCTGTAGGGATGGTACCAGCTCTTCTTTGTATATCTGGTAGAATTCGGCTATGACTCCATCAGGTCCTGGGCTTTTTTTGATTGGCAGGCTATTTATTACTGATTCAATTTCAGAGCTTGTTATTGGTCTGTTCAGGGAATTGATTTCTTCTTGGCTCAGTCTTGGGAAGGTGTATGTGTCCAGGAATTTATCCATCTCTTCCATATTTTCTAGTTTGTGTGCGTAGTGGTGTTCATAGTAGTTTCTGATGGTTGTTTTTATTTCTGTCAGCTCAGTAGTAACATTCTCTTCATCATTTCTAATTGTGTTTATTTGGATCTTCTCTCTTAATTAGTGTAGATTGGCCTGTTTTATTAATTTTTTTTTTTTGCAAAAAACCAACCCCTGGATTTGTTGATCTTTTGAATGTTTTTGAATTCTTGATTTTCAGCTCTGATTTTTGTTATTTCTTCTGCTAGCTTTGCAGTTGATTTGTTCTGCTTCTCTATTTCTTTCAGTTGTGAAGTTAGGTCGTTAATTTGAGATCTTTGTAACTTTTTGATTTGGACATTTAGTGCTATGAATTTCCCTTAACACTGCCTTAGCTGTGTTCCAGAGATTCTGGTATGTTGTATCTTTGTTCTCATTATTTTCAAAGAGCTTCTTGATTTCTGCCTTAATTTTATTATTTACTCAAAAGTCATTCAGGACCATGTTGTTTAATTTCCATGTAATTTTATGGTTTTGAGCAATTTTCATTGTGTTGACTTCAATTTTTATTGCCCTGCACTCCAAGAGTGTGTTTGGTATGACTTTGGTTCTTTTAGATATGTTGAGGATTGTTTTTATGTCCAATTATGTGGTCAATTTTAGAGTATGTGCCATGTGGCGATGAGAAGAATGTATATTCTGTTGTTTTTGGGTGGAGACTTCTGTAAAGGTCTATCAGATCCATTTGGTCCAGTGCTGAATTTAGGTCTGGAATATCTTTGTTAATTTTCTGCCTTGATGATCTGTCTAATACTATCAGTGGTGTGTTGAAGTCTCTCACTATTATTGTCTGGAATCTATGTCTCTTTGTAGGTCTCTAAGAACTTGCTTTATGAATCTGGGTGCTCCTGTCTTGGGTGCATATATATTTAGGACAGTTAGGTCTTCTTGTTGAATTGAACCCTTTACCATTAAGGTAATGCCTTCTTTGTCTTTTTTGGTTTGAAATCTGTTTTGTCTGAAATTAGGATTGCAACCCTTGCTTTTTTCTGTTTTCCATTTGCTTGGTAGCTTTTTCTCCATCCCTTATTTTGAGCCTGTGAGTGTCATTATGTGTGAGATGGGTCTCTTGAAGACAGCATACCATTGGGTCTTGCTTTTTTATCCAGCTTGCCACTGTGCCTTTTAAGTTGGACATTTGGCCTGTTTACATTCAAGGTTAGTATTGACATGTGTGGATTTGATCCTGTCATTGTGCTGTGAGCTGGTTATTATATTGGCTTGTTTGTGTGGTTGCTTTATAGTGACACTGGTCTCTGTGTTTGTGTTTTTGTACCAGCTGCTAGAGGTCTTTCCTTTCTATATTTAGTGTTCCTTTTCATGATCTCTTGTAAGCAGATCTGGTGGAAATGAAGTCCCTCAACATTTGCTTATCTGAAAAGGATCTTATTTCTCCTTCACTTGGGAAGCTTAGTTTGGCTGAATATGAAATTCTTGGTTGAAGATTTTTTTCTTTATGATGTTGAACATAGGCCCCCAATCTCTTCTGGCTTGTAGGCTTTCAGTTGACAGGTCTGCTGTTAGCCTGATGGGGATCCCTTTGTAGGTGACCTGCACTGTCTCTCTGTCTGCCTTTAACATTCTTTCTTTCATTTCAACCTTGGAAAATCTGATGATTATGTGTCTTGGGGATGATCTTCTTGTGCAGAATTTTATAGGAATTCTCTGTATTTCCTGAATTTGACTGCTGGCCTCCCTAGCAAGATTGAGAAATTTGGTAGATGATATCCTGAAATATATTTTCTAATTTGTTTGCTTTCTCCCCCTTTCTGTCAGGAATGCCAGTGATTCATAGATTTGGCCCCTTTGCATAATCCCCTACTTCTCAGAGGTTTTGTTCATTCTTTTGTATTCTTTTTTCTTTATTTTTGTCTGATTGTCTTATTTCAGAGAACCAGTCTTCAAGTTCTGAGATTCTTTCCTCAGTTTGGTTTATTCTGCTGTTAATACTTGTGATTACATTGTGAAATTCTTGTATTGTGTTATTCAGCTCTGTCAGACCTGTTAGGTTCGTTTTGATACCAGCTATTTCATCCTTCAGCTCCTGTATCACTTTATTGTGATTCTTATTTTCCTTGGATTTGGTTTTGCCATCTTACTGAATCTTGATGATCTTTGTTCCTATCCATATTCTGAATTCTATTTCTATCATTCCAGCCAGTTAAGCCTGGTTAAGAACTCTTGTTGGAGAACTGGTGCAGTCGTTTGGAGGACACTCTGACCATTGGAGTTACTGGAGTTCTTGCATTGGTTCTTTCTCATCTCTGCACGTGGATGTTTCTTTAACTGCAGTGTAGATTGAGTACAGTCAATAGGCTTCTTTTCTGGATGTTTTCACTGGGCTGAGGCTTTATGTAGGGTCTTTATTTGAAAGTGACTTCTTGTCTCTGGTTTCAGAGTCAGGGTATGTTAGTGAGGTATTTTTGGTGTTGAAGTTTTGGGGTGTGATCCAGCAGGTGACACTTAGGCTTATTGGTCAGTTGGTAGATTCTTGCTCAGTTGTGTGGCTCCCCTATGGTTCCTCATAGTTGCAGCCATGTTCCCTTTCAGTGCTCTGAAGGTGTGGGTTCCTCTACCCCTTGAGTGCTGGCTGTAATTCACAACTTGGCACTCCTGAGCTGCCTACTGCAGCTCTGGGGCAATCTCAGTGTTTATGTTCCTTCCCCATCATAGAGTCAGCAGAGGAAGATATCTTATTAGTGGTTGTGGCCAAAGGTCATTTGCTTGACTCCTGAGGGCTCCACCCCAGAGAAATGCAGGTCAGGAATCACTCAGTGCAGTCAGCCCAAGCCAGGGGTTCCCTGTCTGGTGACGAGCCATGGGGAGTGTGTGCAACCCATGGGAGATGGACTGGCCTCCTCTCCTTGGGTCGACTGCACTTGTTGGAGTTGTGGATAAGGAACTTAGGGTCTTTGCTCCTTCGTTAGTCCAAGGGTGGCAAGGGCAGTTTCACTGCAGAGGCAGTGGCAGAGAGGCTTTCAGCTGCCGCTGGAGGCTCTGTCCAGGGAGTTGCTGAGTTAGTACTGGCTTGACAGCTCTGGGTCGGGGGTGGCTGGAGGCCCAGGCCTTGTGGACCTGCTTTTTAGTTTTCAATGACTCAGTCTTACCCATGTTTTAAGTTTATCCCTAAATATTTCACATTTTTGATGCAATTATAAGGAGTCTTTTAAAATTTTCATCTTCCAATTTTGATAACTATTACATAGAAATACAATTGATTTGTATATATTGACCTTGTAGCCTTGATGAATTCATTTGTTAGCTACATTAGCTATATTATAGATTCCTTGGAATGTTCTACATACCTAACATGTCTTTATGAATAAAGAGAGTTTTCTTTCTTCCTTTCCAAACTGTATGTCTTTTATATCTTTCTCTTGCCTTATTGCACTTGCTAAACTTTCAGTACACACAAACTGTGAGAATAAACATTCTTTATATACAGCTTTTTAGTCTTTCACCATGAAGTGTGAAGATTGATGTAGATTTTTATACTTTTTTTTAATTAAATTGAGAAAGTTCCCTTACTAGTCTGAACACCTGTTTATTATGAATGGGTGTTGAATTTTGTTAATTGTAGTTCCTGCATCTATGAGATAATATTTCTCTTTTATTCTGTTTGTATGGTAAGTTACATTTATTTTTCAGATACTAAATCAACTGCATTTCTGGGATAAACCCTACTTACTCATGATGATTATCCATTTTAGATATTGCTTGATTCCATTTGTTAACATTTTATGAAGGATTTTTGTGTCTGTGTTCATGAGGGATATTGGCCTATAGTTTCCTTTTCTTGTAATATCTTTGGTTTTCAAGTCATGATATGTTGCCCTCATAAAAAATGTTGAGAAGTATTTTCACTTACTCTTTTCAATATAGTTTCTATAGATTTGGTGTCATGTCTTTCTATAATGTTTAAAAGAGCTCACAAATAAAATCACTTAGGCCTACAGTTTTTTTGCGGGGTAGTTTTTAATTACTAATTCAGTTTTAAAAATAGCTATTGTGTAAATATTATGAATTATATCACATTTGATAGTGTGGTTTGATTAAATCAGGATCCAAAAAAGTCCATTAATTGAATCTATTGCTATGTCTTTTCATCCTTTATAATCTGTGACTTCCCATTCCTCTTTTTTTTTTTTCCAACTTATCTTTAAAGGAACTGGCTCATTTGTCCTTTAGAATTTTCCACATTTTATATTTTGCCTATGGCATTGTACCTGATGTCATTACTGTTTTTTCTGTTCCTATATTTCCTCTTAATTGGACTTAGATCTAGAGGCTTGATCAGATTCATTCAATTTTTCGGCAAGAATACATCATGGGTGGCCATGGGTACATTACTAGAAGTTAAATATTTCTTGCTATTTATTTCTCTTTGTAATGTCAGAAGCCATTGACTATGATTGTCTAGATCCATTATTTCATTAGTGGCTACAAACGTGATAATTCTGTTACTCTTTTGGTACGAGAAAACTTTAAAGAAAAACTTTCCCTCATCAACTATTTTCTTATGCTGGAAAAACTACAGAGTAAAGGCCGTTTATATAATAAACGCTTTGTTCTTTGTCTTCTTACCACTTTTCAAAATAATTAGTTGTCTCCCTAGACTCCTCCAAAGGTGACCAATGAGGTGTTTTGTTTTGTCGTATCATAAAGTAATGCATTGAGATATAATTGATGTGTTTCAATCTCGGCAGTTACTGTTTTCATTGATGGCATATACATCCTGAACTTTAGTTCACTTTTCAAAGTGGTTGTATCAATTTTGTATTCCCAAGAACAGTATATTTTTTGAAGCATACTTGGTATTTTCATACTTTACATATTTTGCAAACATGTTTGGAGTATAAGGGTATATTATTGTGGTTTCACTGCTATTTCTTCATTTTTAAAAATTTAGGACATTAAGTACTGGTATACTGATGAGTATAACTATAACTTAGGTCTCTTGTATTTCCCCAATATATTTACTACTTCTTTCTTCATTCTCAGTATAATTATAATTTAGGTTTCAATCTATGTTTATGATGATGATGATGATTATTATTAAATTTTAGAGACAGGGTCTTGGTTTGTTGCCCAGGCTGGTGTCCAGTGGCACCATCTTAGCTCACTGTAACCTCAAATTCATGGCTCAGGAGATCTGCCTGCCTCAGTCTCCCGAGTAGCTAGGACTACAAGCACATGCCCCCATGCCTGGCTAATTTTTCATGGTTTTTTTTTTTTTTTTTTTTTTTTTTTGTAGAGACAGGGTCTCTCACTGTGTTGCCCAGACAGGTCTTGAACTCTGCAAGTGAGACCATGTGGTATTTGGTTTTCTGTTTCTGAGTTAGTTCACTTAGGACAATGGTCTCTAGTTCCATTTGTGCTACTGCAGAGGACATGATTTCATTCTTTTTTATGGCTGCACAAAAGGAGTTTGTGCAAGCAATCCTGTCTCAGCCTCCCAAAGCTTTAGGATTACAGGTGTGAGCCGCTGTACCTGACTGTATATTCATTATTTGATATGAGTATACTTATTACACATAATTTAGTTCACCTTGTATATTATGTTTATTTTGCCTTTTTTCCACCTCTCTTTGTTTTTCATGGAGTCAATAATTGCCTTTTTTAAATTCATTAGTTTCCTATGTATATTTTTACTAATTTTTCTAATAGAACTATAACACTCCCTTTGATTTTGCCAAACATCAAATAATCTATTACTTTTCCTTCTTTTTCTTTTTTCTTTGTTTTTTTGTTTTTTTTTTGAGATGGAATTTCGCTCGCTGCCCAGGCTAGAGTGCAATGGCATGATCTCAGCTCACCGCAACCTCCGCCTCCGGGGTTCAAGCAATTCTCTTGCCTCAGCCTCCCGAGTAGCTGGGATTACAGGCATGCGCCACCACGCCTGGCTAATTTTGCATTTTTAGTAGAGACAGGGTTTCTCCATGTTGGTTAGGCTGGTTTTGAACTCCTGACCTCAGGTGATCCGCCTGCCTCGGCCTTCCAAAGTGCTGGGATTACAGGCGTGAGCCACTGTGCCTGGCCTTTCTTTTTCTTTCTTTCTTTCTTTCTTTCTTTCTTTCTTTCTTTCTTTCTTTCTTTCTTTCTTTCTTTCTTTCTTTTCTTCTTTCTTTTTCTTTCTTTCTTTCTTTTCTTTCTTTCTTAATTTTTCTTCCTTTCTTTCTTTTCTTTCTTTCTCTTTCTTTCCTTCCTTCCTTCCTTTCTTTCTTTTTTCTTTCCTTTCTTTCTTTTCTCTTTCTTTCCTTCCTTCCTTCCTTTCTTTCTTTTCTTTCTTTCCTTCCTTCCTTTCTTTCCTTCTTTGTTTTCTCTTTCTTTCTCTCTTTCTTTCCCTTTCTCTTTCTCTCTTTCTCTCTCTCTCTTTCTTTCTCTCTTTCTCTCTTTCCTTCTTTCTTACCATGGGGACATCACAGAGACTTCCCTCCTGCCTCAGTATGGTTTCACTGTGCTCTTGCCCTATTGCAGAGCTGTTGCCTTGAGTTCTTGTTCATTGTTCTTGGAATTCTTTTTGCTCCTCCTTTGTATTAAATCCTGTTTCACCCCTTCTCAAGAAAGAGAAATACTTACCTAATTGTTCAGATTTTAGTGTGTAGAGTTGCTGTGGTTAAACGTTCTTAGGAAAAGTGACTGGTGTTCTCTTCTGTCCTTCTCTTCCATGGTGGGAAATGGGGTTGATGGCCTGGCAAGGTAAAGGGAATGGATAAATGATTGAATGGTAGAGATGTTGATAGAAGGACCAAAGACCCAGCTATCTTTCTCTCTTCCTTTCTGCCAAGGTACTTCCAGTTTGGGGCTAAAGCACCAGCTGTAGCCCAGAGAAACCCCACAGTAAGCAATGGGACCAAATGCTCTCTCTTGTTGTAAGCGTCTTGTTTTTTTGGGTTCTATTTCTCATGTGTCTGGATGACAATCTTGAGATCATAATTGCAGCATCTTAGATTCAGGCTTGGATGTAACGGGAGAAGGGCATGAGGTGGGGGCAGTATTGGAAGAAACCAAACATGGTTTGTTCTGAGACTAGTACAAGTACTTTAGGAAAACTGAATGTTTGTGTAATGGAAATTTTTCTGCATTAACATTTGAGGCCATATGGATAGCTAACAGTAAATATTACTGTGCCTTGATTTTTCCATGTCCCTTTTGTATTCATGCCCCTAGGAGAAAACTTGTGGAGAGGACTAGCTATGATTTGGGAAAGAACTCTTGAATTCTGTGGTCCCTTGGTCAAAGTACCATTTTATTTTTTATTTCATCATTTTATTTTAGATTCGGGGAGTACGTGTGTTTGTTACATGGGTATATTGCATACTGGTGGGGATTGGGTTTCTAGTGTACCCAGTACCCAAATAGTGAACATAGTACCCAGTAGGTTATTTTTCAACCCTTGCTCTCCCCCACCTCCCCACTTTTGGAGTCCCCAGCATCAGTTCCATCTTTATGACCATGTGTACCCATTGTATAGCTCTCATTTATAAGTGAGAACATGCAGTATTTGGTTTTCTGTTTCTGAGTTAGTTCACTTAGGACAGTGGTCTTTACCTTCATTCTATTGGTTCAAAGGATATGGACATGAATTCATTCTTTTTTATGACCGCACAAAGTACCATTTTTTTCTTTTTTCCGACGGAGTCTCCCTCTGTCGCCCAGGCTGGAGTTCAGTGGCCGATCTTGGCTCACTGCAACCTCCGCCTCCTGGGTTCAAGTGATTCTCCTGCCTCAGCCTCCTGAGTAGCTGGGCACACGGCACCATGCCTAGTTAATGTTTGTATTTATTTTTTATTTTTTTTGAGACAGTCTCGCTGTGTCGCCCAGGCTAGAGTTCAGTCGCACGATCTCGGCTCACTGCAACCCCCGCCTCCCGGGTTTAAACGATTCTCCTGCCTCACTCAGCCTCCCAAGTAGCTGGACTACAGGCACCCGCCACCATGCCTGTCTAATTTTTATATTTTTAGTGGAGATGAGGTTTCATTACGTTGGCCAGGCTGGTCTTAAACTCCTGACCTCGTGATCTGCCCTCCTCAGCCTCCCAAAGTGCTGGGATTACAGGTGTAAGCCACCACGCCTGGCCAATTTTTGTATTTTTAATAGAGACAGAGTTTCACCATGTTGGCCATCCTGGTCTCGAACTCTTGACCTCAAGTGATCCACTGCCTTGGCCTCCCAAAGTGTTGAGATTACAGGTGTGAGCCACTGTACCTGGCCTAAAGTACCATTTTAATAGTCCTGCAAATCTATCTTTTCTAACACACTTGATCTAATCGGTTAGATTGTCTCAAAGATTACAATATGGTGTTAAAATTACCTTCTTGTCTGTTATATCCTTTTGAGATGGTAGGATTTAATAGTAGCCAATTAGACAATCAGAACTTTCCTGTGTAGAAAATTTGAAGTTCTCTAAATGGTCTGGAACAAGTGTCCTATAGCAAGAAACAAAAAATAATCTTTGCATTGCATAGCTGTTAAGTTTTACAAATAAATATGGAATAGATGACTGAGCAATGCTGGAATTCATTTTTCTTGGTTGCTATTTTAAGAATAAATCAGGCTCAACAATGAAAAGGACACTTGCCCCCAAAATTCATTTGTTGAAGCCCTAACCCTCATTGTGACTATATTTGGAGAGAAGGCCTTTAAGAGAGTAATTAAGGTTAAATGAAGTCATAAGGGTGGGGCCCTAATCCAGTATGACTAGTGTCCTTATAAGGAGAGAGAGACATCAGGGATGTGCTCACCTGGAGAAAAGGCTATCTGAGGACACAGAAAGAAGGGAGCCATCTGCAAGTCAAGGAGAGGGGGCTCAAGAGAAACCAACCCTGCTGACACCTTGGTCTTGGACTGCCAGCCTCCACAACTGTGAGAAAATAAATGTCTGTTGTTTAAGCCACCCATCTGTGGTATTTTATGGCAGCCTTAGCTGACTAATGCAGATATATAACTCACTCAAAAAATGAACAAAATTTGCATTTAAAAATGTAAAAATGGCCGGGCATGGTGGCTCATGCCTGCAATCCTAGCATTTTGGGAGGCTGAGGTGGGCAGGCTGCTTGAAGCCAGGAGTTTGAGACCAACCATGGCCAACATGGCATGACATGTCTCTCCTAAAAACACAAAATTTAGCTGGGCATGGTGGTACACGCCTGTAATCTCAGCTAGTCAAGAGGCTGAGGCATGAGAATTGCTTGAACCTGGGAGGTGGAGGTTGCAGTGAGCTGAGATTGTGCCAATGCACTCTAGTCTGGGTGACAGAGCAAGACTCTGTCTCAAAAATAAAAAATAAAAAAATAAAAATAAAAATGGCAGTTAAAAAAACTGCAAAATTTAAAATATGCTCATTTTAGTAATAATTATTTGAGTCCTTTATATGTCACAAGCTAAGCATAATACTGTCTCCTCCATCACCCATACAAACTGGAGGCTTTGAGTAAAGTGTCATTCTCTACTAAGTGTATACAAGAGTTTGTACTTTTCTTGCAATATTTCTTTAAAATTATTTCACAATAAATTTTAAAAAAATATATAAAAGGATATAGATGATGACCTGAAACAACAAAAAAGCCCCCACAAGTTTTCCCAAACTGAGGATATGCAACTCAGATTGAATGTATATATTTATTATAATCTCCAAAATAATTTCACTTGGTACAACTGCTTCTTAAAACCATATCAATATCAGGCTCAGAATTTAATTACAACCAAGCAATTCACAAAAACACTGAGCAACAAAACATGCTTAATATTTCTTTGAGAAAGACCCTTCAAATATGTGTACAGCATCACTGGGAGTTACACAAAACTGTTACAAGGTGACCATTAAGTGCCCCAATTCTGCACTTCTGACATACATGAATGGCTAATGTAACCACGTTTGGGAATCTTTTTACATCTCAAAATAAAGCTTTCTGATGCAACTTGCCATCCTTTTAAATTTTAAAGGATATTCTTGGTAATTCCTTAGGAAAGTAAAACTACACACACTTTCAGAGAAACAATA
Organism: Homo sapiens; assembly: GCF_000001405.40. Classification (NCBI taxonomy): domain Eukaryota; kingdom Metazoa; phylum Chordata; class Mammalia; order Primates; family Hominidae; genus Homo; species Homo sapiens. The sequence continues at coordinate 40,693,339 of NC_000005.10, read as the reverse complement.
AGCTGCTTAGATTTTTAAAATTTTTTATATTATACACTTCAATTATGGGTTATTTATTAAAGACTTCAAAAAATTTATGTTATGTTTTTAAAAGTACCAATTAGTGAGGGAAAAAGTTGAAAATATTCACCAGCATGTTAGGTTCTCCTGAAATCACAGTTTTCTGGATAAATAAATGTAATATCACTAAACAATTTTCACTATGTATTTTATACATAGCCTGGAAAGAACAGTATTTTGGACTGTAATTTTCACATCTTAAATAGTATTTTTTTCTTTATCCCTTTGATAATACTAAATTCTTTCTCTTAAAAATTTATATCTATTTTATAGATATCAATCTTACTATGAATTTTCAACTTTGACTCGAACTTGTTTATGAAAAATATCTAACATCTGCAACTTCAGCTGGTTATACTGGAAGGAGAGGGGTTGCGATAATTTTATTATACCTTGTATTAACAATAAACCTTCTCACAGAGAAGAAAATACTTTAAATACCTTAAATCGTATGTACAACAATAAAAATTCACATTTCATGCTTTAGTGAGACACTTAAATCATCCATAAGGCAGTCCTCATAGTTTATTGGAATAGAGCCTTTCTAATATCTGGGCCTCTGCTGTGTGCCAAATACGACAAAGCTCTGGATGTTATGACAGCAGCCAAACTTCTACCATCCTCCTATCTAGTAGAAAAACGGAGGGTAGGTCTTCGCAGCCATCAAGTTGTGACCACAATCCTCTGTCATAGTGGGGTAGCATCCGACGTGCTGCAGGCCTCAGGACCCACGTGAGTCAACTTGATTGTTTGAAAAGTGCTCAAAAGCCAGGATGTTCTCTAATGTGAGTTGTAGGATGATGATAGCCCTTCTGAGCACAGCTAAATGTGACATGTATGTGTCTATTGCACAGGATTTTATAAGGGTCCAGAAACAGTACTGTATTTCTTTCCTTGCCTATTATATACATTTTTCTGATAAGTTCAGTGTTTCACTGGGAAATGTGACTTGCAGGGAGCTCCCCTTAGGGGCAGGCCCAGCCCTGCCGCTCCCACCAGCCTCATCCACCAGTAAGACACTCTCTGAGTCCTGACCCTGTGAAGAGTCTGAGGTCTCTGATATTCGCAAAGTCCTCAGTGAGGTGGTGTCTTCCTGGGCCAGGCCCATGCCAGGCACACCTGGAAGCAAATTCCTGCCTCCAAGGCCATTTTCACTGAGGTCTGGCAGTGAGAGGTCTGGCAGGAGGGTCTGAGATGTACTGCTGATCTCCTTCAGCTCCCGGGAGATGAAGGAGCGAGAGTGGCCTGACATGGCAGAAGATGTCCTTTGACTGTCTGAGCAGTGCTGTCCGGAGCGCTCCCTGCGGGACCCGCCAATGCGGCAGAAGAGGCATTTGATCTTCTCTATTGCTTTACTGAGCACTGTCTTTCTCAGGAGGATATATATCCAGGGGTCTAGGATGGGGTTCACAGAAGCAATTCGGATGGCCTGCAAATCTGGATTTTTACTGACTTCTCGCTCCAAACTTGGCTGATATAACTGGTTGACGAATACTCGCACCTGCATAAGTGAGATCGCACATTTAGATTTCATCATTAATCAATTGGGAAAACATATAAATGCTATGTCTACCTTATCAATATTAGGAAGCTGCCTTCATTTCTGGTAACAAGTTCCAGGAAAAGAGGAAGCTACATAATAAGCCTCAGAAAAACCAGTCATGGGCTGGGCACGGTGGCTCACGCCTGTAATCCCAGCACTTTGGGAGGCCGAGGTGGGAGGATCACTTGAGGTCAGGAGTCCGAGACCAACTTGTCCAACATGGCGAAACCCCATCTCTACTAAAAATACAAACATTAGGCTGGGTGCGGTGGCTCACGCCTGTAATCCCAGCATTTTGGTAGGCCGAGGTAGGCGGATCACTAGGTCAAGAGATTGAGAACCTCCTGGCCAACATGGTGAAACCCCATCTCTACTAAAAATACAAAAATTAGCTGGGTGTGGTGGCATGCGCCTGTAGTCCCAGCTACTCGGGAGGCTGAGGCAGGAGAATCATTTGAACCTGGGAGGCGGAGGTTGCAGTGAGCTGAGATCCCACCACTGCACTCCAGCCTGGCGACAGAGCGAGACTCCGTCTCAAAAAAACAAAAATTAGCCAGGTGTGGCGGCACACGCCTATAATCCCAGCTACTCAGGAGGGTGAGGCAGGAGAATGGCTTGAATGCGGCGGGTGGAGGTTGCAGTGAGCTGAGATGATGCCACTGCACTCCAGCCAGGGCAACAGAGCAAGAATCTGTTTAAAAATAAAAAATAAAAAAATAAAAACCAGTCACTGCAAAAATGCAATTACATGTTCTGAGTTCGTATAGCTTTAATATTTTTGTAACTATCTTATGATTATCTTCCCTAGAGCAAAGACAGTATACAAAAATGCAATGTGAGTGCAGGTCACATATGTATAAAGTGTTCTTGAGAAGCACTTTATTAACTTCATTTCTGTGAGTGCTTTTAAGTTTTTGTAATTCTAATGAAGTAACTTTTTTCCCCCAAAAGCTACTGATTTCTTATTCCAGCTGTCATTTTACATAATTTAAAGGAAACTCATTTTATAAGTCAATTAACCATCTAATCACCAGAATAAGGCCAAGATTCTTTTATTCTAGTCTAGAAAGAATATGCTGAAAAGTTTTACACCAACAGCAGGATCTCCTGTTACCCAGAATGACCAGAGAATAGTTTTTATTTTCTCTATGACTCTGTTCCCCAGTTATAGTAATCACAACGGATGAATGAGAATTTGCTAAATTTAGAAGGAAAGACATCACATTTCAAATAGAGGTAGCTCCATGTGCAAAGTCATGGAAGAATGAAATGATATGTCAACATCTGGGAACTTCAAATGATTCAGCGAATGGAGCATGAATTTGTGTAAACTTACATGATCATTTTAATCCTTAGGGGAAAATGCATTTGTTAAATGTACATGTATATATATTTTTGAGACAGGGTCTCACTCTGTCGCCCAGGCTGGAGTGCAGTGGTGTAATCATTGCTCACTGCAGCCTTGACCCCCTAGGCTCCAGCAATCCTCCTGCTGTAGCCTCCTGAGTAGCTGGGACTACAGGTGTGTGCCATCATGCCTGGCTAACTGTTATTATTTTTGTAGAGATGAGGTCTTTCTATGTTGCCCAGGCTGGTCTCTAACTCTTGAGCTCAAGTGATCTGCCCGCTGCAGTCTCCCAAAGTGCTAAAATTACAGGAGTGAGCCACCATGTTCAGCCTCAAATTTACTCTTAAAGTATTATGATTTTTTTTTGCCTAGATATTACTTCTAATTCCACTGGGATCATTTATATAAAAATCTCATCTGTAATTAATATAGAAATAGTAGTAGTGGTAATTCACATAGAAATAGAAATAGAAATAGTAGTATAGAAATAAAAATAATTGCCATATATCTTAAGTAATTATTTAGTAATTATTTCTTGCCTTTAGTAATTATTTTAGGTTAGGGAGAAGAGGTTGAGTCTCACAGTCAAGGAAGATACATAAAAACCACAAAAAGGAGAAAGAACTAACAAAAGCATAGCTGGAGCCATTTAACTAGGGGCAAATATCTCTAACAAGACTTGAGGATGTTGCTGCCTTACTATATACAGCGTAACAATGAATGACTCATGGTGTATGAATCACCTGGAACAGGGACAGTTTAGTTGAGGCTGAGTCAGTTCACAACGGAAAAGGCGATTCATTGACCATTTGCATGTGTTCCTTTGGCACTTACTAGATGTAACAATATTTGGGTCAGGATATTATAGAAAGATTTTCAACAATTTGGGTAAAATTTGGGTAAAAGAAGGAAGAATTATTTTTTTCTTCCTTTAAAGATTCTTTGAATCTTTAAAATATTCGAAGAAATACATTTCATTAATCTGCAAAATCAAGCTTATATTAAACTTACTCCTGGATGATACTGGATCAGTAAGGTAGAACTGCATTTCTTTTTCTTCCTTAACTGGAATTTAGATCTTAATTAGCTATAGGTCTCTGATCCTCTCTCAAAAGATTTTTGTTCATTTCCTTTGTTATTGTTTTGTTGTTATTCACTTGTTTTGTTTTGAGAACTTACACTCATTGCAAAATCTGACCTAAACTTATTTTGGCAGCAAAACTGAACTGAACAGACTGTGAAGCCATTTAGTTCAATTTATTCCACTTAGAGTGAATATTCCTATGTTCTGGTCCAGGATTACTGTTCCAGTTCTGATGGGGATATTACATATTTTGCAATATATTATTGATTACTTTTCTAAAAGCCAAGAAATTCTGAATTCTGAAACTCATCTGCCCGTAAATATTTTGGATATGGGATTATGGGCCTGTAAATCTCAGAGAATAAAATAGTGACATGCCTCTAACCAAGATGAAATTAATATCTTCCTATATGGAAGACAGCTAAATCAAGAATGAACTAGAATGAACAGCAGTGTGTAATATCGCCTCTTGAAATACTTTTAGAAACTACGCTGGGATAAATGATAGTATCAAGGCAAAGCATACTTGATTTAAAAAAAAATCTTTACAGAAAGTAAAATAAAGCATCTTGGTTTCTTCCTTCCATAAGCTTTGAGGTCTTCAGCTATGCCTGGAAACTCAGCAGTTCCCTCAACTCTACAGGCCTTTTCTCAGATGAGGTATTTGTTACTGAGACCCAGAGGTTTTGAGGAACTTAGGATGTCCCCCACCCTGTTGGTGGCAGAGTCTGGTCTGGACCTCCATGTTGCCTTTTCTGTTCTACCAGTCTGGCTTTCTGTTTAATTATTATTTCCTGACAATGGAATTGTTGGTAAAAAGCATGAGGTCTATATTTTATTCACATCACATACTACGTTCCTAAGGGTAGAAGAAATGATGGCGTTAAATCTGTTAGTATCAAGTCCTGTGTGTGGTCTCTGGAAAAGACCTACGGCCGGGTTTATGCGAACTTGAGCCTTCAAGCCTCCAGGTGGCAGTGTTGCTCCACTTGAGAGTTTCTGATACTACCTCCCTAACAAGCACTGTGTAAAGCCATCTCCGAGACTCGCAGAACAGAATTTTGGTTAAGTCTGAACCTGACGTTTCTGAGATTTTTGACACTGAAAATGTTTTATTGCTGGTTGCTTCTCCTACCACAACCTCAAAGGAAACATGGCTACTACTGAAAGGAAGAAAATTTTTGAATAGTTAAAATGGAATTTATAGCCATTCAAAGAAGTACATTAGGAGTTAGCATTTTAAAATTTCTGTGGCCTTTTAGAAAGGTTGGAATGTTGTAAAACAATTAATAATAGGTTTTCATAATCAAAGGTGATGAGAGGCAAGGAAAGAATCATTTCTGTGCCTCATCTCATCCACAGCAGCAATGGATTTCGACTAGTATAGGAGGGAATGAAAGGAGGCTATATTAAAAGTATGCTCTATTTTAAAGTTTTCCATGGGGGAGGAAAAGTTTACAATTAGTACAAGCCACTGAACCTGGTCATTCAATGTCTTTTCAATAAAGGGGAGTTCACAGGGTAGTAAAAGTATGAGTTTAAAAAGCAAAAGTCCAAATTCAGGTAAAAACATCCTCAAAAGTTGGTTAGATTGAAAAGAATCAATATGAGTTTTACTTTGCAGCGTATTTCAATTGAGACTTACTTCAAGTAGGGAAAGAAAAAAGACAAAACAAACAAAAACTCCACGCATCTTGCAATGTTTGAAAACATAGAGCAACCTCTGCTTCACTTTAAGTAGGCTACTTGATTTGCTGTTTCCAAGAGGGCAGGGACAACCCCAGTTGAGATGGGGACATCCGGAGTAGTGCTTCAATGTCTCGTGAGGGGGTGAAAGCACTTTTCGGAATTCTTGTCCAACAGGCCCTATATTTTACATAATTAAACAAGTTCAGGCAGTTTTCAGTGTTGGAAGAGTGTGTTGCTGATAAAACTGAACCTCCGAGTCAGGAGGGAATATGGCCGGGCATGGTGGCTCATGCCTGTAATCCCAGCACTTTGGGAGGCTGAGGCAGGCGGATCACCTGAGGTCAGGAGTTTGAGACCAGCCTGACTAACATGGAGAAACCCAGTCTCTACCAAAAATACAAAATTAGCCGGGCGTGGTGGTGCATGCCTATAATCCCAGCTACTTGGAAGGCTGAGGCAGGAGAATCACTTGAACCCGGGAGGTGGAGGTTGCGGTGAGCTGAGATTGCGCCATTGCACTCCAGCCTGGGCCACAAAGTGAAACTCCGTCTCAAAACAAAAACAAAAACAAAAACAAAAACAAAAAAACTCACTGAATACAAACAACGTATCTCCTTTCTTCCAATTTTAAGTCTTTTTCTAGTAGCTCCTGCTGTGTACATGTGGTTTGTTGTTAATATTGGCATATTACAGTATTCTAAATTATTTTATTTTCTTTTAGAAAGGGTCTCACTCTGTCACCCAGGCTGGAGTGCTGTGATACAAACATGGCTCATTGCAGCCTCAACCTCCTGGGCTCAAGCAATCCTCCAGCCTCAACCTTCCAAGTTGCTGGGACCACAGGCACATGTTACCACACCCACCTAATTTTTTTTAAATTATGTTATTCACACTTTTTTTTAGGATGATTAGAGATTAGGGCTCAGGAGCAGTGGAACATAACTTTGAGGAAATGCAATAAGTTCAGAAGAAGATGTGGTGACAAGAAAGCTGTAAGGAGGCTATATGCTGTAGAGATAAATGCCCAAGCTTTGGAAGCAAACAAGCCTCTGTTCAAATCCTGGCTCTGCCCTTATAACGTATGTACAAATTATTAAAGTGCTTAGTACAGTGCCTATCGTATAACAGATATGTTGGCTCTCATTACTTTTTCTTTCAACCCATATGTGGAAGCTTGCCCAGTGTGGAAGGTATCAATAATTTGAAAACTGTAGCTTAGAGGTAGCTTTGGGATATAGTTAATAATATGGTATCAAAAACATGTACTTCCTACTTAATAATTTGTTTGCAGGGAATGTTGAAGAAAGAATGTTGAACTCTTGATTAGATTTAGTAATGGACTGTCAAAACAGTAACGCTTTCCAATAAGTGACAAGATCTGTAGCTGGATTTGAATGTGTGTGCTACTTGTTCTGTTCCAAGCACATAAAAGGAATTATCTGTATGGGCTCAGTTATCCCACTGCCTTGTTAAGAGTCCAAAATTGACACAGCTGTTACTAGAAGTTCTTATCACTTTCTTTTTTTCAAGTAAAGAATAGTGGAAATAATTATTGACTGGGTGGTGTGTAGGAGAGCTTGGTTCTTCTTCTGGCCATTTGTAGAAGGCAAGTTAAATCTCTACAGGCTTTATAGGTCAACCTCTACACTGAAAGTTTCTGTTTTTTTTTATTTGTTTGTTTTTAAAGCTCTCACATTGAATATTCTGATAGGAGACTACAAGAATCACGTCAGGGCTGAGAAAAAAAATCTTGTTAGGAGATATTCAATACAAACAAATTGACAGGTCAAGAAAGCATGGTGAAATGAGCATTAGACGAGGACTCACCTATAGCTACCCTGTAAGTTGCAGAATGATATAAATTCTTCATTTGCAGCTTGGGAAACTGAGGTGTAGAGAGAGTGAAAATACTGGTCAGCCCTACTTTCTCCTTAGAGCTTTTCAAGATTCAAATGAAATGCCAGATGTGGAAATAACTTACTTTTATGTTACTCAATAGTCTTCAGGTTACTACTACTGGGTCTGCAATTGCATGTTATGATTTAAAACTTCCTTCTAGGCATTGCAATTTTTTAAACTTAGCCAAATTTATTTGAACAAATCCAGTCTTTTAGATTCTGTCATAGTCATACCCAAATTTGTGGCATTTCTCTTGTATGTATAGATGTGCTTCACACTCATCTGACATCCCATCAGTTGTTTTATGACTCCACTTCCAGTTTGCCTACAGTAAACAAAAGCATATCTATTTACAAAGTTTTTATCTGTCCTTATAAACTTTTGCTGATCAAATGCTGGTGAAAGCTTTATAGAGACAACTAGTTTATAGTAAGGAACCAAATAAACAGTCACAGGAAGTATTTTCCTAAGGACCTAAGTTTTACCTCACCAAGGCAGAAGATTAATCAAATTAGCTGTTCTGCCCCTAGCTGAGATGAGTATTTGTTACTTCAGAGTTAAAAAATAAAAGAAACAAGTAAGCAATAAATACAGTCTTGGGTTGCTTGTGTATGGGGGAAAATGACCTTCGAAACCCTATAGTAACTGTTTAGCCCTAAGGCAAAATATTTGATTATAATAATCATCTTAATATTCATTAGTAACTGCAAAATTAGGCACTAGTAATTCATCAAGCTACAGCATTTAAAACCAGGACCTTAGGAGGCTGTCTTGCTTGCATATTTCTAAAGAATTCAATCCTTTTCGTTTATCTTAAATGTAGACTCTCACTTCTTGTTCTCACAAAATTTTAGAAGTTCTCACTTCCAAAATTCTCCTATATTTAAAAAAACTATGAGACTGGTTATAAATAGAAGAATGGACAAAATGACAAGAACCACCTACCCACTAAATCTTGTCATGTGATGTTCCTTGTAGATCATACTTACACCTTCTCTGATCATTAATTATGACCCAGTTCAAAGAATGCTGCAGGTTCAGCACAGTTCCTTATATCCACAACTAATTTCCCAACCTTTCTCAAATTTCCACTCCAATCTTAACTCTATTTATGAAATATGTATATTTTGGATAGCAAATTAAAATTTATTTTTTATACTAAACTCAATACCAACCCCCCTCTAAGAGCTGTAGCTCTTTCTTCCCTGGTGTCCAGGAGGCAAAACCTTGGCTGCTTTTCAGTGGCTGCTTGTTTTCCTTAGGTATTATATCAAGCTTTCTGAAATTCCAAGTAAACTACATTTGCTTTGTTAGCCTTTCCAAAGCATTTAAAATGATTCCAACGCTTTGATTTTCCTTAAATGGGATTAGCAACCACTTGATTTGATAAAATTAGATGCTTCATTAGTTTCTTTGGAACTGAAGATAAGCTCAACTGCTTTCAATGTCAGAGAGTTCTGAGCTTTAATCTTAATTTACAACATGAATATGAAAACATGAAAAAAGAAAGTTGTAAAAGGAAGCCAAGGAAGACTGTATTTGCGGAAGGGTTTTTGATTATTTCAGTAATTGCTGAATTGTGGGGGGGGGGGTGGGTGGGTGGCATAATGAACCCATCATTTATCACTAATTTATAATTAAACTGATTCTGAAATTAGACTTTAGTAGCCAAAACTAAAGGCGACAAACTGATGCCACTGCTATTTTAGGATTCCTTATTTCTCACAAAGCTATATAAATACTTGACTAATGGGATTACTTCTTAATTGAGCTAGTTTCAATTTTCAGGTCAAGATTACTTAAAATTTACTACACGTTACTAACATTATACAGGTGGACAGTATTTCTTGTTAGTTAAAATGTGGTTAATCTGCAAACCACAAATACAGCTCCTATAATTTCTTGCCTCTAGGTCCTCAAATAATTTCAAGGCTTTGTGTAAGGGCCCTGAATCTTAGGTCCAGGTCTACCACTTCAGCCTATGAGGTGAATTAAGCCTTGTATGTCTCTCTAGATGTTGGAAGAAAATAATTCATCCGTGGCTGTGCAGAAATCCATAGCTTTACATGCTTACTTCCAACCAAAACACATTTATAAAGTATGTGCATGTTGCTAACCTTCTAGCTCTAATTCCTCTGTCCCTTTAAGTGGATGTTCTGAAAATAACAACCATTCACTTTGTCATTTACTGTTCTGTAAAACACAAGGCAGAGGCCCAGGAACAGGGGCCCCATCAGGAGCAGTGTTGTTTCTTCCAAAATCTCACTTTATTCTAGGTTGCCATTACAGACAGTAAAATATATTTATGTGGCTCAAGTGTGACTTAACTCTGTAAATTATATTGGGTCCTGGAATGGCTTAAAGGCTCTTATGGCCTATTATATTTACTTCTGTTTATACAAATTGGTAAGAACCTACTGTATTCTGGCTCTGAGCCCCCTCTAAGTTCCTTCCATTTACAGTCACTTTTATCAAAGATATATTTTTACACCAAAGATCCCTGGACAGTATCAATAAGGAAAAGGAAGGAATAATAGCCCATTACATTTTATATTCTCTTGTTCCCAACAAGCATAAGAAAAAGCAGTTATCTCTTTTTGAGTTGGTAGTTTAGAATTTCCAGGAATGCAGTGTTTTGGAAGATGGAAGAACTCATAACTAGTTGCTTTCAAGAGAAACTCTAGATAAAGTATTGCATTATTCTGCCCATCTGCTTCTGGTGCATTCCATTTTAGCCACAGGCAAAGTAGAAAACTAGGTAGGGTTTGAGCCTTTCTGTTTATCATATTTTAAAAGTTAATCCAAAGGCAATTCTTAAAAGATGAACTAAAAATGAAGTGTACCAAAACTCCAACCCACGCTTTACAAACGCCAAAATGAGAAATGTTCTACGAGGGAGACGTGATGTAATAACACATGAGCTGGGTCTGGCCTCAGACGGCCTAAGGTCCATTACAAGCTGTAGAGCTTTGGCTTGAAGAAACAAAGACAGCCATCTCTAAACCTCGGTTTCTCTAAAATGGTACTGTACCTCGCACAGTTGTCGAGAATTCAAATCCCATACCCTATGTATATCAGCCTGTCCATAATTAGTCACCCTGAGAAACTTTGCTTTCCTGGTCTAGACAGAATGAAAGAAACTGAGTCTGGACCCTGCCCTGTATATGAATTAGAATTTGTGTGCTTTAAGCTGCCCTCCCAGGGCACACCATGGTAAAGAGCAGGGAGCCTAGCTTGACTGTGTAGGTTCGGCTGGATTATTTTAAGCGTATCATTCACTCCCTCAGTGAAGTGAGGGAGTTAGACTAAAACACCTCTTGATATCTCTTCTAGCTTTAAAATTCTACGCAATCCACGGGGGAAGAAATTCAAGAAACCTTGCATACATCAAAACACCAAAAACCCCACTTTCCTTAAAAATGGTTTACAACGAACAGATCACCATCCCTGACATTTCAGGTTTTGCAGTTCACAGTTCACAGTACGGAGGAATGGGCTAAGTCACACTACAGCAGGCTCCCCTCCACGTCTAACAGAGGGGGCGGGGGGTTTTCTTGGAAGACTCGGCCAGTGTCAGGCAGCAAGGGGTAAGGGCTGTCTCGGTGGAGAAAGAAACCCAGGCTTCCGGGAACATAAACTGGGGGATGTAGGGGCAAAGCACCTGCTAAATCTCGTTAGGGTTGGGACTTCAAAGAGGGTTGGGCCTGCTCTGAGAAACAGTGTGGGAATCCCAGCCCCGACCTAAAGGCGACACGTTCACTGCCAAGGACTCAGAGGGAAAGCAGGGAGCGGGGAATGGACGCGGGAGGTGGATGCGAGAAAAAGGCCGAGTAGGGCCCCAGCCCCGGTCACTCACCACGAGCGGGATGGAGCAGATGAGCACCACCAGGGAGGTGGCAATGAGTAAGATGACCATCTGGATCTCGGCGCCCGCGATGCGGCGGAAGCTCCGGCGGCGCCGAAAGTCGCTGAGGCGCGGCAAGGCTGGGGAGGCAGCGGGGTGGCCCCGGGAGGCAACCGAGGCGGCCGCGGCCGCGTGGTGCTGCTCGGTGCCCAGCGAGGTGCGGCGCATGAACTGGCGGTGCATGCGGAGCAGCGCGCCGCACACAAGCACGTTGCAGAGGACGGTGGCGAGAATGAGGAAGGAGCTGAAGCCCGCGTACATGTAGGAGTAGGCGGCGTGCGCCGTCACGTTGGTGGTCCAGTCGATGAAGCACCAGGTGTCTGGGTACTGCAGCCGCGAGCTACCGAGACCCATGTTGGGCAGCGCGCAAAAGAGCACGTTGGACGCATAGACTGCAAAGAGCGTGAGGCCCGCCAATCGCTTGTCCACGTAGTGGCTGTAGAAATAGGCATGGTTGATGGCCAGGTAGCGCTCGACACTCATGGCGCAGATGATGCTGAGGCCGGACAGGCTGAAGAAGAGCAGAATGAAGGTGCTGTACTCGCACAGCGGCTGGCCCCCGGGCCATTGGCCCTTCATGTACGTGGCGATGGTCACCGGGCTCACCAACAAAGTGCCCAACAGGTCGGTGACAGCCAGCCCACATACCAGCGTGTAGAAGGTCGTCTCCTTCTGCTCCTTGCGCGACTTGCACAGCACCACGATGGCCACCAGGTTGCCCACCACCCCGAAGATGAACATCACCGCCGGGATGGTCACTGGGCTGTTCAGCCGGTCGGGGCTCAAGGAGGCGGACGAATTGACCCCGGGAGTGGACATGATAGTGGCTGGCGGTGCGCAGCCTTGGAGTGCAAGGCTGGGTCTGGGGATGGTAGAAGAGAGACAAAGCTGCCGTGAGCGGAAATTACCACTTGTAAGGTGTTAGACCCGCGCCCGAGAAACGATACACTGATAAGACAAGGGGAGCAACTCGATCCTACTTTCTGGATTGTAGCCACTTACCAACTGCGGCCACCAAAATCTCCAGGCTCGCGATACGTCCTGCCAACAGCACACTCTTGCTGACATTAATATTTATAAACTGATTTTCCCATTCCTCTTCCTCCCCACAATCCAACTCACTCCATTGCCAAGATGAATAAGACCCATCTCAAGGGAAAAGTAGCTCGCTAGTGCTATTCTCGATAGATTCTGAATCAATAAAATGCTCACTGAAAACAAGTTACAAAAGCAATTTGGAGAGCGCGCTCTTCCCTTCTTGGCTCTCTTCGGCGAGGGCCGCATCCCTGCGTTCTCTACCCGTTGACCCCAACGTCAGCCCAACGCCATCTCACCTGTAGCGGCAGCAGCGGTGGCAGCCTCACGAGCCCCCAGGGTCAGCCCTCAGATGTCCTGGACCCGCCTCCAACCTGCTTTCACCTTGTCCTGCTCAGTCTGGAAACTGCCAAATCTTCGGCTTCTCAAAGCCGGTCTCAGTGGCTGTCGATTTTTGGACACCGAGGTCAGAGTTGCCAGCTTTCAAAAACTTGGGAAACAAGAGGTGCAGCGGGATGGGTCAGTGAAGAATGGTGCTGGATTTCTTACTCGCTATTTTTTTTCCTTCAAAGACGAGTCCCAGCTTTGCAGTGCCCGCCGGTCTCGTCTGCGGGAGGACAGCGTTCAGGTGTGAGGCTGTGCGCGCAGGTGGCGCGGAGCCTTGGTCCCCAGCTCTGGCTGCCCTCCGCCCCAGCCACGGGCAGCACGGGCGGCTACTGGAGTTTGCGGCTGCCGCTGAGGCCGCTCCTGGCTACCTGGGGGCGGCTCGGGGTCCACTCTGCCAGAGGCTCTGGCCTGGGGCTGTTCATCTTCCTCTCGGGCTGCCGGGCTTGGAGCTCCGCTCTCGCCTTTCCACCCTCTGTACAAACTTTTCTCCTCCTCCAAGTTTCCCTGGCGGAGGCGGAGGCAAACCGCGCGCTGCCCGGGCGCCCATTGGCCGGATTGGAAGGGGGCGGAGCGCGTCCTCCCTGGGCGCCGCAGGGAAGACTGGCGGGGGGCGGTGTCTGGGCTGGGGCGGGGCTGGGCGCGCGGGGTGGGGCGGCTCCCGTGGTTTTCACGCCCTCGGAGGTGCGGAGTGGGAACTCGGAGGGGACCCTGGGAAGCCCCGGTGCTTTCCCCGGCGACCGCTTAGCCGCTCCTGAACTCGGCTTCCAGTGGGGCCACCACTGAAACCGGCGACCGTTTCCGCCTCGCTGCCTGCCGCTCGGAGTGTACTATTTCTTGAACCTCCTGTCCGCGGGCCGCAACATCTAGATCGTGGAAGAGAGGGCAGTTGTTTTAGGATTCTACCTAGGGTTGGCCGAGAAAGGAGAAGAAATACGGTGTCTGCGCTAGCGCGTGCGCCCCGGGGTTAGACTTGGGTGCGCCCAGCGGACGTGGTAGGTGGGTGGGTGGGTGGGTACCAGATTGGGCGGGGAAATAACGAAGAATCCATCCTCTCACCATAAAAGGAGTTGGAGTCAGTTGGCAGTGCCCAGACTGCGGGCTGCGCTTGGTCGGGCACCCCAGGCAAAAAAGAAAAAAAAAAAAGAGAAAGAAAGAGGAGGAGACAGTGATTGCAGCCTCTCCCGGCGCAGGTGGCAGAGCCTTGCGGCTTTGGAGAGAGGTGGAGCCTTGGTGAGGTTGGGAGGACTGCCTAACTGCGATCTTTTTCTCCATTCTTCCTCCTGGGAACTTCTCCGCCCTGAAAGGGTAGCGTGAGCTTCATGCCTTCGGCCGGCCGTGTTATACTCGTTAGACCCAATTCACCATGAATCCTTTGAAAGACTAGTGGAGAGTGAGAAGGGGGTTTCAAAGTCACTGGAGTAAAGGAATTCTCCAAGCACCACCTCATGATTAATTCTTGGAAAAGCCTGTTTGCGCGGCCCTTAGAATCATTTTGACTTCTTGTCTAATGGTGAAGTTTTTCTCTGTAATCCTTCTACTCTGTTTTCTAAAACCAGAACTAAAAACCTAAAAAATTGTAAAACTTCATGGTGTAATTAAAACCCCTTCACCATTTTTTTTAAGTAAGATTGTGTGGCCTTATTGCACAATTTAAATTCCTGGAAAAACCTCTTCCCATCTGCAGTGTACAAGCATTCTAACATATTATGTCTCCTCACAGGGTAAGTAAATAACTGGATTCTTTTATGTGATAAGCAGGTACCCATTTCTTAAATGTTATTTCGTGAACGAACAAACCTCCTAACTGGTTCTTCAGTTAGTCTCAGCAACACATGGGTAATAAGAGAAACTAAAAGGGCTTTCCGATTTCAAGTAATTACAGGTCATAAAATATCCAGAATCATATTTACTTGCAAAAGGCACTATATGGATATACTAATAAAGAATTATTCTGTTTATACTATTTACTTAATAATATGAGAAAGAAAAATACACATTTGTTAGCCAATATTAAGATTGATGGTGATTGGTCATTTTCTTAAAAATCTTCTTTTAATCAGTACTCTAATCACTTCTGTTGTCGATGCTTCCTTTGAACAGTAACCTCTAGGATTGTGTCAGCACAGAAAACAAATCAACATTAGAAAAAAGGAAACTGCACACTCTGCGCCATTCCTCACTAACCACATTGCTTTGCTATCACTCATGTCAGTTGCTTGTCAGTAAATATATGGAGGGGAGGTTGGGAAGTCCCTTATATTCACTTTCTGCTAATACAAATTTTTTTTTTCAATTTTCTTTCCATATGAAGCTTGTAAAAGAGAAAACAATTGGTTGCTATTTATTAATTTAAGAATGATGAAGAATATATTAAATATAAAAACTGAGACACACTGCTGAGATAATTAGTAACTGTTACAGGTATTAGCATGTCATTGACAAACCAGACTTGTTATCAATTGAGCTATTTTTCTTACTAGTCCTTTGAATTTTCTTTCTACAGTAGCTTTAGGAAGAAGGAAAATAAATAACCTAATGCTCAATACTAAAAAATTGTAATGAGGTTTATCTGTAGTCTCTTTTGTTGTACGATTCTTAAAACTTAAATTTAGCTTTCAAAAGTAGAAGTTGAAAGTTTAGGTAGCAAATTATTTTATTTTCTTAGTTTGAAAAACTGGGACAGTGGAGCTCAGTTTCTCTTACACTCTGCCAGGAATTTGCATTGCAAAAGGAAAGGAAAAATTGCCATAATTATGTGGGCAATTCTTGTCATTTTTTTTCAATGAAAAGATTTTTATTCTAAGCACTTTAAAAATTCTCCCTCGCAGTTTCTGCCACAATCCCTACTTCTCTATGCTGGAAGACCCCAGTTCAGTTATTTAAAACTGTCATTAAATAACTCTCTGAAGGTTTGAACTACTCCAAGAACTGTTTGATCAGTTTGATTGCTCTGTTATAGCTAATTATTTGACGAGTTTTTTGAGTAAACATATTAAGGTGGGAACCCATTTATAAACAAAGGCCGCTTGGGAGCTAGTAACCACTTTTAGTTTTCCTTGGATCAAAGGAAATATGGGACAGACAGGACCTGGGCTCAGCCAGCAGGAGTGGGGTGAGAAAGGGGATCATTTCCAGGAGGAAGGCAGCAGGATGAGTCAGATCTGGCCTGGACCCCTTCCTGAGCCGCAGCTGGCAGGATCTTAGAGCATTCCTGAAGCACTAATATTCATGTAGCAAAGCCTGTGCAAATTGTGTTTGCTTTTCTCTTTCATGACAGGCCATGCAGAGACTCAAAACAGTGTGAAAGGCATCTATCAGGTACAAATAGCAAAGTACCCTTGGACACATTTGCCCTCCACAGGCTCTTCCAGTTGGTTTAGTGGATTACAAACATGGCATTCACCTGACCCTAAGATGACTGCCTTCCCTTTTTAGTGGTACATTTCAAATGTGTGCCCTCTTAATTATTTTCATTTTCTAAGCATGAAGTTTATGCTGAGCCCAATGCCTGGAGCTGACACATGTCAGTGCTGTGATTAACTCCCCAACATCTTCATGTGGTGATAAATTACTGCTGTGGAGGCTGGCCCCTACTGAGTGATTGCTTCAGGCTGCTCTGACAGCCTGCTCTGACAATTACACTCCTCAAAGTAATAGCTTTCTGCTCTTTTATTCTGCTCGCTCCCTTTTTTTCCCTCCAGTTTCACCACACGCCCATGTGGATTGGACCAATGGGCAAAGAAAGGAGATTATTTACCTGCAGTGGCCTTTTTTTTTTTTTTTTTTGAGACAGATTCTCGCTCTGTCGCCCAGGCTGGAGTGCAGTGGTGCAACTTGGCTCACTGCAACCTCCGCCTCCTGGATTCAAGCAATTCTCCTGTCTCAGCCTCCCTAGTAGCTGAGATTACAGGCATGTGCCACCTTGCCTGGCTAATTTTGTATTTTTAGTAGAGATGGGGTTTCACCATATTGGCCAGGCTGGTCTCGAACTCCTGACCTTGTGATCCACCCCCTTCGGCTTCCCAAAGTGCTGGGATTACAGGCGTGAGTCACCGCTCCCAGAGTGGCCCATTTTTGAAGATACAAGTGGAGAAATAAAGCCTTACTAGTTAAAGAGTCTCCCCTACAGGAGGAAGGACCTTCTGATTATATTTCGGTTTCTTCTCATACCCAAATTGCTGTATGTTTTAGCAATGTGGAGGATGCACAGAAACTCCCTGGCTTAATCAATAGCAGCAGCATCACCTGTAGCTCATGTTAGTTTATCACTTTCCATAGCAGTTTCACACTTGGCGTTCACATGCGCTTTTATTAGCAACCCTCTGAGGAGGTTAGGTAGGTGTGACAGAGTCTGCTGTGTTGCACCAAATCTTGTTTCCATTTCCTCTGGAACACATAGCTGCGTATTATTTCCCAAACTGACTTCTTGTGGTTAGGTGCAGCTCATGTGACTGAATTCTGGCCAATGGAATAGAGGTAGAATTGATATATGCCACTTCCAGGCTGGGTCCCTATAAAACCCAGTCCTTTGTGCTATTGTTCGTCCTCTGCCAACATAATACAGGTCCCGGGTATATGGCAGAGCCACTAGATAGAAGGTGACTTGGCCTCTGAGTGCCTGTATGGACCTCATTCCAATCCCAGCAACCCTCACTGGACAATGAAGTGAATGAGAAATAATGCACTGAGATTTGAGGGGTCCCTTGTTTCAGCAGTTAGCCTATGCTGACTAATTTAGTATGGTTGATGTAATCTTCCTTCAGTGAGTGAGAATGTGGGCACAGAGATTCTATGTGGCTTGCTGAGAGTCACAAGAATTAGTAAGAATAGCTGAAATTTATCCAATGCTCAGCCTATGTGAGACATCATGCTAACTGCAACATGCATACGCTGTCAAATTCTCACAGCAAACCTATGAGGAAGGTACTAGGCAGTCAGATGCCCATTTCACAGATGAGCAAATCAAAGTTTGGTTAACGAATGCTGGGAGTGTTTTTTTTTTTCTTTTTTTTTGTGGCAGGGTCCCAATCTGTCCCCCAGACTGGAGTGCAGTGGGGCGATCTTGGCTCACTGCAACCTCCACCTCCTGGGGTCCAGTGAACCTCAGCTTCCCAAGTAAGCCGGGACTACAGGCAGGTGCCACTATGCCTGGCTAATTTTTGTATTTTTTTGTGGAGATGGAGTTACCCCATGTTGCTCAGGCTGGTCTCGAACTCCTGGGCTCAGGCGATCCACAAGCCTCCACCTCACAAAGCGATGGGATTACAGGGGTTAGCCACCACACCCAGCCCAGGTGTTGTCAGTTTTGAAAGGCTGCCCAGCAGCTGAACTCCTTTTCTATTAGTAAGAATCCTCCATTGCATAATATTATTTGGAGGCAAGACCTAGCCTGCCATGAGAGAAGCTAAATGGGCTGGATTTTCTCCTTCCATCCTCTGCCACGGCTTGAGCATATGACCTTTGCTTGACTTATCAGATACCACTGTTTAGAAATTTAATCTTGAAGGAGTGGCGCAAAGACGTAAGAGCAATTTCAGAAGTCATTCACAGCAGCAGTATGTCTGGGGTTTGTGGTGTCAAGGGTCCTGCAGTGATAATGGCTGTTGGTTGAGGCATGCTAACTACTACTTGGTTAGGATGGTGTGACCATGCCTGAATTTCCTGCTGGCAGCCTTCCTGTTGATTCTTTGTGTAATTGGTTGTCTTTCCAATAAATTACTTTCCTGCTTATATTAACCATGCTCAGTTTCTGTTGCTTGCAAATAATAAGCCTACCTAGGACAGAGAAATTGAGTAAACTCTCTAAGATCACAGTTCTGATAAATGGCAGAGCAAAGATTTTAATCTAGGTCTCTTTGATCCCCAAACCTGTACCCCTAACCTCTATGTATCTTAACCCAAACTAGACCTTGAGCCACATAACTCTTAGTCCTCTTTTTTCTCCCTCAACATCATTGCCTTTGGGCTAGAGATAATCTGGGTTCAAGGCCATAGTAAGTAAGTTGCCTAAGGCTTAGTAAAAGGGAGTTTTCATTAAATGGGTCCTTTTAAAGGTTAAGTAACGTAATACAAATAAGATGTCTAGTACGTATTAAAACATTAAAAATATTAGCCTATTATTAGTTATATTTTCAAAATTCACTTCTTATGATTGTATAATTAGTTTTTGACCATAACGTGTTTAGAGGGCATTGTGATAAATTGAATATATATAACTTTGATGGAACTTATTTTTGCCTGGGCCTAACCCCAGAAATCCAAAGACTGGTTGTGGACATAACCACAAAGAAGGAATTAAGATAATTAGTTAGATAACTTAGACAACCCCTCCCTTCCTTTTGATGAGAAGGAAAGAATTACTTTCAGTGAGATGATTTCTGTTGCCTGCTTATACTGCATAAATTCAGTAAGATGATTGCTTAGGGGCACATTTAGTATTGACTATGTAATTACAGTGTAGCTATTACAGAGGAAAATTAGTGAATTTTACCCCAGACACAGAATTCATCTGGTTTTCTCCTAGAATATGTTGCTAATTTTTTATTTTGAGATGTCTGTAAGAAAAACAGAGGCACATTTATTTGGAGAGATGAATGCGAATTTGCCTGGAAACAAGGAATGGATATGGTGGCATTAAGGGGGTGGGGTGGGAGGGAGAGTTGAGAGGGGGACTTTTTCAGTTAAAGTGGAAAGAAAAAGAACAAGTGTCTTTGTAAGCAAAGATGTGTTCAGGAAGGAAGCTGCTCTTTGACAAAGGACTCAGGTTGCCCTGTCAGAGACTATAGCTATGGAGTCCATTTCCCTGGCATCAGCTCATCTTGGGCACATCTGGGACCCTGTCCTGAAAAGACTGCTAGTGCTCTAGCACAATCCTTGGCACAGCAAGAGTGGCATGAACATTCAAGAAATTAACCCCTTGGATCTTTGTGTTCCATACAAGTTCCATTTTGCAGCTAGTCTCACAACAATCTCTTTGCCTATAATACCTATATACATGTAGATACACACCTAACCTGAAGAGGCATGGGCACATGTCACTGCCCTCACCCCACCAATAAACATGTTCCTCATGCATTTTCAGACATAGTTCTCTCCAGTTGACCTAGAACACAGAGAAGCGTGATGTTTTCATTCTCTAGTGAGCAGGGGGCATTTGCCTGGTATACTCATTGTGCTTGAACTGGCCAACCACAGAAATTTCTGCCTTTCATCTTTCCATTCATTCATCCATTCAACAAATGTTTATGGAGAGTCAACTGCGTATAACTCTGTGCTAGCCTCTGAGTTTGCTCATTGAATAAAATAAACAGTCCCTGCCCTCATATAGCTTACCGTGCAATAGGGGAAAGCTTTCAGTCCAGAAAGGGAAACGGACATCAAATGTACAAATAAACACACACAAATATACATTTAAACACTCTGATCAATACCATGAAAGAAAAGAACAGGACAGATTTCCTTTAGATTTGAGATTAGGAATGGACATTCTGAGGAAGTGGCACATTCTGAAGAAGGGTATTGTTTGTTTCTCTTCAAAATACCTCTCTTGTTAACAAGAACAGATTCTTTTCCAACCTAAGAACAGGAAGCAGTAAGCACTTTCTGGCTCCAGGCCTCATATCTACTCTGTCTGATGCCTCAGAGAAGACGGTTGAGATCCTTCAGGCCAAGAACTGGAGCACAGAACGTTTCTGGGAATTCAGAGAGTGCATCTTGAGGAAACTAGGAACTGAATATGTCTGAGTGAGGAGCTTTGAAATATGGGAAACTGTTCAAGTTTGAAAAGAGGAACTCATGACTCAAGAGAATCTGTCACTTAACCGTGTTGCATAGTGAACTCCTGCAACAGAAGTCCAAATCTCATAACTGGTGGGGAGGAGAGATGAAGTAGGGTTGTTTTCTGACGATAATACTAACTTCACCATCTGTTGAAACTCAAGCCAAGAATTAGTTTTAGGCCTGGTGTGCTCCTTGCCTTCCAGGTTAATGGGTTCAGATCACAGAGGAAACTCAAGAGTTAAAACTCTGCTGCAGTTTAAGAAGATCTGAAGGTATGAAAGTCTGAGGAAAGTCAGCTCCTTCGAAATAAATGAATTAGATGGGCTGTTTTTTTTTTTTTTGTTGTTGTTGTTGTTTTGTTTTTTGAGACAGAATCTCACTCTGTCACCCAGGCTGGAGTGCAGTGGTGGAATCTTGGCTCACTGCAACCTTCACCTCCCGGGTTCAAGCAATTCTCCTGCCTCAGGCTCCCAAGTAGCTAGGATTACAGGCACACACCACCACGCCCGGCTAATTTTTGTGTTTTTAGTAGAGACAAGGTTTCACCATGTTGGCCGGGATAGTCTCAATTTCCTGACCTCGTGATCCACCCGCCTCAGCCTCCCAAAGTGCTGGGATTACAGGCACAAGCCACCCCGCCCAGCCAACTTATGCATTTTTTTCTTTTTAAAAGCTACAGTGATGTAACAAGAAAGGAGATTTGATTTTTCATATGAATAGCATGTTTGTTACTATAAGTTTTTCTGATGCCAAATTATTTTGACTATGTTTTTCTAGAAAATTATTGATCGTATGTTAAAAGAGCCATAAAATTTGCCTAAAGCAGATCTGTAGAAAGATTAACTTGTTTAATCTAACCAAATAGAAGTGCCTGTTGAAGACATCTAATTTGAGGGCTGAGAAATCAAATGTAGACTTTTTTCTCTCAATCCTGAATTAATGTAAAAGTGTCAGTTGTTAAGAACTCATAAATTTGTGAAATTTTGGTGGCTGAAAGAACAGCATACACTTCTCAAAATTATCTTGCTATCTTAATGATATGTCTTAGTCTCTGATCATATCCCATCACTGCTGCAGGGATTTGAAAAAATACGAAGGCGGTACATTGCCTAAAATGTGATTTACTCTGAAACGAATTGAACTGTGTTCAACTTAAATTTCGATAGCAGTCAGTTCTTCCATGAGTATTTTACTTATGTATCTTAAACATTTTCCCTTGGCATTTTTTTCAGGGTGAGGTTACTCTCTTTGGAATTTGACAAAACATATTTTTGCATTTGACTTTCTTCCTGTTTTTATGAGATGAGATTTGTACAAAAGGGTTAGAGGATCAAGTCTACCTTTTACAAATTTGAACAAGCACATTCACTTTTGGAGAGAAATACCTGAGATTTCTGTAGCTTTATGAAAACCATATTTATCAGAAAGTGTTCAGTTCTGTCCAGGTAATTCCTAGATTTCTGTGTAATGGTTGCAGGGTGAGGGGGTGCTTGTTTGCTTTTAGAGGCTTGGGGGAATAATTTCCTTTGCAGAGCCAGTGTCAACGAGCTACCGTGTTAATTGTGGTGACATTTTAAGCTTGGGGCAGATGCTAACATCTCATTTTCCTTTCCATCCATGATAATGATAAAAGCTTTCCTAGAATTCATTTCAAGGGTCACTCTTGGGAGCTTCCTTTTTTTTAATTAAATTTTTTTTTTATTATTTGTAGAGACGAGGTCTCACTATGTTGCCAAGGCTGATCTTAAACTTGTAGACTCAAACTATCCTCCCACTTTGCCCTCCCAAAATGTTGGGACTACAGGCATAAGCTACTGCACCTGACATGGGGAACTTCCTTTTCATACAGCCCTTTCCTTAAGAAAGTGCTCTATGACAGTGGTGGCCCCACCATTCTGCCTTAGAATAGCAGTCATGTATTGAGCCCTGAATCAGCAAACCCGGGAATGTAGACAACCAGGACTCTAGACACCTGTCCAAAATGATTTGCAGAGCTAAGCCAAGCAGAGCTTTACTCCTTCTTTCCCTTCTCCTATTTCTTTTTTCTCTCTTTCCATTCTTTCCTTCATTTCTCACTGTTTACCAACTTCAGTAGCTAACATGATTAAGCACTCACCACGTACCAGGCAATGTGAAAAGGCTTTTAGTGAATTTCTCCGCCTGTTTTACAAATGAGGATACTGAGATGGAGAGAAGTTAAGTAATTTTTCTAAGGTCACAAACTCATAAGTGCTATGGCAGAGTGTGTATGTTACTGACCACTGAGTTATACTGTCCCATTCCTAAACTCCTCACCCCATTCCTTAAAACACGAAAGAACAAAAGCCACCCCATTTCAATAAAGGAATAAAGGTGAAACTTCCCTGAATAATAATGGTATATTCAGTCTAGCCACCTACCGCCCATCCCTGTGCCCTCAGGAAGCGGGTACCAGAAACAGGAAGCAGAAAATGTTTCACAGTATTTCTGATTTAATCTTATAGCTACTTATTTTAATTTTCTATTTCATGTGGGGTTAACTTACCATTGCAGCAACTGCCAAGGGGATTGGTAATAATTTCTATGACGTTTAAATGTTTAAATATTTCCTTGTGAAGCCTTGGCTTATTCTGTTCCCAAACACATGCGGAAATCAACTTTCCTGCTTAGGTTGAGCCTGTACATAGTGATGAAGTGAACAGTTGTGTCAATATCATGAAAAAACACAGAACAAGTGCAAACTATCTGCCAAGGATTGTACTAAGCCCTTAATATTTATCTTAGTTAAGCCTATGGTAAACCTCCACGCATGATTGTTCCATTTTGCAGAGGAATGAACTGGGCTTTTGAAAGAAGGAAGGAGGACAAGAGAGTGGTTGCCTAACTACCCAGCTACAGGGAGGTGGTCTAGTGTGATGAGTGGAAGATCAGGCAAAGTAACTTCCTGAAGGTCCCCTTTCCTTATGCTGTCAGTTTTTATTGGTGTAATCTAACTTCCCAGTTCTGTCAACAGATGTCACTGCCAGGATCACCTCTAATAGCCCAAATCTCTGCTCTCTTTTTATCACTAAACAGCTCACACATGCTTATTCATGGTTTCAGCACTAACAGGCAGTAGTATATATACTATGAGACTTTTTTAGGCTCCATAAGAACACGAGCTTTATCATCTATTGCTCTATCAGGATGTAAAGTCAGTAAGAAAATCTGCATTCTTTAGGTGCATTTTTTTTTTTTTTTTTTTTTTTTTTTTGTGGGAGATGGGGTGGAAATGGCTATGGGAGAGAAAGTTTTAACTCAGGGATGACAAATGGGGATAGGGAGCAATACATCATCTGCCCCTCCCCTTCTTCCTAAACACATTGTAGGTATTGCTGATCAACAACCCCACTGCTTCCTCTGAGGGCCCCACTACCCATCTACTGATGCATAAGAAGTGAAACGTCTTTTCCATCTTTAGCATAGATGTGTACAGAATTCATTCTAAGAGACCCTAATAAATGGTGGTTTTGCAAATGTGTGATGGTTGTATGTATGAGAACTTCTTTGCCTATGCAACTAAGGATGAGCCCTGAAGATCTTTAGTCAAAGTTTGCTTTGGAAGGCAAACTTGGTGCCAAGAGAATATGAAAGTGGCATAGATGCAAGTTATTATTATCATTAAATATGTAACTATGAAAATAACCTCACCTAGGATACAAGATCCTGCAAGGCATATTCACCTATAAAAGATGCCTTTTTAATAAGCATGTCTAGAATCTATCTAACAGTGTAATCAATGCCTTTACACAAAGTGCCCACATTTGTCATTTGGAAGCAGCAGGACACAAACTGAAGAGGGCAGGAACCATGTGCATTTGGGTCAAACTGTGACATTGAAGTCTGAAGGTTTTCAGCTATTAGAAACTAACTAAATCTTCTAAATACTGCAATAAAATTTTAGAAGCCAAATGGAGAGTAAATTATTTTTAAAAAAGATGAATTGCAATTATTAAAACTTAACTCTATTCAGTAGACACTCTATGATGTTTAAATATACACAGAAATGAATATTTGAAAAATGGAATCATTTAAAACTTATGGCATAGAAGTTTGCTACATAATAGAGCTCTTTGGGAAATATTCTGCTGAAGGATCAGACATTTATTATTTCTATTTTTTCTTTTGTTTTTGATGCACATGTATTTTAATAGTTCTCATGTATTAAGTAGAATACACATTTTAAATTACATTTATACAAGTTAACTCTTGTTTACCTCCCGTACTAAAAGACTATGCTGTTTATTTCCTCATTATAAATGCAGTGCAGTGCACAATTGACTCTATAACCAGAGAGGAGAGAAAACTCTATTTTTTTAAACTTTTAGGTTGAAGGGTACATGCATAGGTTTGTTATATAGGTAAACTCGTGTCACGGGGTCTTGTTTTACAGATTATTTCGGCACCTAGGTACTAAGCCTAGTACCTAATAGTTGTTTTTTCTGTTCCTCTGACTATTTCAGAGAATCAAGCTTACTCAGGTTATTCTGTTGCAGTGCATTAGTGTCAAATGTGGGTATTTGTAAGAGCTGAACAACTCCCCAAATATCTAACTGACCCCATGGATTGGTGAGGAATCTCAGAAGAACACAACTTTTTAATTAATAAATATTTGTGAATTAGAGAATAAAAAGCATTTCTAAGAATAAAAATCTGCTCTAAAATTTGATAATTTTTGTAAGGTGTAGAAAAGAATATATTGAAACTTTGGTTGCTGGAAAAAAAAGTATTTAAGAGTAGCATACTTGAGATGGTCTGTAAATTGGTGTATGGCCGGATGATAAAACACTTTGTCCTTAACACATCACTATTCTTCCTCCCTTATTAGTGTACTACTGTACTTAGTTTCACTAACATGAATACTGAATCAAGAGTATTACAGCATTTCTTTGCCTTGAATCTTAGTTCTTAATTTTAACTAAAAGTGCACTAGACAGAAATATTCATATATTTTGGCTTTAAAGCATTAGTTTGTTAACTATGAGATGTTTTTCCTGTGATAACACAAATATACTTAAAGATAGAAATGCAATAAATATCCTTTTCAGTTTTTTATATCAAAACATTGAAGAAAGAGAAGAGAGAAAGGGAGAAAGAAAAGGGAAAGGAGGAAGGGAAGGGAGAAAGGAAAGGAAGAGAGAGGGAGAAAGAGAGAAAAAGAGAGAAAGAAAGAGGAAACTAATGGGTTGTAAATGGGTGAGTAATACATTGTCTCCCAGTCACACCCACAGATTAAATGTGATATTATGGGCATGTCACTCTTAAAGTTCCACCTAGAAGTTTAGAAGTCCCCAAGACAACAAAAACAAACATGAATGGAAAGCCTTACTAATGTAGGCTATCTGGATAACTTATTAAAATTTATTTGTATTATTTTAGAATTCCCAAGTTTAATGCAGATGTTTCATTCTGAACAAGGTGTGTCACTTTTCTCCAAGAGGCTGACACTTTAAAAATGACAAGAGGAAATATTATGCTTTTCTACTCATTTTTTTTCTACCATAAAATATTCTGAATATGCTAATAGGGATATAGTGTAAATTATTATACACAGTATCTACTTATATCATTTATGGGGTCAAAAAGAAAAACAAAATCTCTGAAAATTAATACAGCTTAGAACGTGTTATCCTTACTAATACTGTCTAGAAAAAAAGGTTTCATGGTCAAATAAGTCTTATAAGTGCTATACCTGTTAGAAGAATCTCATTGCACAATGTTGTGAACACCCTGTGTTTCACACTAGGGAACATTTTTTTCATGCCCTACCTCTGAGTTTTTAAATAATCAGAGAAATATTCTGGGTTGTGGTGGCTCATGCCTGTACACCTGTAATCCCAACACTTTGGGAGGCCAAGGTGGGAGGATCTCTTGAAGTCAGGAGTTTGAGATTAGCTTGGGCCACAAAGCAAGACCCTATTTCTACAAAAAGTAAAAGAAAAATTAGCCCAGTATGGTGGCATGCGCTTGTAGTCTCAGCTACTTGGGAGGCTGAGGCAGGAGGATCACTTGAGCCCAGCAGTTTGAGGCTGCAGTGAGCTATGATCACAACACTGCGCTCCAGACTAGGCGACAGAGCAAGACCTTGTTTCTAAACAAACAGACAAACAAACAAAAAACGTAGCATTCCCCAGATTTATTTGATCAAGCACTCTTTCATCAATAACACCCATTAACATGAAACAGATTAGAATTCCTTGGAACACCTGGAGAGAATCTTTTCAAATACAGCAAAGGATGGTTTACTTTTCTGAGGAGTGGTTCAAATGCAAACACTGAAACTTCAATAGATACATATTTGTCTTAATGTGTTAGAAAAATACACATTTCATGTATCATTTTATTAATATTGTTGCTTAGGATGAAGCTAACTTTATGTAAAGAAGTATATAGATTTAAAAAATATATAAAGTGAGTAATAGTAGAGATATATGAATATGACAGAATTATAAGCTGGAAGGTGAATGTCTGAAGGTTGGAAAACGCTGACTTAGCCTATAAATATAAATTCAATACAGTGTGCTTAAATGGGTGCAGTCATTTGGATACATATATTCAGACTGGTCTTCAGGAAACTTGGGGAAGAGGAGTGCTTAGTTAGCTCTCTGGTTCTGCCTTAAAATAATTTTGTGAGCTAGGAAGGGAAGCCTGTTCTAGACCTCAGTTTCCTTGTCTATAAATAAGGAGAGTTGGATTGGAGCATATGTTGAATTCAGCTCAACAACTTTGATGTAAGTGGAAGGCTACAGTGGTGATATGATCTGCTCATCCACCGCAGGCTGTCACATTGATGACAGCTGTGGCAGAACCCTTCATTTCATGGCCTACCATTCATTATTTGGGGTTCCTGATTAATCCTTTCTCTTTTGCAAGACCTTTTCTCAAAGTAGCTTAACCAGATTCCTGAATTTTAGCTATCTTTGTATGACCGGAGCACCATGCACAGTTCCATCTCCAGAGAATTTCCTAAGTGACAAATGGCCAAAAGATGAGACTATCTGGAGGGCAAGGCTTCCTTTGCACACCCCATCCCCAAAGTTTTTTTTGTTGTTTTGGAGAATTCACATCCATGTAATATAATTTTGAGTATTGCAATTTGGTCTTGCTTTAAATATTTAAAAATATATCTCTTAAAATCATTTTCCCTAGTGTGTGTTTTTTGTTTGTTTGTTTGAGTGGTTCTTGATTGTATTATGAAGGGGATCCTGTGATCTACTGCATTTTCTTTTCTTTTTTGAGACATAGTCTCGTTCTGTTGCCCAGGCTGGAGTGCAGTGGCGCAGTCTCGGCTCACTGCAACCTCCGCCTCCCAGGTTCAAGTGATTCTCAGCCTCCCAAGTAGCTGGGATTACAGGCATGTGCCACCGTGCCTGGCTAATTTTTTATTTTTTTTAGTAGAGACAAGGTTTTGCCATGTTGCTCAGGCTGGTCTCAAACCCTTGGCCTCAAGTGACCTGCCTGCCTTGGCCTCCCAAAGTGCTGGGATTATAGGCATAAGCCACCTCGCCTGGCTACTTATTACATTTTCTAACTGCTTATTGTTGGGGTAATGTAATGGTTATGTGCAAAGACTGCCAAACTCTGTCACTTGCTAGCTGTGTGGCATCACACAAGTAATTTAACCTCTCTGTTTCTTAGGAGTTTTTAAATTTAAAAGTCAGGATAATAATAGCAGCTTCCCTCAGGAGTTAATACGTGAAAAACACCTTATTCAGTGCCTGGTACATAGCCCTCAAAAACTGTTAGCTGTCATCTCTTTTGGCATCTAGGACAGTTCTTGGTCAGATTACTAAACTCTTGATAGTGTTGGTATATTGTCAGTTGATTGTGTTGAATGTTCTAGGTACACAATTATAAAAAAAGAATATCAGTTTAAGTGGGTCCTTTCTTTTGTTTTTATGAGAGGAATTCTTGACTGGGATCCTCAGCACAACGTTAAGTCATAGTTGAAATGAGTGTCTTTGTAAGACTATTCCAACCTCCTTTTACAAGATCTGTGTGCTATAATTTATAACTAATTTAGTGCCCTAGTTTTTTTTTATTATTATTATACTTTAAGTTTTAGGGTACATGTGCACAATGTGCCGGTTAGTTACACACGTATACATGTGCCATGCTGGTGTGCTGCACCCATTAACTCGTCATTTAGCATTAGGTATATCTCCTAATGCTATCCTTGCCCCCTACCCCCACCCCACAACAGTCCCCAGAGTGTGATGTTCCCCTTCCTGTGTCCATGTGTTCTCATTGTTCAATTCCCATCTATGAGTGAGAACATGCGGTGTTTGGTTTTTTGTCCTTGCGATAGTTTACTGAAAATGATGATTTCCAATTTCATCCATGTCCCTACAAAGGACATGAACTCATCATTTTTTATGGCTGCATAGTATTCCATGGTGTATATGTGCCACATTTGCTTAATCCAGTCTATCGTTGTTGGACATTTGAGTTGGTTCCAAGTCTTTGCTATTGTGAATATTGCCACAATAAACATACGTGTACATGTGTCTTTATAGCAGCATGATTTATAGTCCTTTGGGTATATACCCAGTAATGGGATGGCTGGGTCAAATGGTATTTCTAGTTCTAGATCCCTGAGGAATCGCCACACTGACTTCCACAATGGTTGAACTAGTTTACAGTCCCACCAACAGTGTAAAAGTGTTCCTATTTCTCCACATCCTCTCCAGCACCCGTTGTTTCCTGACTTTTTAATGATTGCCATTCTAACTGGTGTGAGATGGTATCTCATTGTGGTTTTGATTTGCATTTCTCTGATGGCCAGTGATGATGAGCATTTTTTCATGTGTCTTTTGGCTGCGTAAATGTCTTCTTTTGAGAAATGTCTGTTCATATCCTTTGCCCACTTGTTGATGGGGTTGTTTGTTTTTTTCTTGTAAATTTGTTTGAGTTCATTGTAGATTCTGGATATTAGCCCTTTGTCAGATGAGTAGGTTGTGAAAATTTTCTCCCATTTTGTAGGTTGCCTGTTCACTCTGATGGTAGTTTCTTTTGCTGTGCAGAAGCTCTTTAGTTTAGTTAGATCCCGTTTGTCAATTTTGGCTTTTGTGGCCATTGCTTTTGGTGTTTTAGACATGAAGTCCAAGCTGATAAGCAACTTCAGCAAAGTCTCAGGATACAAAATCAATGTACTAAAATCACAAGCATTCTTATACACCAATAACAGACAAACAGAGAGCCAAATCATGAGTGAACTCCCATTCACGATTGCTTCAAAGAGAATAAAATACTTAGGAATCCAACTTATAAGGGATGTGAAGGACCTCTTCAAGGAGAACTACAAACCACTGCTCAATGAAATAGAAGAGGATACAAACAAATGGAAGAACATTCCATGCTCATGGGTAGGAAGAATCAATATCGTGAAAATGGCCATACTGCCCAAGGTAATTTATAGATTCAATGCCATCCCCATAAAGCTACCAATGACTTTCTTCACAGAATTGGAAAAAACTACTTTAAAGTTCATGTGGAACCAAAAAAGAGCCCACATTGCCAAGTCAATCCTAAGCCAAAAGAACAAAGCTGGAGGCATCACGCTACCTGACTTCAAACTATACTACAAGGCTACAGTAACCAAAACAGCATGATACTGGTACCAAAACAGAGATACAGATCAATGGAACAGAACAGAGCCCTCAGAAATAACGCCGCATATCTACAACTATCTGATCTTTGACAAACCTGAGAAAAACAAGCAATGGGGAAAGGATTCCCTATTTAATAAATGGTGCTGGGAAAACTGGCTAGCCATATGTAGAAAGCTGAAACTGGATCCCTTCCTTACACCTTATACAAAAATAAATTCAAGATGGATTAAAGACTTAAACGTTAGACCTAAAACCATAAAAACCCTAGAAGAAAACCTAGGCACTACTGTTCAGGACATAGGCATAGTGCCCCAGTTTTTATTTTTATTTTACTTTCCTTTAAGTTCTGGGATACATGTGCAGAATGTGCAGGTTTGTTACATAGGTATACATGTGCCATTGTGGTTTGCTGCACCTATCAACCCATCATCTAGGTTTTAAGCCCCACATGCATTTGGTATTTGTCCTAATGCTCTCCTTCCCCTTGGCACCCCCCACCCCCAACAGGCCCTGGTGTGTGATGTTCCCTTCCCTGTGTCCATGTGTTCTCATTGTTCAGCTCCCACTTATGAGTGAGTACATGTGGTACTTGGTTTTCTGTTCCTGTGTTAGTTTGCTGAGAATGATGGCCTCCAGCTCCATCCATGTCCCTGCAAAAGACATGAACTCATCCTTTTTTATGGGGGCATAGTATTCCATGGTGTATTTGTGCCACATTTTCTTTACCCAGTCTATCCATTGATGGTGCCCCAGTTTTTTACTCACAATTATGATATGACCATTTTTCATTCCAATTTTACTGTATATGCTGCTGCAGTGAGCATGACATGAGCATTTTTCATGTTGACAAACTTTTAGTAAACATTAATTGTTCTGAATTTTACCAAAACTTATATATTATAAAATATATATTCACACTTGTTAGTATATAAAATATATATATAGTTTAAATAATCATAATAATAGGAATACCTGTGTATGCACCACTCAGCTTAAATAGAATATTACTACATATGTGGGAGTGCGTTTGTGCTCTTCCCCAGATGCATAGAGAATTTTTTTATCAATCATTTCTTTGCTTTGCTTTTTAGCTTTACCATCAATGTATACAAATTATGATGTAGATATACTACAACCCACTTAATAATTACCCTATTGTGATTATTTAGGTGGGTTTATGTTTTTTGATGTTGGGAATAGGACTTTCCCATAGTGAAGATTATTTCTTTGAGATAGATTCTGAGAACAAAATTACTAGGTCAACAGTTATGACTGTTTTCAGAGCTTTGGACAGCTATTGATTGTCAAACTGCTTTCCAAAAGGCTTATATATCAGTTTATATTTCCCAAAAGCAGTGCATCTGAGAATGTCCATTTCAGTTCAGCAGTCATCAACACTGAGGGTTATTAACTTGAAAGGCAAGAAGTGTCATGCTAAAATATTTTAGTATAACTGCTAATAAGTTTGAATTTTTAAAAGACCAATTATATTTTTTGAAGGATCCTATGCATTCAGAAATGTTCACCTATCACAAGTGTTTAGCTTAAGAAATTTTCACAGATAGAACACAGCTTCATAGCTAACATTTAGATCAAGAAACAGAACATTACCCATACACCAAAGCTGTCCTTGTGCTTCATTTCAAAGACCATTTTAAAAAAACTGTATGGCTAAAACCTCTGGAGGAAGAAAACTGACTTTGCTTTGACCAATGTAGTTTTAACAGTCAGCAGTAAGTTTTCTGATTATGAAGGTTTGAAGATTTGGAAAGGTTCATATGTATTTAAGATGGTTACTCTCTTCGCAAAGTAGGATAGTGAATTTATAATTCTGGCCCCCGATCTCCCTTTCTTTTAAAATAGTTTGATGTCTGAGGCCAGGCAGAGTGGCTCACACCTGTAATCCAAGCACTTTGGGTGGCTGCCTAAGACCAGCCTAAGCAACAAAGAGAAACCTTATTTTTACAAAGAATAAAAAATCTAGCTGGGTGCAGTGATGCATGCCTGTAGTCCCAGCTACTCAGGAGCCTGGGGCCAGAATTGCTTGAGCCCAGGAGGTCACAATTGTAGTGAGCCATGATTACACTCCAGCCTGGATGACAGAGTACACAGCGAGTGAGACTGTCTCAAAAAAAAAAAAAAAAAAAAAAAAGAGAAGGAAAAGTTTGATGTTATTTGTTCTATCAAACCACAACTTTGCATTTACTCAGAGTTCTTATGCAAGCCATAATAGTGTATCTCTAGTGCAGGTTCTTAAATTCTAGTGAATAAAAATAGGGATTACTTCTTTGCTTATTTAAAACACAGGTTCAGGGGTCCCATGTAAGACTTATTGAGTCAGCATTTGCAGTGTCAGAAGCACCTCAGGTGATGCAGATGCCTGCTAATGGTCTCTAGACACACCTTGAGGAATGTTTCTGTAGAGGATAAATGCTTCTTTAAGAAAAACATTCTGACAACCTTGGTAATTGAAGCAGTTACCTAAGAAAATTCTTCTATATGGCATGACCTTAATTTTAAAAATAATGCTGTTGGCTGGGCTCATGCCTATAATCCCAGCACTTTGGGAGGCTGAGGCAAGAGGATAATGAGGTCAAGAGATCGACACCATCCTGGCCAACGTGGTGAAGCCCCGTCTCTACTACTGGGCGTGGTGGCGTACACCTGTAGTCCCATCTACTCAGGAGGCTGAGGCAAGAGAATCGCTTGAACCCGGGAGGCGGAGGTTGCAGTGAGCTGAGATTGCGCTACTATACTCCAGCCTGGTGACAGAGTAAGACTCTATCTCAAAAAACAAACAAACAAACAAACAAAAAAAACCGCTGTCAAAGAAATGTATGTTTAGTTCTTTATTCCATTCTAGGCTTTCCTACTATAAACATAGACATGTGGTATTTAACATAGGGCTGGTATAGTTTGTGTAATCAGAACAGGAAATATTTAGCTTAAAACATACCCCTTGATTGCAGCATGTTTGAAACTGACCTGGTACAATGGGTCTAGCTTTTCAAAGGATAACTCTTAGCTCAGCTATATAAGTGGGTCACTTTATAAAAGGCTTATAATTCAAATTTTTGTCAAAAGTTCAAAACTTACCTTTCTATTTTGTTTCTCTATACATTAACAATAGAGTTCATATGTTGGAGAGTCATTTTAGAAAAAGCAGAATGATTATTAAGTAGTCAAATATTAGATAATAACCCACAGAAAAATTTTTAGGGAGTCTGGCTTTTGCTTTGAATGATCTTAATTAGAGGTTTTGCTTGTTCTGTTTGGGCTGGATAGATTAAAAGTTGGTTGATTCTGCCCCATCAATATTGCTTGCATCCATCCACCTCTCTCCATCTCTACCTCTCACAGCCATTCCACCTTCTTCTTGCTCCTGATCTACAGCCAGAGGCTCCCTTCTCTACTCTTGCCCCCTTCCAGTCAGTTCACCATATGACATTCAGAATGGTCATTTTAATAAAATAAGTTGAACCTCATTATTCTTCTGTTTAAAAGTTTCAGAGGCTTCCCTCAGCTAAAATATACTCATTATCACCCACCAAGTTCCTGCATTGATCTACTTCTGGCCTCCTTTCCAACCTCAACTCAACCAGCTCCCTCTTGTCCATCACACTCAAGTCACTATCCCTGCCCTCCCTTGGTTCTTTGACTCATCCAAGTCCTTCCCTAACTCCTGGGCTTTGTGCAAGCTGTTCCCTTTGCCTGGAAGTCTCTTCCCACAATTTGCACCTGGCTAAATCCTGTCTCTCATTTAGAGCTATGCTTAAATGCCACATCCTTAGAGAGATCCTTCAAATCTAACTTATGTCTCTCCTGTTTTTCTCCTCATGGGCATATGCTTCTCTCTCAGCACTTATCTCAGTCTGTAAATGTGGATCCATGTGCTTATTGGTTTAATTTCTGCCTTTCCCACCAGTCTGGTTGAGTGAAGAGATTATGGCTGTGTGGTTCATCACTATATCCCCAGTGTCTAGCATAGCACATGGTACTGACTGAATAAAAGAAATATTTGTAATTACCCAGTGTATAAGTTATCCATTGCTGTATAATGAATTAATGCAATGTATTAGTCCGTTCTCACAGTGCTATAAATAACTACCGGAAACTGGATAATTTATAAAGAAAAGAGGTTTAATTGGCTCACAGTTCCACAGGCTGCACAGGAAGCATGACTGGGAAGACCTCAGGAAACTTTCAATCCTGGCGGAAAGGGAAGCAGGCACATCTTACATGACCAGAGCAGGAGGAAGAGAGAGAAGGGTGAGGTGCTACACACTTTTAAACAACCAGATCTTATGAGAACTCACTCCCTATCAGGAGAACAGCAAGGGGGAAATCCGCCCTCTTGATTCAATCACCTCCTACCAGGCTCCTCCTGGGGGATTACACTGGGGATTACAATTCCACATGAGATTTGAGTGGGGACACAAATCCGAATCATATCATGCACAAACTTAGACATTTACTTGAAACAACCAACAGTTTTTATCTTGTAGTTCCAGTGAGACAAGACTTTGAAGTGGCTTGTCTGGGTGGTTCTGGTTCAGGGTTTCTTATTGAGTGACAGTAAAGATGTCAGCCAGGGCTGCCATCATTTTACCATTGAGTCGGGTTGATGTATCTGTTTCCAAGAGGGCTCACTCACAAGCCTGTTTGCTGGAGGCCTCAGTTCCGTACCACTTGGACTCCTCCACAGGGCTTCTTACATCATGGCAGCTGGTATCTCCCAGAATGCCTGACCAAATGAGACAGAGAGAGTAAGGAGGAGTCCACAATACTCTTTATGTCCCACTTTCAGATATCACACCTTGTCAATTTAACAACATCCTATTTGTTAAAAACAAATCATTAAGTAATGCCACACTTAAAGGGAGAGGGAATTGTCTCCATCTTTTGAAAGGAGGACTATCAAAGAATTTGTGGACATGTTTGAAAACCACCACAGTTCTTCCTCTGACCACAAATTATTTATATTACCTTGACATGAAAAATACCATAAACTCTTCCTACTGCTCCCCCTCCCCCAAACTCACATCCATTTACATTATCAGCTCAAAATCCAGAATGTTGGCTTCAAAATCAGGTCCAAGTGTGGATGAGGCTCTTTGGCTGTAGTGCCTTAAATATAGCTTTACTACACCATTCCTGTCAATCTAAAGACATATGAAGTGAAGAAACAGGTTATCTACTCCTCCATAGGCAACCTATAATGGTGGGTAAGCCTGGCGTGACCATGGTAGACAATCTTATTTAAAAAGACTTTTAAAAGGAAAAATGGAAGATAGAGAGAAGCAATCAGTCCATAGTAATTCTTTTCTTATTATTTCACTAGCTTTAGTGGTACAAGTGGTTTTCGGTTACATGGATAAATGTATAGTAGTAAAGTCTAGGATTTTAGTGCATCCATCATCCGGGTAGAGTACATTTTACCTAATAGGTAGTGTTTCATCCTGCATCCCCCTCCCGTCGTCCTCCTTTCTGAGTCTCCAATGTCCATTATACAAGCCTGCATGTCTTTGTGTACCCATAGCTTAGTTTCTACTTATAAGTGAGAACACGCAGTATTTGGTTTTTGATTCTTGAGTTAATTTGCTTAGAATAATGACCTCCGGTTCCACTCAAGTTGCTGCACGACATTATTTTTTTCTTTATTATGACTCAGTAGTATTCCATGGTGTATCTATACCACATTTTCTTTATCCACTCATCAGTTTATGGACACTTAGCTTGATTCCATATCTTTGCTTTGTGAATTGTGCTGCAATAAACATCCACATACAGGTGCCTTTTTGATATAGTGACTTCTTTTCTCTTGAGTAGATATCCAGTCATGGGATTACTGGATTGAATGGAAGATCTATTTTGAGTTCCTTGAGAAATCTCCACACTGTTTTCCATAGAGGTTGTATTAATTTATATTCCCAGGAGCAGACTGTAAGCATTAATTTTTTTTACCACATCCACACCAACATCTATTATTTTTGACTTTTTAATAATGGCCATTCTGGCTAGGGTAAGATGTTATCTCATTGTGGTTTTAGTTTGCATTTCCTTGATGATTAGTAATGTTGAGCATTTTCTTGTATGTTTTTTGGCCATTTCTGTATCTTTAGAGATAATATCTTTTTTTTAACTTGACTTATAATTTTATTCTTGAAAAATTATCACTATCAAAAAGGTCATTTGTATCAGTACAGAAAATTTTCCTAATTGTATGTTTCATTTTTATACAAGTGGGAGTATGTGACCCACATTTTCAGTACTCTCCTTTGTAATTTAATTAGCAATATATCTTAAGTACTTCATCCTACAATAATAGTGTAGAGACCTTTAGAGTCTATATTGGTAATCAATAATTTAATTAGTCCTCTTTTAAAAGACATTTGTGTTAATTATATTATGTGTGTGTATCTTTTGAGAAATGACTATTCATATCCTTTGTCCACTTTTTAATGGGATTTGTTTTTCTTGCTGATTTGTTTGAGTTCCTTGTAGATTCTGGATATTAATCCTTTGTCAGATGCATTACTTGCAAATATTTTCTCCCATTCTACAGGTTGTCCATTTACTCTGCAGATTATTTCTTTTGCTATGCAGAAGCTTTTTCATTTAATTAGGTCTCAGTGTTTATTTTTGTTTTTGTTGCATTTGCTTTTGGGATCTTAGTCATAAATTCTTTAGCTAGGCCAATGTCCAGAAGAGTTTTTCCTGGGTTTTCTTCTAGAATTTTTATGGTTTCAGGTCTTAGATTTAAGTCTTTAATACATCTTGAGTTAATTTTCATATTTGGTGAGATATAGAGATCCAGTTTCATTCTTCTACATGTGGCTTGCCAGTTTTCCCAGCA
The DNA here is from genome assembly GCF_000001405.40 of Homo sapiens. Taxonomy (NCBI): domain Eukaryota; kingdom Metazoa; phylum Chordata; class Mammalia; order Primates; family Hominidae; genus Homo; species Homo sapiens. The sequence continues at coordinate 40,656,126 of NC_000005.10, read as the reverse complement.
CCATTTACTGAATAGGGTGTCCTTTCCCCCATTTGTGTTTCTGTATGCTTTGTCAAAAATCAATTCATTGTAAACATTTGGCTTTATTTCTGGGTTCTCTATTCTGTTCCATTGGTCTATGTGCTTACTTTTATACCAGTACCATGCTATTTTGGTTACTATAGTCTTGTATTACAATTTGAAGTCAGATAATGTGATGTCTCCAGATTTGTTCCTTTTGGTTAGTATTGCTTTAGCTGTGTGGGCTGTTTTTTGGTTCCATATGAATTTTAGGATTGTTGTTTCTAGTTCTGTGAAAAATGATGATGGTATTTTGATGGGAATTGCATTGAATCTGTAGATTGCTTTGGGCAGTATGGTCATTTTCACGACATTGATTCATGCAATCTATGAACATGGGATGTATTTCCGTTTGTTTGTAACAGCTATGATTTCTTTCGGTATTGTTTTGTAGTTCTCGTTGTAGAGATCTTTTACCTCTTTGGTTAAGTATATTCCTAGCTATTTTATTTATTTATTTATTTATTTATTTATTTATTCATTTATTTATCAGCCATGGTAAAATAAATTGAGTTCTTAATTTGATTCTCAGCTTGGTCATTTTTGTTGTATAGCAGTGCTACTGATTTGTGTACATTGATTTTGTAACCTGAGACTTTACTGAATTAATTCATCAGATATAGGAGTCTTTTGAGGCAGTCTTTAGGTTTTTCTAGGTATGAGATCATATCGTCAGCAAACAGTGATAGTTGACTTCCTGTTTTCCAATTTGGTTGCCCTTTCTTTCTTTCTTTTGTCTGATTCCTCTGGCTAAGACTTACAGTAAGTACTGTGTTGAATGGGCATACTTGTCTTGTTCCAGTTCTCAAGGGGAATGCTTTCAACTTTTCCCCATTCAGCATGATGTTGGCCGTGGTGTTGTCATATATGGCTTTTTTTTTTTTTTTGAGATAAGTCCTTCTATGCTTAGCTTGTTGAGAGTTTTTATCATAAAGGAATGCTGTTTTTTTTCTTAAATTTATTCCTTTCAACATGTATGAAACCAAGCATCCCTGGCTGCTACAGCAGATAGCAGACAGGTATAGTTAAGAAAAAAACTTTATTTTAAGCAGGGAGAATGACAACACAGCACTTAACAGCTATATTCTAGTCTGAATCCTGCGTGGGAGGCTGGATTTTATCAGATGCTTTTTCTGTGTCTATTGAGATGATCATATGATTTTTATTTTAATTCTCTTGATGTGATGAAACATATTTATTGACTTGCATATGTTGAAACATCCCTGCATCCCTGGGATGAAACTCACTTCATCACGATGAATTTTTTTTTTTTATGTGCTGTTAGATTCAGTTTGCTAGTATTTTGTTGAGAATTTTTGTATCTATATTTATCATGTGCTTTCCTGGCTCTGGCATCAGGGTAATACTGGCTTCCTAGAATGAGTTAGGGAGGATTCCCTCCTTCTCAATCTTTTGGAATAGTGTCAGTAGAACTGGTACCAATTCTTTGAATGTTTGGTAAAAGTTGGCTGTGAATCCATCTGGCCCTGGGCTTTTCTTTGTTGGTGGTTATTAAAATTACTCATTCAATTTCACTGCTTGTCATTGCTCTGTTCAGGATTTATATTTCTCTCTGATTCAAGCTAGGGGAGTTGTATATTTTCAGGAATTTATCCATTTCCTCTAGATTTTCTTGTTCGTGTTCATAGAGGTGTTCATACTAGTCTCGAATGATCTTTTGTCTTTCTGTAGTGTCAGTTGTATTGTTTCCATTTTCATTTGTAATTAAGCTTATTTGAATCTTCTCTCATCTTTTCTTGGTGAATCTAGGTAGTGGTCTATCAATTTTGTTTATCTTTTCAAACAACCAGCCTTTTGTTTCATTAATCTTTCTCATTTTTTGGTTTCAATTTCATTTAGTTCTGCTCTGATCTTTCTTATTTCTTTTCTTCTGCTTAACCTTCCTCCAGAAAGTTAATGTGATCTTTTGGGGGTGCTATAGAACCCTGTTATTTCATATTGCCAGGATTATTTTTCTGGTTCTTTTTCATTTGGGTAGGGACTATTTCTTCTAATTATTTTTGTATTTATTTTTTATTTGACAGGCTTATTAAAATATTTTTTCCCCTTGAGGATGTGACTTTAATGTTTATAGTTTATTGTCACCTAGCTTCAGCTCTAGGTGCATTCAGTGGTGAACACTGTATAAATTCCTTGGTTACAGAGAATCTTTTTGTAACAGCTTTCTCAGATGCTGGTTGTAGTAGTGATGTGGTGGGTATGTAAGCGGGTTCACTGTTTCCTGTGGGGCTGGAATGGCAGAGGTCTCATGAAGCTTATTTTGTTCCCCAGTGGTGTCTACTTTGTTTTTTTTGTTTTTTTTTTTGAGACAGGGTCTTGCTGTCACCCAGGCTGGAATGCAGTGACACGATCATGGCTCATTGGAGCCTTGACTTCCCAGGCTCAAGTGATCCTCCCACCTCAGCTTTTTGAGTAGCTACTATAGGCATACACCGCCATGCCTGGCTAATTTTTGTATTTTTTATAGAGATGGGGTTTCACCATGTTTCCCAGGTTGGTTTCTTTTGTCCCACGGGGTGTTCTGTTAATGTGGTGCACTCTGCCTAGGAGTAGCAGCCCCTGAGGGCCAGACTACTGTGAATCCTGCTGCTCCTCTGGGTCTAGCCACCCAGTGGGGCTGCCACACTCCAGGCTGGTGCTGGGGAATGTGCTGTGACCTGTCCTCTAGTCTCCCAGTAGCAGGTACCAGTACCAGCTCTGATGGGGGGTGGGAGGAGAGTGACAAAGACTCTGAAGTTTCCTTGGTTATAAATAGCCTTACTATGTTAGCTTTCTCAAATGTCAGCTGTAGTAGTGATGTTCTGGGCACATGGACAGACTCAACACCTCCTGGTTAGCCAGGGTGATGTAGGTAATGGTGATAGCCGAGGTTGTGCAAAAGTTTTCTCTTTCCTAGAGTTGTGGTGTTGTTCCTGCAGACGTTGAAATGTCTGTGCTGGTTGGCCTTCAGCCTGGAGGTGGCACTTGCAAAAGCGCCAGCTGTGGTGGTAGTGGTGGAATTTGTGCTTGCCTTATGTTACTCAGGGGAGATACTCTGAAGCCTTAAGTGCCTCTGGTGCCTTTGGGGCCATGGAACTCCAAAAACTTTCTGTCCTTTGTGTTAAGCTACCACAATGGGTCGAGGCGCAAAAATAGATGTGGGCTGGGTCAGGCAAGTTCGAGCTCTGGCTTTCCAAGTGAGGGCACAGACAGCAGCCACAGTGGGGATTGGAGGGCAGTTCTCTGGCTGCTGGTGTAATGTTCCAGGGAGGAGTGCAGCTGCCTCTGCTGTACAAAAGAGTCTGTGTGGGGAGTGGGAAGTAGCACTAAGCACTAAGCAGTAAGCTCCACCCAACTAATTGGCAAGGTGAGTCTCATACCTGCAGTGTTCCACTAGCAGCAGCTAGCTAGATTTATGGCAGGCTGTACTCAGAACTCAAAACTGCCACAGAAACCTCAACTTTCAGGCCATGCCCTTCTGGGTCCGCCCATGAAGTAGGGGCACCCAGCTCTGGCACCTATGGTTATAGCACACTTCCCACTCACCCCTCAGTTCTGGCCAGTGGGGTTTGTCTTCACTCAAGATTATATCACAAATTTCAGTTAGGAGCTTCTTTCAACCCGTGGCCACAGCCTGAGTTAGCTGGCAGGCTTCTGTGAGGTCCCCTGTTAGGCAGGATTAGGAACTGGTCTGTGGCAATTCTGAAATCAAACTGGGTTTTTTTTTTTTTTAACATTTACTGGTTTATTATAAAGGACGTTACAAAGGATACAGATGAAGAGATGTGTAGGGCAAGGTATAGGGGAAGGGGTGTGGAGCTTCCATGCTGTGATGGTTAATACTGAGTGTCAACTTGATTGGATTGAAGGATGCAAAGTATTGTTCCTGGGTTTGTCTGTGAGGGTGTTGCCAAAGGAGTTTAACATTTGAGTCAGTGGGCTGGCAGAGGTAGACCCACCCTTAATCTGGTAGGCACCATCTAATCAGCTGCCAGCGAATATGAAGCAGGCAGAAAAATGTGAAAAAGCGAGATTGGCCTAGCCTCCCAGCCTACATCTTTCTCCCGTCCTGGATGCTTCCTGCCCTAGAACATCAGAGTCCAAGTTCTTCAGTTTTGAGAATTGAATTGGCTCTCCTTGCTCCTCAAGCTTGCAGACAGCCTATTGTGGGACCTTGTGATCATGTAAGTTAATACTTAATAAACTTCCCTTTATATATATATATTATATATATATTATATATATATTATATATATATATATATAATATATATATAATATATATAAAATATATATATTATATATATAAAATATATATATATTATATATATAAAATATATATATAATATATATATAAAAATATATATTATATATATAAAATATATATATATTATATATATACACACACACTATTAGTTCTGTCCCTCTAGAGAGCCCTGACTAATACACATGCCCTCCTTGGGATGCCACCCTCTAGGAATCTCCATGTGTTCAGCTACTTGGAAGCTCCCTGAACCCAGTCCTTCCTCTTGGGTTTTTAGGAAGTTTCATAACCTCAGCATTCCTTCCTCCAGGGTATAGAGCAGGACCCTCTCTGGAGAGGGTCTTAAGACCCACAGTGAGAGAGGGGAGGGTGTGGAAGTGTAGAGTCCTGCACTTCAGTCAGGTGAAAAGAGGGCAGGAGGAGGTCAGAGAGATTCTGTTTCATGAGGCCTGCCTCTGAGGCCTGACACTCCCAACATTATAACAAAAGACGGTAACAAGGGCTCTGAGAGTTATTAGCCGGGAACCATGGATGAAAACATATATATATGTTTCAGCGGGAGGCCTCATGTAACAGAATCTCTCTGACCTCCTCCTGAAAACATATATTTTCATATGTACATATGTTTCATATGTATATGTTTTCATCCATAAAAGTGTATGTGTGTGTGTGTATAAAATAACATCACAGGCCACCCTCTGGTTTTTGACCATAGATTCTTTACATCAAAAAAATACACACAGCCATTAATAATTAGTCCAGCCCATCATATTGTATGAATGTCTCCCAGTATGAGGCCATTCAGGTTTGTAGGCTTCCTTTCAATCTTGTCAGGCTCCAAAAGGAGAAGGGATCATTGCAAACATACAGCTTCAGCCTTTCAGGCATGTGGAATAATTGAGCTAGGAGACAATGTCATCTTTTGTTCTGGGACTCTTAAGAGTTATTAATGTAATATTGAATTTCCCTTAATTTATAACCCATTTATTCATTTCTTTACCCTTAACTATTATTCATTCTTTTCTTCATTTGTCATTTATTTTTGTCCAAATCTTTTCACCTTTGGAAGGGATGTTAGGTTCGGCCACTGTGGTGGTTGAGGTTGCTGGTAGCAATACTAGTCTAGCAAGTGCCTCCCCTTCAGTCCATTCCATTCACACAGAATAGTGTTACATAGGTTTCAAACTAATGAACCATTTTTATCACCAGACAATAGAGCTGTATCTATTCTTAACCCCAGTTTTGCCAGATGAGGTGAAGGTGCAATCTGCCTCCATCAGAGCTTCAGGAATTCTAAGTTTAAAAACACAGTGACAGTTTGTTTCTTAGAAATCCTCTCTGCTTCCAGTACTTAGAGTTGTAGTCTTGGCCCTGAGATCACTGCATCAAATAAGGGAGAAAAAAATTTTTTTGAGGTAAGTTGGGGAAGAAAGAAAAAAAATCATAGTTACTATATCAGTTTATTTTTCCCTTAGCAAGAATTGCATAGCCATACCAACATCCTCCCTGCCCGCTCTTTCCTAGATCAACCAGAAAAACAGAGAAAGATCTAGTAGGGACACTTCTTTAGTACCACTCATGTAAGTGTGAGCACACACTTGTGAAGGTGTGTAAGCCAGCCCTTCATGCTTTCATCTCCCTCTGTTTTAGACAAACAATGTTTCAGTGGCCTATTCTATTTCTCTATCAAACTATTACCCTAAGGAGGATTCTCTCTGCTTGTTGTTGGACATTATGGGTGGCACAGTGTGTTCCCTGGCCTGGGTAAAGGAAGTGGCTATCCAAATCCTTGCAGTATCTTCTGTTCTCTGTGTGTGTGTTTTAATGGCACAGTGAGAATTTTCATCTTTCACTGGGCAAGCAAAGCCTACTGCAGAGTCAGCATCTATTCATGTCAAAACCAATTTGTAGCCACTGCAGGGCTACCAGCATCAGTCTCACTTGCCAGCTATGTTCAGGGCTTTCCCACTAGGGAATCTGAAGTTGGAAATTCTTGATTAGGAGTCAAGCCTCGAGAATAATTCTCCATGGTTCTTGGCTCCACCTTCTACCCTTATTTTCAGCCTCTGAGCCATTACTGCATTTTCATGAAAGGTGGCGTGTATTTGCAGCTGAGTAGTGTGTTGCAGCTTACTTCCTGCTTTTCGAAGTTTTAGGGTAGAAAGGCCTCTTATTTTGTTACTCTCTTTCACTTCAGGCTGATGGAGTCTCTGACAATATGATATATTTAAAAATATAACTATTTACAAGGCACAGAAATTATATGAAGGAAGAGATTCATTTTGCTATGGGAATGTTCCAAGAGAGATGATACCTAAGCAGCATTTTCAAGCACGAATAGAAATGCACTAGGAAGACTACTCAGAGAAGAGCAATCTAGATATAGGAAGAGCATATGCAGAAGTAAAATGGACTCAAACTGTGGCATTCATACAGAGAAATACACATAGTTTGGTATTAACAGAACTAATGGCATGCCAGGACTTTTGGATTTTATCCTGTAATCCAATATTTCTCAAGATGTGGCCTACCCACCTCCTATATTCAAATCATTTGGGTACTTATTAAAACTGCAGTTTCTTGGACCCTACTATAGACTTACTGAATTAAACTCTCTGGAGGAGGGACTCAGGGGTCCCTGAGTTTTAAGATTAGCTGCCCTATGCCATGCATGTTAGAAGGTTTTCAGTAGTAGCTAGGTACCACAGCAAGATTTATATTATTTCAGATCAATTACTTTGGGATCTGTGTGGAGGATTGCAAAATGATCAGGAAGAAAGATCAGTATGCAGGCTTTGCAGTAGTCTAAGTAGAGAAATTAAAGGCCCATGGAGATGCAAAATAAATTAAAGCGTTTTAAAGATAATGAAGTTAAACAAAATAGTATGATACAATGGGGGTTTTATATATTAGTATATCATATAAATATATAAAATTTAAAATGCACGAATGTGTAAAGTTTTGTAGGTACACACTGGAGGCAGAAAAATAATACCACTAGTCAGGGAAATGAGAGGTGGGGCAGAGTGGGAGTGATATTTGAACTGAAGCTTGAAGCATGAATAGAATTTCACAGAACAAAGAAAGGAATTTACATGTAGCAAACAACATGCACAAGGCAAAGTGAGAAGCTGATGTGCTTTGGAATAATAGGAAGTTGAGTTGGACTTGAGTATAGTTGTTTAAGTGTAAATGATGAAACTTAGAGCAGAAAAGTTAAGGCCTCACTAGAAAGTGGTTAGCTGCTCCTCAAGCTATTTCCTCCTCTTCCTCAGCACACACATTTCCCAGCCTCCCTTGCAGTTAGGTGAGACCATGTGATTGAGTTCTCACAATTGCAATGTGTGCAGAAGTAATCTACACCATTCTCAATCTGGCCCATAAAAATCTCCTATAAACTAAACTCCATCTCACTGAAACTATGTATGTCAACCTTAGAGCCACTTGTTGAGGACAGCAAAGCCACAAGTTGAACAGACCTGAGTTCCTGAATCAACTGTTGGACCATAGGTGCCTGCTGATGAGGCCCACCTATTCTGGATTTAATATAAGTGAGAAATATACCCCGATTGGGTTTGAGCCATGGCATATGCATGCCATGCAAAGGAATTTAGGCATTATCTTACAGGCAAACAGGAGTCAAAGTCAACAGAGATTTCAAATAAAGAGTGACATGATCTGGTTTATTTTTAGGAGAAAATTATTTTCAGTATATGTTAAAGAGAAGTCTCAATGATAATGTGAGAGTCTTCCACAAACATCCAAAAGCTGTCTTGTGAATGGGGGGATTAGCTCCACTAGGGCCAGAGTACAGACCAAACACCGCATGCGTAAGTGAAAGTTACAGGCGAAATGAGTTCAGCTCAATCAAGAAGGAAGAAGTTTCTAGAAGTCAGAGCTGGTTCTAAAGAGATTTCTTCTGTGAGCTTCTTCTCCCTGAAGAGATATCCCAAGGGAAGGTGGAAGACTTCATGTTCAAGTTTTTGGTGGAGGACTAAAATAGGATACCTTTAAAATGTCTTACTACTTTGAGATTCCATGACCCAAAGTGATTATTTTAGTTGGAATTAACATGGAGATATACATGTATATGTGGCAAGTCAGCCTTTCTGTACCTTGGGTTCCCCATCAGTAAAATGGAGGCAGTATTATTAATAGAACCTAACTCACAGGGTTGTGGTAGGGATTAAGTGAATTAATATGTGTAAAGCACTCAATAATGCCTGTACATAGTTAGTGAGCACTCAATAAATATTAGCTGTAATTACTACATTCTTTTTTTTTTTTGAGATGGAGTCTTGCTCTGTCGCCCAGGCTGGAGTGTAGTGGCAAAATCTTGGCTCACTGCAACCTCCGCCTCCAGGTTCAAGTGATTCTCCTGCCTCCACCTCCTGAGTAGCTGGATTACAGGCACATGCCACCGCGCCTGGCTAATTTTTGTATTTTTAGTAGAGGCAGGGTTTCACCATGTTGATCAGGCTGGTCTCGAACTCCTGACCTCATGACCCACCCGCTTCGGTCTCTCAAAGTGTTGGGATTACAGGCATGAGCCACCGCACCTGGCCTGTTATTACTATATTCTTTAAGGATGTGTCTCTCCTAATCCATATAAATCTCTTCTTTATATATAAAATTACACATATTTTCATATTATCTAAGCACTGACTTGGAATTCCCTTGTTTCATTTCGTGTAAATAGCCATAGCCACCCTTTCCACCTGCATAAGTTTGAACTTGCAAACAAAATTTATTAGCTACAAAATTTGCTTTAATGCCTCATCTATTCACTAATACTACTTTTTATTTCCTTAGTGCCATTTCCAGAAAGTCTTTAAATAGGCTTCGATAGCACATGATTCTAAGAATGCACATAGAGGTTTCACACACACATACACATATACACACATGCACATGCAATTGTCATGAAAAATAATCTGTATATATTTATATTTTTAGAAAGACACAGAACTTAAGTTCCTTAATGTCTTTGCATCTTTGTTCTGAGGGTTGTTCTAATTTCTTTTAGTTCCTGCTAGTATAGCCTATATTATTAGCATGTCTGTATAAAATATCACAGATTCTTAAAGAAGCCAACTAGGTTATACCACAGTAGTCTTTTGATTCCTAGGAATATAGCTTTTGGCCATAAAAAAGGTGATTAACATTGTATCTGTTACTTCCTACATATTTTCTGTGATCTGGCTGGCTATCTTGGCTTACAGAAGACTGAATTTGACCTCACACTGTTGAGAATCAGGAATAAGGTTTATTAGCTTTACCTTAATTAAACCAGTGCCATACAGCAGGAACAGGGATATCACTGTCCCTTTGTTACTCTTGGCGATCCTCCCATTCCTCTTTTGTGATAAATTACCACCCTTTGGCCTCTGATTATCCACCAGGAAAACAGCTATAGCTTTGTGGAGCAGAGGGGGAAGTATATTATCGTTTAATTTTCAACTGCAAGGATTGGCATACTGCGTCAGGAACAAATAAATAAGAATAGTTACTCATCTGATGTTTAAGCAATTCTGGGCTTCTTTTATTAGAACTTTATGGAATACTGTCTACAAAGACTGAAATTCTCCTCTGGCTGGCGGATACCAAGGTTATTAAGCCACAGTTTGGTCTCCTGCTCCAGAAGTGAAGGAGGTGTCTTTTTCTGCAGGGTGTGAGAAATTGTCCGAAGCAGTGCTCACAAAGTAAGAAGGCAGCCTATAGAGTACTGCAACTGTGTTTTAACAGAGATTCCTCTATCTATTTTAAAAACCATTGTATTGGGATATGATTGACATACAAAAAGCTGTACATATTTAAGGTAGACAACTTGATGAATTTGGAGGTAAGTATACACTCGTGCAACCATTACCAAAATCTATGCTATATACATATCCATCACCTGCAACAGTTTCTTCTTATATTCTTCATTATTATTTTTTGTGATAAGAACACTTAACATAAAATCTGTCCTCTTAGCCAATGTTTAAAGTACACAATACTGTATTGTTAACTGTAGGCACTATGCTGTACAGTAGATTGCTAGAATTTCTTCATCTTGCATAACATTTCTACCTTTTGATGAATAACTTTCTGTTTCCTTCTCCCCCCAAGATTCCCCTAATTTTAGAGCAGGGGTTTTACACACCAAATTGTCAACAGTGAGTATTTCCTGGTGAAGATTTTGTGGGTGTTCAGTCAGTAGGTGTATCTTCCATTTTAACTTTATATATACCTGTATTGTTTTTTTAATTAATTTATTTTTAATTTTATTATTATTATACTTTAAGTTTTAGGGTACATGTGCACAATATGCAGGTTTGTTACAATGTATACACGTGCCATATTGGTGTACTGCACCCATTAACTCGTCATTTAGCATTAGGTGTATCTCCTAATGCTATCCCTCCCCCCTACCCCCACCCCACAACAGTCCCCAGAGTGTGATGTTCCCCTTCCTGTGTCCATGTGTTCTCATTGTTCAATTCCCACCTATGAGTGAGAACATGTGGTGTTTGGTTTTTTGTCCTTGTGATAGTTTGCTGAGAATGATGGTTTCCAGTTTCATCCATGTCCCTACAAAGGACATGAACTCATCATTTGTTATGGCTGCTTAGTATTCCATGGTGTATATGTGCCACATTTTCAAAAGAACTAGGAAAGCAAGAGCAAACACATTCAAAAGCTAGCAGAAGGCAAGAAAGAGCTAAGATCAGAGCAGAACTGAAGGAAATAGGACACAAAAAACTCTTCAAAAGATTAATGAATCCAGGAGCTGGTTTTTTGAAAAGATCAACAAAATTGATAGACTGGTAGCAAGACTAATAAAAAAGAAAAGAGAGAAGAATCAAATAGATGCAATAAAAAATGGCAAAGGGGATATCACCACCGATCCCACAGAAATACAAACTACCATCAGAGAATACTATAAACACCTCTACACAAATAAACTAGAAAATCTAGAAGAAATGGATAAATTCCTCGACACATACACTCTCCCAAGACTAAACCAGGAAGAAGTTGAATCCCTGAATACACCAATAACATGCTCTGAAATTGAGGCAATAATTAATAGCTTACCAACCAAAAAAACTCCAGGACCAGATGGATTCACAGCCGAATTCTACCAGAGGTACAAGGAGGAGCTGGAACTATTCCTTCTGAAACTATTCCAAACAATAGAAAAAGAGGGAATGCTCCCTAACTCATTTTATGAGGCCAGCATCATCCTGATACCAAAGCCTGGCAGAGACACAACAAAAAAAGAGAATTTTAGACCAATATCCTTGATGAACATCGATGCAAAAATCCTCAATTAAATACTGGCAAACTGAATCCAGCAGTACATCAAAAAGCTTATCCACCATGATCAAGTGGGCTTCATCCCTGGGATACAAGGCTGGTTCAACATACGCAAATAAATAAATGTAATCCAGCATATAAACATAACCAAAGACAAAAACCACATGATTATCTCAATAGATGCAGAAAAGGCCTTAGACAAAATTCAACAGCACTTCATGCTAAAAACTCTCAATAAATTAGGTATTGATGGGACGTATCTCAAAATAATGAGAGCTATCTATGACAAACCCACAGCCAATATCATACTGAATGGGCAAAAACTGGAAGCATTCCCTTTGAAAACTGGCACAAGACAGGGATGCCCTCTCTCCCCACTCCTATTCAACATAGTGTTGGAAGTTCTGGCCAGGGCAATCAGGCAGGAGAAGTAAATAAAGGGTATTCGATTAGGAAAAGAGGAAGTCAAATTGTCCCTGTTTGAAGATGACATGATTGTATGTCTAGAAAACCCCATCGTCTCAGCCCAAAATCTCCTTAAGCTGATAAGCAACCTCAGCAAAGTCTCAGGATACAAAATCAATGTACGAAAATCACAAGCATTCTTATACACCAATAAGAGACAAGCTGAGAGCCAAATCATGAGTGAACTCCCATTCACAACTGCTTCAAAGAGAATAAAATACCTAGGAATCTAACTTACAGGGGATGTGAAGGACCTCTTCAAGGAGAACTACAAACCACTGCTCAATGAAATAAAAGAGGATACAAACAAATGGAGGAACATTCCATGCTCATAGGTAGGAAGAATCAAGATCGTGAAAATGGCCATACTGCCCAAGGTAATTTATAGATTCAGTGCCATCCCCATTAGGCTACCAATGACTTTCTTCACAGAATTGGAAACAACTACTTTAAAGTTCATATGGAACCAAAAAGGAGCCCGCATCCCCAAGACAATCCTAAGCCAAAAGAACAAAGCTAGAGCCATCATGCTACCTGACTTCAAACCATATTAAAAGGCTACAGTAACCAAAACAGCATGGCACTGGTACCAAAACAGAGATATAGACCAATGGAACAGAACAGAGCCCTCAGAAATAATGCCGCATATCTACAACTATCTGATCTTTGACAAACCTGAGAAAAGCAATGGGGAAAGGATTCCCTATTTAATAAATGGTGCTGGGAAAACTGGCTAGCCATATGTAGAAAGCTGAAGCTGGATCCCTTCCTTACACCTTATACAAAAATAAATTCAAGATGGATTAAAGACTTAAATGTTAGACCTAAAACCATAAAAACCCTAGAAGAAAACCTAGGCCATACCATTCAGGACATAGGCATGGGCAAGGACTTCATGTCTAAAACACCAAAAGCAATGGCAACAAAAACCAAAATTGACAAATGGGATCTAATTAAACTAAAGAGCTTCTGCACAGCAAAAGAAACTACCATCAGAGTGAACAGGCAACCTACAGAATGGGAGAACATTTTTGCAATCTACTCATCTGACAAAGGGCTAATATCCAGAATCTGCAATGAACTCAAACAAATTTCCAAGAAAAAACCAAACAACCCCATCAAAAAGTGGGTGAAGGATATGAACAGACACTTCTCAAAAGAAGACATTTATGCAGCCAAAAAACACATGAAAAAATGCTCATCATCACTGGCCATCAGAGAAATGCAAATCAAAACCGCAAGGAGACACCATCTAACACCAGTTAGAATGTTTTATTTTTTAAAAATAATTAATACTTTGGGAGGCCGAGGCGGGCGGATCACGAGGTCAGGAGATCGAGACCATCCCGGCTAAAACGGTGAAACCCCGTCTCTACTAAAAATACAAAAAATTAGCTGGGCGTAGTGGCGGGCGCCTGTAGTCCCAGCTACTTGGGAGGCTGAGGCAGGAGAATGGCGTGAACCCGGGAGGCGGAGCTTGCAGTGAGCCGAGATCCCGCCACTGCACTCCAGCCTGGGCGACAGAGCGAGACTCTGTCTCAAAAAAAAAAAAAAAAAAATTAATTAATGTAAACTACACTTATAATAAAAATGGTGAAGATGAAAACTAGTGGCTCTCAGATGCCATTAACTTTGGAGAGACACTCTGATCCTGAAGCAGTGTCCTTCCTAAAAATTTAAGAGCTGTCAGGATTTCTGCATGTGTTTTAGAACTCATCTCACTTGAGCTACAGCTTGTATTCCTAAATTTGGCATGATGTCTCAGAGAAGAAAAGAAATATGACATGGAAGGAAAGGCAGAAATAAGATAACACAGACAAACTGGAATTTCTTAAAGTTCTGCCTCTAAGGACTTGGCTCTCTGGAAGAGAAAAGTAATTATCTCCACAGGTATACTAGTCTACAGTTGACCCTTGAACAACATGGGGGTGAGGGTGTATCAAGCCCCTCTGCAGAGGATAATCCACATATAACTTTTGATTCCTCTCAAACTTAACTACTAATATCCCATTGCTGACCGGAAGCCTTACCAATAACATAAACTGTCAATTAACACATATCTTATATGTGTTATATACTGTATTCTTACAATAGAACAAGCTAAAGAAAAAATATTATTAAGAAAATCATAAGGAAGAGAAAATACATTTCCAGTACTGTACCGTATTTATCCATACTATAAGTTTACATCATCATTTTTTTTTTTTTTTTTGAGACAGAGTCTAGTGTGATCTTGGCTTACTGCAACCTCTGCCTCCTGGGTTCAAGCGATTCTTCTGCCTCAGCCTCCCGAGTAGCTGGGACTACAGGCATGCACCACCACACCTGGCTAATTTTTGTATTTTTAGTAGAGACAGGGTTTCACTGTATTGGCCAGGGTGATCTCGAACTCCTGACCTCATGATCCGCCTGCCTCGGCCTCTGAAAGTGCTGGGATTACAGGCGTGAGCCACCACACCCAGACCTACATCGTCTTTTTACAAGATGAATCATCTGTCTGGAATGGCAGAAACTGAAACTGCAGACCTCAATCTATGGTACATATCAAGCAATTCAACTTCTTGTAATGTCATGACTTTTCTCTGCTTCTTGGGAGTACTTCCAGCATCACTACACTTCCTGTGAATCCTGTGATGTTATTCAAGGTTTGCAGTATAGAACTAAACAGGATGAAAAAAATGAAAGAACTATGAGAGATCAAGTTGTACTGTGATATGCAATTCACTGGAGAGATGAACTGTTCAGGGGGAATGATCATCACATGGCTTTTTAAGGGAATATGCACAGCACGAGCTCAATGCAATAACAACAGGACGTGGCTACAGAATTATTACAGCAGTACAGTATGGATGATAATTTTGTGCAGTTATAATTTAATACTGCATTTTTGCTTCTGTTTATATTTTTCTCAACTGAATGGCACCATGTACAATCTGTGTTTGTGTGCATAACTTTTGATAAATTTTAACCTTTAAAATAAATTTGTGTGTATTTTATGATTATAAATGATAAAATAGAGCAGTGTCTACATATATTTTATGCATTCATTACATTTCTATTTCTTAATTTTTTTGATACTTCTAGGCTATGAAGCTCATCTACAAGTTTTTTCAAATTGTCATAAATCTCCAAAATGTTTTCCGATATATTTACTGAAAAAAATCCTCATATGAGTGGACCTGCAGAATTCAAACCCATGTTGCTTGGGCTGCCATAATAAAATACCATAGACTGGGTGCCTTAAGAAACAGACATTTATTTTCTCCAGTTTTGGAGGCTGGAAGTCCAAGATCAAGGTGCCAGCAGGGTTGGTGTCTCCTGGAGCCTTCCTCCTTGGCTTGCTGCCTTCTTGCTGTGTCCTCATACCGTCTTTCCTATGTGCTTGTTGTCCTTGGAGGCATCCAGATTTCCTCATCTTATAAGGATACCAGTCAGATTGGATTAGGGCCCACCATAATGCCCACACACGAACTTAATCACCCCATAAAGGTTTTATCTCTAAATGCAGTCACATTCTGAGATAAGGGCTTCATATCAATTTGCAGGAGCTGGGGAAAGAGTGGAGTGGGAGGGGAACATAATTCAGTCCATACGGTGGATAAATTCTTACAGAGCTTTATTATTATTATTATACTTCAAGTTCTGGGATACATGTGCAGAACGTGCAGATTTGTTAAATAGGTATACATGTGCCATGGTGGTTTGTTGCACCTATCAAACTGTCATCTACATTAGGTATTTCTCCTAATCCTATCCCTCCCCTGGCTCCTCACCCCCTGACAGGTCCCGGGGTGTGATGTTCCCCTCCCTGAGTCCATGTCTTCTCAATGTTCAACTCCCACTTATGAATGAGAACATGTGGTGTTTGGTTTTCTGTTCTTGTGTTAGTCTGCTGTTGGTTTTCTGTTCTTGTGTTTCCAGCTTCATCCATGTCCCTGCAAAGGACATGAACTCATCTTTTTTAATGGATGCATAGTATTCCATAGTGTATATGTGCCACATTTTCTTTATTCAATCTATCATTGATGGGCATTTGGGTTGGTTCCAAGTCTTTGCTATTGTGAACAGTGCTGCAATAAACATACGTGTGCATGTATTTTTAGAGGAGAAACATTTATAATCATTTGGGTATATACCCAGTAATGGGATTGCTGAGTCAAATGGTGTTTCTTGTTCTAGCTCCTTGAGGAATCGCCACACTGTCTTCCACAATGGTTGAACTAATGTACACTCCCACCAACAGTGTAAAAGCATTCCTCTCTCTCCACATCCTCTCCAGCACCTGTTGTTTCCTGACTTTTTAATGATTGCCATTCTGACTGGCATGAGATGGTATCTATTGTGGTTTTGACCTGCATTTTTCTAATGACCAGTGATGATGAGCTTTTATTCATGTTTGTTGGCTGCATAAATGTCTTCTTTTAAGTGTCTGTTCATATCCTTTACCCAAATTTTGATGGGGTTGTTTGTTTTTTCTTGTAAATTTGTTTACATTCTTTGTAGATTCTGGATATTAGCCCATTGTCAGATGGATAGATGGCAGAAATTTTCTCCCATTCTGTAGGTTGCCTGTTCACTCTGATGACAGTTTCTTTTGCTGTGCAGAAGCTCTTTAGTTTAATTAGATCTCATTTGTCAATTTTGGCTTTTGTTGCCATTGCTATTGGTATTTTCGTCATGAAGTCTTTGCCCATACCTGTCCTGAAGGTATTGTCTAGGTTTTCTTCTAGGGTTTTTACGGTTTTAGGTCTTATGTTTAAGTCTTTAATTCATCTTGATTTAATATTTGTATAAGGTGTAAGGAAGGGGTCAAATTTCTGTTTTCTGCATATGGCTAGCCAGTTTTCCCAATACCATTTATTAAATAGAGAATCCTTTCCCCATTGCTTGTTTTTGTCAGGTTTGTCAAAGATCAGATGGTTGTAGATGTGTGGCGTTATTTCTGAGGCCTCTGTTCTGTTCCTTTGGTCTATATATCTGTTTTGGTATCAGTTCCATGCTGTTTTGGTTACTGTTGCCTTGTAGTATAGTTTGAAGTCAGGTAGCATGATGCCTCCAGCTTTGTTCTTTTTGCTCAGGATTGTCATGGCTATGCAGGCTCTTTGTTGGTTCCGTATGAAATTTAAAGTAGTTTTTTCTAATTCTGTGAAGAAAGTCAATGGTAGCTTGATGGTGATAGCATTGAATGTATAAATTACTTTGGGCAGTATGGCTATTTTCACGATATTGATTCTTCCTATCCATTAGCATGGAATATTTTTCCATTTGTTTGTGTTCTCTCTATTTCCTGGAACAGTGGTTTGTGGTTTTCCTTGAAAAGGTCCTTCACATTCCTTGTAAGTTGTATTCCTAGGTATTTTATTATCTTTGTAGCAATTGTGAATGGGAGTTCACTCATGATTTGACTCTCTGTCTGTTATTGGTGTATAGGAATGCTTGTGATTTTTGCAACTGATTTTGTATCCTGAGACTTTGCTGAAGTTGCTTATCAGCTTAAGGAGATTTTGGGCTGAGATGATGGGGTTTTCTAAATACACAATCCTGTCATCTGCAAGCAGAGACAATTTGACTTCTTTTATTCCTAATTGAATACCCTTTATTTCTTTCTCCTGCCTGATTGCCATAGCCAGAACTTCCAACACTATGTTGAATAGGAGTGCTGAGAGAGGGCACCCTTGTCTTGTGCCGGTTTTCAAAGGGAATGCTTCCAGTTTTTGCCCATTCAGTATGATATTGGCTGTGTGTTTCCCATAAATAGTTCTTATTATTTTGAGATATGTTCCATCAATACCTAGTTTATTGAGAGTTTTTAGCATGCAGGGCTGTTGAATTTTGTCAAAGGCCTTTTGAGGATTTTTGCATCAATGTTGGCCTGAAATTTTCTTTGTTTGTTGTGTCTCTGCCAGTGTTTGGCATCAGGATGATGCGGGCCTCATAAAATGAGTTAGGGAGATTCCCTTTTTTTCTATTGTTTGGAATAGTTTCAGAAGGAATGGTACCAACTCCTCTTTGTACGTCTGGTAGAATTCGGCTGTAAGTTCATCTGGTCCTGGTCTTTTTTTGGTTGGTAGGCTATTAATTACTGCCTCAATTTCAGAACTTGTTATTGGTCTATTCAGGGATTTGACTTTTTCCTGGTTTAGTCTTGGGAGGGTGTGTGTCCAGGAATTTATCCGTTTCTTCTAGATTTTGAGGTTTATTTGTGTAGAGGTGTTTACAGTATTCTCTGATGGTAGTTTGTACTCCTGTTGGATCAGTGGTGATCTCCCCTTTATCATTTTTTATAGTGTCTATTTGAGTCTTCTCTTTGTTTCTTTAATAGTCTGACTAGTGGTCTATCAATTTTGTTGATCTTTCCAAAAAACCACCTCCTGGATTCATTGATTTTTTGAAGGGTTTTTCATGTCTATATCTCCTTCAGTTCTTCTCTGATCTTAGTTATTTCTTGTCTTCTGCTAGCTTTTGAATTTGTTTGTTCTTGCTTCTCTAGTTCTTTTAATTGTGATGTTAGGGTGTTGATTTTTGATCTTTCCTGCTTTCTCCTGTGGGCATTTAGTGCTATAAATTTCCCTCTAAACACTGCTTTAGCTGCATCCTAGAGATTCTGGTATGTTGTGTCTTTGCTCTCATTTGTTTCAAAAAACTTATTTATTTCTGCCTTAATTTCGCTATTTACCCAGTAGTCATTCAGGAGCAGGTTGTTCAGTTTCCATGTAGTTGTGCAGTTTTGAGTGAGTTTCTTAATCCTGAGTTCTAATTTGATTGCCTTGTGATCTGAGAGACTGTTTGTTATGATTTCCATTCTTTGGCATTTGCTGAGGAGTGTTTTACTTCCAATTATGCGGTCAATTTTAGAATAAGTGCAATGTGTTGCCGAGAAGAATGTATATTCTGGTGATTTGGGGTGGAGAGTTCTGTAGATGTCTGTTAGGTTGGCTTGGTCCAGAGCTGAGTTCCAGTCCTGAATATCCTTGTTAATTTTCTGTCTCTTTGATCTGTCTAATACTGACAGTGGGGTGTTAAAATCTCCTACTATTATTGTGTGGGAGTCTAAGTCTCTTTGTAGTTCTCTAAGAACTTGCTTTATGCATCTGGGTGCTCCTGTATTGGGTCCATATATAGTTAGGATAGTTAGCTCTTCTTGTTGCATTGATCCCTTTACAATTATGGAATGCCCGTCTTTGTTTTTTTGATCATTTGTTTAAAGTCTGTTTTATCAGAGACTAGGATTGCAACTCTTGCTTTTTTTTTGCTTCCCATTTGCTTGGTAAATCTTCCTCCATCCCTTCATTTTGAGTGTATGTGTGTCTTTGCACATGAGATGGGTCTCCTGAATACAGCACACAGGTGGGTCTTGACTCTTTATCCTATTTGCAAGTCTGTGTCTTTTAACTGGTGCATTTAGCCTGTTTACATTTAAGGTTAATATTGTTATGTGTGAATTATGTGTTATGTGTCATTATGATGCTAGCTAGTTATTTTGCCCATTAGTTGATACAGTTTCTTCATAGCTCTATGGTCTTTACGTTTTGGTATGTTTTTGCAGTGGCTGGTACTGGTTTTTCCTTTCCATATTTAGTGCTTCCTTCAGGAGCTCTTGTAAGACAGTCCTGGTGGTGACAAAATCTCTCAGATTTGCTTGTCTGTAAAGGATTTTATTTCTCCTTCACTTATGAAGCTTAGTTTAGCTGGATATGAGATTCTGGGTTGAAAATTCTTTTCTTTAAGAATGTTGAATATTGGCCCCTACTCTCTTCTGGCTTGTAGAGTTCCTGCAGAGAGATCCACTGTTAGTCTGATGGGCTTCCCTTTGTGGATAACCCGAGCTTTCTCTCTGGCTGCCCTTAACATTTTTTCCTTCATTTCAACCTTGGTGAATCTGACGATTACGTGTCTTGGGGTTGCTCTTCTTAAGGAATATCTTTGTGGTGTTCTCTGCATTTCCTGAATTTGAATGTTGGCCTGTCTTGCTAGGTTGTGGAAGTTCTCCTGGATAATATCCTGAAGAGAGTTTTCCAACTTGGTTCCATTCTCCCCATCACTTTCAGGTACACCAATCAAACATAGGTTTGGTCTTTTCACATAGTCCTATATTTCTTGGAGGCTTTGTTTGTTCTTTTTCATTCTTTTTTTCTTTAACCTTGTCTTCGTGCTTTATTTCATTAAGTTGATCTTCAATCTCTGATATCCTTTTTTCCACTTGATCGATTTGGCTACTGCACTTGTGTATGCTTCACGAAGTTCTTGAGCTGCGTTTTTCAGCTCCATCAGGTCATTTATGTTCTTCTCTAGACTGGTTATTCTAGCTAGCAATTCTTGCAACCTTTTTTCAAGGTTCTCAGCTTCCTTGCATTGGGTTAGAACATGCTTCTTTAGCTGGGAGGAGTTTGTTGTTACCCACCTTCTGAAGCCTACTTCTGTCAATTCGTCAAACTCATTCTCTGTCCAGTTTTGTTCCCTTGCTGGTGAGGAGTTGTGATCCTTTGGAAAAGAAGAGGCATTCTGGTTTTTGGTATTTTTAGCCTTTTTGCACTGGTTTTTCCTTATTTTCATGGATTTATCTACCTTTAGTCTTTGATGTTGGTGACCTTCAGATAGGGCTTCTGTGTGGACGTCCTTTTTGCTAATGTTGATGCTATTCCTTTGTGTTTATTTTCCTTCTAACAGTCAGGCCCCTCTGCTGCAGGTCTGCTGGAGTTTGCTGGAGGTCCACTTCAGACCCTGTTTGTCTTGATATCACTGTAGAGGCTGCAGAACAGAAAAAATTGCTGCCTATTCCTTCCTCTAGAAGCTTTGTCCTAGAGGGGCACCTGCCGAATGCCAGCTGGAGCTCTCCTGTATGAGGTGTCTATTTACCCCTGCTGGGAGGTGTCTCCCAGTCAGGAGGCATGGGAGTCAGGGACCCACTTAAGGAGGCAGTCTGTCCTTTAGCAGAGCTCGAGCACTGTCCTGAGAGATCCACTGCTCTCTTCAGAGCCTGCAGGCAGGAATGTTTAAGTCTCCTGAAACTGCCCACAGCCACTCCTTTCCCCAGGTGCTCTGTCCCAGGGAGATGGGAGTATTATCTATAAGCCTCTGATTGGGGTGCTGCCTTTCTTTCAGGGATGCCCTGCCCAGAGAGAAGGAATCTAGAGGGGCAGTCTGGTTACAGCGGGTTTGCTGCGTGGAAGTGGGCTCCTCTCCGTTTGAACTTCTAGGCAGCTTTGTTTACACTGTGAGAGGAAAACCGCCTACTCAAGCCCCAGTAATGGGGGATGCCCCTCTCCCCACCAAGCTCGAGTGTCCCAGGTTGACTTCAGACTGCTGTGCTGGCAGTGAGAATTTCAAGCCAGTGGATCTTAGCTTGCTGGGCTCCTTGGGGGTGGGACCCGCTAGGCCAGACCACTTGGCTCCCTGGCTTCAACGCCCTTTCCAGGGGAGTGAACAGTTCTGTCTCACTGGGATTCTGGGCACCATAGGGTTATGAATAAAAAACTCCTGCAGCTAGGCTGGTGTCTGCCCAAACAGCAGCCCAGTTTTGTGCTTGAAACCCAGGGCCCTGGTGGTGTAGGCACTCGAGAGAATCTCCTAGTTTGTGGGTTTTGAAGACCATGGGAAAAGTATAGTATCTGGGCCAGAGTGCACCCTTCCTCATGCACAGTCCCTCATGGCTAGGGGAGGGAGTTCCCTGACCCCTTGTGCCTCCCAGGTGAGGTAATGCCCCACCCTGCTTCAGCTCGCCATCTGTGGGCTGCACCTGCTGTCTAACCAGTCCCAGTGAGATGATCCAGGTATCTCAGTTGGAAATGCAGAAATCACCTGCCTTCTTCATTGATCTCCCTGGGAGCTGCAGAACAGAGCTGTTCCCATTAGGCCATCTTGCCAGCCACCACCGCTTTTTTATTATTCTTACAAATTTCAGTGGGAATGAGTTGGGAATAAAAATGACTATAAACATTCTGACTAAAATAACTGATGATAGTTTATTGATAGAAAACAGATAATTACTAACCTATTTTGCAGAAGAAAGAAAACTGAAATGGAACATCAACTTGATGTATAGGCAAGTTTATGATACACATTTAATGCATAAAGAACAATTAAGGAAATTGTACCTTTGCAATAGAGGGAAATTAACGTAAGAATGCTTCTGATGTTTGTGTGGCATATTTTTAAATCTTTTTATGATTATAATCAAAGGGACTCATGGTACTTCCTTTATTATTATTTTTTAAAAGAAAAACAGACATGAAAAAAGTATTAACATTAAATTAAAATTAAAAAAATTCAAGTTTTTGGGGAACAGGTGGTTTTTGGTTACATGGATTAGTTCTTTAGTGATGATTTCTGAGACTTTGGTTCACCTGTCACACGAGCTGCATACACTGTACCCAATGTGTAGTCTTTTATCTCTTACCCCTTTCCACCCTTCCCCCAGAGTCCCCAAAGTTCATTATATCATTCTTATGCCTTTGTGTCTTCATAGCTTAGCCCCCACTTATAAGTGAGAACATACAATATTTGGTTTTCCATTCTGAGTTACTTAGAATAATGGTGTCCAACTCCTTCCAGGTTTCTGCAAATGCCATTATTTTGTTCCTTTTTATGGCTGAGGAGTATTCCATGGTATATGCATACCACATTTTCTTTTCTTTTCTTTTTTTTTTTTTGAGACAGAGTTTTGCTCTTGTTGCCCAGGCTGGGTTGCAACGGCATGATCTTGACTCACTGCAACCTCCACCTCCTGAGTTCGAGCAATTCTCCTGCCTCAGCCTCCCAAGTAACTGGGATTACAGGTGCCCATCACCATGCCCGGCTAATTTTTTTTTTTTTTGTAGTTTTAGTAGAGATGGGGTTTTACCATGTTGGCCAGGCTGGTCTCGAACTCCTGTCCTCAAGTGATCTGCCCACTTCAGCCTCCTAAAGTGCCTGGGATTACAAGCGTGAGCCACCATGCCCGGCCATATATACCACATTTTCTTTATCCACCTGGTTGACAGGGATTTAAGCTGGTTCCATATTTTTGCAGTTGCGAATTGTGCTGCTATAAACATGTGTGTGCAAGTGTCTTTTTCATATAATGACTTCTTTTCCTCTTGGTAGATACCCAGTAGTTGGATTGCTGGATCAAATAGTAGTTCTACTTTTAGTTCTTTAAGAAATCTTCATACTGTCTTCCATAGTGGTTGTATTAGTTTACATTCCCACTAGCATAAAAACTTTAATAGAAGTTGTTATTGAGTAACAAAGGAAATAATTATCTGGTATTCAATTCACAATTCTTTACAAAGCATTATCAAAGTGTTTTAATTGGAGTAGATATCTAGTAAAGTGTTCATTTGATTATAACAATATTTGAAAAGAAATATCACCACAATTATAGTAAAAAATACAAATTCACATTTTCTTTTAGTTATTCTAAGATGTTTTTATATTCTTTAATATTTGGAATGCTAAATGCACAAATTATTTCTAGAAGAGTTTTTTTTCATTTATTGTCAGCCTATCAGTTTGATATAAATCATTCATTGCCTTTGTTGTTACATTTTTTTCCTATGTCCAAATATTGTTTCCACAGAGAATTTTTAGAGTAGCCATGTCTAATTCGTGGCATTGTTCCAGAGCCTGGCACATAACAGGTAGCTAGTGAATTAATTGTTTTTTTAATCAAGATTAAGCAGCTTATAAATTTGCTCACACATTGGACTCTTTTTTTGTAAAACTGTGAAGCTGTAAATTGTGAAAATTATTGGATGATTACATGGCTGAGTCTTTAGCTAGTGGGTCAGTTATCTGAATACTTTTCTCAGACCCCAACTACTTTAACTTGAGATGCTTAGAAAATGGAGGCTAAAAGGTTGTTTTAATTTTTTTTTTCTCAAATTACGTATGTTAGGTGGAGCACAGTGGTAAAAACACAAACTGCCGGGTTCATACTCCCAGCTTTGTGACTTATTAGCTACAATGACTTTGGGCCAGTTACCTAACGTATTTGTTCCTCAGATTCTCATCTATAAAATGGGATGATGTCAATATCTACCTCTTAGGGGTTTTCTCAAGATTAAATGAGTTACATCGTGTAAAGCCCTCAGAAGAGTGCCTGGCACATCATAAGTACTGTGTTTGGTTTTTGAGATGTCCTTTATTGGTTCCCTGAAACAGGCAAGGACACTCCCCCAACCTCCATCCCAGCTAAGTCTTCTGCACTTGCGATGTTATTCGATTAAACAAACAAAACAAAACGATTTCTTTGATAAATGGAACTTGAGAAGAAAAATAAGTTTTAACCTAGAAAATTAAAACTTATGCTCTTCAAACCAAATTTGAGTTTGCCAGTTGAGCAACAATAGCATCCTTCAGAAAGTGTGGCTCCCTTGGATCTTTTGCAGTGAATGTTGTGTATGATGAAGGCTCAAAAAATGAGCTATGTAAAGTGAAGTCCGGACAGGATTGATTGCAGTTCCCTGGAAGAGAATCGCTTCAGAAATTTGATTCATACAGAATGAGCTTTCTTGAGAATTTCCACAACTGCGGCTTAAATGCTGTGAGTTGCTTAACAGAAAATATTAAACTTGTACTCAGTAGGCTTCCGGGACACCCACTTGGCAGCCTTTTCAGGGTCAACAGGGCAACTTCCGGCAGTTGAGATTACGTTCTCATAAAAAGGTGTAGGGAATCACAAGGAAGCTGTGCACATGGGTCTGGATTAATAGCAATTGTAGCCTGTGGAAGGTTGCCCCCCGTAGCAACTAGGATACCTTTGGTTATGGTCCTGAAGTTAACCATTGGGATTTTATTAGAAGTCTTAACTTTAACTGGCTGTGTGGCTTCAGGTTTATCACTTAACTTCTTTGCACCTCAGTTTCTTCATGGATATGTGAAGAGATATGGTGAGGTATTCTTTAAGTTCTCGACCTATGACTCTGCAATGGAAATGGAAGCACAGTCAATAAAGATATATTTGACTAACCCACTAACACCTTTTTATAAATGCAAAATCAGAATTTCTGCAATGATATAGTTTATTCATTTATAAAAAACCCTATTCCATGATTATAGAATGAGAACTGGAAATGAGCTAATTTGGGTTTGTAATGTATTCATTCGTATGTGTTTGACTTTTAAGAGAAAGAAGCAAATCCAAAGAAATAAATTATAAAAAGCAACCATCCCCAAATCCATTTTCAGGGCCAAGCATAATTCAGTTGTAGCTCCTATAGTTTTCACATCTTTAATACGTTATGGTTATAATTGATGCTCAGTAATATGTCCCTAAAATATCAAACACAGATGAAATTACTTTAACTAGGCTATACTTAGAAGTAAAATGTATCAATATATTATATATCCTTGCTGCTATATTTTAGAAAGCTTTTTGATCATATTTACAAATCAAATGGGTTTCCTGTAAAACTTTAAAGAGAAAATTCAATTTATTCGACCAGAGTTTGATGAGCAGTATTTCACTGTACTTTCAATAATAATCTTTGTGCATTTAGGCAAGTCATTTCACCTCTCTGATAGTCAATTTCCTTACACAAATACAGGGTAATAGAAGAGGCAATGCCTAAGGTACTTTTTTTTATCTTTAATGTTTCAAGTCAAGTCCTCTACTTCCTCTTTCTCCTATTTAAAAGATCCTTGCAGTTATTTTTATTCTGACCCTCCCAAAAAACCTCCCTCTCCCCCACTACAGTCTCTTTATTACCCAGGGATAATATTATATACTTGCATTTGCAGTGACAGGCTAAGGAAGTGATAACTGCTCTTCCCCTGTACTCCCTGCAGAGACCTATTCATCACCTCCATAATACCTGGCCACAAAACAGACAGAGAATAGCAGATAAGAAATGCAGATGGCTGAAACCTGAGTTAGTTGCCTAACATGTGGCTGACATTTTTAAGAAATTTAATTGATGGTGAGCATTTTTTCATGTGTTTTTTGGCTGCATAAATGTCTTCTTTTGAGAAGTGTCTCTTCATGTCCTTCGCCCACTTTTTGATGGTGTTGTTTGTTTTTTTCACCATCACTGGCCATCAGAAGAAATGCAAATCAAAACCACGATGAGATACCATCTCACACCAGTTAGAATGGCAATCATTAAAAAGTCAGGAAACAACAGGTGCTGGGGAGGATGTGGAGAAATAGGAACACTTTTACACTGTTGGTGGGACTGTAAACTAGTTCAACCATTGTGGAAGTCAGTGTGGCGATTCCTCAGGGATCTAGAACTAGAAATACCATTTGACCCAGCCATCCCATTACTGGATATATACCCAAAGGACTATAAATCATGCTGCTATAAAGAGACATGCACACGTATGTTTATTGCAGCACTATTCACAATAGCAAAGACTTGGAACCAACCCAAATGTCCAACAATGATAGACTGGATTAAGAAAATGTGGCACATATACACCATGGAATACTATGCAGCCATAAAAAATGATGAGTTCATGTCCTTTGTAGGGACATGGATGAAATTGGAAATCATCATTCTCAGTAAACTATCGCAAGAACAAAAAGCCAAACACCGCATATTCTCACTCATAGGTGTGAATTGAACAATGAGAACACATGGACACAGGAAGGGGAACATCACACTCTGGGGACTGTTGTGGGGTGGGAGTGGGGGGAGAGATAGCATTGGGAGATATACCTAATGCTAGATGACGAGTTAGTGGGTGCAGCGCACCAGCATGACACATGTATACATATGTAACTAACCTGCACGTTGTGCACATGTACCCTAAAACTTAAAGAAGTATAATAATAATAAAAAAAAAGAAATTTAATTGATCAAATACCTAGCAAGTATATGATAGGCTAGAGCCCTTGACCCCAAGAAATCTATACTCTTTTTAAAACATCTAGCCCAAAATGTCAGAAATGTATAATCTTAAAAAAGGAAATTAGTACTGATCTACCTGAAATATTAAGAGAATTCTTAAATGCCAAACTATGCAACTAACCATAATTGCCTTAGAAGTGCATGGAAGGGAGAAATGTGGGTTTGAAATAGTCAGCAGAGTTTGATGGAAAAAAACTCAATCTGCAGAGCATCTTTAAGGAAGAATAATATCTATGATTCTTTAACGCATTAATTCATTCAACAAATATTTAGTGTCCATTGATGCATTGAACTTTTCTAAGCTCTGGGAATACAGTAGTGAACAAAATGGGAAAACATCTTTGCCCACATAGAGCTTGCATTCTAATACAGACAAGTAAGAAAAAAAATCTATAAGTAAAAATATATTCCATGATAATAAGTACTGTGGAATTAAAAGAATATTTAGGTTAATAATGTAGGCATAGAGAATGCTCTAAAAAGTAATGTAATCAGACAGTATCAAGCTAACTCTCTCATTTTATAAATGAGGAAGCTGAGGTTCAGAGGAGTTATGTAACATAGCAAAGTCAGCTTGTTTATTAGCAAAAACAGAATAAAATCCAGACCTCCCATCTTCTAGTCTAGGGTTCTTTCCACTACGCACTCACCTCTTAGCTAATCAAGTCACACAGTGACAGAGGTAGAAGTGAGCAGAATTTGTGTGGGACCCAATGGGGCAGGCACTTTATTTTGGGGAGAAGTGGGAAGATATGTTTAGATGGAAAAGACAGAGCCAAATCTTAAAAACCAAATAGAAAAGTTTGGATTTGATGTGGTGATAGGAAAGACATGAGTAAAATTATCCTTAGATAATTTTGAAAATGTTTAGTTGATTACTAATACACCAGATCAACAAATGTGTCTCTTGTGTGATTACTCTCTTCTCCATTTCCTCCTCCCCTTGACATAGCTCCCTGAGAAAGAACTCCTTGGGGTAATCTTGCTTACCATCAGGTAGAGCCGTACAGTTTTCTGAGACTATCAAAGATACTATGCTATGGTTTTTCTTGAAAGTAGAAATAAAGCATTTTGGATAAACACAAATATTTTATTGCAGCTCCACATTCAGAGATTAAAATGCTGGTGAAATGAAAGTTGCTTGGGAACTAAATTTAGACATTCGATTTGGATAAAATTAGCAAGTTGAATCAGATACAAATTGAGAGATGCCGTTACTCATAATTTCATCATAAACTGGGGGTTAAGTACTTAAGCTCCTTCAGGACCCAATACATAAATTATAAACCAGAGCATAGATTTCCTTAAGTGCAGCAGTCATTACTGCTGATTCATTTTCATTTCAAGTTTCTAACAACTAAGGGAGAGAGAAGGTGGTGGGAGGGAGAGAGAGAAAGAGAGACAGAGAGCTAGAGAGAGAGGAGCTACCAATGAACTGCCCACAAAATTCACAAGGATTTACTTGCAGATAGAAAGATGCCATAACAGTGATGTAGATGTAGAAATAGCTTTTGTTTTTTACTTTTCTTTGAGAAAGAATAATAGCTTCAAGTAGGAAGAAAATATATATGTTAGAATACTTAACACAAATTTAACAATCAGAAAATTATCAAATAGGGCAAATAAATCTTACTGTTGTTGCTGAAATATGCAGATATGGGTGCTTACTTTGGCCTAAATCTAAGGCATGTCTTATTTTGGGATGTGATGGGTATTTTAAAGCCTCCAGGAGCTTGTGTATAAGGTTATAACCAGGGGATTATAAGCCTTTATCATCTGAGGGTCATGGAATACATTCAAGAACCTAACTATGTATTTTGGGCCCCAAGCAAAGCTTTAGAAAATGTTCCAAGACTATGACCGTTAATTCCAAACAGGTATTAAGTGCAATATAGGGGCTACTTAGATTTTTATGTTCTATTGTTAGGATTGGGGTGGGGATGTTAGATCTAATACTGTTTTGTAGGTCATTGCCTATGGCAAATTTCCTACCAAGGACTAGAATCACTTGCATAATCAATACAAAAAAACCTATTCCCTAACAAGAAGATCCCTTCTACACATTCACTTTATTTCAGGCTTCTGGTCACCTTGGGGTTAATGATCCATGAAACAAAGATGACTCTAACAGTAAGAAAGATATCCATCACTGAATTTAAGTACGCTGTAATGGGGTCAAAAGAGGAGTCACCCTCAACCTTTCATCCAGATCACACAGAATATACACAGAAAGATTCAGGTGTGAGTCACATGGGAGCATACACAGCAAGGTTCAGGCACAAGGTAGACATTCACGACTTGGTAAGTCTTCAAAGTTTTTCCTCCCCTCCCTTTGGCATAAACATGCCAAGTGTTTATGTCTGTGTGTTAGGTCATTCTTGCATTGCTATAAAGAAATATGTGAGACTGGGTAATTTATAAAGAAAAGAGATTTAATTGGCTCATGGTTCTGCAGGCTGTACAGGAAGCATGGCACCAGCATCTGCCTGGCTTCTGGAGAGAGGCCTCAGTGACTTTCAAATCCTGGTGGAAGGCGAGGCAGGAGTAGGCACTTCACATGGTGAAAACAGAAGCAACAGAATGAGAGAGTTTGCGGGGAGGTGCCATACACTTTTAAATGACCAGATCTCATGTGAACTCAGAGCTAGAGTTATTACCCAGGGAATTGACCAAGCCATTCATGAGAGATCCACCACCATGATCAAAACACCTCCCACCTGGCCCCACCACCAACATTGGGGATTACAATTCAACATGAGATTTGGCAGGGACATACATTCAAACGATATCAGTATCAGATAACTGAATATATATGAGGGAAGTGTTTTGATACTTTAAAAACCCTCTCAGGCATCTATATGATGTTACATAGCTCTCTTGCTGACTCATGATAACGGTTCTGAGTGGCTAAGAAGTGATTTCAATCCATTTACTCTGTTCAAAGGTAAGTAAGGATGTATTATAATAAAATGGATAAGGCAAAAAACTTGTGTATTCAAAGAGGTAAATTTTAGCTTTCTAGAAAAACCATTTATATGAAGTGCTTCATTCCAAGATGAGGACAATTAGCAATATTTAACATTGCACATTTGCTACATATTCAGCAAAGGGGAAGGCACTACGAGGGACTCCAGTAGGTGCCAAAGGATGTGAAAACCGACACCAGGGCCTTGAAAAATTTGTTCTGTCTTTGCCAGCATGTGAGATATTAGCGACATGATATTTCTTACTCCTGTAGAGTGGCAAGGGCAGTAAAGACAGGCAGGGTTGTGTGCTTGGTGTGCCACATTAGAAATCTGAGTGCATTCTCCTGATGGTTGTTAGATTCTTCAATAAGGGAGGACTTACTTTTCTAGAGATAAAATCTTATAAATAATCATAAATTTCCAAGACTGGCTCACACTAATCTTTTTATTTCATCATATACTAGAGGTCCTGAGTTCTAGGATGCCCACTTAGTGTAAAGCTTTTTTATTGCTAAAACAACTGATTCAAACCACTAATACTCTAAGGGTCTTGAGAAAGTTGGAATCCAGATGATCAGTAGAAGACAGGGACAGTCTGAATTGTTGAACCTACAAGGACACAGAAGAAGGGGTGGGGGAGGGAAGAAGAATAGGCATCTTAGGCAGGGATACAGCAGGCAGGATGCATAGAGCAGTGGTTCTCAACCTTGACTGCACATTTGAGTCACCCAGCATGCTTAAAAAAATTCTGATGACTGAGGTCCTCTCCAGCATCTCCAGAGGTGGGTACAAGCATGGGTATTTTAGGCACTTTTTAGGTGATTACAATGGGCCTCATGGATTGAGAACTGGCTTGGAGTGTGGAATGAGTCTCATGTGTTTGGAGGACAAAGGAGGTCAGTTTGAAGAGAATGGAAGTTCTTCATCCTACATGCAGAGCAGCCTGAGGAGAGGCAGGGAATATCTTGAAGAACTCTGAAGACTGATCTCACCTGAAGATTGATGGGAGGCCATTATTATTATTATTATTAATATTATTGAGCAGTAATAAAGATGGATAAAGCAGTATTTTGTTCAGTCTGTGGTCAGGGGTTCTTAGAGTTGATATAGAATGAAGATAACTCAGGCATGAGGTAACAAGGCCTTGGGCAGGAGCTGTTGGAATAGAAACAAGAGCATAGAGAGGAAGAAACTCGGAAAAGTTGAAATAATAAATTAGGCTCTTAGCAAAGTAGGTACTTAAAACTTGTGGAATAAATGAATGAAAGTGCTAAGGGGATAAAAGTACCAAGGAGGACTTTAAAATATGAAAACCATCAAAATAACATTGCCATGATAACAGATGGGGAAGGTAGGAGGGAGGAATTGCTTTAGGTTAAAAGATGGATTTCATTTTAGATATGTTAAATTTGTGGGGATGGTAATAATGACAACAACCAACCTCTGTGTGACTGCTCTGCCTGCAAGATGAAACCTCTGCCTACTTCTCTAGCCACTTTTGTACTCAGCATCTCTGGCCATGGCCACTCCTTCCAGCTTTAGGGTTTCCCATGAGCCCTTCCCCAACCTTGCTTGGGGTCTTGTTCCCACTCTTTCCTTGGCCCCCGTTCTACTCAGACTTAAAGTTTTCTTGAGGAAGATTTTCTTGCCAAGTTTCCACCAAAATTAATTTCCTTGCTACATTGTTCTGCACCCCTCCAGATGGTTCCTTCATAGGATGTATCACTCTTGGACTTTAGCAATGACTTGTTCAAGAACTCACTCCCCATTGGATAGTAACATCCATATAGGCAGAGATCTCATCTGTTTTGCTCATTGCTGTATTCCCAGGGTCCAGCACTGTGCCTGTTGCAAAGTAGGTGCTTGAATAACTGAATGAATAAGTGTCAAGCATTCTGCATGTAATATCTCTACAACCCTGTGAGGTAGGCACTATTATTAATCTCATTTTACAGATAAGGAAAGATAACTTACCTGAAGTTACACAGCTTTTATGTAGCAGGATTGAACCTTGAATCTTGGTTTTTCTAATGCCAAAGGCTGTGCTTCTTAACCTCTGATCTATTATGCCTCTGCCAGATGATTATAAATACAGGAGCATGGGAGCACAAACACAACTGTAAGAAGACAGAAAGGAGGAGATATAAAAGAACATAAAAAGTCTCAGGCAATTGGAGATGTTTGAATAGAAATAATCTTAAAGTTAATGGAGAATGGAGACAAAACCCTTCATTGGCATTGGGAGAGAAAATTGGTCCAGGAAGTTAAAAGACTGCCCCAAGATCATAGAATTGATTCTTGTTTGAGAGTGTGCTAGATCCAGGCTCTCAACTTCCGGATCTCCCTTTCTATAGGCATGGCAGATGGGGGCAAGTTGTTTGGGATCTATAAGTAGGCAATTCTCTTTGACTCCTATAGCCCCAACTTGGAGACAGAGGGAAAACAGACTGGGAAGGACCTGCAATGAGTATTATGCATAAATGAATTGTTTTATGGAACCCTGCACAGCTCCAATTATACTATAACCATCCTTTGTTGTAGCAACAGAATTAGCTTGCCTTTGATGTGGGTGCCTTAGGTCGCTTTCACTTTATTCTTCACACTTTGCAGAGTGATTAGGTGCAGGGAGTTGGTAGCTGTGCCTCTGCTTCATGAAGAAATACAGGGCTTCTCTAGGGTAGTTTTTGTCTAAATGTAGTCCCTATCCCTCTCTCAACTGCCTCACTGATTTTGCCTATGAGGAAACTAAAATATGAAGAGGTTAAATGACTTGTCACTGTTGGGTGTGGAAGTGGGATAGCTAAGAAGTATGAACTATAAAAGAAGGAGAAAGAAAGGCAGATAGGTATGTTAACCTATATCAGAATTAAATTGGGGATATCTGTCCTATCTTATATAAGTCCAGGGTGACATAAACCTGTCTCTGAGAGTACCCTAAGTGGGCATTTAGCTTCACACTTTCCCTGGGGTCAGTTTGATGCCTCCAGAACTCTTTTTTTAATCTAATTTTGGACTTTCAGGCTTGGACAGGAATTAACCTCAGTTTGGGAAGAAGGGAGGCAATGTTTCCTTTTCTGGACCTCCTCTTCAGGACATCTGGTACATTGTTGGGGCTTCCACTTAATTGCCTATATCACTACCAGGCCCAGAGTAGAAGGAAGATTAGAAATCAGAAGTCCCTGACTCACAGTCCTGATCTGGACTTTATTTATATAAGCACAAAGGATGTAGGCTGCTTTTACTTTATCTTCAAGGTCATTCTCTATGTTCAAAACTTGGCCATCTCTTACCAGCATTTCCCTCACATAGTTGCTGCGTGCCACCATTTGCCCCAAGCTCTTGCCTCACCATGCATGTTCACAGGGTTGTGAGAGAGCAGAGGGGTAAAGTCAAAAGGGGTGCTACTGGGTTATTATTTTGCACATTTGATGGAAGTAGAACTCTAGATTGGGGTAATTTCCCTGAAGTTATAACTAGAGAAAAATTATCCTACCATCTGACCTTTGTAACATTCTTCTAACAATGTCAGGAATTTCTCTGGAATTCAAAGTAATTAACAGATGTGATTCAATTGTCCTCCCAAATCCCTGGATGTAGCAGGCAGCATGGTTTATCCACCTAATAGATGTTTAGGATCACCAGGATTGAGATAAAGTTTTCCCTCCAGGTCATATCTTTATTTATGGGGGAATCTTGAGACTTCTTGCCTTTCAGTCAAGTTTCTTGGTGGCCTTGTCTTCGTAGGGCAAGGTTTGCTTGTGGTTTAGCTTGGTCTCTAAAAGATATACACTCTCCCTAAGGAGAGTCCCCACAGGTCCTGTGATGAGAGTGAAACAGGAATGCATTTATCAGGATCTGCACTTATTCTTCTAGCTTACAGAGCAAAATAAAATCAGGAAACGAAGCTAGAATGTTCTTGAATTCTTTGCCTTAAAAGCAATTAAATAGTAGGATAAACATGACTAAGTCCTATAATTAGGGCAAACGCATGATTTATCTTGCAAAACATGACACTTCTGTGAGTGAAAGGGGCACTGTTAATAGTTATCCTGCAACAGGCTTACACTGGAACTAGTTTGGGTAAACTGGTGTCATCTACTTACCATGGTGGTGGCAGTAGAGTATTAGCTCCCAGAGTTGAGTGCCTGGCATGTTTCATTCATTAAGCCAATGTATAAGAAAGTCTTATTGTAGGTGCTGTGAGAGAACTAAATGCATGATAGATGTATGTATCTTCATGACAAACTCCCTGAAGGGATTTACAGTGTTGTGGAAGAGATGGATATTAAGGGTCAGATTAATATTGGCAGGTTCTGTTATATTCAGTCTCTGTTTTCATGATTTTTATCTCACAGATGATCAGCAGTTCCTTATTTGAAAGGAAATGCTGTAATATCTTTGTTAAACTCATTTAGTGAGATATATTTTACAGAAATTCAGTTCTTGTTACAAAAGGTTTTTCTTTTCCAACTGATTATATTGATATTTTCAGTTATGTTCTTCTTATGGACTGTACCAATACTAGATCTGATAGAAACATTTTAATGATAAAATAAGACTTTTAAAAATAAAATTATATACACTTAATGTAAGTAAACATATTACCTTGTGTAGTGCTTTCAAGTTTATAAAAATTGCTTTCATATAAATATTCACTTTAATATCCACCAAGGCAGGGTGGTTCTCTGTCGCATTCACAAGGAAAATCCCAGCTCCTAGAACAGTGTCTGGGATCTTACTTAACAAATATTATGTGTGTGTATATATATATATATATATATATATATATATATATATATATATATATATACACACACATATATACTTTTTTTTTAAGACAGGGTCTTGCTCTTTCACCCAGGCTGGAGTGCAGTGGCATGGTGCCCAGGCTGGAGGCATGATCACAGCTCACTGTAGCCTCAACCTCCTGGGCTCAGGCAATCCACCCATCTCAGCCTCCCAAGTAGCTGGGACCACAGGTGTGTGCCACCACCCCTGGCTATTGTTTTGTTTGTTTATTTGTTTGTTGTTGTTGTTTTGTAGAGGCAGGGTTTTCATATGTTGCTGAGGCTGGTCTTGAACTCCTGGGCTCAAGTAATCTTCCTGCCTTGGCCTCCCAAAGTGCTGGGATTATAGGTGTGAGCCACCATACCTGGCTATAACAAATATTTGAAATGAATCAATTGCCTATAATGCTTTATTTATTTTGTCTAGAGAATCCTTTATTTTAATGAAACCTTATATGCATTTAACAAATAAAACTGATTGTAGCAGAACTTTTATGGCATGGTCTTAACGTTCATACCTCACCTCTCATAACCCTTATTTCTTAGAGAAGATATGAAAACTACTCATCAAGAATATGAACTCATGACATTAGATAGAGCATTGGAGCACATAAAGGCAGGGAGCTAATTTTGTCTACAGATGAAGAAAATGGAACCCACTGAGTCTAAGTAAAATGCCAAAGGTCAGTTGTGTGACATGGCCAGGCACTCAAAATTCCAGGCTCAAGGGCAGTTTTCCTATGACAACCAGAGTTAGATTGAAGACATTAAGAGATAGGTTAGCCAGGCAACTCTGGAGGACAGCAGGTTGCCAGGAAGCTGAACATTACTGAAATTGTTGAAACAGGGATGGAAGAAATTGCATGTACCAGAACTTTTCCCTGAAAGAACTACCAAATTTGACTGGAAGAAATATTTTGATAAGTCATGTGTGTGCAGTGAGGTCACACTGAGTGGTGTGTTTGAGAAATTACAGATAAATCATCCTAGAACTGCTTTTTAGGGAGATTGGATCTGATTATCCCTAGAATCCTTGTGTCTTTGGTTTGGTTGTGCAGATTGGGGGCAAGATTTATTGATAGAAGAATTGAGGAGAGGGCTTTCTTTCAATTAAAGGCTGAATAATTATTTAAATAATCTCAGTTTGAAAGGGTTTGAAATAACTAGCCTCCCGGGACTCAAAATTCTGGGTCCAGTTCAGATTGCAGAACCCACACCAGACTGCAGAACCCTGATTTTCTCATTTTCAAGTCAGAAATTGAGACTTTTTCCTTTAGAAACGGAACTATGATATATCTATTCTATGGTAATTATATAGATAAACAGGGATTGCAAGAGCTTTCCCTATATTATCCTCATTGAAAGAAGGTAAAAGTATATCATCCTGATAATAACTTCTGAAGACTTGGACCATCATATTTGGCTACTTTTAAAGTTTAAAATTGGCTTAGTCTGCAAAAATCAATTAATTGGTATTATTGAATGCTTCTAATGCCATTATAGTAATGTCTTTCAGTCCTTTGTTGTTATGACATTCTGTAAGAAATACATTTGATGCCACAAGTAGTCCACACATATATAAATATAATTAAAAAAGCAAAAGTATTATGGAATGGTTCTTACATTTACTATGTATTGCACTCATATTTTTATTCTACTTTGCTTAAAAAGTGCTGGTCATGACCCATCAGAATGATTTCATGACTCTAATGTGTCATTACACAAAATTTGAAATTAATGCTACAAACAATATGAGAGGAGGCAAAGGAAAAATTCCTGAACTGGAGGAACTTTGTAGTCAAGTGGGGGTGGGGAGAAGACTAACTTACAAACCACTGGAGCATATTTTATGACTGTGAGTAATTACTTGTCAAACTGTGTGATGTAGTTTAAAAATAATGGAAGTGCAGCATTTACGAGTGTGTCTTATGTATTGAAGAACACAGATCTAAACCAAGAAGACAACTTTTAAAAAGCATGCTTATTTTCAATTATATTTTATGCTTCTAAGAGGCACTTTTCACATATTCTTCTGAAACTGGGGTGTATCTTACAATTGATCTTTACAATCTATAATACATCTATACAATAACTACTTTTGGGCAACTGTCCTGATTCAGTTACCATTTGTTGTTCACGTTCACTCATACTTGTCATTGCTGGTAGCATGACTGCACAGCTGAATCCCCTTACCATTTCAGTCTATAAGCCATAGGAAGAAAAAATGTGAATCTTTTCTGTTAAGAAATTCAATTCAGTCTGATAAAATCAAGTATGTGTCAGCATCAAAGCTTGCAGAATGTTGTTAGTGGCTTAAAGAAAAATTTCAGAAGCAACAATGGTGCATACTCCAAAATAAAATGCTGCTTCTCCACTGCTGTTGTGGACACAGAAGATGATGTTACAAGGAAAACGCTAACACTGATAACTGTGCCAAAAGGATTTAGAAGAGTGGAACTCCACATTTGAAGAAGTTTTAGCATTTTCTTCACCAATGAATTTTGCTTGTATATTCCTTTTTAATTTATACATGAGAGATATATGAAAAAAAGTCTATGTCTAAATAAGTCTGAGACAACTTTAAGAAGTAGCTATAAAATAAAATTTCTAAGTGATAAAACATCATTGTGCAATTGTTTAATTGGCAAGAGTTTTTCTTTTTGGTAGCACATTAAATATCAATGGCATCTTACATTTATGATCAGTCATAAGCAAATGCAAATTAACACCACAACATAATCTCACTACATACTTACTAGAATGGCTAAAATGAAAAAGACTGACAAAACCAGTTGTTGGTAAGGGTGTGAAACAATTGGAACTCTCATGTATTGCTGGTAGAAATGCAAAATTATACAGCTATTTTGGAAAAAGAATTTGTCACTTTCCTAAAAAGTTAGACATGCTTAGTGTACGTCCCAGCAATTCCATTTCTGGCTATTTAATCAAGAGAAATGAAAACATATTCAAAGAAATGCTTGTATGCAAATATTCATACTAGTCTCAAATTGGAAACAACCTAAATTCCATTAACTGTGACTGGATAAAGAAATTATGATGTGTCCATATAATGAATTCAGCAACAAAAAAGGGTAAACTATGAATATACATATGACATCATGGATGAATCTTAAAAGTTAAAGAAGCTGGATGCAAAGGTCTTCACATTATATAATTTTTAAATTATAGAAAAGGCAAAACTATTGTTATTGAAAGCAGACTAGTAGTTGTCTAAGGCCAGGGGTGAAGAGACTCTGCAAAGGGACAGAAAAGAACTTTTTGAGATGATGGAAAAGTTATCTATCATGATTGTGGTGATGGTCACACAACTGAATGTACTTGCCAAAGCTAACTGAATTGTGTACTTAAAATTGGTGATTTTATTGTATGTAAAATTGTACTTTATACATCATTGAAATTGGCTAACAAAAGCAAATTAAGGCTGGGTGCAGTGGCTCAGGCCTGTAATCCCAGCACTTTGGGAGGCCAAGGTGGGTGGATCACTTGAGGTCAGGAGTTCAAGACCAGCCTGGCCAACGTGGTGAAAGCCTTTCTCTACTAAAAATACAAAAATTAGCCAGGCGTGGTGGTGCACACATGTAATCTCAGCTGCTCGGGAGGCTGAGGCACTAGAATCGCATGAACCTGGGAGACTGAGGTTGCAGTGAGCTGAGATTGTGCCATTGTACTCCAGCCTGTGTCACAGAGCCAGACCCTGTCTCAAAAAAAAAAAAAAAAAAAGTAAATGAAAAAAATTGATGGTGCCTTAAATTTTGTAAAATAAGGATTATTTTTTCTATTTTAAAACGAATATAGAGAACAACAGAAAGGAGGAGAAATCACTTATATTCATATACACAAAAACAATAATTTAAAAATCTTAGACATTTTTCCTGTATGTCTTGGTTTTCATTTCCCCCCATGTGTGGGTATAGCATAAACCATCCTCCTAACTCTCTTCCCTGTGGAATTAAGATTAGACACTCTAAAAACTGAATG
Source organism: Homo sapiens (assembly GCF_000001405.40). NCBI lineage: Eukaryota > Metazoa > Chordata > Mammalia > Primates > Hominidae > Homo > Homo sapiens. Next base: position 40,617,456 of record NC_000005.10, on the reverse strand, counting down.
AGATGTTTCCTGGTTGTTGATCTTATCTATTTTCTTATATCCAAAAGATTCTTCATGTTTGGATTCCTGTAACATCTCTCTGTGCAATGTGAATCAAATAATTGGAAATATAAATATTTTAAATTATGTGTGCCAATGAATTTGGGTTTTGATAATTGAGAAAGAACTCTAGTACCTGAGTAAAATGTACTATTTAGAGGAAATTTTAGAAGCAAGATAAATGGATCAGCCACTAAAGATAGGAATCATTAGACATGGAGAGTTTTTATAATAGTTTGGTCATGAATGAACCTTTTTGGGAGGGACTTCCTGAAAACTTTCAGTTGAATTATTTTACTTGCTTAGAAAAAAAAAAGAAAAAAAATTTACTTTACTTCTGCTTCTACCCACCTAACAGAGTTATATAAGGAAAGATGGCTCCAGTGTGCGTGCTTGTAAGCTCAGACCTTCGAAATAACTACGTGAATCACTTGAGCAAGTTATTTCACTTCTCAGTTTCTCTATCTGTAAAGTGGGGATAATAATAATAGTGATCTCATATGTCTGCTATGGAAGTTAGATGGAGATAATGTGTGTGAGTGCTTTGAACACATGTACGGTTCCAGATTGTTATTATTATAATATCATCACTGTAATGAGAGAACTTTTTCACACATAAAGGGAAGTGGGGACGGAAGCTTGGATGCCAAACATTTTCCTTTCTTGTACTTAACATAAATGACCAGGGAACTTGGGGTACAGTATTTTTGACTTAAAAAATCCTTTTGATTTCTTTACTTTCTGTCTTAGGAAAATGTATTTAGATAAAATTCAGTAGCTGTGAAGATTACTGGCTGGAGGTGCTGTGGGAAATGTGTTTAGTTTTCTCTCGATCTGGATTGGTTAGAAAATAAAAGGAAATCCTTTTGCTGTCATTCTGTTTTGAAAGAGAAATTATAATTTTGAAATATGAAAAGCGTTAATACATATATTTAAATTAATTTTTTTGTTTTTGTTGAGCAGAAATAAGAGGCATAATTGCTAAATCCTCATTTGCCCCACATTTTTTTTTGTATTGGAATAAGAAGGAAAGGTTGTGAGAGTTAAATAGTACTTAATAACATAATTTTACAGACTAATATTCATATTATTGACACCTATTATTTATTAGAATGTTATAAACAAAACATTAGGCTTAAAATATGGCCTTCTAACAATCAATTTACTGCACGAAACTCCTACCAAAGCAGGTTATTAAAACTAGTTTGTGTTTATATAAATAGACCTTCCTGTATTTGCAATAAAAAGACCTGTATTAATGGCACAGTCTCCAATTAGAATTTTTAATTCAATAAGCATTTATTGCAAAGCACTGTATTGCAGCGACAGAAAGATGACTAAAACACATTATTTGTGCAACGTAGCAATTTAAAGGAGGAAAAAGGGAAAGGAAGAACATCATGTGTACACAACTGATTGGGAAAGAAATAAACTGGGCAGTATGTGGGGTAAAGAGCTTTGCATATTATGGACTGCCCATGGTAGTTAGCTCTGTCTCAGCCTCTTCTAGGTATTCAGGGTGAAAGTCATTGGGACCCTCACAGGGGATTGCCTTTTGGCTCCACTTCCAAAAATACTTTTGTTTCAATGAACCATATTTTGTTAGAGGACTTTGCTTCTCATGGTGTTGTTTTTATTCAGTTGGGGTTTGGTGGTTTTACTGTAGCAACTTGTTTTATGGTTTGAGTTCTGCCTTTGATTACATAATCTCTGAACTATTTTATCATTGCTCACTTCCCGTTTATCTGTCATTTTAAAATGAAGAATAAGAGAGTATAGTGATGAGAGACGCAGGCAGTGAAAATGGAGAGTAATATAATTTACAATTGTTACATAAAGTGACAACCCATGTCCCCAGAAGGGAAGACCTTTCTTTTTTTCAGAGTGGCCCTCCGAGGCTAGACTATGGAGAAGTCCCAATCTTGCAGCTAATAAGTTAGAAAGACTGTTCTAGGGTTGATAGGTGCAGCAAACCACCATAGCCCATGTATACCTATGTAACAAACCTGCACATTCAGCACATTTATCCCAGAACTTAAAGTAAAAAACAAAACAAAACAAAACAAAAACAGAAAAAAAATGAAAAAAAAAATAAAAAAAAGACCATTCTAAATCCCAAAGTATCTTTCTGATAAATCAGGGGGCCCAGAAGCTAGGTTCCCCTGGCAGAGGGCAGTAAACTCTTCCTAAATATAGTTCAAGAAAATTTCTGGATAATTATGTTTTCTAACTTCTAGAACAATTCAGAGACTCTGTCACAGGAGCTTTGTTGAGTATCACTAGTGCACAGTCCAAGCCAAAAGCAAAGCTCCCAACTAGAACACAGAAACTTGGATGCCAAAAATAAGTGATGTTTATGGCAGAGTCATTCATGGATTTGAGGGAGCGGGAATAGGCGAGAAAGAGGGACATTAAAAGTTTGATATTTTAAAAATATAAGCAAACCTCAGTTAGTAAATGAATGAATGTTTCAGAAGGAGTAGTTGCTGAGCCTGAGCTGAAAATTCTAACAGTGAATTTAAAGTTTTCACGTGGTAAGATCATTCATATTAAAAGGAAGTTAAAATTGAAAATGTGTAGAGGTTATATGATTTTTGAGGTTGAAGTTACAAAGTTGAAGTGTTTTAAGAATAGAAGAATTCAGCTGTGTTTCCAGTTGGCAATATATTGCAAATTGTTGCTCTACTAAATTGGCTTTGGTTATATCCAAACACAGAGTTTCTCAAAAGTTCCAGTTTCTGATTTCCCAAAGCATCACAAAGCAATTAATGTGCTTAACTTGTTTATATCAATAGTGCTGAATGCCGATAGGATGATTTCCCATTTTCCATCATGGGGAGGCTGCATTTTTCCTTTTGTAATTGAGGCCTTCTACTTATCCTTGAACAGAGGATAATATTTCCTAAAATGTCCTCAGTCCTACTTTTTAAACAAATTTAGTGCTTAAAGTGTCTTGTTCCCCAAATAAGGTCATCTAGAGCAGTCTTTCAAGGTCAATCACAATCTTTAATACATGATTTGAGAAGCTCTCTTCAGTTTATTAGTTTCTTATTTCTATCCACATATAATTCTACTACTTTAGATAATACATGACATCATACAGAACGGAAACATTTCTTTTCAGACAATCTCTGAAAGAATGAAAAGAAAAGCTTTCTTTAAATGCGAACAGAGAAATAATGAGTGACGAAAAATTTCCCCTAAATGATAAAGCAATTGTATTTCCTATTCCAAAACAAAGTGCAATGCAATATGTGTTCTTTTCTATTACATTTCTAATAAAATTATATGAGAGAAGAGATGAAGCAATAGAAATTATTTCCTAGAAACATCAAATGTTGACCCACCTCTCTGATTACTGTTAAGAGCTCTAATCTTGTGGTTAGGTAAGTATCTTAATTAAATCACATGCTATTTCTGCATCATTAGAGCAGGTCCAAAGCTGGAATTCTCTTCAGAAAGTTGAACCTGTGTTGGTGTGTGTGGTGTTTGTTCATATACATTTAGGCATTCACCAAGAGGAACTACCACAACATTTTTGCAAATCCAGATTCCTAGCTTTGCTACTCATCAACATGGAGTGATCTTGGACCTCGGTTCCCTTATTTGGGATAACAACATCTACTTGAAAGGCTCATTGTGTGAAATTACACACTGCATGTACACAACCTGGAGCACAGGGAGCATTCCCTAGCATTTAACCATTACCTGTTTTTTCATCCTTCAGTTATAAGGTTGAAATAAACTCATTTAAAAATTATCATCATCTTATCTGTTGGCTGAAGTGCCTACTGTGATTTTTTAAACATCATATTCATTCATTTAATCAATCATTCAATCATTAAAAGTATTAACTTAGTATTATTTTCATACAGAAATGAATAAAAACATGAACCCTGCTTCCAAGAAATTCACAGTTTAATGAGTCAAATTAATTATGGTATTTAAAGCTATCTTTTAACTAAGTCACAAATATTTGTTTTCTATTTCAAGTACATCATTTCACATAATTCAGTCATATGGTTTCTTTATCTAGGGGTTCTCCACACTGGCTGAACACCAGAATCAACTGGGAGAATTTTCTTGAAAACACTAACGCCTAGGCCCTACACAGATCAATTAAACCAGAATCTCTGGACACAGGTGTGTTTAAAAAGTTCCCAGGAGCCATCGAGTTTGGGAATCACTGGGCTAGAGTCAAACCAAAACTCAACTTCCTGGCCTTATTTTAGATGTTACTTTTTTGTTTCACTTCCATTGGGCATGCCATTCCTCTCTCTTTTCTGTCAGCGTCCCTCATTATCTTCAGAAGACAGTTGCAAAGATGCCTTTCCAGGGAACTTTGTATTATTTACACCCTAGATTATGCTCCCTGTTTTGTGTGGTGCCTTTCTTACTCTTACTCATTACTTTTCCGTTTGGATTTATTGGACAAGTGAAATTCACAAAAGCTTCTTTCTTTTTTTTTCAAGACAGTGTCTCGCTCTGTCACCCAGGCTGGAGTGCAGTTGCGTGATCTCAGCTCACTGCAACCTCCACCTCTCGGGTTCAAGCGATTCTCCCACCTCAGCCTCCAGAATAGCTGGGATTACAGCTGCGCACACCACGCCCAGCTAATTTGTGTATTTTTTGTAGAGACGGGGGTTTCACCATGTTGCCCAGGCTAGTCTCTAACTCCTGGGGTCAAGTGATCCGCCCACCTCGGCTTCCCAAAGTGCTGGGATTACAGGCGTGAGCCATCACGCCAGGATCGCAAAAGCTTTCTTATTTCCTTTGCGTTATGTTTCCCAAATTAGTGTGTAAGTTTCTTGTGGAAGAGATAAAATGTTCTTTATTAAATTTTTTTTTTGTGCTTCTGACCATAGTGGGCACGCAACTAATGTTCGTGGACAACTGACTCATTTCTGGTAAACTGATTTCTTCCTCCAACTTACTAGTATTAGCAGCTGTAGGATATCAGAATGAATTATGACTGTCTTTATCTTAACTTGACTTCCTAACTCCAAATTTTAACCTTTCGTCATCAGTTCCTTAGAATTTAACTTTCCTTCTTTTCTACTAGTCCAAATGAAATATTTTAAAATTTCTTATCTTTAGGCAGTTTTTTGGAAATTACCTACATTAGTTAAACCCAGATGTAATAAAAGCTACAGCACTGAACTATACTCTTCTAAACTTCTTGAAGGACAATGCCATATTTGTGTTCCAGGCACATAGACAAATATCTGGTGTATAGTAGGTGCTCAATAAAGATTGGTTGAATTAATTGAATTAATTCTTTGGTTAAATTAAGATTCATTAGCAGAGAAACTCTGAATGTATCTATCAGGCAAATCATTCTGGAATCAGATGCATTTTGAATAGCAGTATTTCTCTGCATTTACCTTTTTATTATTCACAAGCTCTGGGAATCTAACTTTGCTTTTTTATATCACTGAGCCTCCCTTAGCTCTTTACTTTGTTGGCATCCTTTGGAATTTTGTGTTGGCTCATTGAGGTCATTGATCTGTCTGGCTGTCTGTGGATTTATGAATAACACCATACTTGAACAGCACCATTCTAAATTATTGCATACAATGCACTTAATTTTGTCCTGAATCTCATTAGAGAAAACAAGGAAAATATTATAAAGTAAAATAATACAAATATTGGTCAGTGTATTTTACTCAAAGGCAATCACTGGGAATTTGTTTGTGTATTTCCTGCCAATCTTTTTTAATGCATTTTTAAGAAAGCATGATAATGTCTAAAATTCAACTGTTTATTTAATTTTGTATTTTGGTGTAATCCTTTAATATTGTAACCTAAGTGTTTTCCAATATTCTATAAACTCTTTGTTAAGTTTTACTTAATGAATATATTGTATACTGCAGTATTGTAAAATGAATTTGCAAAAATTTCAATAAACAATTTTCTCATTGTTGAACTTTTGGATTGTATTGTATTTTTATTACAATTAACAATCATTAGGTAACAACATAAGTAGGGTTATGTCCCAGAAGCTGTGTCCAAGGGTGATATGGTTTGTCTGTGTCCCCACCCAAATATCATTTTGAATTGTAGCTCCCATAATTCCCTCGTGTTGTGGGAGGAACCCAGTGGGACATAATTGAATCATGGGAGCGGTTTCCCCCATACTGTTTTCATGGTGGTAAATAAGTCTCACAAGATCTGATGGTTTTATAAGGAGAAACCCCCTTCTCTTGGCTCTCAATCTGTTCTCCTGTCTGCTGCCTTGTGAGATGTTCCTTTTGCCTTCCACCATGATTGTGAAGCCTCCACAACCACATAGAACTGTGAATCCATTAAACCTCTTTCTTTTGTAAATTGCCCAGTCTCAGGTATGTCTTTATCAGCACCGTGAAAACGGACTAATACAAAGGACATGAACATTTTTAAGTTTTTGAGACATGTGGATAAATCACTTCCCAAAGGACTATAATCTTCTGCAGACCTGTCAACAGTGCATCAGTATTCTCCCTTCCATTAAAGTCTTGTCAGCCTTGAGGACTTATTTTTTAATATAAAAAGGATGTTTTTTATTTTATTTAAGATCCCCCTGAAGGATTCCATTGTGCACATCTTTAAGATTTTACTCCATTCACTTTAGCATACTGCTACACCAACTTGAGAATCTCTCCATATCAAGTCTACCCTGATGCAGTTGTTGATGGGAAGAATACAGGTTACTTGCCTGGTTAGAGTGCCGATAGAAGATGGTAGGAGTGATAGGGCTCTGGCTGTGAATGGAGGCTGGTTGGAGTACACAACTATGGATGTGTTGATAGAGATGCTTGAGCCACCACATCCCTATATGTGTCAATATAGGTTTTTATAGGTTCCAAAGATAAACCAAAGCTTAATTTTTTGGCTAGAATTTCTTTTACAAGAGTTTGGGTATCTAAGCAAGAGAACACGTAAAATCACAGGGCATCTCAAAGTAGAATTTCCTTATGAGAGATGGAAACTGTGGGCTGTTTGGATTGTTTCAGTAAACTCTATATCTTTAAGCCACTTCCATATTCCATTCTGTTTGATCTTATGTATCCATTCTCCCTCCAATAAGAGAGATAAAGTGTTTTTATTTTGGCAACTGGATTGCTGCTGTATAGTCAGAAAATAAATTTTATTTAGGGCCATGGTTAAGTTGGTTGGAGAACTGGTTTTTAATGCATCATGAAAGAAGACCAAATATCCATTAAAGTAGTAGCAGGTATATAGAGAGGTTATGCAAAAATATGATGTGTTCATCTTTCAAGGCCCTAAACAAATGCCACATCTTCTCTGAAGCCTTTTCTGACTGTTCCAACTGCCCTGGTTGTTTTCCTATAGATCTTGGATCCTCACCCCTGTTACAGCAATGATAACATTGAATTAGTTACTTGTCTACATGACTGTTTCCTCACCCAATTATGGTCTTGTAGAAAACAGAGTTAATCTTTTTTTTTTTTTTAAATTGTATCCCTAAGCCTTAGCAGAGACTGACATACAGTAGGTGACTTATCATTGATTATTTGATGGTGGAAAGATAGAGGTATAAGAGAAACGAAAAATATTATTAAATGTATGATCATTAGCTTGTATTCTAAATTAGATTTTTTCAGACAATATAGAAATGTGCTCATCATTTTATAGATGAGGAACTGAGTGGTAGAGACATTAAGTGATTTCCTCAAGTGACACAGCTGGCTAAGGCACAAAGCGAGGTTCAGCATGCAGGCGTTCCAGTTCTTAGTCCTGTGTTCTTTCCAATCTACCTAAAAACATAATTCGCTTTAGAACACTGCATGAAAAAAAACTGTTTTCTGATCATATGGAGAAAACACCCAGCAAAATAAGCTGCTTTTATGTTATAGTGCATGTTGATTCCTTCAACATATTTTTCACATTTTAGAATAATGCAAATGGAGAAATACCTTTATATTCAATGTAAGATTTACAGTATTATGGAGCTTCATAAAGAATATTGAAGAGCTGAATCTTCTTAGAGGAAGACTTTATTAAAAAAGCTATGCTTTAGTGATAGTGTCACATAATGAGAGCTTTCATTAAGTGGCCATATATGGACAAATGTTACACCTATATTTATATTGCATAGATTTTTGCAAGTTAATAAAATGAGAAAACTCATATAATGCAAATAAAACTGTTTGACCTATAGTGTAGAAAGTCTTCAATATTGTTGTTTTTGTTCTTTTTAAATTTTCTTAATATAACATTCTTTAACCTGACAGTTTTTTCCTTTCCCTGAGACATTTAGAGGAAGCAATTGAAATGCTTATTATGGTAGCTGGAGGAATCAACTGGCAATTTAAAAGAAGTTATTCTGGCTGGGCGTGGTGGCTTACCCCTGTAATTCCAGCACTTTGGGAGACTAAAGTGGGCGGACCGCTTGAGGCGAGGAGTTCGAGACCAGCCTGGGCAAGATGGGGGAAACCCCATCTCTACAAAAAAAAAAATGCAAAAATTAGCTGGGCATGGTGGCTTGTGCCTGTAGTTCCAGCTGCTCTGGAGGCTGAGGCACAAGAATCACAGGCACCTGGGAGGCAGAGGCTGTAGTGAGCCGAGATGGTGCCATTGCACTCCAGACTGGGAGACAGAGTGAGACTCTATCTAAAAAATAATAAATAAATAAAATAAATAAATAAAATAAGTTACTCTGAATAAATGACAGTTCCAGCAAGAGGGAGTTGGCCTAATATAAAGCAATCAGTTCATACCCTTGACAGGTTCCTATAGAAGGCTTTGATAATTAGGATTCCACTGGGTCTTAGAGGGGGAACATTCATTAAGCAAATTGTTCTTTTTCTCTCTTTTTTCCTTCCAAAAACAGACACTGGAAGAGGTCATTGAAGAGTCACAAGAGAACCAGGCAGTGCACCTGATTTCCTAGCAACTCAAAGGATATAGGTAGATGTCATGGAAGCAAAAGAGGCAAAACCAAAAAACAAAAACATAATATTTTTAATCTTCTGAGAACAGAGAAGAGACATTCAAAAAGACAAAAGGAAAGGGCAGGAGGACTGAGAGGGGCACAGGCCCACATGTCCCTGAGTTTTCCCATTAGTGAAAAGAAGATAAATGACAAAAGAAGGTTGTCATGTCTTTTGAAATGAGACATGGGGATTACTGTTGGCTAAAATGCCCACTAATCTAGCCACCACACTAGTTTTATGGTTTCAATTAGCATTTTTTTCTCTGATTATTTTAAATTAACCCTTACAGCCTCCCAAGCATTTTGGCAGAGTTACGGTGGAGAAAGTTACTATAAACTAAATTATAAATTTAATTAATCTAATTGGAGTTGAAATTCATGGCATCAATTAAATCCTCATATCTTATTCCCCTTGTTCATGTGATTGCCATTCTAGGCATGTATAAAACCTTGATGTGGCATAATTATGTAATTTCTTAAGCAACCCAGCCACAGCGCATTAATAATATCCTGGTTAGGAGGCGCAGGAGCCTAAAACCTTACTGGAAACAAAATCCTGAGCATTGTGAGAGCCTGAACTGTATCTCTTTCCTTCTTGTCTCTCCATATCATATAGCCCAGGCTGAAGGACACAGAAGGAGTTTAATGAGTGGTTCCTATGGAGACACAATCCTAAAACTGCCTTGTTGCCTCCATATTCAGTTGTCCAGCCACTACTGTATGATATTACAAATTGGCAGGCAGGTTCAAGGTCATATTCAAGCTTAAAATGCATTGAAGTCATAAAGTATTGTGCAGGAATGAGAGTTCTAAGGTGTATTAGATAAAAAAATTAGCCCTAGATGTCACATAGATAAAAATCTTGAAATATCAGGGACTTCATGCAGTAAATGGTTATTTCTTGCTTATTTCCCATTCTATCTTGCAGCTATAGAATCTGGAATGTGCACCCTCTGCAATGATCATGGTACGGGAAGTGAGAGATGGCAGAGGTGCACTGGTTCTCACTCATCTTAGCCTAGAAGTGACACATGTCATTTCCACTCAGAGTCCTTTGACTAGAAGAAGTCATGTGACCCCCAACGTACCTGCAAAAGAGGCTGTGAAATATAGAGAAGTCCATAGAATTTGATGAGCACTGTCTTTGACATGTTAGGATTTTTGCAGCACCTGGGGATTCCACCGTAGCTCTAGGTACTAGGCTATGAATGCCAAATAATATAAACATACAGATGAAACAGCCAGATAGTTCTTTGGGAGATTCTTTTATTAAAATAAGTTAAACATAGAAGGCAACTTTTTCTCTTTTCTTTCTTACTGGCTTGGAGAGTTAGCTTCTTGGATGTTGCATGGGGTCCCATTTCTGTACAGAATTCCGTTTAGTTTGGATTACACTTGTGCATCTTTCAGCCCAGGATCCCAAAAAGGGTCTCATGTATTTCTCTAGTCAGTTTCAGAGTTGTGCCCCTGAGATAACCATGTTGTCATGCCAATAATGGTTACTTGGAAATCTTTATGGGAAGTGTTCAAATATTAGAGGAATTAATAGAGAAATGCTATGTTATTTAACTATTAGAGCAATTTACACTAAAACAATAGAGGAACTTAGCCACAATTCCATATAAAAGCTGAAACAGAACCAGGGAAATATTTGGCCATCTGAAGCACTTCCTTAGGTGGCAGAAGGCTGGATGGCCTGAAGTATTATTAGCTTAGTTTTTTATCCAGTGTCAGGCCGAATAGTTTGCTGAGATTTCAGCCTTTCCTTACATCACATATCACACTATCATAACTGATGGAAGCCTTATTTATTTATTTATTTATTTATTTATTTATAGTGACTAAATCTCACTCTGTCATCCAGGCTGGAGTGCAGTGGTGCAATCACAGCTCATTGCAGTCTCAAACTCCTGGGAAAGCTACATTTTAAAATAGCAGGCTGGATGCGGTGGCTCATGACTGTAATGCCAGCACTTTAGGAAGCCAAGGTGGGCAGATTGCCTGAGCTCAGGAATTTGAGACCAGCCAGGGAAACATGGCGAGACCCCATCTCTACTAAAAATACAAAAAATTAGCTGGGAGTGGTGGCACATGCCTGTAATCCCAGCTACTCCAGAGGGTGGGGCATGAGAATCACTTGAACCCATGAAGTGGAGGTTGCAGTGAGCTGAGATTGCGCCACTGCACACCAGCCTGGGCGACAGAGCGAGACTGTCTCAAAAACAAAAACAAAAAAAGGAAATTGTATGGCCGGGAGAAGGTTTTATCAAAACAATTGTTGTGAACAGCGTGACCAGTAGATGAAAAGATTTCCACAAATTCCCAGCCGTTATTTTCACTTTACTTTCTGCTCCATCCCCGTTGTGCTCAGGAGGCTCCTCTCGACAGGGTGAGAGTCAGGCCCACCCTGTGCTATCAGGCAAGGGTCAGAATTGCTTTACCTTAAGTAAGACACTCTTGCTTCCACAAGTTAAAGGATATTTACTATGACTGTATCTTACAACACCAATTAGTTAATACTTGTAAAGTTCTTTGAGAGGGAAGACTACTCACTGTATGAATTTAAAGGGTGATTATCTTTTTGTTATTTATAAAAAACATCACTAAGTACAATTATCATTGTTTTAAAAATATTTTATTTGAATTCAACAGGATGTGGTTATTATCTGCTGAGTTAGTGAGGCTTCTGAGAGCTATAATTAGACTTGAATAACTGAAGGAGGGTAGGATAGACCAGAGTCTTGGCTAAGGGCCATGGGTTGAGAAAAGGAACATGCAGAAGATGGACTGGATTGGTGACATTGCCTTCTTTCTGTCACTGGCTGTAAATGGCAAGAATATGGCATGGCAAAGAAAAAAGAATTTTCCTCATAAATCAGGTAATTCTATAACTTTGTCAGAGGTACAGCGCTTGCTTGGCCTTAAGTATCATAAGCACAGTGTAGAGGGATTTCTGGCTTTGGCTTCACACAGCTCTGGTTGGCATCTTGACTGTTTCTTAGGAGCTACGTGTACTTGGGTGAATCACCTAAATTCATCGGATGTCAGTTTCTTAATCCATGAAATGAGAGAATAGTGTGTTGTAATGTGATATCAGTACTAGAAATAATGTGTGGCAAGTACTAATTACTGGGCCGAATTCATTATGGGTGCTCAGCAAATTGTACAGATAATCATGATCATTTGCATTAATAGTAACATGAGAAAAAGATCAGGAAAGTAAGCACAATCAGCAGTGATCATTATTTGGAGTCAAGCCTTGTATAGTAATGGCTTAATCAGGTAAAACTGTTGATTCTAACAGGTGAATTGGTTACTTTTCTAAGAAAACCACTATTTGTATTTTTTTTTTTTTTTTGAGACAGAATCTTGCTCTGACATCCAGGCTTGAGTGCAATGGTGTGATCTCGGCTTACTGCAACCTCTGCCTTCTGGGTTCAAGTGATTCTCCTGCCTCAGCCTCCTGAGTAGCTGGGATTACAGGTGCCCACAACCATGCCTGGGTAATTTTTGTATTTTTAGTAGAGACAGGTCTTCACCTGTTGGCCAGGCTGGTCTCGAACTCCTGACCTCAAGTGATTTGCCTGCCTTGGCCTCCTAAAGTGCTGGGATTACAAGCATGAGGCACCGTGCCCGGCCCACTATTTGTATTTAAAGGAGGTCTCCTGTAAGCATTATAACTTAACCTAAAGAATGGCTTTGGCAGGAATTTCAAGCACAGACAGACTTGATATTCCTCCCAAAGCCGTTCTTTAGGTTAAGTTGGTAAAAAAGAGATGGTTAAAAAGAGGCTGGTGAAAAAGAGATTTAGGGTGCAAAACTAACTTTTGACTTTTAGATCACATTATGTGGCGGACAGTTTACATTATAATCAAGACACTGGCATTTTACATTATTCAGATTTTAAGAGTTTGGTGTTTGATGTAGAGATTTATGCAGTGTTATAGGAAAGGGCATGATGTATTTATAGTGCATTTATAAGTCAATTGTCATTACATTAAGATAAAGTACAACAATATTAGTCCTTTGTGTCATGATGTGTGTAACAGCCCTTTCTGTCTTCATTAGGATGCCCATAGTTTTCTGACTTATGCTATGACTGTTCCACAAATAATGAAAAATATATTAATATGAATATTTTATGTACAATTTAATTTCTCTGCTGATCATATGTTTAAACAAATACTAAAATAATGCATATTTATTCTTAAAAAGCCCAACATTTCAGAAGTATATAGACTAAAAATGGAATATCCTTTACCCAAAAGAAATTTGATATGGTTTGGCTGTGCCCCCACCCAAATCTCAACTTGAATTGTATCTGCCAGAATTCCCACATGTTGCGGGAGGGACCCAGTGAGAGGTAATTGAATCATGGCAGCTGGTCTTTCCTGTGCTATTCTCATGACAGCAAATAAGTCTCACGAGATCTGATGGGTTTTTCAGGTGTTTCCGCTTTTGCTTCCTCCTCATTGTCTCTTGCCACCGTCATGTAAGAAGTGCCTTTCACCCTCCTGCCATGATTCTGAGGCCTCCCAGCCATGTGGAACTGTAAGTCCAATTAAACCTCTTTTTCTTCCCAGTCTCAGGTACGTCTTTATCAGTAGCATGAAAACGGACTAATACAAAATTCATACCATTTTAACTTTGCAAATTTTATGAAAAAAATTAAATCAACATTTCACTTTTCCATGACCTATGAAAAAAGGTCATAGGTCATGGAAAGGGGTCATGGATGAGCGGTCTGATGGAGTTCTGATGATGGTTTGCAAACTCTAAGCTTCTGAAACACTGTCATCTCTGTTATCCATGGATTCTTTCAGGATGACTTTTCAGCTTAGGGAGTCCAGACAAGACTATAAGCTTCTGGCCTAGGAATGTCTATGCAGGTGTCAGGGATTTGTCACACATGAATGCATGGCAGAGGAATTAAAAATTTCCTTTTACAAATAACCAACCTCCCAGCCAATTAATACAAATACACTCCTGCCTGTTGCCAAGTTATAATTCATTGTATTGTTGTGAAAAGAACATTGGGAGAGGTTTATGGTTTCAATGCTCTTTTAAGTCAAAAGCATGACATGAAAAATGGAGGCTTTAAAAGTGGAGTTTCTCTCTGAGGATCCAATTCTAGACTTCTCAATGTGGAAAAGTAGTAAGACTTATAGGAAATATTGCTGATAATTGCTGAAGGCTTTGACTGAAATTATTTCTGAAAAGTCTTTATAAAATACTTATTGGAGTTTCTGGATCCTAGCCAGCAGGAGCTTACAATTTATGACTTCGTGGATGGCAACAGATATTAAGGACACGCATGCAGCTGAGAAAGTATTGAATGAGTTTTACTGATGTGCCATTGTAAGAGTAAGTGTGTGCTGGAGGGTGAAATGACTATGATAATTAGAAACTTTAAAAATTATTTTATTTGTTATTAATACCTTCTTTATTCAAAGAAAGGAATAGGTCAGCTTTTAGGGATGTGCTGCAGTTATCTATTGCAGAGTAACAAACCATTCTGAAAGGTAGTAGCTTGATAATAACAACTGTCTATGGGCTGAGCTCAGGTGGGTGATTCTTCTGTTGGCCTTGTCTGACTTATTCATGTGGCTGCACTTATCTGGAGGTTTTATAGGGCTGGGGATCCAAAATGGCTTTATCCACATGTTTGGCACCTCAGCTAAGTCTGAAACAACTGGAGGCTGGACAGAAATCTTTCTCTCTCTCCTGCTACAGGTCTTTGCAGCAGAGTAATGGAATATCTTTACTTTATGTATTGGCTAAGGCTCCAAAGAGGCTGAAAGCAGAAGCTTCCATGCCTATGAAGGCCTAGGCCAGAGCTGGCAAGGTGTCACTTTCACTACCTTCTATTGATTAATAAATTCATAAGGCTGGCTTGATTCCATGTTGGAGAGAAAATAGACTAACTTTCTGATGGGAGGAAGAGCAAAGAATTTGAGTCATCTTTAATTCACTGAAGGACATAGAATAGACAAGAAAATGTAATAATAACCTCTAAAAATTGCCAATAAATTTTTGATTGAAGGTCAACTAGCAGATGTGACATGTTTACACCCAGTAGCAACAACACAAATTGTCTAATTTCAAGGACCCCAAAAGGTCAACTTACCAATTAGCTTAGCCCAAGGTTTACTTTTTTTTTTTTTCTGGTTGGAGTTACTCATATAATTTTACAATGTTAGCGTTGGGAGACAATTTGAAGGTTACCTAGTCCAGTCAAATGTTTTTTGATGAAAATAAGCATTTAAACAAGATTACAGACATATTTTTCTAGGTGAGAGGTGTAGCGCACGGGCTAACTAATTTGTTTATATGATTAATTCATTGTGACTTTGGTTGAGGACAGAATCTAGGGAAGTGGAACATAGGACAAGTATATTTTACATGGAAGGGAAAGGTAGGAAAATATGCAAGGTATGCAGTGTGTTCACAGCCTAGGAAGGTCCTAGGGATGGAGATGTGCACTGCAGTCAAAGAAAAATCAAAGTGCCTAGATCTGAGGAAGGGGGGATGCCTGAGGGAAGAATTTCAAAAGTGATACCCTACAGGCTTCTTCCCATTAGTGAGAGAGAAGACTTCTTGGAAAAACTGTTTCAACAGTATTGGAAATGAGAAGTAGATTTCTCATGAACTGCCCAGTTAGTTTGCAGGAATGCTTAACTTTTCCTCTAGAGATTAGCTTTTTCATATCTTTGTATAAGCTCAAAGTTTGTCAAAATATATATAGTTGGCTGATTTTCACCTTTGTCTTTCTGTAGTTCCTCTTCCCTGTCTTCCTAGAAGAGGGTGTTTATTGACTGATCTGTGATGGTGTTGCTCACTGGCTTCCTCTGTTGTTTTCAGAATGTATGTTTTTGGTGTGGATTAGCATCCAGGTGTGTGTTTATAATAATAGAGCTCTTTGAAGCCCAGTGTGCTGGACTTTGGCTCCCTGGCTGGTTGAAACATATTTCCCACTTCATTTTGCAGTTGTTATTTTTGCAAGCTAGGTTTAACAGCTTTGGTCTTTTCATTTTCTGAAAATTATGGGAATGCTTTGAGGTGCCAACATGTCTCAACATGTTTTAATGGAAGAGGAGCTGAGGTCATTGTGAAGCCAATAAATTTCAGCTGGAGAAGGAAAACTGTAAAAGGGAAAGTGACAGGTATGCCATTTCACCCTTTTTCCCTAACTGGCTGGTGGCATTGCTGTTACTTCTTCCCATGGTTTTTGGCCCACAGTTTCCTTGTTGACCAGCCCAATGTCCATAAGAGATACTGTTTCCATCTGCAGTTTCTGAATGGGATCTAACTCCTATTTGTAAAATATGCTACGTTCTTTTTGGGCCTGAGTCATTTTTTTTTTCTCTTATAAATAGATTGACACTGCAATTAAGAGAGACTTCACTTAATAAGAGAGACTTTGGGAATATAGGGAGTATTTAACACCTGTGATTCAATGAAACATGTATTTTTCTTAGATCTGTAATAATCCTAAATGATCCTGGACTATTTTAAAAAGTCGTAGTATTTTGGTGTAAAAAAAGCAGGTTCTACCCTATTTCTCAATGTACAAGATTTATGGGTCTTAGGGCTAGTTCATAACTCTAGGTTCTGCTTCAGTGGGTGTACTTGTTACTGAATTAGCTAAGGTATTAACTGTTTGATGACTTGAAAAGACAAATTTCCTGGTCTCACATGTTACATTTGCAAAGACTCTAGATTTCTATTTCAATAAAGCTTAAATGGAAACACCTCTGCTTTCAATGGTAGGCAATTTATTTGTGGGACTCTTGAGTGACTTTCCCAGAAAGGCTGGCTGCTGTGGATGTGTGCCTCTGCTCAGGTATCATTTTTCTTTTGAAACATCATTAAAGCACAACAGGGGTAAATCAATACCTATTGACTCGCAGTTGTGGTTTCTCATTTGTTCCACTGATCTGATGAGATGGCTTTTTAACCCATTTAGCACTATCAGAAAGGACACCTCTGGCCAGAAATGTTCCTGGCTGTTTGTGGTATCTGTAAATTGATTTTTTTTTCCTCATTCACCCTCTCTTTTCCTATCTGGCCCCCAGAGGACAGATTTTCTCAGACATGTTCTAATCTGATCAATACCAGAAAATCTAGGCAGTCATCAGAAAAAGCATCATCTTAAGGTTCTGAGCCTGAGAGACATGTCAGTAACTCTAAAACACTGTAGCTGAATGGCCTGAACACATCGAGCAAGGTGAGCCTTTCAGATTCCCTTGGAACCTGAGCTAGCACGTGCCTACAATGGGTGATTTTGCTGCCTGCTTCACTGACATAGACCTAAGTAGGCTAGGCAGGGAGAGGAGAGAACAGCTGTTGAAAATTCAGAGACCTCCCCACACTTTTTGCTTTGGGAAACTGAGAGAAGGGTTAACTTCTCCCATCCCCAGCTTGGCTTCCAGACCTGGAGTCCCTGCCCCTGGTTACCTTGTTAATGGAGATTGAACTTCAGTGACAGCTGTAGAGACTGGAGGAACAGGCCAGGACAAGAGGCATGAGTTGTCAACCAACTTTGCTTCAACTAGACCTGGTTCAGATGTCCTGGGGAAGGAAAGACAGCAATTTTGCCTGGAGGTATTCCTGGGACTCCCTGCAGGTTGAGGGCAGAAGAGGAACAATTAGCTCTTGACCTAGAATAGCTTGATAGGTTACTGCTGGTGGTTTGCAGAGGTGTGGGGGTGATGAGGAGATATGTAATCAATCATGTAATCAGAGGGCTTAAACAAAACAAAACAAAACAAAACAAAAGAAGAGAGGAGGGGGAGGTGAGGTAAGAAAGAGAAATAAATTTGGGTGTAGAGATTTTTTAAGAGAGTAAAAGTGGAAAAAAGGATTAGGAGACTAAACAAAGAGCCCTAAGAAGCTTATCTCTTGATGGCTAATGGACCCAATGTTTGTGTCCCCCCAAATTCATATGTTGAAGCCCTAGTCCCCAATGTGATAGTATTTGGAGGTGGAGCTTTGAAAGGTAATCAGGTTCAGATGAAGCCATGAGGGCAGATCCACCAGGTGAGGACATAATCAGGAAGAGGGGGCCCTCACCATAACCTGACCATGCTGCCACTATTCTTGGACTTCCAGCTTCCAGAACCAGGAGGAATACGTTTGTTGTTTAAGCTACTCAGCCTCTGGTAGTTTGCTATAGCAGCTCAAACTGACTAAGACACTATCAATCTGTCTTCCATAGTAAAGTGTCATCTGCATATATAGCTATCTTGTCTTCTCTCAAAGTATGAGGAACACATGCAGGTTTCTGGCATGCAGAATTGATCTTTGTTCGTATTTTCATTGTAATTGAGATTACTTGAGGAAATTGGGTAACAAGAAGTGTACTTAGAGAAAGTGGAATGAGAAATGAGAGAAAGCAGTTTGATTAGGCTTTTTGGTTAGATACAGTATTTGAGGCTAGTTTTTGGAGGTGAGTTATGTTTTTTGGGCATGGCTTTTTCTATTGAGATTTAGTCTACCAATGATTTGCTGTATTTTGACTTGTGTTTAGGTTTAAGTATGGTGTTAGGTGGTGAATTGTAATTGGGAAGAATTCTAACAGGTTGGAAAATTTATGTGTGTGTGAGGAGAATTTTCTTTCTTTCTCCTCTGGAATATATTTTAAAAATAAACTCCTCAAGAGAATTGGCTGTACTGCTGTCTCAGTCTGCTTGCTTCCCAGTCTCTCTTGAACCCACTCCAGTTAGACTGCTCTCACCTCCACATTGCTGAAATGCTTCTTATCGAGGTCTCTGTTGTGCTCCATGTGGATAAATGTCACGATCAGTTAGTTCTCATTTCCCCTGACCTCTTCAAAGTATTCCACATCAATTCACTGCCTTCTTGAAACACTTTCCTCACGAGGCTCCTGGACAACCCCCATTTCTGATTTTCCATCTCTCCTGTTCTGAGCCTCTTCAGTCTCAGTACTGGACCTCCCTTTCTTCTCATGACTTCTGCCCAGAGCACTCCAGGGCTTGTTCTCATAGCTCTGCTCCCTTTCTTCTCTCTCCCTCAGAAGACCTCGTGCACTTCCGTAACTTTAGATACCCTCTCTCTAGTTCCAGTGCTGACTATTCCCCAGAATTCCAGACTGAAACTCAGCTGTCTAAGCATCTCCACTTAGAAATTTAGTAGACTTCCACATTTAATATTTCCAACACACTCCTGATTCCACATTGCTCTTCCCCTAAAAAGAAACTTGTTCTTTCCTTGTACAAGAAAGAACTCAGAAGGTGATACCACTGTCTACCCAGCTGGTTATGCAAAACACTGTGGGGACATTCCTGATCCTTTCTTTATCTCATATCCTCATATTTACTCCATCAGCAAATCCTGCTGACTTCACCTTCACTGACTGCTCTTCACCATCTCCATCATCACTGACTGAGTCCTCACCACTCCCCCTGTCCTGGACCACTGCAGCAGTTTCATGACTTGTCTCCCTGCTTCCACTCTTGTGACCCTGGTAGCACATTCTCTGCTCAGCATCCAGAAATGAAACTTTAAAAATGTAAGTCAGATTGTTTCCTGCCATTGCTTCTCCTTCCAACTAGAATAAAAGCAAAGTCCTTCTCAAGCCCTACAGAGCCCTATATGAACAGGTCCTCGGCTAGCACCCAAACTCATCCCCTACCAGCCTCCCTGCGGCCCTACATGGCCTTAACTGTGCCTGCAATAATTAAGGCAATTTCCCACCTCACAGCTTTGTCCTTGCTCTTTTCTCCTCTGCAATGCTTCTACCCTGGATATGACTGAGTTCTCCTTTACATCCTACTCTCCATCAAATGAACCCTTCTCAGAGAGGCTTCTCGGATGACTCTCTTTTTCCTATTGCCATGTGCTGCATTATTTTTCTTCATATCAATGGTCATGATAGGATGATAACTGCAATATTAGAGTGTAAACTCCATGCAGACAGATACCTTGCTGTTTTCTGCTTTATCCTCAGAATCCAGAATGGAGCCCAGCAGATAATTCATGCTGATTTATGGATGGCAAATGTGGCTCATATCATCATGTGACATTCAAATAGATCTTGGGATGGTGGATGTGTGGCAGTACACTCATATTCACCATTTATTCAGCATGTTGTTTTTGACTAGTCCTATTTATACGGAATTAAGTAGGCTGTTCTGTCCCAGTAGATTGCAAACTTCTAGAAAAAAGGCACTAATATCTGATAATGTTTCAACTCAGCAAGTTTGTGACAATGACTCCCAACATTATCTTGAAGATCATATTTTTTACATTTTAGAGGTAAAAAACTGATAGCCTGTGGCCCAAATCCCCTTTAAGTGTGTTTGGTTTAACTTATACAGTCCTGGCCTGCATGATGTTTTATTTTACTTTATATTATTCTTTTGAGACAGGGTCCCATTCTCTCACCCAGGCTGGATTAGTGTGGCATGATCTCAGCTCACTGCAACCTCTTCCTCCTGAGCTCAAGTGATCCTCCCACCTCAACCTCCTGAATAAGCTGGAACTATAGGAATGCACCATCATGCCCAACTAACTTTTGGTAGAGACGGGGTTTTGCCATGTTTCCCAGGCTGGTCTCGAACTCCTGGGATGAATCAATCTGCCCACCTTGGCCTCCCAAAGTGCTGGGATTACAGGGGTGAGCCACTGCATCTGGCCCTTGAATGATGTTTAAATTTGAATTAGTTGTCAGCATTTAAAAATTTGAGTGATTTTATACAATAATCTAAATTTCTGGCTAAAAAAAGTAAATAACTTGACAATACTGGTTTGCAGTCCTTCAAAAACTAGCTGGAGATGAGTTACTGCTCCTATTTCAGTTGGGGCCTACACTCTCCCTTTTATGCAATTCTTCACTGTTCCTTACTGAGATCTGTAAAACGGGGCCTGCACTAATTGCCAACTTATGGCTTGCACTTGGCCTACTTCACTCATCTCTATATTTGCCTGGTCTCTATAGACTTTTGAGTTTGTGACCCCTATTCTCATCAAATGTGAGATTTTTCTCTTTTACTGTAGCTACTAAGACTTGAAATTTGTCCATTACCTCTTTCAGGTCACTAAGAGAACCATATAGTTATCATCTTGGCAATTAATGTTGGAGAAATGCTGCAGGACAGTTGTTTAATTTTGGAAAATGTTCTACTCTTCTCCTTGTGTCGTCCTTTATAGAAAATGGCTTTCCCCAATTGTTTGATTCTACAGGGAAATCTACTAATAAAATGAAAAGAGTATAGGCATTGGGATCAGACAGAAGAGGTAAAATATTGGATATAGCACTTGCTAGCTGTGTAACATTGGACAAGTTATTAACTTCTGTGAATCACAGTTTACTCGTTTGTAAAATGGGAATACTAAGTGCTAATCTCACAGTGTGCCTTTTCTTAATCAGTATATCTGGTTATCCAGTTATTATCATTTACACTTTGGTTTGAATAATGGTACAACTCTTCCAGGGTTCATTTGCATTTTAAAAGAGGAGCTTGCTAACTAAAGCGAATCTCTCAGTGGTAAGATAAAATAATGCTAATTGACAAGTTAATGGGTGCAGCACACCAGCATGGCACATGTATACATATGTAACTAACCTGCACATTGTGCACATGTACCCGAAAACTTAAAGTATAATAATTATTAAAAAAAAAAAAAGTGAAGCTTAAAAAAAAAAAAGTGAGACATTTTAAAATGGAGGCTTTCTAAGGACCATTGCCATCTTTTTGCCAGCAGGACAGGGGTTAATAACTTGATGTGAACCTCCTTCATTATGGATTTATGATGTAAGCCAGGACAAAATTTAAGAAGCTAATGATTTTTTTTTTTAAAAGCATTCACTTTAGGCTGGGCATGGTCCCTCATGCCTGTAATCCCAGCACTTTGGGAGGCCGAGGTGAGCGGATCACTTGAGGTCAGGAGTTCGAGACCAGCCTGGCCAAAATGGTGAAACCCCATCTCTACTAAAAATACAAAAATTAGCCGGGCATGGTAGCATGCACCTGTAGTCCCAGTAACTTGGGAGGCTGAGGCACCAGAATTGCTTGAACCTGGGAAGTGGAGGTTTTAGTGAGCCGAGATCATGCTCCAGCCTGGGTGACAGAGCAAGACTCTGTCTGGGGGGGAAAAAAAAAGCATTCCCTTTATATGAACAGATAATTCCTCAGTTATACAGACTGAAAAAATTAAGATTCATATTTGATTCTTTGTACTCTTTCATTGTCCTATTTTATTAAGCATCAAATCTTAGTAACCATATTTTTCTCTGCAATGTCTCTTATGCTCATCCCTTCCTCTCCATTCCAATGCTTTGATTCCAGTTTAATTCCTCACTTTCTCCCACCTGGGCTATTGTGGCATCACACCTAGTCTCCTTGCCTCTGGCTTTCCTTCCATAACACATCCTACACGTTGTTACCAAGTTAACTGCTCCAAAACACAGTTCTGATCACACTACTCCCATACTCAGAGAACTTACTGCTTGCCAGCTGGGTTAGATCCAAATATTCCATAGTATTACTCAAAGCTCTCTGTGCTTTGACCCTAGTCTACTTTCCTAGTCTTTCTCTGCACCTCTTAATCTAGCTAAACTGGGTCATTCTCTCAACACCTCCCAGGCTTTCCTCTTCCTCTACCTGTGCTCCTGCTCATCTCTCTGGCTGACATACATTACCTTCCCCTCCATCGACATGAAGACATTCAGCCATTCCATTTTATTTTGTTGTGCTTCAAATCCTTTCCAACCAACTGCTCCCTATTCAAGCAATGGGGTCCCTCAGTTTGTCCTTTGATTCATTATGAGCACTTGGTGGCTCATGGATCACTGAGAACAGCTTTGTGCCTGATCAAAGCACAGTGATTGGGAAACTGTAAGACTTGCTTTTTAGTTTTGACTGCCATTTATTACCTGTGTCTGGCAAATCTATTATCCTCAATTTTTCCTCACATAAAATACAGCCACTGATGTTTGTTCTGTTTCCTCAAGATTTGCTAAGGAAGATAGAAAATACTAATAATTTTGTATACTGTAAAATAAGCAACAAATGTCAAGATTTGCTAAGGAAGATAGAAAATACTAATAATTTTGTATACTGTAAAATAAGCAACAAATGTTAATTATTTTAATAGAGGGTTTTTTTGGTGAGTTCACTCAATGTATGACTAATGGATATTTATTTATTTTTCATTTTTTGAGACGGAGTCTTGCTCTGTTGCCCAGACCGGAGTGCAGTGGTGCGATCTTGGCTCACTGCAACCTCTGCCTCCCAGGTTCAAGCAATTCTCCCTACTTCAGCCTCCTGAATAGCTGGGATTATAGGCACCCACCACCACACCCAGCTAGTTTTTGTATTTTTTAGTAGAGATGGGGTTTTGCCATGTTGGCCAGGCTGGTCTTGAACTCCTGACTTCAGGTGATCTGCCCGCCTTAGCCTCCCAAAGTGCTGGGATGACAGGCATGAGCTACCATGCCCGGCGAACTAATCGATATTTCTAGTAGGGGGTGGCAGATATGTTTTTAAGGTGTTAGTAGGAAGTATTCTGGGTGTTTTTAAAGTCCCTTTAATTGGAGCGATGGTGCATGTTTTGTTTCAAGTTAACTAAAACTAATTTATAATTGTGCAGAGCTCTGGGAGAAGGGATTCAGCTTTGTTTTAGCTTCGGCTGCATTACTCTGCTACATGCAGAAGGAGAGAAACATCCATGCAACCTCCCCTTAGTAGTTAGCATTAAGATTGTCAGAATAATTCATCAGTACATCATCTTCTCATATTCAGAGACAACAGTTGCCTAGAACCCATCAGGGGTATTAGACTCCTGGCAGTTCCAGTTGGAAGCTTTCAAAGTCTCAGCAAATATACACTGAACTTCCATGTGAATTAGAAAAACTTGTTCTTTCTAGGCAAATAAATTACAAGAAAGTGCCCCTCCAGATATACCAATTAGGAAAAACTACAAGTTAAATTTATGCTGGTGGATCCAGCACCTCTTTGGCCCCCATGGGTGCCTTGTGTAGAGTGCATACTCACAACTGTTCAGGGTGACCTGGGGTACTTCATCACAGGCCAACATTCTGCTGCAGGGCTTTTACCAAGCACCCTAAAGAAAGAAAAGGGGATAAATTCTCCTGTGTCTCCAGTTGCTCTCTGACTGTTTCTGCTGGGATATAGTCTTGTGGAAGTGATATGCCTCCAAGACAACAGTTGCCTACTAAAAAATGCCAGGACAGTATTTACATTCTCCTGCATGGCACCTCACTCATTGTGTCAGTAGTAAGCATGACTACAAGAATAACTAGTAGTTATTTATTATTATTATTATTTTTTGAGACAGAGTCTCCCTCTGTCGCCCAGGCTGGAATGCAGTGGTGTGATCTCGGCTTACTGCAACTTCTGCCTCCTGGGTTCAAGCGATTCTTGTGCCTTAGCCTCCTGAGTAGCTGGAATTAGAGACGTGCACCACCACGCCTGGCTAATTTTTGTATTTTTCGTAGAGATGGTGTTTTGCCATGTTGACCAGGCTGGTCTCAAACTCCTAGCCTCATGTGATCCTCCCTACTCAGCCTCCCAAAGTGCTGGGATTACACGTGTGCACCACTGCGCCTGGCCAGTGGTTATATTTTGAACAGTATGATCCACTATAGATCTTCAAAAAACACATACTCATATATTTTCCAAGTGTTTTACAAACAAGGAGATACCACATCAAAGTAGTATGTGTCAGCAATGGGCTTGGCACATACTAAATATTCAACAAATATTAGGTCTTTGTGAAAATAAAACTGCTTTCAGATAAATGTCTTATTTAGGGTTATAATTGTTAGTATTCTAGTAACACTGTTCTTGAAAAAATGACATTTTTATTATGTAAGAAAATTGAAATTGAAAATAAAATATGATATTATATAAAATGCATTATTCTGTTAATAATGGTGCTTCCATACTGGGAATGGTATTTGTCATGATTTTGACATTAGCATAACAAACTTCTGTTTTTTCACTGCTTGAGTTTTTATATGGAGGGTTGGGAAGTCATTAAATATTATTCTCTTATACTCTTATCTTGTATTCTTTTTCTTATATCTCATATTCTTCATCTTAAAAATAGTTTTAGGCCAGGCCTGGTGGCTCGTGCCTGTAATCCCAGCACTCTGGGAGGCTGAGGTGGGTGGATCACCTGAGGTCAGGAGTTCAAGACCAGCCTGACCAACATGCTGAAAACCCGCCTCTACTAAAAACACAAAAATTAGCTGGGTGCAGTGGTGCGCACCTGTAATCCTAGCTACTCTGGAGGCTGAGGCAGGAGAATCACTTGAATTCAGGAGGCGGAGGTTGCGGTGAGCCGAGATCAGGCCACTACACTCCAGCCTGGGCAACAGAGCAAGACTCCGTCTCAAAAAAAAAAAAAAATAGTTTTAATTTGGAGAAAGAACATTCTGCTGAATATGTAGTAAATAGGATCGAGATGAAAAGGAACACATTTAAGAAAAACTTGGCAAGAGAAAGACATAAAATGCATCCAAATAGAAAGAGAGGAAGTGAAACTATCTCTGTTTGCAGATGATATGATACTATAACAAGAAAGCCCCATAGTCTCTGCCCAAAGCCTTCTAGATCTGATAAACAACTTCAGTCGTTTCAGGATGTAAAATCAATGTATAAAAATCAG
Organism: Homo sapiens; assembly: GCF_000001405.40. Classification (NCBI taxonomy): domain Eukaryota; kingdom Metazoa; phylum Chordata; class Mammalia; order Primates; family Hominidae; genus Homo; species Homo sapiens. Next base: position 40,591,826 of record NC_000005.10, on the reverse strand, counting down.
TAGCATTTCTACATAGCAACAATGTACATACTGACAGCCAAATCAAGAATGCGATCCTATTCACAATAGCCATAAAAAGAATATAATACCTAGGAATACAGCTAACCAGGGAGGTGAAAGGTCTCTACAAAGAGAATTACAAAGCACTGCTGAAAGAAATCAGAGATGACACAAACAAATGGAAAAATATTCTCTTCTCATGGATAGGAAGAATCAATTAAACCACTGATTTTGTTATTTACAAATTCAATGCTATTCCCATCAAATCAGCGACATTTTTTTCACATAATTAAAAAAATTTCTAAATTCATTTGGAACTAAAAAAGAGCCCAAATAGCCAAAGAAATCCTAAGCAAAAAGAACAAAGCTGGAGGCATCACACTGTCTGACTTCAAATTATGCTATAGAGGCCACAGTAACTAAAATAGCATGGTACTGGTAGAAAAATAGACACATAGACCAGTGGAACAATAAGTACCATTCTGAACATTGGCCCAGGCAAAGACTTCATGACAAAGACTCCAAAACAATTGCAACAAAAACAAAACTTGACAAATGGAACCTAATTGAACTAAAGAGCTTCTGCACAGCAAAATAATCTATCAACAGAGCAAACAGACAATCTACAGAATGGGAGAAGATATTTTCAAACTATACAGCTGACAAAGGTCTCATATCCAGAATCTGTAAGAAACTTAAACAAATTAACAAGAGAAAAACAAACAGCCTCATTAAAAAGTGAGCAAAGGACGTAAACAGACACTTCTCAAAAGAAGACGTGCACACAGCCAACAAGCTTATGAAAAAATGCTCAATATCACCAATGATTAGGAAATGAAAATCAAAACCACAATGAGATACCATCTCACACTAGTCAGAATGGCCATTATGAAAAGTCAAAGGACTGGTGCGGTGGCTCATGCCTGTAATCCTAGCACTTCGGGAGGCTGAGGTGGGTGGATCACCTGAGGTCAGGGGTTCGAGACCAGCCTGGCTAACATGGTAAAACCCTGTCTCTACTAAAAGTACAAAAATTAGCCAAGCATGGTGGTGGGCACCTGTAATCCCAGCTACTTGGGAGGCTGAGGCAGGAGAATCACTTGAACCCAGGAGGCAACAAGAGCGAAACTCGATCTCAAAACAAACAAACAAACAAACACAATTAAATAACAGATGCTGGTGAGATTGTAGAGAAAAGGGAAGGCATATACACTGCTGGAGGGAATGTAAATTAGTTCAGCCACTGTGGAAAGCAGTCTGGAGACTTCTCAAAGATCTTAAAATAGAACTACCATTCAACCCAGTAATCCCATTACTGAGTATATACTCAAAGGAATATAAATCATTCTACCATAAGGAAACATGCACAGGTATGTTTATTGCAGCACTCTTCACAATGGCAAAGATATAGAATCAACCTGGATGCCCATCAACAGGGGACTGTAAAGAAGATATGGCACATATACACCCTGGAATACTATGCAGCTATAAAAAATGAGAGCATGTCCTTTGTAGCAATATGGATGGAGCTGGAGGCAATTATCCTGAGTGAATTAATACAGGAACAGAAAAACCAAATACTGCATGTTCTCTTATAAGTGGGAGCTAAATATTGAGTGCACATGGACACAAAGAGGGGGAACAATAAACAATGGGGCTTATCTGAGGGTGGAGGTTTGAAGGAGGGTGAGGATTAAAAACCTGTCTATTGGGTATTATGCTGATTACCTGGGTGATGAAATTATCTGTACACAGCCCCCATGACATGCAATTTACCCATGTAACAAACCTGCACATGTACCCCTTGAATCTAAAATAAAAATTGGAAAGGAAAAAAAAAAAGAAAAACTTGTTCTTAATGTTTTCATGTAACAATTATCTCAGCAAATTCCAAAATACTTTATTTACTTTTGTGTAGTAATGCTTTTATTCAAAGCAGGAATTTTGTTGCTTACACTTCTGAATGGGTATATACAATGTCTTTTATTCCTTCTTGGTGATTTTTACAGCTGATTTTTTTCCCATTCAAATTAATTGGGTTCCAGCAAGAAATTCATAATTGTAACAAAAAGATCTTGAAATATTTTATTTAGTTTGGTAATTACTGTGTCATTTGCAACATAAAAATGATATATAATATTCTTTTCACTTAAAAAAACTGTGGAAAGTCAAAGAACTATCCAACTATACTTGGCTTTGGCTAGAGCATAAAATGTAAAAAAAAATCCTTAAGATAGTATTAAAAAACAATTTGATACAGATGTTTTAATGCGAGAAGCAAGATAACAGCAATAGTTTTCATCTAGAATAAACACAATTGGGTTGCCTACTATATGTATATAAATATATATGATTTAAAGTTTATTTTGTTTTTCTCCTTGATTTGTTTTGATTTTGTCTTCAAGTGCACAGAATGGAGAAAACTTAATGGATGTCTCATAATACAACCTCACCATTGTTTTATGTATGGCCTGCTTTTATCTACTCATCCATCATGATTAATATAATCATTCATAAACTCATCATCAAAAATAAAAGCTAAATTCTTTTTTTTTTTTTTTTTTTTTTTTTAGACAGAGTCTCATTCTGTCACCCAGGCTGGAGTGCAGTGGTGTGATCTTGGCTCACTGCAACTTCTGCCTTCCAGGTTTAAGCGGTTCTCTGCCTCAGCCTTCTGAGTAGCTGGAACTACAGGTGTGCACCACCACGCCTGGCTAATTTTTTGTGTTTTCTTTTTAGCAGAGATGGGGGTTTCACCATGTTGGCCAGGCTGGTTTCAAACTCCTGACCTCAAGTGATCTGCCTGTCTCAGCCTCCAAAAGTGTTAGGATTACAGGTGTGAGCCACCACACCTGGCCAAAGACAGGAGCTAAATTCTTGATAATAACTTACATCAAGTTATATGGTTTCCTTCTTCTGTACCACCCCATTCCTAGCTTTCTCTTCCCTGGGAAGCATCACCCTCTTCCCTTGCTTTCTCTTGCTTTTCTTTTAATATAATTTATCGCATCTGTATCTATTCCTAAATAAGATATCCTACTGTGTGTGTAATCTTTTGAGAATTATGTTTAACTTAATAACATACTGCTAAGATTCATCTATATTGTTGTGTATTGCTATTGTTAATTTATGAGATTTTCGAATAGGACTTTGTTGTATGAATATGTCATTTTTTTCCATCTTGTTGATGGGCATTTGGGTTATTTCTAGGTTTTGCTTTTGTGTACAGTGCTGCTACAGACATTCTTGAGCATGTTTCTTAGAGTACTGGCACAAGGATTTCTATTGGGTATACCCCTGGGAGTGAAAGAGGGCATGTGAATGTTTAACTCCTTGAGATGAGAAAAATTATTTTCCAAAGTGATTGAGCCAATTTAATCTACTTCCAGCAAGACATAGAAGATTCTGTGGCTCCATATTCTTGAAAATGCCAATTATTGTCAGACTCAGTATTATTTTTTTGCCAAATGAACGAGTTTAAAATGATATCACATTGATTAATTCTCTGATTAATAATAATGTTGAACAGCTCCTTACATGTTTATTGACTATATGTATTTTTTTGTGTGTGAAATGTCTCCTTAGGTCTTTTGCTTCTTTTTCTATTAGGTATTTTAATAGTTTTTCTTTTTGTAAAATAAGACTCATTCAATTTACAAATGTCAATAATTTTAGAAAAAGATCAGCAAAAAGCAAAAGACTCTGTTGTGAACCAACTTTCATCATGTTAGTCATGCAAAACTTTTAGGTTCTTTCTTTTTTGTCTTGATAACAATAGCCACAAAAGATTTTTGAAGTAGCAATGGTTAGCTTCTTCTCCACAACCTTGCTACCAGATTAAAATGAATACATGTCTCAGACTGAAGTCTGTTATATAGTCAAATACATATTCAACAAATATTCACTAGCTAGCAGGTATAAAACTATTCACAAATTTGATCTGCAGGCTCCATGAAATCTCAGTCATCTGCTCTTTCAGGTGTCAGAGTACAGGTTGGCTTATTTCTATGTCATCTAGTCAGTCTCATTTGATTGAAACAATGGTTGGATATAGAATGTATCAGAGATTAGTTTCCATTCCTAAGGAGACATGTTACTCAGTTCCCTTGTACACACAAGAGTGAACAGATCTTTAACAACTCTAGACAATCCACATTCCTTGAATACCTGTAATTGCACAAATAGGAGAGAATTTCTAGCATGCATCAAGCAAATAAATAGTCATTAGTATCACATAATTAATTGGACTAATTTGACATCTTATGCATCAGCAAAATGTCTATTGTCAATCAAGATACAGACAGCAGAAGGGCTTAACAGCAGCCACTCTGAAGAGAGGCCCTTTCTAGTATAATACTAGCTCATACCTCGGTACTGCATTCTTGAAAGAATGTTGCTGAGTATCTCTAGAATCAAAGCTTAAGTGAATCAGCACTTACATACTATTACAATAATGATGCTGAAGTATTTTTTAGGAAAACAACAGTCACTGTGACAGATTCTCACAGTTCTACTTCTTTCCAGTAGACATAACTACCGTTAGTTTAATATATACTTCTCTAATAAATGTCTTATTTTTTTGCACAAAACAAATTTAGTTTAATGATTTATAAAACAAACACCTGTATAAAAAACAAACCCTAGTATATAAAAAACAAGCACCAGTATAGATCAACATTAAAGCTGAGAAACAGGACATTGCTTACACCTTCCTGAATGACTCCACCTAATTTATCCCTTTTCCTTCCCCCTCTAGGTAAGTATCCTAACAAGGACAGTAAGATGTTCATGTTCTTGTTTTCCACTGTAGTTTTACACCTATTTATGTATTCTTAAACAATATAGTTTTAGTTTACTTTAAGTTTTAATGGTCTAAAAAGGAAGCATTTTTAAAAAGTGATTTGTGAGAGGAGTTTAAATGGGTTATTTTCTTCTATCCCATCAAAGTAACCCTACAAGTTAGCTTAGCTGTATATGCCTTCATAAATCAGAAATGGTTCCATTTCTCAAGTTTGCAATGTCCCATTATGCCATCCATTACCCAAGGAAGGAATTCTGTATTTACTGGCTGTTAATAAGTGACTTTATTTTTATTTTTTATTTTTTCAACAAATCAATTAATGCAGATTATTAGCACTTTTATATAGGAATTCTCACCTCCCAATACAGAGGCTACTCAGAATGTGTTTGCTCACCCACTCAGCAAGCTCCCCAGTCTTTGACAATCATGTTGGGTCTCTAGACGTTGTTGTGTCGTCTTCTAAATCCAAGGCCTCTTATGCTAAGTTAGTGCTATTTTCTTGATGAATGTTGCTGGCAATTTAGTTTGTAGAAGGCAATTTTTGATTCCCAGTAGAGAGGAAATACTTTTAGGTGAAAAAGGAGTGCCTGTCCTCAATGAGGGCCTCTGGTGCTCAGTACCAGGGGCCACCAAAGATGTGTGAGCTGGTTATTGTCTTGTGTCATGGGAACATGTTTTGTGCCAGCCCCACCTCGCCTGTTCTAATTCATCTGCAAATAATATAGTTAGAAATGGAGGCAGAAGTAAGGCTATAGCCTTCTTCTAATATAGCTCCATTTCTGTGTCAGTTTTTGACTTTTCAGTATGTAACTTTGCTTTCATTTATCCCAATGACCCTTACATTCTTTGCTTTCATTTATACCAATGACCCTTACATTCTTAAAACACCTGGAGGTGTTTTAAGATCCTTATAGTTAAGGGTTAAGAGCAAATTCTCATAGGCCTGAGGATAGGTTAACCTCACCCTCCTTCCACTCCAACACACATACCTTTTTCCTTTAGTCGGGACTGTGGACACAACAATAATTGGTTTCTACCCTAGCTGGACAGCCAAGGGATTGCAGAGATTGTGTTGGACTTGACTTCTCCATTAATAAGAATGCTTATTGAGTGCTTACTAAGTATCAAGGGGGTGTTAATTGCTTCACATACAACATCTTATCTAATTCTCGTGGTAACTCCGGAAGGCAGATATTAAAATATCATCAGTGCATTTTACAGATGGGAAACTAACCCAGAGAGGTTAGGTAATTTCCCCAAAATTACATATTTAGTGGCGGACCCAGAATCTAGGTTTGCCTCAAAGATGTGTACTCTTAATAACCACAAAACTATATTTTCATGTTCCTTGAAGTGGCAGAAATACAGCTCTAAGAAGCTAGTTGTTCCTTTCGGTGGCTCAGAAAATGGGTAATGGTTCCAATGTGAAAATGTAGAAATGTCCTTTCTGGTTTGGAGTCCATTATGATGAACAAAGATGTAGTTGAGTTCTTTTCTCTCATTTTGGATAGTTCACCACATGTTTTGTTTAGGTACCATAGAACCCTTAGACCAATATTTTGGATTCATAGAGCAAATGCGTTGGCTATGTTAGTCGCTGGCTTGATGTAAGTCACTTACAAGTTCCTGGAATATCATCTAGTTTTATGTTCAAAATATGTACAAAATATCCCTCCCATGTGCTAAATATATTACTAAAAAAACCCACCAGGCAAAACCCCCTCAACCCCTCACCCCTAATATTAGTAATTTCAAGTTGTGTCTCTATTCAAAACTCTCAAGGTCTAATGGTGTGAAGGAAAGAATGTGGATCAAATAGTCCTCAGTTTGAATCCCCACTCTGCCTTTTACTGACTCTGTAATCTTGGGCAAGTTTCTTAATCTATCTGGGCCTCAGTTTTGTTTTCTATTAAATGGGAATATATATTAACATTTTCTTTATAGGGTTGTTGTGAGAATTAAATGAGGTCTAGCATAGTGTTTGACAGGCTAAAGATTCTCCTCTAAGCCCTGGTAAGTGTTCAAAAGTGAACTACTCTTTTAAAAAAGTTATTGTGAATTTTGTTAATAGAATTATAGAATCTAAAGGTTGAAAATAACTTTGCAGATCACTGAATGCAGGTTTCCAAACATATCTGTGTATCAACATCAATTGAAGAGCTTTAAAGTACACAAAATTCCAAACTCCAGTGGCTAGAGATACTGATTTAGTAGGTTTGGGTTGGGAAGCAGGAGGCCTGGTCTTTAAAAAGTTTCATTTATAGTGGTGAATACTTGTCGTTATGCATTTGTCAAACCCCATAGAATGTATAACACTAAGAGTGAAGCCTAATGTAAATTATAGACTTTGGGTGATAATGATGTGTCATGTAGATTCACCAGTTGTAACAAATGTACCACTCTGGTGTGGACACTGATGGCTGAGGGAGGCTCATATGTGTCTACAGGGGAGCAGGGAGTATATGAGAACTCTTCATACTTTTTTTCTCAGTTTTGCTGTGTACCTAAAACTGTTCTAAGAAATAAAGTCTATTAAAATTTCCATTGAGAATTCAGATTAATATTTAAGTTTGGGATCTCTTTAATTCACCCTCCAGAACAGAAGCACCCACAGCTGCAGCACTCCTAGAATTATTGCTCCCTTCCTGTGCTGGTACTGGAAATTCACTACCCTCACAAAGTCAGTTCCATTGTTGGGTGGCACCAGGATTCAAAAGTTCTTCCTTATATAGAACTGACATCAGCCTTATTGTAACTTCCAATCATTGTGCACAAACGTCAGCCTTATTGTAACTTCCAATCATTGTGTGCAATTCCTCCCCCTGCAGCCATGTGGTATAAATCTAATTTGTTTCTCATATGGAGCCCATTCATGTATTTGAAGGCAGTGCTCATAGTCCCCCTGCCTCTTCCCCATCCCAAATCGTCTCCTTTGAAATCTAAAGATCACTTGAACCTTCAATGGTCCTTCCTCTGACATAATTTCCAGGCAATTCCCACTCCTGATTAGTAGTTTTTCTTGGTATTTCATTTTTGGCAATATTAACAATACAATCCATCTGGCACAGATAGCAACTGTATCAGAATGGAGACACTTGCTGTGCCTGGTATTAACCTTTTGGTCGCTAGGCTGGCCATACTGGTAGATACTTGCTGAGTATCAGGCTAGTCCACCTCTCTTAGAACACAATGCCAGTATTGAACATGATGCCCTAATGGTGGTATGAGGTACAGAGTTGAGTAGGCCTGTGTCAGCTTACAGATATCTGCATCACACAGTAGGCTCTCTCTGGTGATAAAACAAATATAGGAAATATTTTCAACTGAAGAGCTGTGAAATCATTTTTATTGTACCTTTTTATTGAAATTTGTTATTTGATTTTTGAACCTGAATGCAGGTTCACCTTTATTATTTTAAAATTTTTTTCCTTTTCAATTGACAAATGAAAGTTATGTATTTATCATGTGCAATGTGTTTTGAAATACGTATACATTGCAGAAGGGCTAAATTCAGATAATTAACATATGTATTAGCTCATATACCTATTTTTTTGTGGTGAGAACATGTAAAATCTACTGTTAGTAATTTTTAGAATACAAATTCATTGTTACTAACTGTAGTCACCATGTTCTACAATAGAGCTCTTCAACTTATTCCTCCTATCTAACTGAAATTTTATATCCTTTGACCAATTGCCATTCCCCCCTTCCCTATTCTACTCTTTACTTTTATGAGATCAACTCTTAGATTCCACATATAAGTGAGATAATGTGGTATTTGTCTTTCTGTGCCTGTCTTATTTTACTTAATGTCCTTCAGATTCATCCATGTTGTTGCAAATAGTATTTTTTTCTTTTCGTAAAGACCAGATAGTATTCCATTGTGTATATATGCCACCTTTTCTTTATCCATTCATCCACTGATGAACACTTAGGTTGATTCCATATCTTGGCTATTGTGAATAGTGCTGCAATGAACATGAGAGTGCAAATATCTCTTTGACATACTGTTTTCACTTCCATTGGATATATACCCAGCAGTGGGATTGCTAGATCATATGGTAATTTTATTTTTAATTTTTTGAGGAATCTCCGTACTGTTTTCCATAATGGTTTTACTAACGAACATTTCTACCTACAGTGTTCAATGGTTCCCTTTTCTCCACATCCTTGCCAACACTTGTCATCTTTTGTCTTTTTGTCTTTTAGCCATTCTAACGTGTGTGAGGTGATTTCTCATTGTGGTTTTGATTTGTATTTCCCTGGTGATTAGTGATTTTGAAAATTTTTAAATATACATGTTGCCCATTTGTATGTCTTCTTTCAAGACATTTCTATTAATATCCTCTGTTCATTTTTAATGGGGTTAATTTGTTTTCCCACTATTGAGTTGTTTGAATTCTTTATATATTTTGGATGTTAATGGCTTATCAGATGTTAACATTTGCAAATATTTTCTCCCATTGCATATGTTGGTTTTTACTCTGTTGGTTTCTTTGGCTGTGCAGAAGCTTTTTAGTTTGATAAGTCTTGTTTATTATTAATCATGAGATTTATGATTCATTTTTTTGCTGCCTATCTTGGACTCTTGGTTTGATTAGGTAGCAGGTGCTCCTATCTCATGACTTCAGGGAGTCCACAGTTGATGGCTTTTGATACTGTTACTAATAATAAAGTTAAAGGAGATGGGGTGAAGAGACCTATAGAAATATTCAGTAGAGCTAATTAACTTATCTTTTTTTATGGTGAGAATCTTAAAAATCTACTTTAGCAATTTTGAAATGTAAAATAAATTATTACTAACTGTAGTCACGATGTAGTGCAGTAAGCCACTAAAACTTATTTCTCCAGTCTAACTAAAACTTTGTACCCTTTGATCAACATCTTCCCTTTCCCATCCCTCACCCTCCTGTCCAGCCTCTGGTAATCACCTTTCTACTCTGTTTCTATGAGATTGACTTTTAAAGATTCTTCATATAAGTGAGATACAGTATTTATCTTTCTGGACCTGGCCTAATTCATTTAATATAATGTTCTGTCCATGTTGTTACAAATGACAAAATTTTTTTGTATTCTAAGGGTATATATTATTCAGTTGATGGAAACTTACGTTGATTCCATATGTGGCTATTTTCAATAGTACTGAAACGAACATGGGAGTGCAGATATCTCTTTGTCATACTGATGACAATTTCTTTGGATATGTACCTAGTATGAAATTGCTGGGTCATATGGTAATTCTACTTTTAGTTTTTGTGAAACCTTCATACTATTATACAAAATGGCTATACTAATCTACATTCCCACCAACAGTGAGTAAGGATTCCATTTTCTCCCATCCTTACCAACACTTCTTATCATTCATTTATTGATAATAGCCATTCTGACAGGTGTGAGGTAATATCACACTGTGATTTCCATTTGTATTTCCCTGATGATTAGAGATGTTGAGCATTTAAAAAATGTATCTGTTGCCCATTTGTATTTCTTCTTTTGAGAAATGTCTATTCAGATCTTTTTGCCCATTTTAAGTGGGGTTATTTGCCTTCTTGCTGTTGAGTTGTTAACCAAAGGGATAAAATATTTGTACACTGAAAACTAAAGAACATTGATGAAAAAAGTTGAACAAGACCCAAATAAATAAAAAGTTATCCCAGGTTTATAGATTGGAAGAATTAATATTGTTAAAATGTTCATGCTACCCAAAGTGATCTACAGATACAGTGCAGTTTCCATGAAAATTCTATCATTATAAACAGAAATAAAAAACTAAATCCTAAAATTAACATAAAACTAGGAAATACCCTAAATTATAAAGCAATCTTGAGCAAAAAGAACAAAGCTAGAGGCATAACACTCTCTTATTTCAAAAGATAAAGCTATTGTAATCAAGGCAGCACGGTACTGGCATAAAAACAGACAATGGAACAGGATGAACCAATGGAAAAGGATAGAAAACCAAGAAATAATGCAAATATTTAAGATCAGTTGATTTTCAATAAAGGTGCCAGGAACACACAATTGGGAAAGAACAGTCTGCTCAATAAACGGCACTGAGAAAGCTGGATATCCACATACACAAGAATAAAGTTGGACCCTTATCTTACACCAGATACAAAAATCAACTCAAAACTGATAAAACTTGAACATAAGACCTGAAACTGTAAAGCTACTAAAAGAAAACATAAGGGGCAAAACTCCATGATATTGATCTGGACAATGATTTATCAGATAGGACTCCAAAAAACACAGGCAACAAAAGCAAAAACAGACAAATGAGATTACATCAAACTAAAAAGCTTCTGCACAGCAAAGAAACAACTAACAAAATGAAGAGACAACCCATGGATTGGGGGAAAATATTTGCAAAACACATATCTATCTCATAAGGGGCTAATATTCAGAATATGTAAGCAAGTCAAAGGATCCTTTAAGTTTTCTTTCTATACTTTTAAGTTATTTTCAGGATGGTGAAATTATTTAGTCTTAAAGCTATTTTTATCTTTCAGTTTCTGTCTCTGCTTTTATTGACTCATTCATTTTCTCTTTATTCTGGATTATGTTGAGGGTATGTGTGCCTCTGCACTATGCCTGGTCAGGATACAAATGTGAGAATTTACAACAATCCTTATCATATATTTGGGTCAGCAGCACCAACAAGTATCATGGCACAATACTGTCTTACTCCCTGATGTCACCACAAAGGCTATGGCCTCTGACAAAGCAATTTTACTTTTTACTTTAAAATTCATTATAGAAATATCATAAAGTGGCTTATGTAAACATTTCGAAAACAATGTCTATTTTTTATCTTATGCTGTTTCAGTTGTGTAACATTTGCAAATCTTTCCAAAGACAACTATATTCTAAATATGCCTTTTTTGAGCTTCATGTTTTAATTATAGTTTTTGGGTATTAAGTGATGAGATTTATATTCATCCTATTCAGGGTTTTATAAATTAGAATAGTGGTTCTCAAATGTAGTTTGGGCAGATATGGGATGGTGGTTGGTAGTGGTTTCAAAGGAATTGCAATTTCATATGCGTATCCAAACATTTTCTTTGGTGGAATAAAATATAATGACTTATATTCATAAATACACACATACAAAAATATGTAGATGCTGAGATTAATAAAATGAAAATTAATTAAAAAGAATTATCTAACTTATGAATGCTTCTTATCCTATTGTATTTTCTCAATCAATAATTACTAAATGCTTAGTTACCACCACCTGTGTTCTCAAATATTTTTGATGTTAAAAAAGATTTTCTTAGAAAGACTAGAAGCCACTAACTTAAATCATGTCTTTTAATAGGTTTTGTTATTTCTTCATGAAAATTCCAAATCTGATTTTTCTTTGCTGCTGGAACGTGCTTCCCATTTGCTTGAGCATTTTAGTTTCTGTCTTCTATACTTTTTTCAATAATGTTTTTCCTTAGGAGTTGTTATAAAAAGTCACAGAATATTTTTTGTTGTTATGCAGGGGTGAGATAGTAATGTGCTGTTCTGTTTCTACCACATTTTGCTGACTATACTAAGTACTTTCTAGGTTGTTCTGGTCATAGCTACTTGCTGGTCCTATCTTTTAGGAAACTGAAGTTACGATTCTTTCTATGAATTGGCTTTTTGTAGTTTTTTGAAGCAAGAGATGACTTCCTGCAATGTTGCCTGGCCTAATTGCTTACACTTTCACTCCTCTCTGGATCTCCCCTTCTGCCCCAAAATAGAAACATTAAGCTATCATCACGTCTGTCCATTCCTTTCTTCTCCTCCTCCTCCTCTTCCTCCTCCTCCTTCTTTTAAATCAACCTCTCCCCCTATATTGGTTCTTTCCCCTATTAGCATCTTTCAGTTCTCCCCACTTCAAAGTAAAACCTTCTCACAACTCTAGTTACCCCTCTCCCTTTTCACTATTTATCGGCACTTCTTGAATTCCTGCTTACTTTATTTATTTTTTATTTTACTTTAAGTTCTGGGATACGTGTGAAGAATGTGCAGGTGTGTTACATAGGTATATATGTGCCATGGTGGTTTGCTGCACCCATTAACCTGCCATCTAGATTTTAAGCCCTGCGTGCATTAGGTATTTGTCCTAATGCTCTCCCTCTCCTTGCCCCCCACCCCCTGACAGGCCTCTGTGTGTGATGTTCCCCTCCCTGTGTTTACTTTCAACACTTTCTCACCTCCCATTCATTCCTTAGCATGTGACCATCTGGCTTTTGCCTTTGTTATTTGTCAGAAATGACTCAAGCGTAGGTAAAAATGGAATATACTAAAAATCTCACAGACACTTTTAGTTCTGATATTAGTTTGCTCTCTGTAGCATGTGAACTACTCACACTGCTTGGATGGGGCTGTGCTGTGCAGGCCTCCACGGCTTTGCGTAGGCTGTTTCTTCATCCTGGTGTGCTCATTTCCTTGTATATCACTGGCTAACTGCTATGTTTCCTTGATGATTCAGTTTAAATAAGTGTCACTAATTTGAGAAGCCATCCCCACGCTCCCTCTTAGCTTCAGGCTGTTAAGGGATCCTAGAGAACCCTGTATGTATGCTCTCATGTAACACATTCTATTAAAAATGTTCAATGTTAATTTTGACTTTGAATAAACGTTCTGTGTTCATTATATATAAATCAGAAAATTCTATGAACATTAAAAAAAAAAGGCTCCAATAACCTTATAACCCAGAGAAAACCACTACTAGTATTTTGGATTTTATCCGTCCAATGCATGCACATACACACATGTTGATGTAGCCTGTTTTAAAAAAAATCTTAATAATGTATCCCAAATATTGTTCCCTCATCTGCATCACCATTTTCAAGGCCTTGGTCTATTCACTTTCGATGCCTTCTAATTTATTTAAACCATTCCCTTTTCATGGATATTTACTTTGCTCCCTCTCTCTTGCTTTATTTAACAAACTACAATAAATGTCTTGTACCACCATCTTTGTACCTTGTCCCATTACATCCTAATAATAAATTTTAAGCAGGGGATTTGTCTGCGCAAGAGATATTTACAGTCTTAGAACTTCTGACATATTTACCCATATTAACTTTTAGAAAAAATGTTACCTTAGTTTACGAGGGTGACTGACCACATACTGTTGTAATTGCTGGCTTGTTTGCTTACCCTTCTCCCTAAATTTTTGGTACTTGAGTGTCTTTTCATGGAGATTTCCCCAGAATGTCTGCTATACTAAAGGTACTCAGTAATTATTTTTTAAAGGAATCAATCTATATTTTTTGTGAGGAGTTTCTTTCTGTGTTTTTCAAAGAAGAGTATTCACGCTGGCTTTGAAAAAACTTTTCCAAAAATAAATAGATTAGGATACATCTATGAGTGGATCACATTGCAGCCATTGCAAATGTTCATGTAGAAGTATGACAGTTGTTTACAATATGGTGTTGCCCCAAAAGAATAGGCTATAAAACAATATGTATAGTATCATTCCATTTTATGCATAAATTATATGCATAAAATTATATGCTTATAAATTGTACCTGTATGCATAAATTACATTTACAAAATGGAAATTGGGATGTACCATGTTTTATTATGTGTATTAAAGGAATTCCCAGTAATCTTTTATAACACATACACGAACAGTTTAAATTGTTATTTAAATTAGTATTAGATAACAGTTAAACTGTTATTTAAATTGGTTATAAAATTGATATTTTCCCAATCGTCTCTTCTTTTCTCTTCACTAAGAGATACAAGAAAGACAAGGGTTATAATTCTAGTTCAGCTAATATGATATAGAATTATTTGTCCAGTTTTCTTGCATAGGTTCTCTAACCATATAATAGGAGTAATAATGCCCATCTGTATCCTCTTGCAAAAGATGTCATGAAATAATAGAGATTACTTGGTGTTCTTGTGGAGAAAATTGGAGTAGAGATCCTGGGTGTTTTTATTTATTATTAATATCACCCCACACCTCCTGCCATGTTTTGAAATGACTCAGGATCTTAATGGTGTGACAAGGGAGTACTTGGGAGAAAGGGAAGGAATCTGATGAAATATAACTCAATATCATAGGTAAAATAGTTATTTTTTTATCACTTTGCAAGCCAACAGCATTTTATTCCTTATCATCCATCATGATGTAATGATACTCCTGTGTCTTCTGTACTTTCCTGTCTTCCTTTTGGGTAATTTTGGCTGTTTAAAATTTTAAAAAACAGTCTTCCTTTTGACTGGGTTAAGAGAGAAATTTTGCAAGGTTAAGTCTGTGTACTTTTGTTTACCACCCCTTTATCATCATTAAATCAAAAGGAAAAACTTCCTAAATATTTAAGGTAAAACTTATTTCTGTTTTTCATTTTGTCCATAATACATTTTTGCCTTTCCTTAAAAAAGCATCAGAATTGAAAAGATGGAAAATTCTATCATAATTATTAGATAAATCACTTTTCAGGAAGGATTCCTAATAATTGTTTCAGATTGCTGGCTTAAGGGAATATTTTCTATTTATTAAATGTTAAAGTGATAAATTATAATTTTTATTTTACTGTATACCTTTTAACTTTTAAGGAACAGTCTCATCCATAGCCACAGAAGGGATGAGATAATCCTATTATGCAATATAATGATAATAATAACTATTAATTATTGAGAGCTTACAGTGTTCCCCAAACTGTTCAATGTGCTTTACGTATGTTACCTTGTTTATTATTATTGTTATTGTTTCCTATCTGGTAGTATTATTTTATAATTTCATGGGTTTTCTAGCTTTCTCATATGGTCCACGCTTCCTGAAATTGGGATTCATTTATAGGTGCTCTGCCAAATACTGTATATGGTGACAAAGAGTGAAACAGCAGCAGAAGTTGAAGTGGAAGCTGACAGTGGCAGATCTAGCCTTGTGAGTAAGGTGACATATACTTTATTGCTCAAATCAGGATAGTTTCAACAATAAAGGGAGCTAACTGTGCAGTATGCTGGGACCAAGTGCATACACTGGGACTTCCTGGGCTGAACTATGACATGTGATCACTTTACTTAAAAAGGGGCAGAGTAGGCAGCTGCAGGCACCATGGCTTGGGCATAGGAAGGTCTGCCCTGGAATACGACTATCTCCAATTATAAGTTCGTCCCTAGAGAGATTTATGGTCTAGGTCTCTTAACCCATATGTTAAAACCTTGTATTCATTGGTCTTTTTAGTTGCACGATACTTTGTAATCTCCCCACCTTAAGGAAAAAGAGGAATTTTTGAGTCACTGGTAGAACCCAAGGAACATTGCCTTGCTTCAGGAACAGAGCCTTAGATGTTGTCACAGCCCTCTTTCTCCAGATTCTGTTCTCCTCTATGCTCCTGAGGATGCTGGCTCTTGCTGATTTGCAGATTGCTGCCTCTGCTTCTCCAGTTCAAAGGCGGGAAATGGCTGCTGACAGTTCATGAATCTTACATTTAACAGTTACAGCAGCCAAAGGGAAATGGCCTCAATTCATGCTGCTTCATGTCCAGAGGTCCTCAAATTGATGAGTTTGGTTTAGTGTACATCCTACATTGCTCAGCTGTGACCAGGGGTAAACTTATGGAAGGACATGGTGGCTTCCTTGGTAATCATATCATTGAACTTGAGGGAAGGGGAAGTTCTGATATTTTGTATTGTGCCCAGAGGCAGAAGTATACTGTGGAGACAAAATAATAATAGATGTCCACTACATAGCCTCTCAGCTGTAGCTGAGAGTTGCCACAGCTAAAAAGAAGCTATGTGGTAAAGTTTTGATAGAGAATGTCCCATGGGCAGACTGGATAATTTTTGAGGTGATTTCCTACAATATGTTCTAAAGTGAATATTTTATTTCTCCATAACAGGTAGAATATGATTCTGAAAAAAAGGATTATAGGAGAGACTTGGTCTAGCAGGAGAGCATGGGATTATTTGGTTTGGCAGGATATGGGGATACACAAGTCAAACTATCCGTCATTAACCAGCCATGGTAACTAGGATACTCCTATCTCTAAGCTCCCTTTTCTGATATTAAAGCAGCTATCTTTCCTTGAACTCTTAAATATCTCTCCCTCATGATACCTTAATAGACTTCTTTTTAAAAGGAGGAATAGTCTTCTTGGGTATGCTATGTGATCGCTTCTTCATTTTTGGATCAACTAAAAATAATTATTACAGTTGTCATTTATGGAACACTTATCAGTTGCTATCCATGACACATTATTCCATATAATCCTCAAATCAGCCTTTTCCCTGTTCCTTATTTCCCTGTTTCATTCTTTTCAGATGAGGAAACGATGAAGGTTAAAGTTTCGCTCAAAGTCCCATAGATAGTACACGTGAGAGCTGGGATTAGAACCCAGGTCAGAGTGAGCCCAATAAAGAAAGTCCTCTTTACATTCTGCCACATAGCGACAAGCAGAACATAATCTATGAGTTATGAGGGAAATTCAGAAATAGGAACTAAGTGAGACCTAAGTGGGTATTAATAACAGGAGGCAAAAATCATACAATAAAATTTAGAGATACCCTAATTTTAAACATTGGTTTGTAATTTTGTTCTATTCCTATTTGCTGAAAAATCAGTAATCTAGGACCTAGAATATTTGCTCTTCTGAAAGTTTTATTAGAACATTGAGCAAACAGGTACTAGTTGAAATTCAATTTACTCAACATTATGAAGCACCTGCTGTGTGCTGTGCCGGTATATGAAGCTAGGTAAGCAGTGTCAATTTTTATAAACACCTCCCAGGCATATAGAAGTGAAGGCTGTTATAGGAGGGAGGGGCCTTAGAAACTGCATGGCTTGTTGGTGGTCACTCTGTGTGCTGTAGAACCTTTGGGTTCTGCCAAGGTGGCCATTTTGGGTACAAGGAAGAAATGGAGGAAACCAAAGGGGAGACTGAATACCAGAATACTGTTTCTATCCTGCCCTCTTCAACCAGGATGGCTCCAAACTTTTATTTATTAGCCATGCCGAGGTGTCGTTATTTTACAGAGGAAGACACTCAGGGGCAGTGTGTGTCTGGGGTCGATGACATGGTGAGCTAAGTAGTCACAAAAATTGTATACTTTCATTTGCCATACTAACGAGACACACAGTACTTTTCATGCTCCTCCTACTCTTCTTAGGAGTGAGTTTAGATTTTATTGTATTTTGGAGATCCTCAGCCATATGAGTCACATTGTCCTCAGATGTCCATGTTACAGATATAGACTAATGGCAAATATGGTGACTTTGGGACTATTAAAAAAATTGCGATCATCCAGGGTGATGTAAATTGCTTTCACCTTTATTGATTTTGTTGCCAGGTCTTAACAAACTCCTTTGGGTTTGTAATAACCCGAAGCTTTAACTTTACAGTAAAGAAATTTCATGGTTACACCCTTAGCAATGGGTTAAGAATTATCACATTCTCTCAACTCTGTGTCCTTTCATCCAACATTCTGACAAAGAGGAAAAGATTCTGGGTTAGGGAAAATCACTCTATTAATTCTAGCTATTTATACTCTAATACCGTAATTTTGTAATCTTTCTTGGACACAAGATCTTTCTTGTATTTAAAGAAAAGATAAATTTCATTTTTTTTTTTAGCATTCCAACTCATTCTGCTCTTGTCTGTTAAGATGATAGGAAGACATGGAGACTCAAGTAATTCCTAGCAAGTCAAAGACTAGAACTAGTTAGCCATTAATTATAAAAACTATTTTAGATTATTGACTGGAATGACTGAAATTTAATCTAGTTGAACTTCAGAGCCCAAAATATGGACTTTTCTGCCCTTGGACACAGGGACAGAGGCAGACTGGGACTTTAAGATTGGGAGGCCTCTGCTGATGTGGAGGAGAGAAGGGAAGCGACTAAATTCAATTAGGGACTAGTAGGAGCAAATCAAATCTGCAGCTGGAAGAGATCATCCAGCAGCTGCAGCTAGATCATCATAGTGACTGTAACCCAGACAAGAAAAACAGAACGTGGGAGGCCATCTGCTTGCAATTTCCTTATGCCAGTATTAAAACAATGTTAAGGCTTACTGACTTTTTTTTAATGAAGAGAAAAAAGTTTACCAAAGATGAATGATGAATTTTTTTTGTAAAAACAAAAAAAGTAAAAATGACTTCCATTGATAAAAATCCCAATTTCTAGATATTTAGATCATTTCTTTTTGTAAAAAAAGTTTGCTATGAAAAACAATACCGTGACAAGAATTCCTTTTCCTTATTTCTTATTGGGCACATCCCAAATTTTCTCTTAAGATAAAACCCTAGGATTTAAATTTCTAGAGTGAAGGGTGCATGTATAATTAAGGTTTTAAAATATGTAATCAACATATTTTACAAGCTGTTGCATTTTTCTATGAATTTCCTACCATTTGTTTGGAATTTACAGAAATAAAGGATACACTGTTGTTCCAGAGACTCGTGAAGTTAGATGGAACTCTCAGGGGCCAAATGGATAATTTCTACTGTGTTAGGTTTTCTGAACGTTGTCTCCTTGCCAGTTCCATAACCTCTTCTAACGTCAATACTCAGCCTCCGGTCTGCTGCTGTTTCTGCTTTGTTAATACCGGAGGCCACAGCTAAATGAACCATTGGGACGATCACATTCTCTCTTTTAAGAATTTAAACTAAGAAGCTTTAAGTCTAAGACACTTAGAGTATGATGCTAGACACACTTCCAGATATGGGAACTCTAATATCTTATAGAGTTGAGGCCAAGAAGGGTCATGTGGCAAACTATGATAAGTGGAAGTAGAAAACCCTTCTATGGGGGAAGCCATAAAGAAAGAAGCAGACACTGAAAATCAGGGACTATGTAGCCCTAGGGAAAATGTAAATGGTACAGTCCCTGTGAGTCCCATCGCTAGATTCTGTAGTGTGTCCTATGGGACCTTCTTGTGCCTTCTGAAGATCTGTGTTGATCTCCATCCAAGACTCTTGACTCCAGGTTAAATTACAAAGCTTTTACTTCAGGAATATCAGTCATTTGTATGGTAGATCTTAGGAAACACAGGGGTCCATAGGCCTTCAAAAACAGAGAACCATATTTTCTGAAATATAAATTAGGTCATATCTGACAAAAGATTACTTCCCATTTTGGTGCATTTACATGAAACATTACCACACTAGAATCATTGCCCTCAGGCCTGCTCTTAACTGCTTGGACATATGGGCTTTCATTCCCCTCGAGTTTGCTTTGATTTATCTAGTATAATGGTTCTCCAACTTTAGAGCGCATTAGAATTACCTGGGGGCTTGTTACAACAGAGTGCTGGGCCCCATCCTAAGAGTTTCTGATTCAGTAGTTCTGGGATATGGTCAGACCATTTCTGTTTCCAACAAGTTCTCAGGTGATGCTGACACATCTAGCCTTGGGACCACACTTTGAGAACCACCGAACTATTGAGTATGTGAGAATGTCTCTTAGAGAAGAAAATGATGTAATTTCTAATATTTTTACTATTCACTCTTGGGAAGACCTTCTTAGCATTAACTTTTTCCTGTATCCTCTTCTCCCTTCTGCTTCTCTGCATCCCCCAGCCTCCACCCTTTGTAAATCTTTTCTCTCAGCTGCCACGTTCCACCATGGCACTTCCCACACAGCTTGGCAATTGTTGCCTGCCCAATTAACTGTTAGCATCCTGAAGGCAGGGACTTGTATGTTTTATCTGTGTATCCTCACTGACTAGCACCATACCTGGACATGGCAGGAATAAGATACAAATGTGCTGAGTGAAAGAAGGAATGAATGAAAATTCCTTTCTTTTCTTACTGATTCTTAAGGTCCCTGAAAAAGTCCATCTCTGGTGGACTTGATTCTTTCCGTTCTCCCTCGTAAAACTGGGATGCTGTTGCATATCTTTCTTGACCTATGTTCTTAGGATATAGGTAGCTCATCAGATGGATTACAGTAGGGCAAGGGAGAGGAGGTGTGTGCATGCACATGCAGATGTGCGTGCCTTGTTTTCCTTTCCTTATATTATCTCCTTGGTGTTCATCATGTGTAACAACAGCTGTGCAAGTAGGTGGAGATGTCAGGAATCTCTGGCACATCACATATCTCCTGAAGAATGTCCAGTTCATACAGAGTTTTATTTTACTCTGTGGCTTACAGCTCTTGGCTCCGCTTGAGTAGCAATGCATAACCCACAAAAGTAGATTGTCATTCATTTATGTAATTTCTCATGACTTAAAGGCCTCTTGATATAGCACAAATAAGCATTAGACTAGGAATTAGCAATCTAGGATTCTAGTCTTAGCTTAAGCTCTAATTAGCTGTGTGCCCTTAGCCAAGTCTCTTAATTTGATTGTATGAAGAAGGCTTTAATTCAAATGACTTATGTACTGTGCTCAAATCTTAACACTCTCAGCATCTGTGAAGCTAAGAGGAATATGTTCTCAAGAGTGTGACATGGTTTAGGTGTATGTTTGTTTTCATGCTAAGGTCTGACTCATGTCCTTCTAGGAGGTAGTGAGGTCATTTGCTGAAGACATTCAAAGGACTGCAAATAATGATGTGTAGCAGCAGCCTGTCCTGTGCCTTTGGATACTTTAGAAATAAATGAAAAAAGAAGATTTAAAGAGAAGGGGCCAGTCAGAAGAGATCTTTTGCATCTGTTCCCATGAAGAAGGAAGGGAGCCCTTGTCCCTGTCTGAGTCCTTAAAAGAGACCTTTTTTTTTTTTTGAGTCAGAGGAACCAGACACATCAAAACATTCTCTTCTTTGAATATTTATTTGTGTGTTGTTCTATATCTTGTCCTATGGAACTTCCTGAGGAAAGTGATTGTATGGTTGACTCCTGAAGAAGACAACGTGATCTTAGAAACATGCTCTCTAGAATCCAAAGAGAGTCCAGATTTAAAGTATCTGCATGGTCACTTGCTAACATCTTCCAAGTGTCCAGCTGTTATTATTACATTATGTTTGTGTTTGAATCTTGGGAAATATAGTTTACAACAATGTCACAATGGCAGAAGAGTTGATAAAAATGTTTTTTTCTACATATTTGACTTGTTAAAGAAAAACAATTTAGGGGAAGTGATGGGGAGGGTGGAGAAACATATTTTCATGGTGATGAAGCCGCAGCAAATTTCCAGAGGAAGACAAGCTGTCATGTTCTTGACCTTTTGAAATTCTCCATGAAGTTTAATTCTCCATCAGTTTCTAATTCATAAATATTAGTTCTGATAAAAAAATTGGAGTGGTATATCCTAAGTGCTTCATGTGAGCTGTTTTGAAGTCGATTCTTAAGCAAACTACTTGGTGCAGAGTGTAGTCTGAGATACTAACTAACTTTCATTTCCAGTTTTCTGATAGTCTTTACTTATAAATACCCAACAGAAACAAAAACCAAAATCCTCAACTCAGCTGGATTGAATGTTTGGCTGATTTATGCCTTGTTTGAATAATATTTCAATCTGGCACTCACTGGGATACTCAGGGAACCTTAACATTTTTTTTTTTTTTGAGACAGGGTCTCACTCTGTCTCTGTCACCCAGGCTGGAACTCTTGGACTCCTGCTATAGCCTCCCAAGTAGCTTGGAAGCTGGGATTAACAAGCATGTGCTACCACACCTGGCTAATATTATATATATATACATTTTTTTTTAATGGAGACAGAGTCTCTCTATGTTTCCCAAGCTTGTCTTGAACTCCTGGGCTCAAGTCATCCTCCTGCCTCAGCACCTCAAAACATTGGAATTACAAGCGTGAGACACCATGCTCAGTCCTTAACATCTTTCAAGGGATGTGATTCTTTGTGGCAGTAGAAAGGTGCTTTTGAATTCCTGGATCCTCTTTTAAACACTATCAAATTAGAATATACTTTCAGAAAAGTAAAAATATCATCACTTAAAATCAATAAACTTTTAGCTACTGAACACATCTGTGTCACCAGCACTTAGATCAAGAAGAAGAACATTACCGGCACCACATAAGCCCCCTCACAATCTATTCTGGCTCCTCATTCCTCTCTCCACTGAGGGTAATCATGACATTGACTTCTAACAGCATAGGGTGCTTTGGTACTTTGGCTCATGTTTTGGTCATATAACTTACATCATACATTATGTACTCTTTTGTTTCTAGCTTCTTTCACTCAACATTATGTTAATGAGAGCCATCATACTGCATGTGGTTGCTGTTAACATTCATTCTCATTTGTGTATAATGTGTAAATATACATTATTTATCAATTTTACTCTTGATGGAATTTGGGTATTTCTGGCTATTAGAAATGGTGCTTCTATGAGCATGCTAGGACATGTCTAGGTGAATAGATGTATTTATCTGAGTCAAGTGTGCAGATAAAAGTGGAATTGTTGGGTCATAAAATATGTATAAGCTCGGTATCAGAAGATACTGCCAGCTTCCTCAAGTGGTTGTACTCATTTTACTGTCTCATCCATGAGTTCTTTTGATTGGTACACAAAAAGTGCAAAGGAGAAAGAATGCTGAATAAAGGGCTCTGACATTGAAGCCAGATTGCTACAAAGGGTTGAATCCTGATGAATGCATCTTTTATCCTCAACACTGATCTTTTCCGAGCTCTTTTTAAATGAAACCCTAAATTGCTATGTCTCTCTTGTTCAACTAAAGGTGACTTAGATTTGCCATTCTGAAATTCCCTTATAAGATCTGAGATGGTTTAAAGTAATTTTTTAAACTGTCTATATTAAAAAAGAATTTCAAAAATTTCTGTCTAAATGAGAATATTCTTCTCTGACTAGTGTCAAGAAAATGTTAAGTGAGTGAAACTCATTTTTTCTTAATGGTCTTTATTTAATTTGTTACCAGCTTTAACTAAAGCAAGAAAGACAAAGATGGGAAAATGTTGGAATAGTCCTTATTTTTAAAAAAGTATTTTTCAATGGGTAACAATTATAAAAACATATTGATGTACCTGCCTGAGAATATCCTGAGAAAATATAATGAATTTGAATACTTTCTCACTACAAGTAAATTGATTACAAGAAAAGACACCCATTCGATTTTCTTTGGACAGCTTTCTTTGAAAGACCTAAGCATTCCAAATTACCCAAATAAATATTTCTAAATCCTTAGGATATAAATATGATTGTTGTTAATGAGCAATTTACTGTTTGTTATAGCCTACATATTAATTTTAGGTAAAATATCATAGTGTAGTCTTATGTGCTATATATGCTTCAGTCCCTTAGGTAGCTACAATTGCAGTATTTGATATTTCTTATTTGTCTTGAGGGATAATTTTATTATATCTAGGAGTCCTAGGGTATATATTCACAGCTTTATTTTTTCACCTGTTACTGTGGGCATGCCTGTAATTTATTTTGTACAAGTTTCTTACTTAAGAATACAATATGTAATTAAACATGTCTTCCTTGGAAAAATAAATCACATAGATTGCAGAAATGTATTATGAGTGAAAATGGTCTCTCTCTGAGTATGTGTTGTGTAATAGAACTCTGCAAACACACACATTCACACAAAAGTCAAGCCTTACTGTGTGAAGTAGGGAAAGGTTTTTAAGAAAAATTGTATGTTGATGGTTGCTTCCAAGATGGCCGAATAGGAACAGCTCCGGTCTGCAGCTCCCAGTGAGATTGACGCAGAAGATGGGTGATTTCTGCATTTCCAACTGAGGTACCTGGTTCATCTCATTGGGCTGGTTGGACAGTGGGTGCAGCCCATGGAGGGTGAGCAGAAGCAGGGTGGGACGTTGCCTCACCAGGGGAGTGCAAGGGGTCAGGGGAGTTCCCTTTCCTAGCCAAGGGAAGCCATGACAGATGGTAACTGGAGAAACAGTACACTCCTGACCAAATACTGTGCTATTCCCACGGACTTAGCAAGCAGCCAACTAGGAGATACCCTCCCGTGCCTGGCTCGGTGGGTCCCATGCCCACGGAGCCTTGTTCACCACTAGCACAGCAGTCTGAGATAGACCTGGGATGCTGCAGCTAGTTGGGGGGAGGGGTGTCCGTCATTGCTGAGGCTTGAGTAGCTCACAGTGTAAATAAAGAGGCTTGGAAGCATGAACTGGGCAGAGCCCACCACAGATCAGCCTCTATAGATTCCACCTCTGGGGCAAGGCATAGTAGAACAAAAGGCAACAGACAGCTTCTGCAGAATTAAACGTCCCTGTCTGACAGCTCTGAAGAGAGCAGTGGTTCTCTCAGCACAGCGTTCAAGCTCCAAGAACAGATAGACTGCCTTGTCAAGCAGGTCCCTGACCCCTGTGTAGCCTGACTGGGAAACACCTCCCAATAGGGGCTGACAGACATCTCACACAGGTGGGTGCCACTCTGGGATGAATCTTCCAGAGGAAGGATCAGGCAGCAATATTTGCTGTTCTGCAGCCTCCCCTGGTGATACCCAGGCAAACAGGGTCTGGAGTGGACCTCCAGCAAACTCCAACAGCCCTGAAGCTGAGGGGTCTGACTGTTAGAAGGAAAACTAACAAACAGAAAAGAGTAGCATCAACATCAACAAAAAGGACATCCACACCAAAACTCCACACATAGGTCACCAACATCAAAGACCAAAGGTAGATAAAACCACAAAGATGGGGAGAAACCAGAGCAGAAAACCTGAGAATTCCAAAAAACAAATTGGCTCTTCTCCTCCAAAAGATCGCTGCTCCTTGCCAGCAAGGGAACAAAACTGGATGGAGAATGACTTTGACGAGTTGACAGAAGTAAGCTTCAGAAGACTGCTAATAACAAACTTCTCCGAGCTAAAGGAGCATGTTCGAACCCATCACAAGGAATCTAAAAACCTCGAAAAGGCTAGACGAATGGCTAACTAGAATAAACAGTGTAAAGAACACCTTAAATGACCTGAGGGAGCTGAAAACCATGGCACGAGATTTCTGTGACACATGCAAAAGCTTCAATCAAGTGGAAGAAAGGATATCAGTGATTGAAGATCATATTAATGAAATAAAGTGAGGAGACAAGATTAGAGAAAAAAGAGTGAAAAGAAATGAACAAAGCCTCCAAGAAATATGGGACTGTGTGAAAAGACCAAGTATACATTTGATTGGTGTACTGGAAAGTGACGGGGAGAATGGAACCAAGTTAGAAAACACTATTCAGGATATTATCCAGGAGAACTTCCCTAACCAGCAAGGCAGGCCAACATTCAAATTCAGGAAATACAGAGAACAGCACAAAGATACTTCTAGAGAAGAGCAACCCCAAGACACATAATTGTCACATTTACCAAGGTTGAAATGAGGAAAAAATGTTAAGGGCAGCCAGAGAGAAAGGTTGGGTTACCCACAAAGGGAAGCCCATCAGACTAACAGCGGATCTTTCAGCAGAAACCCTACAAGCCAGAAGAGAGTGGGGGCCAATATTCAACATTCTTAAGGAAAAGAATTTTCAACCCAGAATCTCATATCCAGCCAAACTAAGCTTCATAAATGAAGGAGAAATAAAATCCTTTACAGACAAATGCTGAGAGATTTTGTCACCACCAGGCCTGCCTTACAAGAGCTCCTGCAGGAAGCACTAAACATGGAAAGGAACGACTGGTATCAGCCACTGCAAAAACATGCCAAATGGTAAAGACCATCGATGCTATGAAGAAACTGCATCAATTAAGGGACAAAATAACCTGCTAGCATCAAATGACAGTATCAAATTCAAATGTAACAATATTAACCTTAAATGTAAATGGGCTAAATGCCCCAATTAAAAGACACAGACTGGCAAATTGGATAGTCAAGACCCATCAGTGTGCTGTATTCAGGAGACCCATCTCATGTGCAAAGATGCACATAGGCTCAAAATAAAGGGATGAAGGAAGAAACCAAGCAAATGAAAAGCAAAAAAAAAAAAAAAAAAAAAAAAAAAAAAAAGAGCAGGGATTGCAATCCCAGTCTCTGATAAAACAGACTTTAAACCAACAAAGATCAAAAGAGACAAAAAAGGCCACTACGTAATGGTAAAGGGATCAATTCAACAAGAAGAGCTAACTATCCTAAAAATATATACACCTAATACTGGAGCACCCAGCTTCATAAAGCAAGTCCTTAGAGACCTACAAAGAGACTTAGACTCCCACACAATAATAATGGGAGACTTTAACACCCCACTGTCAATATTAGACAGATCAATGAGATAGAAGGTTAACAAGGATATCCAGGACTTGAACTCAGCTCTGGACCAAGCAGACCTAATAGATATCTACAGAACCCTACACCCCACATCAACAGAATATACATACTTCACAGCACCACATCACACTTATTCTAAAATTGACCACATAATTGGTAGTAAAACACTCCTCAGCAAATGTAAAAGAACAGGAATCACAACAAACAGTCTCTGAGACCACAGTGCAGTCAAATTAGAACTCAGGATTAATAAGCTCACTAAAAACTGCACAACTACATGGAAACTGAGCAACCTGCTCCTGAATGACTACTGGTAAATAACAAAATGAAGTCAGAAGTAAAGATGTTCTTTGAAACCAATGAGAAAAAAGTCACAATGTACCAGAATTTCTGGGGCACATTTAAAGCAGTGTGTAGAGGGAAATTTATAGCACTAAATGCCCACAAGAAAAAGCAGGAAAGATCTAAAATTGACACTCTAACATCACAATGAAAAGAACTAAAGAAGTAAGAGCAAACACATTCAAAAGCTAGCAGAAGGCAAGAAATAATTAAGATCAGAGCAGAACTGAAAGAGATAGATACACAAAGAACCCTTCAAAAAATCAATGAATCCAGGAGCTGGTTTTTGAAAAGATCAACAAAATTGATAGACTGCTAGCAAGACTAATAAAGAAGAAAAGAGAGAAGAATCTAATAGATGCAATAAAAAATGAAAAAGAGGCTATCACCACTGATCCCACAGAAATAGAAACTAGCAATACAGAATACTATAAACACCTCTATGCAAATAAACTAGAAAATCTAGAAGAAATGGATAAATTTTTGGACACATACACCCTCCCAAGACTAAACCAGGAAGAAGTTGAATCTCTGAATAGACAAATAACAGGTTCTGAAATTGAGGCAATAATTAATAGCCTACCAACCAGAAAAAGTCCAGGACCAGATGGATTAACAGCTGAATTCTACCAGAGGTACACAGAGGAGCTGGTACTATTCCTTCTGAAACTATTCCAAACAATAGAAAAAGAGGGAATCCTCCCTAACTCCTTTTATGTGGCCAGCATCATCCTGATACCAAAGCCTGCTAGAGACCCAACAAAAAAAGAGAATTTTAGGCCAATATCCCTGATGAACATTGATGTAAAAATCCTCAATAAAATACTGGCAAACCAAATCCAGCAGCACATCAAAAAGCTTATCCACCATGATCAAGTCAGCTTCATCCCTGGGATGCAAGGCTGGTTCAACATACGAAAATCCATAAACGCAATCCATCACATAAACAGAACCAAAGACAAAAACCACATGATTATTTCAATAGATGCAGAAAAGACCTTCGACAAAATTCAACAGCCCTTCATGCTAAAAACTCTCAATAAACTAGGTATTGATGGAACACATCTCAAAATAATAAGAGCTATTTATGACAAACCCACAGCCAATATCATACTGAATGGGCAAAAACTGGAAGCATTCCCTTTGAAAACTGGAACAAGACAGGAATGACCTCTCTCACCACTCCTATTCAACATAGTGTGGGAAGTTCTGGCTAGGGCAATCAGGAAAGAGAAAGAAATAAAGGGTATTCAACTAGGAAAAGAGGAAGTCAAATTGTGTCTGTTTGCAGATGACATGATTGTATATTTAGAAAACCCCATCATCTCAGCCCACAATCTCCTTAAGCTTATAAGCAACTTCAGCAAAGTCTCAGGATACAAAATCAATGTGCAAAAATCACAAGCATTCCTATACACCAATAACAAACAGAGAGCCAAATCATGAGTGAACTCCCATTCACAATTGTTACAAAGAGAATAAAATACCTAGGAATCCAACTTACAAGGGATGTGAAGGACCTCTTCAAGGAGAACTACAAACCACTGCTCAAGGAAATAAAAGAGGATACAAACAAATGGAAGAATATGCCATGCTCATGGATAGGAAGAATCAATATCGTGAAAATGGCCATACTGCCCAAAGTAATTTATAGATTCAATGCCATCCCCATCAAGCTACCAATGACTTTCTTCACAGAATTGGAGAAAACTACTTTAAAGTTCATATGGAACCAAAAAAGAGCCCACATTTCCAAGACAACCCTAAGCCAAAAGAACAAAGCTGGAGGCATCACGCTACCTGATTTCAAACTATACTTCAAGGCTACAGTGACAAAAGCAACATGGTACTGGTACCAAAACAGATACATAGACCAATGGAGCAGAACAGAGGCCTCAGAAATAACTCCACACATCTACAACCATCTGATCTTTGACAAACCTCACAAAAACAAGAAATGGGGAAAGGATTCCCTATTTAATAAATGATGCTGGGAAAACTGGCTAGCCATATGTAGAAATCTGAAACTGGATCCCTTCCTTTCATCTTATTCAAAAATTAATTCAAGATGGATTAAAGACTGAAATGTTGGACTTAAAATCATAAAAACCCTAGAAGAAAACCTAGGCAATAGCATTCAGGACATAGGCATAGGCAAGGACATGATGACTAAAACACCAAAAGCAATGGCAACAAAAGCCAAAATTGACAAATGGGATCTAATTAAACTAAAGCGCTTCTGCACAGCAAAAGAAACTACCATCAGAGTGAACAGGCAACCTACAGAGTGGGAGAAAATTTTTGCAATCTACCCATCTGACAAAGGGCTAATATCCAGAATCTAGAAAGAACTCAAACAAATTTACAAGAAAAAAACAAACAACCCCATCAAAAAGTGGGCGAAGGATATGAACAGACACTTCTCAAAAGAAGACACTTATGCAGCCAACAGACACATGAAAAAATGCTCATCATCACTGGTCATCAGAGAAATGCAAATCAAAACCACAATGAGATACCATCTCATGCCAGTTAGAATGGCGATTATTAAAAAGTCAGGAAACAACAGATGCTGGAGAGCATGTGGAGAAATAGGAATGCTTTTACACTGTTGGTGGGGGTGTAAATTAGTTCAACCATTGTGGAAGACAGTGTGTCAATTTCTCAAGAATCTAGAACTAGAAATACCATTTGACCTAGCAATCCCATTACTGGGCATATACCCAAAGTATTATAAATCATTCTATGATAAAGATCCATGCACACGTATGTTTATTGTGGCACTATTCACAATAACAAAGACTTGGAACCAACCCAAATGTCCATCAATGATAGACTGGGTTAAGAAAATGTGGCACATATACACTATGGAATACTATACAGCTATAAAAAAAGATGAGTTCATGTGCTTTGCAGCTGAAGCTGGAAACCATCATTCTGAGCAAACTTTCACAAGGACAGAAAACCAAACACCGCCTGTTCTCACTCATAAGTGGGAGTTAAAGAATGAGAACACATGGACACAAGGTGGGGAACATCACACACCAGGGCCAGTCAGGGGGTGGGGGGCTAGGAGAGGGATAACATTAGGAGAAATACCTAATGTAAATGACGAGTTGATGGGTGCAGCAAACCAACGTGGCACTGTATACCTAGGAAACAAACCTGCACATTGTGCACATGTGTCCTAGAACTTAAAGTATAATAAAAAAATTTGTATCAATATGGAAAACAATGGAAAGATAGAAAGAATAAAGAAATAAATTGCAAATTATTCTAGAAAAAGGAAAATTGTATGTTTAAGGTATATAAGTACAGTTTCGTTACATGGGTATATTGTCTAGTGGTGAGATCAGCTTTTAGTGTAACCATCACCTGGGAAAGTTTGCTTTTGCAAAAAGTGATGCACTTAGCACAGCTCACTGGACCTCTGAGTGCTTTGCATGGGTGTTTGGATTTTGTGCAGCAGGCAATGGGGAGCCTGTATTAGTCTGTTCTCATGTTGCTAATAAACACATACTGGAGACTAGGTAATTTATGAAGGAAAGAGGTTTAATGGACTCACAGTTCCAGATGGCTGGGGAGGTCTCATGATCATGGCAGAATATGAAGGAAGAGCCAAGGGACGTCTTACATGGCTGCAGGCAAGAGGGCATGTGCAGGGGAACTCCGCATTATAACACCATCAGATCTCATGAGACTTATTCACTATTATGAGAATAGCATGGGAAAAACCCGCCCCCATGATTGAATTACCTCCCACTCGGTCCCTCCTTTGACACATGGGGATTATTACAATTCAAGGTGAGATTTGGGGAGGTACACAACAAAACCATATCAGAGCCTATGAAAATTTTTTATGGAGGAGTGGATCAGAGATGTACTTTAGGAAGATGATTCTGCAAGAAATTGGAAACAGTTTTAAAAACCCAAACTTGCTGATGTGGCAGAACTCCTGAAAGTCATAATCATCTTTGCAGAACATCATGAAGCATTGTTATATTCAATTTAAAACAACAAAGATAATAATTTTGTTCTATAAATATCATCTCATACCACATTCTAGTGTGGACAAGCTGCAGATCTCCCAAACTTTTAAGAAAAATGTAGGAAGCAAACCCAACCAATTGAGAAAACCCAGTTCATTAATTGCCTCACCTCCTGAAAATCTTAAAAAACCCCACCGAGATTTCATTTAAGAAGAAATCTCAGACCAACTCTTGGAACCCCAGTGTTTTACAAAGTAAATCTTGAGAACTTTTTATTTTATTGTTTTTTCTTGGCAATGAGAACTTGAATAGAATAAAGGCAGCAAGTGCAAAAAAATTTAGGGGCATCATAAAGACGTTGTGAAATGACTGGTGGGATGGTGAAGAGGAAAGAAGAGTTACAATATTAATAACCATCTTTTGTGTGTGTGTGTGTGAGACAGTGTCTCATTCTCTGTCACCCAGGCTGGAGTGCGATGGCATGTTCTTGGTTCACTGCAGCCTTGACCTCCCAGGCTCAAGCCATCCTCTTGCCTCAACCTCCTGAGTAGGTGGACTACAGGTGCTTGCCACTAAGCCTGGCTAATTTTTGTACTTTTTGTAGAGATGGGGTCTCGCCATGTTGACCAGGCTGGTCTTGAACTCACAACCTCAAGTGATACACACACCTCAGCCTCCCAAAGTGCCAGGATTACAGGCACGAACCACTGTGCCTGGCCTTAACACACTTTTTTATGTAAAAATTCTTTTTAGTGAAACCAAAGCTTCTATGTGTCTTTTGACTTGGAATTGGTGGTAGATCATTCATGTTTGGTAATCTTCCTTTTGTCATTTCTTTCTCTGAAAAGCAATTGCGTGTTCATAGGCAGGAACAGGTAGAGAAAGCACTTTGAGAAATCATCTTATTATCTCTTCATGTTTATGCTGGGCTGCTACTGCTCAGAATCATGGAAGCATATGAACTAGACTTTTGGAAAAACCAAACTCTTGTTTCAAGACAGAATGTCCTGAAAAGTGTACATGCTACACTCCTGCATGACACTAATAAATAGGTTTTAATTATGCTCATGCATCTGTATCCTAGTGTGGCAACCAGTGATACACAGCAGAGCTGGAAAATCCCAGGTGGCTTATGGTTAATGACACAGGAGCATTAGCAACATTGAGTAATGAGGTATTTAAAGAATGATACAATTTAATTTTTGTTAAACCACTGCACAGATAAATTACTTACTTGGAAACATGGTTCTGCACTGAACTTAAAGATAATTCTGCACACATACACACAAAAATCCCAACAGAAAGTTCTTAGCACAACCTTTGCTAGCTTGCTTGTGCTAAAAACCAGCTTAAGAGAAATGTGAAGTAAATTGGCTTATAGTATTTGAGAATTAGAAGAAGGTACACTCATATACTTTGGTTCAGCACCTGAAGTAATAATTTTGTGTGCAAGGTACATATTTGAAAAGAAAGGCAGCAGTGTGTTTTGATGAGTTAGGAACCAGACAGAGACTTCTTCGTCCCACAAAGGGCTTGCTTTGTCACCTAGGGCAAATCCTTAGTTTTGCTTCCCTTCAAATGTAACCACATCATTGTTATTAGAAAGATTTTATAACACAGACTTCAAAAGGCATTATAACAGACTATGAAGGTATTATAACAGTTTTTAAAGCTTATCCTCTGACTTTATGCTTTTAAAGAGTTACTATTCTAAATTCCTTCATCACTTATTGTGTAAACTTTTGTAAGCATACATAGGACACTAGTTATCAAAATGTATCAAAAATAAGAATGCTACATATAAAAGAGATATTATTATTTGAAATATTAAGTCATCTCTTGAAACATTGAGCATACCAGGATTGTTTTTTGTTCAAATTAAAAAGTGGTAGGTTGTAACTTTCAAAGGAAACTTTTATATATGATGTTCAGATACAAAGGGCCAAACTAGGGGAATAATGATCACCTTCAGTCAGATTGTTTCATTATCAGGCTGGGTCTGCCACTACGACATATAGATTCAAACAGAGTCTGAAACTGCAATAAGTCAAAGTGAAATAAATGGACACTTACTTCTAGAAAAGTGAATTTTAAATTGCACATATAAGGTCTTGTAATAGATAGTCAGGATGTTGTTGGTAATACATAACCGGGGAAACCATATTTGGAATTGAATGTTTTTATCTTGGTACCTACAGACTACGTGAAAGCAATTTGAGAAAAATTAATAAGACATAGAGATGAGATTTAAGGCAAGGTTAAAGAGGTCCTTATTGTATGTTTTTATAGGTACACAAATTATGCATATACATATATCTACATATGTATATGTACTTATATATACAAAACAAATGTATTATATATAAAATAACATAATACATAAAAAGTATACATATGTAAGCATATATATGTGTGTGCATATTTATATAGTATGATAAAGATAGCACAATGACAATAATCATATATCTTAAAGTAAAATGCGAAAACTGACAAAATCTTTTAGAATGACTTTTGAGAAATCAGAGGGATTTTTTAATATATCTGTATAAACATTTACACTTTCCTTAAAATTCAGAGGAATCTAAGGCAAGACTTTTAAGATATTTTTCCCACTGTGAAATAAAGAAAAGCAGTGGTGTCTTAGAGGAAAAGGCTTGGTGCAAATCCTTAAACTCCCATTAAACTTGTATTTTATAATAATTTGTAGAAAGAATACATTGAAGCATGTGAAACTTGTGGCTGATTATATTATTATTAGTATAAGGTAACATAGAGTTATCATTCTTTATAAAATGCTATGAAATAAGTGTGTTAAGGATATTTAATTATGTGCATGAGTGTAATAATAAAGGAAAATTGCCAGTTAATTGCTTTCCTTAGAGATGCTATTAGAGGTGGCAGTTGCCTAGCATTCTCATGATTCATCCGAAAGCAACATGCTGTTGGGCTGCTCTCTTCTGTATTATTGTGAGAAAATGAGGAGGGAGAAATAGGACTTGCCTGCACAGATTTCAAGGAGTTCTTTATTCTCCATTATGTGCCACTTCCTCTGGGAAGACTTCCTTGACTTTTTCTAGAGGAGTGTCAGTTTTGCCCCTTTGATGAGTTCCAAGCACTTTGCAGATATCCCTGCTATGGTTCTTGACATATGGTATTTTAATTGTTACTCCATGTGTCGGGGTCTCCTTTCAAACTGAAACTCCAGAGACATGACTATGTCTTATTCTTGCCAATGCTTAAATGAAGGCCTGGCACAGAATAAGTGATTGATGCAGGTTTGTGGAATGAGTTGAAAAGTCTCAGAACCAAAGGCAGGGGCTTGGGAAAACTGGTATTAAATGAAGGTTCTCTTGTTTTTTCCTTTCAAGGACTCTGAAACAATCCCGCCGTCTTTAAGTAGATTTATCTGAAGACAGTCTGTTGACAAACTCCTGCACTTCTTTATTTTCTCCAAAAGGAAAGAAAATTCTATTTCCTCATCTTCATATTTCATCTCATTGGAAAAATATGAATTTGTAGGGTGTGACTATTTAGGACTACAGAGCCATCCATGATTCAGGATATAACATGGAAAAGATCAGTGGTTTCTGTGGATGATTTATGTTTTCATAAACACTCTGCAAACCTGTCTTTTGGTTTCCCCATTTGTGCTAACATGTTACAGAGAGATTTGCATGAGTGTGACAGAAGGGAAGGAAAGGGGAAAGTGTTTTATGAAATAGATGAACTATGATGCCCATTCTAAAGATAAAGTTCTAAAATCTAAGAAAATGTATGTAATAGCTTTCTCTCAAATTATTTTTCTTCTATGCATTATGGATTTGGGCACCCATCTATTCCTTTTTCCTTAGGGTTCATACCTATAGAATACACAACTGAGGAAAAAAGCTGATTTGGAGTTAGCAATGGATGAGGTATCCTATACCCACTGTGTGTATAGGATACTATACTATAGTATCCTATATGTGCATACTATAGGATACTATACTATAGTATCCTATATGTGCATATATAGGATACTATACTATAGTATCCTATATGTGCATACTATAGGATACTATACACACAGTGGGTATAGGATACTTTATTAGAGAACTCATGCCTTTATCATGAAAAAAATCAGATAACTGAAAAAAATCAGAAACTGTACTATTTATCATTAAAAATGGAAGAAACTAAAAATTTGATTCTGAAAATAACTGCTAAGAATCAGCTTCACATTTGCAGGTAATGGAAAACTTCTTAGTGAAAATCTGTCAGTTTGGAGAAAAGAAGGGTAGAAGGAAGAAGGTAAGTAAATCACAAACTAGGGAAGTAAACCAGATGTAGTGTTTAGTAATGGTGGCACTGAGAGGTGTAACCTATGGCTATATGGAACTAGCATTATTATGTTGGAAATTATCTTCCCTCCCCACCTGCCTGTCTCTTATAGATACACATAAACACCCAGTGTAGAACTTAAGGAGGAAAGCAGTATGAAAATGAGAGCACATAGCCTACACATACGTGTGTACAAGGGACTTTAAGTGCAAAGAGACAAGAGTTTCAGGATTGCTTTGTTACTCACATCTTTTAGCATGACCTGGTTTTCTGGCCTCATGGCTCATTAGTCCAGATAGGTTTGTTTGTTACAAAGACAGAAACTGACATAAAGACAGAAAGGTAGAAAGAGAGACATAGAAAGGGGGAAGAGGTATTTATTCAGTTTTTCACAATGGATTATCTCCCCAGTTCATGTAGCATGAAAAGGATAAGAAAATGAAAGGGCAAATAGTTTAGTATTTAAATTCCTGTTTCAACCAAGCATTTGACTAAATTTTAGAGATTTATTTTGAATATGCAGCTTAGTATGAAAAATTTCTAATTACACTTGGCTGACAGACTGTCAATGGGATTTTATGTCATTTTCATTCTTCAGTTTTTCCAAATAAATATGTAAAATGTCCCAATTTTTTTTTTTTTTTTTGATTTGCAGTCTTGCTCTGTCTCCCAGGCTAGAGTACAGTGGTGCTATCTCGGCTCACTGCAACCTCTGCCTCCCGGGTTCAAGCAATTCTCTGCCTCAGCCTCCTGAGTAGCTGGGATTACAGGCGCGCACCACCATGCCTGGCTAATTTTTGTATTTTTAGTAGAGACAGGTTTCACCATCTTGGCCAGGCTGGTCTTGGATCCCTGACCTCGTGATCCACCCGCCTTGAACTCCCAAAGTGCTGGGATTGCAGGTGTGAGCCACTGTGCCTGGCCCCAAATTTATAATGAACAAATCTAATGGGGGTATAAAGACAATCTGGATAAAAAGTACTACACTAGCAAAAACATATATTGGCACAAAAATGTGTCATATGAAGGCTCTCCTCTTGGCTTTTCAGCACCCATATAGTTAATAGTTATTATACTGAATGACTCAAATATTTAAGATGTTTCTAAGAAGTGCTTAACCTGATTTATACATATGATAATAAATGGGTATCTTCATTTTATTTGACTTGGTCTTATTCCAACCTTGTAGCATGGACTTTTCCCTATAATTTTATAGATAAGAAAACTGAGGCTTATAAAGTTCAAGCAATTTTCCTAAAGGTGTGCCTCTGGTCAGCTCGGTGAACTACCTGTTATTTCTACCACCTGGCATTGCTGATATCAGTCCTGAGTCACATGAAGCATCCAGCTTGGTGTCATGCAGTCAGGGACTTTTGATGATATAACTGATGATGAGAATGGTAGCTGTGAACAGAAAGTACTACTTCCACTACAAAGTTTATTTGAACTTCAGTTTTACATTTTGTTTTATGTCCTCTTATTACATATGGACTACAAGTCTGGAAAGCTTCCTTGATCTGCCAGATTGCCATATGTATGCTCTAAAGCAGTTTTGAATGAATTTGCAATATATGTGTACTTAATAGGGACCAATGCTTAACACAGAAGTATGACCTCTTGCCCCCTATTTTGAAAGAGACACTGTGTCCAAAAGATGATTTGACAGAGGTGAGGGGGTGTATGTATTGTCCCTGAGCTCTTTGATCTTGGGATTGGAGCAGCGTTCTGACCTTTTTATTCCAGAGGTCTTATACTTTTCCCAACACAATCTTTGTGGGATGTGAAGTAGATTGCAGAAACTGTTTAGCCAGCGTTTGGTAAAAGTGAGAGCTGGATAGGGCTGATAGGCAATTAATAGAAGAAAATGATATTTGGGGTTCTCTGTGGAACCTTTAGACCTGCTCCTTCACAGTTTTGCATTTCTCAACAGAGAATAAAGTTGTTTTCCTGTCTTTGTCCTCTTGCTTTCCCACTCATCTTTGTCAAATCCTAGCTGAGGACAATGAATAGTGGCATTTGTTTCTTTCTATTGACATTAAAGGTGGTGCCTCTCTATGCAGGAAAGGACCTGTTAGTATGCAGATAAATCCATGGGGGCACTCAAGTGCCAAAGCCTGTAATCATATTTTTTCATCAGCTTCAATTGTAGTTTGCAAGACTGAAAGTATGAAAATGAAAGCTTATAGCCGCACATACATTTGTGGACAAGGCACTTTAACTGCAGGGAGGCAATAGTCTTAGGATTGCTTTGGAACTCACGTCTTTTGGCATTATCTGGCTTTCTGGCCTCATGGCTCATTAGTCCTGGGGTGTGTGTGTGTGTGTTTGTGTGTATGTGTGTGTTACAGAAACAGAGAAAGACAGGAAGAGACTAAGAGAGGAATACAAAATGGGGAGAGGTATTTAGTTACCACCATTTAGTTGTATACTAGGATCGCTATTACATGCTTGGATTTGGAAGGGGCCACACGTACCTGTGGTAGACTCTGTTGGTTGCTTATGTTCCATTCCAATGCACTCAGCCCCTGGATATAAGTCACTTTTGGTGTAAAGCAATTACGACAATCTTGTTGCTCCTTGACAGTGAC
Organism: Homo sapiens; assembly: GCF_000001405.40. NCBI lineage: Eukaryota > Metazoa > Chordata > Mammalia > Primates > Hominidae > Homo > Homo sapiens. Next base: position 40,553,715 of record NC_000005.10, on the reverse strand, counting down.
TTACCTGGGATGGCTATGTGATCCTGTTCTGGAAAAGAAAATGTGAGGAATATGCTGGGGAAGTCCTACTGTTGTGTGAAGACAGGTTCTTTGGAGCATTGTTGTTAGCCATCTTTTTTGTTTTTTGAGATAGAGTCTCACTCTTGTGGCCCAGGCTGGAGTGCAGCGGCGTGATCTTGGCTCACTGCAACCTCCGCCTCCTGGATTCGAGTGATTCTCCTGTCTCAGCCTCCCAAGTAGCTGAAATTACAGGCATGTGCCACCATGCCTGGCTAATTTTTTTTGTATTTTTTTGTAGAGACAGGGTTTCACCATGTTGGCCAGGCTGGTCTCGAACTCCTGACCTCAGGTGATCGGCCCACCTTGGCCTCCCAAAGTGCTGGAATTACAGGTGTGAGCCACCACACCTGGCCATTGTTAGCTATCTTTAACCTTGAGGGAAAACACTGAATACATACCAAAGCTGATTGAGTAGAAAATTTGAAGGACCTTGTGTTTTGATGACATAATTGAACCGTTGACTCAATCCGGGGCTGGCTTTTCTCTGGTCTCTTTGTTAGGTAATGTCCATGTGACTTAAGCCTATCAGTCAAGTTTTCTGTTACTTGCAAAAAACTATTCCTAATTGATACAATATCATAACAAGAATTATATATTATAATTTGCTTTTTAAATTTCACACTACAGAGCTCTTACACTATAATTAATAGGACAATTTAGTCACACAGAAAATGACATAAGCTAATAACACGAAATCAACAGAGAAGACACTTAAATATTATAAATAACTAAATAAGACATTAATTTAGCAAATATATAATGCATAAATGTGCCTTATTAGTTTGATGCCAATTATCTTTATAAAATTATCCAAGCTTAATTATCATCCTTCTATATCATATTAATATCAGTATCTGTATCAAATTTTGACACATTGGTATTTGCAAGTGAGTTGATGTTGTTGATGCCTCCATAAAGCAAGAACATATTTCAATACATTTAAAACAACATAGCACTGGTGCAGGTCACATATGAGGGTGAATTCTGGAAAAGTAGGCTCTAAAATAACAGATTACCTACAGTGTTCAAGATATCTGTGGCCAAAGTGTTGATGACCTAGGGTGTTTGTCCTTTCTCTGCCCTACTTTGCTCTCTGGTGAACAGCAAGAGAATATCCAGAGGCGCTGGAATAATTACCAGGAGGAAAAAATGTGGTAGGTTTGAACATGCTATTAACTAGAACACTGGTATCTCGGTATTTGAACCCCCACTCTATGTATATTTTCTCAAGCACTGCTTGCACATTACGCAGGAATGCCTGGCATTGGCACAGTAAATAGAACGTCTAGCTCCTTGATGCTCAAGTGTTGAGTCAACAGTTGTTCTTAGGCCAGCACATTTTCATCCTGAATGAAAGCAACCTAAAGTCTTTAAGAGATTATTAGGGAAAGAATATTAGTTTCTCAGTGGATTCAAAGCCAGCTGTGGAGGCCTTTAGTACAGTTTACGCTTCTTCAGTTCCCCTTTCTTCCACCTTTGGCATGCCTACAATTGGATGAAGTGCTTTTCCTGAAATAGCAATCACTCTTAAATCCATTAGCTGGAAACTGAAATGTTTCCCTAATTGTTTAAAGTCTCATTGTGAAAAGGAAGTTACTATTGATTGGAATATGAGAGGAAACAATCCCAAGTTTGTGATTCTTTTCCTTTCTATAAACATAGTCAGATAAGACTGACACACTCAGTGTCATCAGATTTACTTCTCAGAAGTTCCCCATTCATTACTAGAAGTTTCTTGTCTGTGTTTCTTTGTGCCCGTATTAGTCAGGGTTCTCTAAAGGGACAGAACAATAGGATATATGTATACATGAAAGGGAGTTTATTAGGAGAATTGACTCACCTAAGGTAAAGTCCCACAATAGGCCGTCTGCAAGGTGAGGAGTGGGGAAACCAGTCCGAGTCCCAGAACCTCAAAAGAAGGGAAGCTGACAGTGCAGCTTTCAGTCTGTGGCCCAAGGTCTGAGAGCCCCTGTCAAATCACTGGTGTAAGTCCAAGAGTCCAAAAGCTGAAGAACCTGGAGGCTGATATCCAAGGACAGGAAGCATTCAGCATGGGAGAAAGATGAGGGCCGGAAGACTCAGCAAGTCTGCTCTTTCCAACTTCTTCTGCCTCCTTTATTCTAGCAGAACTGGCAGCTGATTAGATGGTACCCACCCAGATTGAGGGTGGGTCTGCCTCTCCCAGTCCACTGACACAAAAGTTAATCTCCTTTGGCCACACTTTCACAGGCACACCCAGGAACAATACTTTGCATCCTTTCAATTCAATCAAATTGATGTTCAACAGTAACCATCACAGTGCACAATCATTTCGTGTGTGTGGGTGGGGGGGTGGGTGAGTGTGCGTGTGTTTGGGTTTGTCAATACTTTCTCTCCCTTAGTTTTATTCTTGGGCCTCTCTTATGTGATTTGGATCTTTGTTTTACTTTCAAAATTTTTATTGAGTTTTAATAATTTTTATCACATCTTCAAGCCATCACTCTGTCTTTTAAAAGTTAGTTGGCTCAGATGCAGAAAATTGAAACTGGATCACTTCCTTATACAAAAATTAACTCAAGATGGATTAAAAACTTAAATGTAAGACCCAAGACTATAAAAACCCTAGAAGAAAATCTAGGAAGTACCATTCAGGACATAAGCACGGGTAAATATTTCATGATGAAAAACACCAAAAGCAATTGCAATAAAAGCAAAATTGATAAATGGGATCTAATTAAACTAAAGTTCTGTAGAGCAAAAGAAACTATCATCAGAATGACTAGACAACTTACAGAATGGGAAAAAATTTTTGCAATCTATCCCATTGACAAAGGTCTAATATCCAGAGTCTATAAGGAACTTAAACAAATTTACAAGAAAAAAACAAGCAACCCCATTAAAAAGTGGGCAAATGATATGAACAGACAGTTCTCAAAAGGAGACATTCATGTGGCCAACAAACACATGAAAAAACCTCAACATCACTGATTATTAGAGAAAAGCAAATCAAAACCACAATGAGGTATCATCTCATGCCAGTCAGAAAAAAAAAAAAGTCCAGAAACAGCAGATGCTGGTGAGGTTGCAGAGAAAGAGTAACTCTTTTACACTGCTGGTGGGAGTGTAAATTTGTTCAAGCATTGTGGAAGACAGTGTGGCAATTCCTCAAAGATCTAAAGGCAGAAAACCATTTGACCCAGCAATTCCATTACTTGGTATATACCCAAAGGAACATAAATCATTCTGTTATAAAGAAACATGCACATATATGTTCACTGCAGCACTATTCACAATAGCAAAGACATGGAATCAACCCAAATGCCCATGAATAGCAGACTGGGTAAAGAAAATGTGGTACATATACACCATGGAATACAATGCAGCCATAAAAAGGAATGATATTATGTCCTTTGCCAGGAAATGGATAGAGCTGGGAGCTGTTATCCTCAGCAAACTAACGCAGAAGCAGAAAACCAAACATGTCATGTTCTCCCTTATAAGTAGGAGCTGAACAATGAGAGCACATAGGCACATGTAGGGGAGCAACACACACTGGGGCCCGTCAGGGGTGGGAGCGGGGTGGGGGGAGACCATCAGGAAGAATAGCTAAGGGATGCTGGGCTTAATACCTAGGTGGTGGATTGATCTGTGCAGCAAACTACCATGGCCTATGTTTACCTATGTTAACAAACCTGAACTTAAAATAAATGTTGGATAAAAAAAAAAAAAAGAAAAAAAGTTAGTTGGTTGAACCCTACTGCTGGAATATGGCACTTCTTTTCCTCTCTTCTCCAACAGCCATTTCAGCTACTCTCAAGCACTAACTTTTAGCCATTGCTCCATATTTGTAATCCCAATGACTCATTTTTTTGGCTGTGGCCTTTAGCTATGTATCTCTAGTACCTAGAACAGTGCCTGGCACTTAGTGGGTAGTGATTAATATTTTTAAACAATAAAAATATTTAGGTTTTTTTTTTTTTGTATTTTATCAAAACTTCTCTGTAACCAAATAAATTGACCCAAACGAAAGCCATTCAAATTGAGGAGTTTTTTGCTTCACTCTTGACTGGACCAGGAGTGTTGGACAATTTTCTGAGCAAAGAGGAAAAAAACATTTTTCACTAAAGAGTGCTTATAATCTGATAAAACATAAATCCTAATAAATATGACAGTAGCCAATGAATGTGCTTCATAACTTTGGTACTTCTAAATGGGAGCTATAGGTAAATATTATTCAACCTTTTGTTTCATAGAGTCTGGCTATATTATTTATACTAAAATAAACTGTATTCTTTCATAAAACACTTAAAGTAGGAGACTGCTAATCCAGGACATTTTCACAGGGGTAATGAAATTTTGGGATTACTGAAGATTGAATTTAATTGTGTTGTAAGAGTATACTTGAGGCTGGGCACGGTGGCTCACGCCTGTAACCCCAGCACTTTGGGAGGCTGAGGTGGGTGGATCACAAGGTCAGGAGATCGAGACCATCCTGGCTAACACGGTGAAACCCCATCTCTACTAAAAATACAAAACATTAGCCGGGTGTGGTGGCGGGCACCTGTAGTCCCAGCTACTCGGGAGGCTGAGGCAGGAGAATGGCGTAAGCCTGGGAGGTGGAGCTTGTAGTGAGCAGAGATAGTGCCACCGCACTCCAGCCTGGGTGACAGAGTGAGATTCCATCTCAAAAAAAAAAAAATATATTTGAATGGCAATATTTAATTGTTTCTGAGTTCATTAATTATACAGCTTACTACATTAAGAGAAATTGCTGTATTTGATAACATAAAATTTAATTTTACTTGATAATCACAATAAAGTACAGAACATCAAGTTTGCACTCCTCTTCCACGGTGTTGACATTCAGGTATTGTCAGTTTTCTAAGTGCTTTGAATTGTATGTCAGAATGGCTGCCAAAATACTTGAAAGCAGAGTAAATAGAGATAGATTTACTAATTTCAGTTTGGCAGTAATTTCATGGGAAAGAAGTAGCCCTTTACCAATTTAAAATAGTAAAAATCAGAAGGATTTTTTATGGAATTTTCATGTTTTAAGTAATGCTTAGTTGTGGAACTATGTGTGCTCCTGTGAGATAGTCTTTGAGCTTTGTGCATTGGATAATCCTTTAGCATAATGAATCTAGAGAGAGAAATTCGTCATATTTTTAGCCTTTTCTTAGAAACAATCCTGGATGCTAGAGGAAAGATTTACCCAAAGATTAATGAAGTATAGTTTACTTCAACTGTATGATTACAGTTGTAGAGGAGGTGCCTTGAATGAAGCTTTTGTGTCCAGCTTTTTTGATGTTAGCAATGAGAATCGTTCCATACAACTTCAAGATTCAGTCCCCTGGGGGCAAACAGGCCAAAATGGGGAGTTGCTCCCTTTGCATTTTAGATCAAAGCTATCTGAGGCTCTGGAAATAAATCTTTTTGCTAAATTTGTTTACTTATGTTCCATCTTTGTTCGTCCTATCTGCTCATTATGTGGCAACTTTCTTGAGGGCAAAGGTTATCTTGCCCAATCCATGTAATTCATAGCAGAAAGCCAGTAGGGTTTCCAGGTTCCCAGTATTGAACCAGACATCCTGATATGTAATTTCAGTCTGGTAAAATGGAAAGAAAAAAACCCAGATATACCAAGGTGGATTAAAAAAATGATCTGTTACTATTTTCTGCTTGTGTATCTGAGAACAAAAACTGGATTTTAGTTTGGGGCTGATCATTCCTGCCCTGGGAGAGATTCTTCTGTGAGCTCTTGCTCAGGCAGATATGAATGAAGTCAAACTAAGCAGCATGTATCGAGTACTCGTTATGTCTTGGTGCTGTTCTAAGTGCTTAGTAACTCATTTAAGCCTCACAACAACCCTGTGACACAGATACTAATGCTGTCTTCATTTTGCGAATGAGGAAACTAAGGCGTAAGTCACACAGTGTAAGTGGTGGAGCTGGCATTTGGAACCTGTGAGTCAGGCTATAGAATATATATTAATAGACTGTCTAAAGTATGTCTTCATATGTCTTGGAATAGCACCTGACAATGCCATAGTAATCCAAAAGCATCAATTTCATATGAGGATTAGGAATATTATGCTTTATAAAATAAAAAATGATTTCATGAGAGAGGCTGCAGCTCTACAGAAACTCAATGTATGTATGTATGTATGTATGTATGTGTGATCTATCCATCTAATAGTTCTTTTACTGAAGTAGACAGAATAATGCCTCAGCCACTCCCACCTCCAAATGTTCATGTCCTAATCCCTAGAGCCTGGGGCTAGATGTCACATGGCAAATGGAAATTAGGTTGCAGATGGAATGAAAATTTCTTTTTTTTTTTCTTTTTTTTTTAATTATACTTTAAGTTTTAGGGTACATGTGCACATTGTGCAGGTTAGTTACATATGTATACATGTGCCATGCTGGTGCGCTGCACCCACTAACTCGTCATCTAGCATTAGGTATATCTCCCAATGCTATCCCTCCCCCCTCCCCCCACCCCACCACAGTCCCCAGAGTGTGATATTCCCCTTCCTGTGTCCATGTGATCTCATTGTTCAATTCCCACCTATGAGTGAGAATATGCGGTGTTTGGTTTTTTGTTCTTGCGATAGTTTACTGAGAATGATGATTTCCAATTTCATCCATGTCCCTACAAAGGACACGAACTCATCATTTTTTATGGCTGCATAGTATTCCATGGTGTATATGTGCCACATTTTCTTAATCCAGTCTATAATTGTTGGACATTTGGGTTGGTTCCAAGTCTTTGCTATTGTGAATAATGCCGCAATAAACATACGTGTGCCTGTGTCTTTATAGCAGCATGATTTAGAGTCCTTTGGGTATATACCCAGTAATGGGATGGCTGGGTCAAATGGTATTTCTAGTTCTAGATCCCTGAGGAATTGCCACACTGACTTCCACAATGGTTGAACTAGTTTACAGTCCCACCAACAGTGTAAAAGTGTTCCTATTTCTCCACATCCTCTCCAGCACCTGTTGTTTCCTGACTTTTTAATGATTGCCATTCTAACTGGTGTGAGATGGTATCTCATTGTGGTTTTGATTTGCATTTCTCTGATGGCTAGTGATGATGAGCATTTTTTCATGTGTTTTTTGGCTGCATAAATGTCTTCTTTTGAGAAGTGTCTGTTCATGTCCTTCGCCCACTTTTTGATGGGGTTGTTTGTTTTTTTCTTGTAAATTTGTTTGAGTTCATTGTAGATTCTGGATATTAGCCCTTTGTCAGATGAGTAGGTTGCGAAAATTTTCTCCCATTTTGTAGGTTGCCTGTTCACTCTGATGGTAGTTTCTTTTGCTATGCAGAAGCTCTTTAGTTTAATTAGATCCCATTTGTCAATTTTGGCTTTTGTTGCCATTGCTTTTGGTGTTTTGGACATGAAGTCCTTGCCCATGCCTATGTCCTGAATGGTAATGCCTAGGTTTTCTTCTAGGGTTTTTATGGTTTTAGGTCTAACATTTAAATCTTTAATCCATCTTGAATTGATTTTTGTATAAGGTGTAAGGAAGGGATCCAGTTTCAGATTTCTACATATGGCTAGCCAGTTTTCCCAGCACCATTTATTACATAGGGAATCCTTTCCCCATTGCTTGTTTTTCTCAGGTTTGTCAAAGATCAGATAGTTGTAGATATGCGGTGTTATTTCTGAGGGCTCTGTTCTGTTCCATTGATCTATATCTCTGTTTTGGTACCAGGACCATGCTGTTTTGGTTACTGTAGCCTTGTAGTATAGTTTGAAGTCAGGTAGTGTGATGTCTCCAGCTTTGTTCTTTTGGCTTAGGATTGACTTGGCAATGCGGGCTCTTTTTTGGTTCCATATGAACTTTAAAGTAGTTTTTTCCAATTCTGTGAAGAAAGGCATTGGTAGCTTTATGGGGATGGCATTGAATCTGTAAATTACCTTGGGCAGTATGGCCATTTTCACGATATTGATTCTTCCTACCCATGAGCATGGAATGTTCTTCCATTTGTTTGTATCCTCTTTTATTTCATTGAGCAGTGGTTTGTAGTTCTCCTTGAAGAGGTCCTTCACATCCCTTGTAAGTTGGATTCCTAGGTATTTTATTCTCTTTGAAGCAATTGTGAATGGGAGTTCACTCACGATTTGGCTCTCTGTTTGTCTGTTGTTGGTGTATAAGAATGCTTGTGATTTTTGTACATTGATTTTGTATCCTGAGACTTTGCTGAAGTTGCTTATCAGCTTAAGGAGATTTTGGGCTGAGACAATGGGGTTTTCTAGATATACAATCATGTCGTCTGCAAACAGGGACAATTTGACTTCCTCTTTTCCTAATTGAATACCCTTTATTTCCTTCTCCTGCCTAATTGCCCTGGCCAGAACCTCCAACACTATGTTGAATAGGAGTGGTGAGAGAGGGCATCCCTGTCTTGTGCCACTTTTCAAAGGGAATGCTTCCAGTTTTTGCCCATTCAGTATGATATTGGCTGTGGGTTTGTCATAGATAGCTCTTATTATTTTGAAATACGTCCCATCAATACCTAATTTATTGAGAGTTTTTAGCATGAAGGGTTGTTGAATTTTGTCAAAGGCTTTTTCTGCATCTATTGAGATAATCATGTGGTTTTTGTCTTTGGCTCTGTTTATATGCTGGATTACATTTATTGATTTGCGTATATTGAACCAGCCTTGCATCCCAGGGATGAAGCCCACTTGATCATGGTGGATAAGCTTTTTGATGTGCTTCTGGATTCGTTTTGCCAGTATTTTATTGAGGATTTTTGCATCAATGTTCATCAAGGATATTGGTCTAAAATTCTCTTTTTTGGTTGTGTCTCTGCCCAGCTTTGGTATCAGAATGATGCTGGCCTCATAAAATGAGTTAGGGAGGATTCCCTCTTTTTCTATTGATTGGAATAGTTTCAGAAGGAATGGTACCAGTTCCTCCTTGTACCTCTGGTAGAATTCAGCTGTGAATCTATCTGGTCCTGGACTCTTTTTGGTTGGTAAACTATCGATTATTGCCACAATTTCAGCTCCTGTTGTTGGTCTATTCAGAGATTCAACTTCTTCCTGGTTTAGTCTTGGGAGAGTGTATGTGTTGAGGAATTTATCCATTTCTTCTAGATTTTCTAGTTTATTTGCGTGGAGGTGTTTGTAGTATTCTCTGATGGTAGTTTGTATTTCTGTGGGATCGGTGGTGATATCCCCTTTATCATTTTTTATTGTGTCTATTTGATTCTTCTCTCTTTTTTTCTTTATTAGTCTTGCTAGCGGTCTATCAATTTTGTTGATCCTTTCAAAAAACCAGCTCCTGGATTCATTGATTTTTTGAAGGGTTTTTCGTGTCTCTATTTCCTTCAGTTCTGCTCTGATTTTAGTTATTTCTTGCCTTCTGCTAGCTTTTGAATGTGTTTGCTCTTGCTTTTCTAGTTCTTTTAATTGTGATGTTAGGGTGTCAATTTTGGATCTTTCCTGCATTCTCTTGTGGGCAGTTAGTGCTATAAATTTCCCTCTACACACTGCTTTGAATGCGTCTCAGAGATTCTGGTATGTTGTGTCTTTGTTCTCGTTGGTTTCAAAGAACATCTTTATTTCTGCCTTCATTTCGTTATGTACCCAGTAGTCATTCAGGAGCAGGTTGCTCAGTTTCCATGTAGTTGAGCGGCTTTGAGTGAGATTCTTAATCCTGAGTTCTAGTTTGATTGCACTGTGGTCTGAGAGATAGTTTGTTATAATTTCTGTTCTTTTACATTTGCTGAGGACAGCTTTACTTCCAACTATGTGGTCAATTTTGGAATAGGTGTGGTGTGGTGCTGAAAAAAATGTATATTCTGTTGATTTGGGGTGGAGAGTTCTGTAGATGTCTATTAGGTCCACTTGGTGCAGAGCTGAGTTCAATTCCTGGGTATCCTTGTTGACTTTCTGTCTCGTTGATCTGTCTAATGTTGACAGTGGGGTGTTAAAATCTCCCATTATTAATGTGTGGGAGTCTAAGTCTCTTTGTAGGTCTGTAAGGACTTGCTTTGTGAATCTGGGTGCTCCTGTATTGGGTGCATATATATTTAGGATAGTTAGCTCTTCTTGTTGAATTGATCCCTTTACCATTATGTAATGGCCTTCTTTGTCTCTTTTGATCTTTGTTGGTTTAAAGTCTGTTTTATCAGAGACTAGGATTGCAACCCCTGCCTTTTTTTGTTTTCCATTTGCTTGGTAGATCTTCCTCCATCCTTTTATTTTGAGCCTATGTGTGTCTCTGCACGTGAGATGGGTTTCCTGAATACAGCACACTGATGGGTCTTGACTCTTTATCCAATTTGCCAGTCTGTGTCTTTTAATTGGAGAATTTAGTCCATTTACATTTAAAGTTAATATTGTTATGTGTGAATTTGATCCTGTCATTATGATGTTAGCTGGTGATTTTGCTCGTTAGTTGATGCAGTTTCTTCCTAGTCTTGATGGGCTTTACATTTTGGCATGATTTTGCAGCGGCTGGTACCGGTTGTTCCTTTCCATGTTTAGCGCTTCCTTCAGGAGCTCTTTTAGGGCAGGCCTAGTGGTGACAAAATCTCTCAGCATTTGCTTGTCTGTGAAGTATTTTATTTCTCCTTCACTTATGAAGCTTAGTTTGGCTGGATATGAAATTGTGGGTTGAAAATTCTTTTCTTTAAGAATGTTGAATATTGGCTCCCACTCTCTTCTGGCTTGTAGGGTTTCTGCCGAGAGATCCACTGTTAGTCTGATGGGCTTCCCTTTGAGGGTAACCCGACCTTTCTCTCTGGCTGCCCTTAACATTTTTTCCTTCATTTCAACTTTGGTGAATCTGACAATTATGTGTCTTGGAGTTGCTCTTCTTGAGGAGTATCTTTGTGGCATTCTCTGTATTTCCTGAATCTGAACGTTGGCCTGCCTTGCTAGATTGGGGAAGTTCTCCTGGATAATATCCTGCAGAGTGTTTTCCAACTTGGTTCCATTCTCCCCATCACTTTCAGGTGCACCAATCAGACGTAGATTTGGTCTTTTCACATAGTCCCATATTTCTTAGAGGCTTTGCTCATTTCTTTTTATTCTTTTTTCTCTAACCTTCCCTTCTCGCTTCATTTCATTCATTTCATCTTACATTGCTGATACCCTTTCTTCCAGTTGATCGCATCAGCTCCTGAGGCTTCTGCATTCTTCACGTAGTTCTCGAGCCTTGGTTTTCAGCTCCATCAGCTCCTTTAAGCACTTCTCTGTATTGGTTATTCTAGTTATACATTCTTCTAAATTTTTTTCAAAGTTTTCAACTTCTTTGCCTTTGGTTTGAATGTCCTCCCGTAGCTCAGAGTAATTTGATCGTCTGAAGCCTTCTTCTCTCAGCTCATCAAAGTCATTCTCCATCCAGCTTTGTTCCGTTGCTGGTGAGGAACTGTGTTCCTTTGGAGGAGGAGAGGCGCTCTGCGTTTTAGAGTTTCCAGTTTTTCTGTTCTGTTTTTTCCCCATCTTTGTGGTTTTATCTACTTTTGGTCTTTGATGATGGTGATGTACAGATGGGTTTTCGGTGTGGATGTCCTTTCTGTTTGTTAGTTTTCCTTCTAACAGACAGGACCCTCAGCTGCAAGTCTGTTGGAATACCCTGCCGTGTGAGGTGTCAGTGTGCCCCTGCTGGGGGGTGCCTCCCAGTTAGGCTGCTCGGGGGTCAGGGGTCAGGGACCCACTTGAGGAGGCAGTCTGCCGGTTCTCAGATCTCCAGCTGCGTGCTGGGAGAACCACTGCTCTCTTCAAAGCTGTCAGACAGGGACACTTAAGTCTGCAAAGGTTACTGCTGTCTTTTTGTTTGTCTGTGCCCTGCCCCCAGAGGTGGAGCCTACAGAGTCAGGCAGGCCTCCTTGAGCTGTGGTGGGCTCCACCCAGTTCGAGCTTCCTGGCTGCTTTGTTTACCTAAGCAAGCCTGGGCAATGGCGGGCGCCCCTCCCCCAGCCTCGCTGCCGCCTTGCAGTTTGATCTCAGACTGCTGTGCTAGCAGTCAGCGAGATTCTATGGGCGTAGGACCCTCCGAGCCAGGTGTGGGATATAATCTCGTGGTTCGCCGCTTTTTAAGCCGGTCTGAAAAGCGCAATATTTGGGTGGGAGTGACCCGATTTTCCAGGTGCGTCCGTCACCCCTTTCTTTGACTCAGAAAGGGAACTCCCTGACCCCTCACGCTTCTCAAGTGAGGCAATGCCTCGCCCTGCTTCGGCTCGCGCACGGTGCGCGCACCCACTGGCCTGCGCCCACTGTCTGGCACTCCCTAGTGAGATAAACCCGGTACCTCAGATGGAAATGCAGAAATCACCCGTCTTCTGCGTCGCTCACGCTGGGAGCTGTAGACCGGAGCTGTTCCTATTCGGCCATCTTGGCTCCTCCCCCCGGAATGAAAATTTCTAATCAACTGACTTTGAAATTGGGAGAGTTCCAGATATCCTTGATTATCCAGGTGGGCCCAACATGATCACAAGGGTTCTTAGAAGTGGAATCAGATGTCAGAAGGAGAATTGGCATCAGAATCATGAAATCCAGGAAGGACTCAACAAGCCATTGCAGGCCTTACCAACTGAAGGGCCATAAGCCTAGGGTTTAAGGCAGCTTCTAGAAGATGGAAAAAGTGAGAAAACAAATTTTTTCCCTAGATCTTCCAGAGAGGAATGCAACCGTGCTGAAATGTTGATTTTAGAAAAGTGGGACTTGTGTCAGACTTCTGACCTAAAGAGTTGTAAGATAATAAATTTGTCTTGTTTTAAGCCACTAAATTTGTGGTAATTTGTTACAGTGGCAATATGAAACAGATACATTTACTTACTTATTTACTTTAAGTGAGAAGCTGGTAGTTTCTCTGGTGGTCTGGGAGATAGGGCTTGGAAAGTTTTGATATTGATAAGAGACAAAAAAAAAAAAAAGTCTATGTCAAAGAAGAATTGACTCCAGAATTTCTGAATTCAAAATTAATTCCAAATGTATTGAGGCTATTTCAGCATTGTGCAATATTTCTTTATAACTTTTTTGAATGCCTAGTGTATGAACATATTTTAAAATTGAAAACACCTAGAAGGACATACAATGAAAAGCACATACATGTTTTTCCAGAGTTGCTTCTTGAGGCTTCAGGAAATAGAATTTTACTTTTGTTTTTGCCTTATCACCTAGGATTGTACCTTATCACCTAACTACCTTGGCACCATTACCACATTGTGTATGTCCTTCCAGAGATATTTCACATCTATATGAGCATATGCCTATGTACAGTCTTTTCTTTTGTTCAAACAGTAACACTAGAAATGCTGCACCTTTGCACTGCACATACTTCACCTTTTCATTGATTTCTACCTTAATTTAGAAAGATTTTCATGGGAATAAAAAATAAGCTAAGCAGGCTGTTAATGGAATTGGTGGAAATGGAACTCTGCATGATTTTCTGCATTTAGTCATGTAGACACTCCCTGAACGGGGAACATATACAGGGGAAGCAATAGTGAAGGGTGTATGGTTCACACAAAACAGGTACTCAAAATATTTATTTTAAGAACTAATGGCAGCTGGGCATGGTGGCTCATGCCTGTAATCCCAGCACTTTGGGAGGCTGAGGTGGGTGGGTTGCCTAAGCTCAGGAGTTCAAGACCACCCTGGGCAACATGGTGAAACCCCGTCCCTACTAAAATTCGAAAAATTAGCTGAGTCTGGTGGTGTGTGCCTGTAGTCCCAGCTACTGGGAAGGTTGAGGCATGAGAATTGCTTGAGCCTGGGAAGTGGAGGTTGCAGTGAGCCAAGATCATGTCCCTGCACTACAGCTTGGGCAACAGAGTGAGACTCTGTCTCAAAAAAAAAAAAAAAAAAAAAGAACTAATGAGAAACTACTAGTGAAGATGGCAGACAGGAGGCAGGACTAGCTTACAGCTCCCTATTGGATGGACAGAGCAGCATGTGGAGACTCATATTGTCAACTTTTGCTCCAAGAACTATACCGCAGGAGCATACCAGGAAAGCCAAGAGAATCCACAGACACTTAAAAGGAACTGGATGACCACTGCAGGCTCCCTGAGATGCCAAAAAACTGTGAGTAGGCTTGCTTTCTCAATGCAGAGGCTCGTGGTCTGGGGAAAATTCTAAGCCCTGGTCACCAGATGTCTGGAAATAGACTTGGTGTTGTTGTGGGGGCATTGAAGGAGTGAGACTGGCCTTCAGGACTGAGGGCTGCATGGGAGCGAGGTGAGCCCTGTGACTACTGGCTTTCTCCCACTTCCCGGCCAACCTTTAAGACTCAGCAGAGACAGCCATAATCCCCCTGGGAATATAACTCCATTGGACTGAGAACCACACCCCCATCACCAACACCAGCAGCAGCAAGCCCCGGGCAATGAGAGGCTGAGCTCAGACACACCTATCCCTGCCCCAACCTGGTGGTCTTTTTCTACCTGCTCTGGTAGCTGAAGACAAAGGTCATAATCTCTTGGAAGCTCTCTGGCCCTGCCCACCACCTGAGAAACCTGAATGCTTAACCAGGTATTCCTAGAGCAAGTTTGCATCCTCCCTGTAGGACCACAGCTGATGTGCACTTGAAAGCACCACCTCCTGCTGGAGATGAACCAACACAAAATCAGCACACTAAACAAAAACACAATCAAGGACCCTCATAGAGTCCACTTTGCTCCCCTGCTACCACCACTGGAGCAGGTGCTGGTATCTATGGCTGAAAGACCTGAAGGTGAATCACATCACAGGACTCTTTGCAGACACTTGCCAGTACCAGCCTGCCACCCAGTAGGTCCACTGGGTGGCTAGACCCAGAAGAGGAAAAACAATCACTGCAGTTTGGCTCTCAAGAAGCCCCATTCCTAGAGGAAGGGGAAGAACACCACATCTAGGGAGCAACCCATGGGACAAAAGAATCTGAACAGCAGACCTTGACATAGTCTTCCCAAATGAGAAGGAACCAGAAAAACATTCTGGTAGTATGACAAAACAAGGTTCTTTAACACCCCCAAAAGATCATACCAGCTCATCAGCAATGGATCCAAACCAAGATAAAATCTCTGCATTGCCAGAAAAAGAATTCAGAAGGTTGATTATTAAGTTAATCAAGGAGGCACCAGAGAAAGGTGAAGTCCAACTGAAAGAAATAAAAAACATGATACAGGATATGAAAGAAAAATTATTTAGTGAAATACATAGCATAAATAAAAAACAATCACAACTTATGGAAATTAAGGACACACTTAGAGAAATGCAAAATGCACTGGAAAATCACCACAGTAGAATCAAACAAGAAGAAAAAACTTCAGAGCTTAAAGACAAGGCTTTTGAATTAGCCTAATCTGTCAAAGACAAAAAGGATAAAAAAAAATGAACAAAGCCTCCAAGAAGTTTGGGACTATGTTAAACGTTCAAACCTAAGAATAACTGGTGTTCTTGAGGAAGAAGAGAAATCTAAAAGTTTGGAAAATATATTTGAGGAAAGCTTCCCCAGCCTTGCTAGATATCTAGACGTCCAAATACAAGAAGCTTAAAAAACACCTGGGAAATTCATCACAAAAAGATAATCACCTAGGCACATAGTCATCAGGTTATCTAAAGTCAAGAGGAAGGAAAGAATCTTAAGAGATGCGAGCAAAAGCATCAGGTAACCTATAAAGGAGATCCTATCAGATTAGCAGCACAGTTTTTCAGCAGAAACCCTGAAAGCTAGAAAGGATTGTGGTCCTATTTTTCGCCTCCTTAAACAAAACAATTATCAGCCAAGAATTTTGTATTCAAGCAAAACTAAGCTTCACAAATGAAGGAAAGATAACAGTCCTTTCCAGACAAACAAATGCTGAGAGAATTCACCACTACCAAGCCAGCACTACATGAACTGCTAAAAGGAGCTCTAAATCTTGAAACAAATCCTCAAAATACGTCAAAATAGAACCTCCTTAAAGCATAGATCTCAGGACCTATATAACAATAACACAATGAAAGAAAAAAAAAACAAGGTATTCAGGCAACAAATAACATTATGAATAGAATAGTACCTCACATCTCAATATAAACATTGAATGTAAATGGACTAAATGCCCCACTTAAAAGACACAGAATGGCAGAATGAATAGGAATTCACCAAACAAGTTTCTGTTGTCTTCAGGAGACTCATCTAACACATAAGGACTCACATAAACTTAAGGTAAAGGGGTGGAAAAAGATATTCCATGCGGCCAGGTGCAGTGGCTCACCCCTGTAATCCCAGCATTTTGGGAGGCTGAGGCAGGTGGATCACAAGGTCAGGAGTTCGAGACCAGCCTGGCCAAGATGGTGAAACCCTGTCTCTACTAAAAATACAAAAATTAGCCAGGTGCGGTGGCGGGTGCCTGTAATCCCAGCTGCTTGGGAGGCTGAGGCAGGCGAATCACTTGAACCCAGGAGGTGGAGGTTGCAGTTAGCCAAGATTGTGACACTGCACTCTAGCCTGGGTGACAGAGCAAGACTCTGTCTCAAAAAAAAAAAAAAAAAAGATATTTCATGCAAATGGACACCAAAAATGAGCAGGAGTATCTATTCTTACATCAGACAAACTTTAGAGCAAGAGAAGTTAAAAAAGACAAAGAAGGACATTATATAATGATGAAAGGGCTATTCCATTAGGAAAATATTCTAATTCTAAACATATATGCACCTAACACTGGAGCTCCCAAGTTTATAAAACAATTACAACTAGACCTAAGAAATGAGTTAGACAGCAACACAATAATAGTGGGTGACTTTAATACTCCACTGACAGCACTAGATAGATCATCAAGACAGAAAGTCAACAAACAAACAATGGACTTATACCCTACAACAAATTGACTTAACAGATATTTACAGAACATTCTACTCAACAACTGCAGAATATACATTCTTTTCGTCAGCACAAGAAACATTCTCCAAGATAGACTATATGACAGGCCACAAAACAAGTCTCTGTAAATTTAAGAATACTGAAATTATTTCAAGTACTCTCTCAGACTACAGTGGAATAAAATTGGAAGTCAGATCCAAAAGCAACCCTCAAGACTATGCAAATACATGGAAATTAAATAACCTGCCCCTGAATGATCATTGGGTCAACAATGAAATCAAGATGGAAATTCAAACAATTCTTTGAACCAAGTGATAGTACTGACACAACCTGTCAAAACCTCTGGGATACAGCAAAAGTGGTGCTAAGAGGAAAGTTCACAGCATTAAATGCCTATGTCAAAAAGTCCAAAAAAGCACAAATAGACAATCTAAGGTCACACTTCATGGAACTAGAGAAACAAGAACAAACCAAACCCAAACCCAGCAGAAGAAAAGGAATAATGAAGATCTGAGCAGAACTAAATGAAATTGAAACAAACAAACAAATACAAAAGATAAATGAAACAAAAAGCTGGTTCTTTGGAAAGATAAATAAAATTGATAGACTATTAAGGAAATTAACCAAGAAAAGAAGAGAGAAGATCCAAATAAGCACAATTAGAAATGAAATGGGAAATACTACAGCTGATACCACAGAAATACAAAAGATTATTCAAGGCTACTATGAACACATTTACATGCACAAACTAGAAAACCTAGAAGAGATGGATAAATTTCTGGAGTTATACAATCCTTCTAGATTAAGCCGGGAATATATCGAATCTCTAAACAGACTAATAACAAGCAGCAAGATTGAAATGTTAATTTAAAAATTGCCAACAACAAAAAAAGTTCAGGACAAGATGGATTCACAGCTGAATTCTATCAGACATTCAAAGAATTGGTACGAATCCTATTGACACTATTCCAAAAGATAGAGAAAGAGGGAATCCTTCCTAAATCATTCTATGAAGCCAGTATCACCCTAATACCCAAACCAGGGAAGCACATAACAAAAAAAGAAAACTACAGACAAATATCCCTCATGAACATAGATGCAAAAATCCTAAAGAAAATACTAGTGAACCAAATTCAACAGCATATCAAAAAGACAATCCACCATGATCAAATGGGTTTCATATCGGGGATGCCAGGATGGTTTAACATACGTATCTCAATAAATGTGATGCCCATATAAACAGAATGAAAAACAAAAACTACATGATCATCTCAATAGACACAGAAAAAGCATTTGACAAAATCCAGCATCTCTTTAGATTAAAACGTTCAGCAAAATCAGCATAGAAGGGACATACTTTAAGGTAATAAAAGCCATCTATGACAAACCTACAGCCAATATTTTACTAGATGGGGAAAAGTTGAAAGCATTCCCCCTGAGAACTGGAACAAAACAAAGATGCTCACTTTCACCACTTTTATTCAACATAGCATTGGAAGTCCTAGCCAGAGCAATCAGACAAGAGAAAGAAATAAAGCGCACCTAAATTGATAAAGAGGAAGTAGAACTGTCACTGCTTGCTGATGATATGAAAGTACACCTAGAAAACCCTAAAGACTCACCTGAAAAGCTCCTAGAACTGGTAAATGAATTCAGCAGAGTTTTATGACACAAAATTAATGTACACAAATCAGTAGCTCTCCTACATACCAACAGTGGCCAAGCTGATAATCAAATCAAGAAGTCAACCCCTTTCACAATAGCTGCAAAAACAAACAAACAAACCCAAAAAACAAAAAATCATAGGAATACACTTAACCAAGGAGGTGAAAGACCTCTACAAGGAAAACTGCAAAACGCTGTTGAAAGAAATCATAGATGACACAAATAAATGAAAACACATCCCATGGTCATGGATGGGTAGAATCAATATTGTGAAAATGACCATACTTCCAAAAGCAATCTACTAATTCAATGAAATTCTCACCAAAATACCACCCTCATTCTTCACAGAACTAGAAAAACAATCCTAAAATCCATATGGAACTATAAAAGAACCCACATAGCCAAAGCAAGACTAAGCAAAAAGAACAAACCTGGAGGCATCACATTACCCAACTTCCAACTGTACTATAAGGTCATAGTCACCAAAACAACATGGTACTGGTATACAAATAGGCACATAGACCAATGGAACAGAATAGAGAACCCAGAAATAAAGCCAAATACTTATAGCCAACTGATCTTTGACAAAGCAAACAAAAACATAAAGGGGGGAAAGGACACCCTATTCAACAAATGGTGCTGGGATAATTGATAATTGACAAGCCACACATAGAAAAATGAAACTGGATCCTCATCTCTCATCTTATACAAAAATCAACTCAAGATGGATCAAAGACTTAAGTCTAAGACCTAAAACCATAAAGATTCTAAAAGATAACATCAGAAAAACCCTTCTAGAGATTGGCTTAGGCAAAGACTTCATGACCAAGAATCCAAAAGAAAATGCAACAAAAACAAAGATGAATAGATGAGACTTAACTAAATTAAAAGCTTCTGCACAGCAAAAGAAATAATCATCAGAGTTAACAGACAATCCACAGGGTGGGAAAAAGTCTTCACAATCCATACATCCAACAAAGGACTAATCCAGAATCTACAAGGAACTCTAACAAATCAGCAAGAATAAAACAATCTCATCAAAGAGTGGGCTAAGGACATGAATAGATAATTCTCAAAAGAAGATACAAATGGCCAAAAAGCATATGGAAAAATGCTCAATGTCAGTAATTATCAGGGAAATGCAAATCAAAACCACAATGTAATACCACCTTACTCCTGCAAGAATGGCCATAATAATAACAAAAAAAAAGACGTTGGTGTGGATCTGGTGAAAAGGGAACACTTCTATACTATTGGTGGGAATGTAAACTAGTACAACCACTATGGAAAACAGTGCATAGATACATATATACACACACACATATATATATATACACACACACATATATATGTACACATACATATATATATACACATACATATATATACATATATATACATATATACATTTATACATACACATATATATGGAAAACAGTGTGTATATATATATATATACACACACACACATATATATATCTACACACGCACACCATGGACTACTACTCAGCCATAAAAAGGAATGAAATAATGGCATTTGTAGCAACCTGGATGGAATTAGAGACTATTATTCTAAGTGAAGTAACTCAGGAATGGAAAACCAAACATTGTTATGTTCTCACATGTGGGAGCTAAGCTATGAGGATGCAAAGGCATAAGAATGATAAATTGGACTTTGGAGACTTGGGGGAAAAGGTGGGGGTTGGCGAGGGATAAAAGACTACTCATTGGGTACAGTGTACACTGCTCGGGTGATGGATGCACCAAAATCTCAGAAATCACCACTAAAGAACTTATTCATGTAATGAAACACCACCTGTTCCCCAAAAACCTATTGAAATAAAAAAAATTCAATATAAAAAAAACTAATGAATAAATTTTAGGTGGCTGGATAGCCAAGCAAAGATCCCAGTGCTAGTCTGTGAGCTTCTTACAGAAATTCCTGGGGAAGAGAACACAAATACCTGTGATCTGAGTTCTGACTAATACTTGGCTCTTAGATCTTAGATTTTTAGATATTTGAAATCTGCATGGGAATAGCAGAAGGTGGGGATAAAACTCACCTGTTATTTCAAAGTGGCAAGTCTATCTGCATGAGCTAGAGAAGTGAATATACCTTTTGGTGAGCCCCATCTGCAGCCCTCTGCAACGTCTCTCAACAGAGAATAACTTACCTTTTAGCAGAAAGTGTTCTTTTGTTGGAGATACCACAAGAATAGGCTAGTTGGTTTTGTAATTGTAGATAGAAAAGTGTATATTTAAGAGCTGTGACTCTCAGTAACTAAACTGCTCTATATGACAACGTTGAAAGGTGTTCATGGTTTAGCCAGAGCTGTATCCCTGTAGACACTATGCCCTTTAGATAATTTCCTTTCCCAAGTGGGAATTTATTATGCTTGATACAGTAATAGTTGTGCATTCTTGTGGAAATATTTTGTGTTTGCTGTTCTCCCAAAGCAAGGGTAAGTACTGTAGGTGATTAACAGCTGATCCTTGGGGAGGTAGAAGATGGGGAAGATGACTGCCTGTCCAGAGTCTTGGATTGGCTTACATGATGGATTTTATGGAACTTTGGATATAGCAATACTCCTTCAAGGTGCAGGTGACAAAGTATAGAATAAGATAGGGTAGAGGCTTTTCATCTCGCTGTGGCACCAGGCCTAGCAGCATCCTGGCATCAGAGGATAGGAGATAGCATCTCTGATGTGGACATTTGAGTTTTCACAATGAACATCATCTGCTGTGGCAGTTGGGGACTCCTTCAAGCAGCTTTGTAAGCATGGTCACACATACATACTTACACAAATCATCATATATCTATATTTATCATTTTTTATACAAACTGAGGTGTACTGAACATACTTTTTTGCTCCTTGTATGTTTTATATCTTAAAAGAAGGAATTGTTAGTAAAATAAAAAAGGGTTTGAGAGTTGATAATGATAATAATGTCAATAACTAACATTTATTGAACAATTACTGTGTGGCAGGTACTATGCCATGTACTTGATATAGTTTGGCTGTGTCTCTACCCAAATCTCATTTTGAATTACCATGTGTTGTGGGAGGGACCCGATGGGAGGTAATGTTGGAGGCAAGTCTTTCCAATGCTGTTCTCATGATAGGGAATAAGTCTCATGAGATCTGATGGTTTTATAAAGAGTTGTTCCTCTGCACAAGCTCTCTCTCTCTTTGCCTGCCACCATCCTCGTAAGATGTGACTTGCTCCTCCTTGCCTTCCATGATTGTGAGGCCTCCCCAGCCCTGTGGAACTGTAAGTCCATTAAACTTCTTTCTTTTGTAAGTTGCCCAGTCTCGGGAATGTCTTCATCAGCAGCATGAAAATGGATTAACACAGTACTTTACATGCGTTTGAAGTTGATAGATAGACAACTCATAGAGTAAGGAGTGTTTTGTCTGTAGACATTTTCAAGTGGAGATAAGTGAGTATCTTCCCCACATATTGTAGAGAACATTCTTACTTTGAGAATAAGTCAGACAGTTTATTGCAAGATCCTTTCCAAGCATAAGCATCAGGGAGTCCACCATTTCAGGACTGAGTGCAGAATTGGGCATTTGGAGTGTTCAAAAATGTTTGAGATTTGATTTCTCTTGCTCTTGTGTAGTAGCTGATACGGGTTAGAAATGATGAAACTTGCTGCCTGCTGCTCTTCCTTAACTGAATCAAGTTCAGAGTGACCTTGCTATGTCTTCTAGACAGAGTGTGGCCATGACTCAATCAAGTTATAGAGCAAATTGGAGATATGCAGAGGAGAAGCTCTATCTTATTTTTTTCTAAGAACTCTCAGACTTCCTTGAGTTACAAATTTGCACCCAATCTTTTAACTGTTTCTTCAGTGTCATCTCTGAGCTATAATTATGGCTTAAAATGACAAGTTTAGATCATCCAGATTTATTGTAATGCAGCTGGTTTATCAGCACTAAGTTGATGCTTGCTGAAAACCAGTTTTATTGGAGAAATAGGCTGTTACTTTCTTTATTAATTCATCAGTGATTTTTTTTTTTTTTTTGGCCAGGAACCATTCTAAGTGCTTGAAAAATAACCATTAAATTTTGGAGAGGTAGTCACATAAGGAAACAACCCAATTGAATGTGCTATCAATGCTATGATGGAGGTAAGAGTGGCAACATGAAAGAATGACTTTTAGGGATGGAAGTGTCATAGTGTTAGTCATGGCTCAATGGGAAAGACAAATAGAAATTCACCAAGCAAAGAAGAGAAAAAAGGTATTCTATTCAGGGCAATGATATGCTCTCTGGCTTGAAGCTGTGAACGAGAATGGCACGCTGCAGACCTGAGAGATGTTCACAGCTGCAGCAGTATGGTGTTGGTGTGTGTGCGTGTTTGTGCTAGAGTAGTGTGTAAGTGTGCGAGAAGGTAGAATAGTGAGAGGTGAAGTTGTATAACTAAGCAGATGGTAATTGAGAAAGAGATAATACTACATAGAAGCTAGACTGATAATTTTTTTTTCACTTTTGAGTAAACCTTAATCAGTCATTTCAAATGATGGGTATTAATTTTAGGGGTTATCCAGGAGTAAATGAGGATGGCCTACAGCACTTGGACAGAAAGTTGACTTTTTTTAAGAACAAAACTAAGGAGGACAACTGGGAGCACCCTCACATCCAGAACAGCAAGCACTTTCTGCAGCTCTAAACCAGAGTCAGTCTTCATATTCAGGCAAAGAAGAGGGGAAGAGAAGTTTTTTTTTTTTTCCTCCAGAATGGCAGCCACATCTGCATAGATAAGATAGTGATCACCATCTATGTTGTCATCTTTAAATGTACGTGGAGTTTCCTGCTGAGGTCCCAGAGGTGCTCTTTTGGTGAGCCCCATCTGCAGCACTCTGTAACATCTCTTCATAGATAATAGCCCATGCTGTATGAGTGTCCATGAATGGCCTAGCACATCACTTTTTTTTTTTTTTTTTTTGAGACGGAGTTTTGCTCTTGTTGCCCAGGATGGTGTGCAGTGGCGCGATCTCGGCTCACTGCAACCTCCGCCTCCCTGGTTCACTCCATTCTTCTGCCTCAGCCTCCCAAATAGCTGGGACCACAGGCTCCTGCCACCATGCCCCGCTAATTTTTTGTATTTTTAGTAGAGATGGGGTTTCACCATGTTAGCCAGGCTGGTCTCGATCTCCTGACCTCGTGATCCACCCGCCTTGGCCTCCCAAAGTGCTGGGATTACAGGCCTGAGCCACTGCGCCTGGCCGGCCCAGCACATCATTTCTACCCAAGACTGTGAGCACTTTCAGGGCAAGTATCACACCTTAGGATTCTCTATAGCATAAACAGGTTCATCTTAAATGCTGACTGAATGAATTCCCACTGTAACAACTGAGTACACCTTAATCACAGTGGTAGTGTAGCTCCTGGAAAACCTGCGAATAGTCTCTCTGACTTTGAGTCTCTTTTGGGTTTTGCCACAGACTGCAATCACCCTCGTTGTACAGGCTGATATTGATAGGCCCTGATAATGCCTCAGTGACCTGTTAGAAAACACATTCGGCTAAAGACTAACACTCTGAGTTTCCTAGTTTCAAGCAGTGGAACAGCAGTCTTTTGATTAAAAGGCTAGTGGTTAATTAAGATGCTGAAGACTGTCTTGGGAAGGACTCCCCACCTTTGCAGACTTTTCATGGGCCCTCCTGTGCTTCTTGCTCTCCTAAACTGAAAAGAGTCCCTCACCTCACACTTTTCCAGACCAGTCTCCAACCTCTGCATCCCATCTACTTTACAGGAACTTGGTGGAAACAGGAAATTGACTCAAAGGAGAGAGACCATCATAAGACTTTTGGCCCTTCTCATATCAGGTTCCCAATGGACCTGGATTCAGAATTCCATTAGCAGAGGCAGCACAGAGTGGCTCAGTCACTACTTCTTAACATCTTACATTTTATGTGCTCTTCGAGAGAGAGAGGCAGCCAGGTGATGAGCAATTCCCCGAAACCAGATAGACATTGAGGATAGTAAAATGATTCTTTCTCTTCCCACTACTGGCTGGGCGTTTATTTAAAAATACATATACAGCAGGACACTAATTGTGAATGAAATAAAAGACATCAAAAGAATCTTTCTAATTAGCTTAAATACTGATCATTACCATCAGAAAATGAGTCAGCCTAAAAACACATGTAATTGCACTCTTCCTGTGTTGTGGGAAACCTAGGGATTGAAGAGCTACATTATGAGAGAGGGAGAGGACATGGTGAGATCCATCACAAAGAAGAAATGGTTTTTGCCACTACTGATTGTTGCATAGGACATTTGCTTGAATGAGTGCGAAGCATTTGATACCCAGGAGGCTGGCAGTCTTCACTATACAGCCAATACCTGGGTGAAAAGCGCCATGTTATCATTGCTGTTTGACAAATGGGAAATCTAGAAATTGGAAGTTAGGATACTAGAATTAAGTGGATCATTGAGATTTAGGGGTGACTCTAGGCAAGAGTGTGAGAGAGACTAGTTTCTCTTGCTGTGTGCTTTCCCCTCCCTCCTTGATACTTCTTTCTAATTGCACTGTCTTCCTGTCAAAACTTTCCTTCAGGAAATGGGCTGTTGTCAGATATTTATACTTCTGTGAATTTAAGTAACTGCTCTTTGTAGGGTGTACTTGAATCTATTAATTCTTATCCCTAATTAATATGCAAAAACTTTTATTTTTTTGGTTTCTTAAGTTTGGTTTCTTAAGTTTGGTTTCTTAAGGAAGTTACAGGCATCAGTAATTAATATGAAACTAGTAGAGGAGGAAGGAAGATGGGAACATAATATTTCCTGGTGCCACTAAAATTCTACCTAGGACTTGAACTGCATAGGGTGAAGTAGCAGAAAACACTTGAGTTTCTTCTGATGATGCATGTATGAAAGGCTGGTCTACAAAGTTAGCTAAACGAGATCATTTCATGGAGAATATATTGCAAAAAATTTTTTTGAGAAATATGTGATGTCCAGTATGGGGATTATTGATTAGTAAAATTGATATTCTAGTTCAATCAAAATGCAATTCACATAGTGAATTTGTATCTCACCACATATTAAAAATTCCTAATTCTTTGTACCACATACTTTTGGCAGTCTTATGAAGCCTATGGGTCCCTTTGCAAAATAATGTTTTTAATGCATAAAATAAAAAAATGAATACTATTGAAAGATGTTCACAGAAATGTTTTGAAAATTTTGTGCTATATGCGTTATTAAGGCATCAAAAGCAAGGTCTAGTGCACAGGCTAAATGACTATCTCAGTAGTGAGTAACATGAATCTACAAAACTATCCCAGTAGTGAGGAACATAAATAGTACTTCAAGATATCTGCAAAAAATAACTGATGATATTAAAATATCTGACATTTCTAATGGAGATAAAGTTACAGGTATCCAAACATCACTGCTACTACTAGTGCATATAATAGAAGAAAATGCTATATTTAATTAGAAGTTAGTGACAGGTTTGCAGTTGACCTCCTGGGTTGACAATTTCTACACCTTAAGCTGTCCTTGGTATGGTATTTCTTCAAGGAGAAACTTTCTCGAATCTTAGCTTCTTAAGCTATCAAGAGGTTGTTGAAATTTTGGATTTTTTTTTTTTTTTAGTATTACGCCTTCCAGATGTGTAAACACTAACTGGCAGATATAGAACTCACTAGCACTTATTTGAATTTCTATTTAACATCTTAACTTTAAAATTGTACATAACACACAGCTCAGTGCATAAGGCACAAATATTCAACTTCATAAAACTTGTTTGAATTTCTATTTTCAGATTTGGGAAGCTACTGTCAAGGTTACTTAAGAAGTAGGACCCAGTGTATTTCCATGTGAAATTCATAGGCACGGGAGATGCCAGATAATGACAATGCTCTATTTTACTAAGAAGCACATTTTACTGAATAGAGTAAGCAATCTTTCCAAGGGAGAAATTCATCTGAGATGCTTCACAGTTATTAAGCAAAATACCCGCTCAATCATGTGGTGTATTTTCTATGGTTTTTGCTTTATTAATTTCAGGTGTATTTTGATTATAAAGACATTTTATGCATTTTATAATCTCTTATGTTTTCCAATAAATACAAACCTGGAGTGCTTTTTTATCTCTTCGCATTCTTTTAGAGGTGTGATGAGTATCAAATAAGGCAATAATTTTGAAACGCTTAATAGAAAATGTCACCATTGATTGTTATTATTGTATTATAAATAGGTATTCTTTCTTGAAAAGATGGCTTAATTTATTACATCATGATTTGACTAATACATTCAAATTAACTTTGTCTGAAATGATTTTATAAAATCCTCTACTTTTGAAAAAATAGATTTATTTTTTAGAGTAATTTTAGACTTACAAAAAAATTGAGGTGATAATATAGAGAATACCTACATACCCCACACCAGTTTCCCCTATGATTATCATCTTATATTAGTATGGTACATTTATTACAATTAATAGACAGTATTAATTGATTCACTATTATTAACTAAAGTCCATAGTTCAGTCAAATTTCCTTGGATTTTACCTGATGTCCTTCTGTTCCAACATCTCATCTAGTTATCACATTACATTTAGTTGGCATGCCTTCTTAAGCTTCTCTCAGTTGTCACGGTCTCAGACTTTTTTTGTTCTCTGACCACCTGGACATTTTCAGGAGTACTGGTCAGGTATTTTGTGGAATGCCCACTGTTAAATTTGTCTGTTTTTTCATGATTAGATTGAGGTTTTGGAGAGGAAGCTTACAAAGATAAAATGATGTTGTTTTCATACGTCAAAGGTTCATACTGCACTGTTGATGTTGATTGTGATCACCTGGTCAAGGTAATGTTTGTTAGGCCTCTCCACTCTAAAGTTATTCTCCTCTGGCCTCTTTCTTGCTGTGCTTTTGGTAAGGAAGTCACTATGTGTGGCCCACACTTAGGGAGTGAGGAGTTATGCCCCCACTCCTTGCTGGTAGATTATCTACATAAATTATTTGGAATTCTTCATGGCAGATTTGCCTCTTCTCCCTCATATATGTATTTATGCAATCATTTATTTATATCAGTATGAACTCATGAATATTTATTTTATACTTTGTGTTGTAATTGAATTCTACTTTATTTGTTGCTTAAATTGTTCCAGCATTGGCCATTGGGAGCTCTTTCTGTGGCTCCTATGTCCCTTTGACATATACTAATCAAAGTGAAGCTTTTTTCGTTTTTTTTTTCTTTTTTTAGCACTTTCTTACTTCTGGCACTATAAGATGTTCCAGGCTTATCATGTATATTTCTTGCCCTTCTCCTAGAATCAGTCATTTTTTCCAAGGAGCCCTGGTTTCTTTTATCAGAAAGTAGGGGTAGAAACCAAAATTCAAGTGCTAAGCGTACTCATCATTACTAGGGCATTATTGCTTTTAGGTATTCTCAGCTGACAGAGCAAGGAAATATACATGTGCATACTAACCCATGTATATGCTTATATTCATAAGTATTTCTATATGTAAGCGTAGGCATGTATATTAAGCTAAACATGAGATTACACTGATTGCTCCAACTCTAGTCAATTTTCAAAAAGTCTCACTGCGCTAAAAGAGCTTCACTAGACTAAAAATGCCTACGTGCATCACCTTCTCTCCCCGAGCTCCTGGAGGCCAGTTATCTTTTTACTGTTTACTTTTCAGAATGTTATATAATTAGAATCATACAGTATGACTCTCTCTACTTTTTAAGATGTAGTAAATAATGACCCTTAAGCTCATACTTTTCTAAATATATTTCCAACTACAATTTTCTGAAGTACATCTTGTCATTTATATGCATTCAGTGTGAAGAAATTTAAAAAGTCTAAAGCACACTTCACTGTTAAGTTCTTTTTATTTCAAATATTGCATTTTAACTTTTTTTATTTTTATGAATACATAATAGGTGTGTATGTTTGTGGAGTATATGAGATAATTGCATCAGGGTAAATGGGGTATCCATTACCTCAAGCATTTATCATTTCTTTGTGTTACAAGCAATCCAATTACACTCTTTAACTTATTCTAAAATGTACTATTTATTTTCATTGACTGTAATCACCTTGTTGTGCTATCAAGTGAATAAGATCTTTTGATCTTATATATGTATCTAACTATATTTTTGTACCCATTAATTATCCTCACATCCCTCCCCCTTTCCCAACTACCTTTCCCAGCCTCTGGTAACCATCATTCTATTCTTTATCTCCATTAGTTCAATCATTTTCATTTTTAGCTCTTGCAAATGAAAGAGAATATGCAAAGTTTGTTTTTCTGTGCTTGGTTTATTCCATTTAGCATAATGACCTCCAGTTTCACCCATGGTGTTGCAAATGATGTAATCTCCTTCTTTTGTTATGTCTAAATAGTACTCCATTGTGTATATCCATTCATTTTATCCATTTCCTTTATCTATTTATTTGTCCATTCGTCTATTGATGGACACTTAGGTTGCTTCCAAATCTTGGCTATTGTGAATAGTGCTGCAATAAATATGACAGTGCAGATATCTCTTTGATATACTGATTTCTTTTTCTTTTGGGAATATACCTAGCAGTGGGATTATTGGATCATATGGTAGTTCTATTTTTAGTTTTTTTTTGAGGAATCCCTATACTGTTCTTTATAGAGGCTGTACTAATTTACATCCTCACCTGCAGTGTATGACAGTTTCCTTTTCTCCACATCCTTGCCAGCATTTGTTATTGCCTGTGTTTTGGAGAAAAGCCATTTTAACTGGGGTTAGATGATAACTCATTGTAGTTTTGATATGCATTTCCCTGATGATCAGTGATGCAGTGCAACTTTTTATATTCCTGTTGGCCATTTACATCTCTTCTTTTGAGAAATGTCTACTCAGAATTTTTGCCCATTTAAAAATCAGATTATTTGGTTTTCTTCTAAGTTGTTTGAGCTCCTTATGTATTCTGGTTATTAATCCCTTGTCAGATGGAAAGTTTGCAAATATTTTCTCCCATTCTGTTGGTTGTCTCTTCACTTTGTTTATTGTTTGTTATGAAGAAGCTTTTAAACTTGATGTAATTCCATTTGTCCATTTTTGCTTTGGTTGCTGTGCTTTTGGGATATTACTCAATAACTCTTTGCCCAGACCAATGTCCTAGAAATTTTCCTCAATGTTTTCTTGTAGTAGTTTCGTAGTTTGAGGTCTTAGATTTAAGTCTTTAATCCATTTCGATTTGATTTTTGTATATGGTGAGAGATAGGGGTCTAGTTTCATTCTTCTGCATGTGGATATTCAGTTTTCCCAGCACCATTTATTGAAGAGACTGTCTTTTCCCAATGTATGTTCTTCGCAGCTTTAACAAAAATGTATGGATTTATTTTGGGGTTCTGTATTCTGTTACACTGGTCTATGTGTTTGTTTTTATCCCAGCACCATGCTGTTTTGGTTACTATAGTGCTGTAGTATAATTTGAAGTCAGGTAATATGATTCTTCCAGTTTTGTTGTTTTTGCTCAGAATGGCTTTGGCTTTTCAGCATCTTTTGTGGTTCTATATACATTTTCAGATTACTTTTTCTATTTCTGTGAAGAATGTCATTGGTATTTTGATAGGAATTGCATTGAATCTGTAGATTGCTTTGGGTAGTACGGACATTTTAATAATATTGATTCTTCCAATCCATGAACATGGAATAGCTTTCCATTTTTGGCATCCTCTTCAATTTCTTTCATCAGTGTTTTATAATTTTCATTGTATAGATCTTTCACTTCTCTGTTCAAGTTAATTCCTAGGTATTTAATTTTGCCTGTAGCTATTGTACAATCAATAGGATTGTTTTCCTGATTTCTTTTTCAGATTGTTCACTGTTGGCATGTAGAAATCCTACTGGTTTTTGTATGTTGATTTTGTCTCTTGCAACTTTACTGAATTTGTTTATCAGTTCTAACAGTTTTTTGTGGAGCCTTTAGCTTTTTCTAAATATAAAATCATATCATCTGCAAACAAGGATAATTTGACTTCTTCTTTTCCAATTTGGATGCTCTTTATTTCTTTCTCTTGTCTGATTGCTTTAGTTAGGACTTTTGATACTATGTTGAATAACAGTGGTGACAATGAGCATCCTTGCTGTGTTCCAGACCTTAGAGGAAAGGCTTTCAGGTTTTCCCCATCTAGTATGATACTAGTGGTGAGTCTATTGTATATGACTTTTATTGATTTGAGATGTTGAATTTCAACATCGCTTCAATGATAAATTTCAGCACCAATTGAAATGATCATATGGTTTTTGTCCTTCATTCTGTTGATATAGTGTATCACATTGGTTGATTTGCATATGTTGACCCATCCTTGCATCCCTAGGGTAAATCCCACTTGGCACGATGAATGATATTTTTAATGCGTTGTTGAATTTGGTTTGCAAGTATTTTGTTGAAGATTTTTGCATTAATATTTATCAGATATTGGCCTGTAGTTTTCTTTTCTTTCTTTCTTCTTTTTTTTTTTTTTCTTGATGTGTCTTTGTCTGGTTTCGGTATCAGGGCAATATTGGCATCGTAGAGTGAGTTTGGAAGTATTCTCTCCTCCTCTATTTTTTGGAATAGTTTGAGTAAAACTGGTATTAGTTCTTCTTTAAATATTTGGTAAAATTTAGCAGTGAAGCCATTGGGTCCCAGACTTTTCTTCACTGGGAAACCAGTGTAAGTTTTTGAATTAAGAGAGATAACTAGAAATATACCAGTGATATATTTTTCAACATAGGTAAGATAAATGTTAAATATACATATTTCTCTTCTCTAGTTCAGCTTTTCTGATTCTAATTGTGCCCCCAACCCTCTCCAAATAACTGAAGTTTAGCTCTCCTAAAAGGAACTTTAAAATTGTAGGTTGTAAAAGTCATCTAAGTTAGGATTTCCAACTTATTTAGCCATCAGACACAATAGGAGTTATAATTTCTTGGCAGAACACCAATGAGGTATAATAATACATGTACAATACAGTGGACAGCAAAGTGTCACTGGTCACTGTTGACATCCATATTGCCAAATGCAATAGATGCTCCTCTGTCTTCATCCTTCTTGATTTCTCAACAGTGTCTGAACAGTTGTTTCCCACATTTGGAAATCTTGTACTCTGTTAACTTCAAGTCCTTATGTCATCCTGTTTTCCTTGTACCTTCCTGCCACTCCTTCTTAAGAGTCTCTTAAGTACTTAAGTTTCAATCTTAGGCACACTTCTCTTTTATTATTATCCTTTCTAAGTGATGCCCTCAATTTCCAATCTTGAAATGATCTCTATATGCTTGTTATAAGACTCCAGCTTGACCTCTCTCTTGAACTTATTCCTTACATTTCTCAAGGTTTTAGATACCAAACTATTCTGAAAAGCAACGAGGACTTATTGCAAAGTGAAAGTGCAAATTTTAAGCTTTGTTTATTTTTTTTTTTGCAGTGGCCTTTTAAGTGAATTCTTATGCCTCAATTAACTTTGATATTTCCTACAGGAAATATCTATGCAATTCTAAGTTTTTATTAGGAAGTTATATCCACTTATCATTGTTTTTCAACCTCCTTTCTGGGCTATGAATTAGCTGTAAACATGCTGAAAAGAATCATCTGTTGATATGCTTCTGCCAAAAATATTTGTTTTGGCTGTTACAGGAACTCTGTCAATAGAGTCTATGGAAATATTGGTTACTTTGTGTCCTGGACAGGTGGCCTTTTCACTGCTCCCTAATTCACACCATTTCGGTAGCCTTCTGTTAGTTCAGTGTTTTCAACCTTGGCTACACATCATAATTGTATAAAGGGCTTTCTAAAAGTACGGATGTTTGACTCCCTTACAGATTCTAGTTCAATTGATCCTGAGTGGTGCCCAGGCAGAGGTACTTCTTCAGAGATCCCTAGGTGATAGTAACATGAGCTAGGTTTGAGAATCATCTGTAGTAGAACAATCTTTGCATCAGTTGAGCTTGGTGTTTAATTCTGCCTCACTACTCCCAGCTGGGTGATCTTGGGCATGTTGCTTAAACTTTCCGAGCCCAACACCTCCTATCTGTAAAATAGAATAAATGGTATCTACACCACAAAAGCTTGGTTTGAAGAGTAAATATTTAACCTAATGTGTTCAGCATTTTACAGGACCTAATAGGGATTTAACTTCAAGTCCAGCCCTTTGTTATGACTTTCTCTCTCATTTTTCTTCCATGTGACTTTTTTTAAACCATCAGTGTCATGTTTTTTTGTTCTCCTTAAATGTAAATATCTTCCCACACTTTTAGCACTTTGTATCCTGTTATTGTTGATAAAAGCCATGAAAAAGCAGTGGTTCAAAAGTCAAGAAACAGGACCATGACCTAGTGTCAGTGCGTCTCTCATTTAACTCTTAATATATCTAACTGGACTCTGGGAACTAACCTCAGCTTTGATCCACTGACAGTTCCTTCCTTCTAGTTTTAAAACTGTGTTTGACATTTACACTCTCTTTCTTTAAAATTAACCCCTTGAAAATGCTAAGATTTGATGTCCCTATGCTACCTTGCAGTTGGGTACACAATGGCGGTAAGGGTGATGATAACCATGAGGATGATAATAATGATGTTTGAGGACCTTTGACTACAATCACATTATGTAAAAGAGTCTGTTCACATGGCCTAAGTGGGAGAACATGAGTTAAGTAAGTACCTTTCTCTGTAGGCTGACATAAGTGTTATGAATGTTTTCAAGTTCTTTATTTAAATTGTATCAAGACCTAATGCTGCAAGTCAGCCTAAACTCTATTTTCTCAGCTATATGTGTTCATAAGATGAATACTTTTCCAATAAGATTTTTCTGAGTTCATGAAATAACCACTGTTAAGCCATTGACATCATACAAATTATTTTGAAATGTTACCTTATATTTTGTTTTCAGCCCACTTTTCCTGAAACAAAAAACTTTTTACTTCGAAATTTTAACTGAAAACATTTCTAGGCTATAATCAATGTAGATATAATGGTATCTCATTACAGAAAAATTGAAATACTAGATGTAAAGTTCAAATTAATGGAGGAAAGGAATATATAATCAATATTTTATTCACATCCTGGTGATTTATTTTGTTGCTATTGATAATGTACGGTTTAGAACTATTTCAATCCATAAAAGGCCATCTTGGATCCATTTGTGAAATGTTCAATTCTAAGAAACATAATAATTCAGCAGCAATATATACCCCTGAACCAAATATTATTAAAAAAAATCAATACCTCATCTCCAACATAGAGAATGCAGCATGCTGCACTTTACTCAGCAAAACAGAATTCTCTTCTACAAAAAGTTGCAGGTCTAACAATTCAGTGTCTTGGAGGACTTTACAACCAAATAATAACAAGGAAATGAAGGAAAAAGTGTTCCTATAAGAAGATAGCCAAAGACCAAAGATGACTTTGTTGGCTCCTTTCCTGTTGTGATTTAAAAATACTGATCATGAGAAAATAGGTTGTACATACATATTATCTCCAGGGTTAGGTTTCATGGAATTAAAAAGAGGAGAAGCAAAGAAGGAGATCTTGGAGCAGATAGCCAAATTTCATGATATTCATAAAGGCAGAGGGCAGTCATACATGATGAAGTGCCATGTGTTCTTCTGTGCACAATAAAGAGATCTCGTTAAACTGGGAAGTCATTTATTCCTTTAGGGAAGGATGCAGATGAGTTAGGGAAATGCCAACAAATTGATCCTGAACATAAAGGAAATGTTATCAATGTCTTATTTTGGGACAAAGTTTCAAATTCTTTTTCCTATTAATTCCAGAGATTTATGGGGAAGCAAAACTGGTTTGCATTTTAGGGCATTTGGATAAGCAAAGTCGATTTTGCTAAGGAAATAATTTAAGGCAGGTAGCCAGAGAAAGGCTGATAAACTAAGTAGCTGCCATGTAAACATACACTTCTGGATGACTTCATAGGAGCCTGTTGTTCTTCCTCAACCAAACTGTCAGGTTCTTAATGTTAGAGAACTTGTTCACACTGAATAGGCCCCTAAGAGGTGCTTTGTACCAGACTCTAAATCATCTTATACAAAGTACTGAATTGTTTGGGTCCACTCAGAAAGAGTTATCACCTCCAAACTCACTCCTACACTTGGCTCTGCTTTGTATCATGAGTATAACTCACGTTAAGAAGACTCAATATAACAAAATACGGATTTACACAAAAGTTGAATAATTGGGGGAAGTGCTAACTTAGGATATGAGAAGGATGATGAGACAGGTCAAAGGATGATCAGAATCGTAAGTCCAAGCATATCTGCATGAAATGAGCCTGAAGGGAGATCTAAAACTGGGTGCCAGGCCAAGAGGCAGGAAGGACAGATCACAAACGTGTACCTTTGGTTCAAATCAAGTCTCAGATCTAGGGTAAGTGACTCATAAAGTTTCAGAGATCAGGCAATCAACCTGTTGGAAGGCAGCCATTTAGTCTCCAGAAGATGGGGATAAAGGGCAAAAGACTTAGACATTGGGGGAACTAGAATGTAAAGCAGGGAGATGAAAAACTAGGCAACAACTAAGACTGAATACCGGGGATATGGAAAACTGTAACTCAATAGCTTGAGACCCATGGTACTATGAGCCATCAGTGAGAATGGCTCAACACTGACTCAGAGCGCTGTGGGTAACCAGGACACCTTAGAGCACCAGGCCTCAGGGCAGGGTGATGCCTACGTCAGAGCAGTTTAATCTCTTGATAGCAGATGTTTGAGTTCCATGCAGGTAGGAAGTCAGATATATGATTACAGGGGTGATCTGTCTACTCTAAGGTAGAAATTCAAATATGTGGGATTTGGTTTTATCAAAAGCTCTTCTTTTTATTTTTATTTATTATTTTTAATTTTTATCTATTTATTTATTTTGAGACCCTGTTATGAGACTGGCCAACTTTTGTATTTTTGGTAGAGGTGCGGTTTCACCATCTTGCCAAGGTTGGTCTTGAACCCCTAGGCTCAAGCTCTCCACCCACCTCAGCCTCCCAAAGTGCTGGGATTACAGGCATGAGCCACCATGCCTGGCCATCTCTTGGTTTTAAATTTTTTGGTACACATTTGTTGAGTACAGTGTCTTAAATATTCTTTTCTCCTTTAATCTATTTACTAAAAAAATTATTAATTGCATATTATGACTCAGGTAATAAGCTTTGCACTGGGGTTATTGGAATGCAAATGATTATGATGCTTGTCTTTAGAAGCAAACAGACAGGCGAACTGATATTTAAAATATCAAGTGTTTGGTACAACCAGGGAGATAGGCACAGGGTACTATGGGGCATGGCTTGGAAAACGGAGGCTAAGGAGGCTTCCTGGAGTAAAAGAGCTATAATCTAAGGTGTAAAAGATGAGTAAAATTATCTAGGTAGATAGGCAGGGTTGAGGGACAATATAAAAGGAGGAGGGCCTTGAGTACCAGGATAAGGAACCCTAGTTCCTTTAGGTAATCAGCAGCCACTGAAGAATTGTAAGCAGAAGAGTGACAAAGTCAGAGTTTTCATTTAGATAGCTTTCTCTGGTGACAGTGAAGGACTGATTTAAGGAAGTCAAAACACTAAAGGGAGCTTGTTAGAAAGTTGTTACAGTGAGAGAGAATGAAGGCCTGAGCTAGAGCAGTCGTATTTTATTTATAGAAAGAGGAGAGTAAATCGACATGCAATAAAACACCTGTTACAGATTTGAGTTTAAGTTGTTTTGTGGGGATATAATTCATCTTTAAAATTTGCTGTCAAGAAGGATATACAAATATAAAAATTCATTAAGCTGTACACTTAAGATACACACACTTTATTGTAAGTTATACCTTT
This sequence comes from Homo sapiens, assembly GCF_000001405.40. Lineage (NCBI taxonomy): Eukaryota > Metazoa > Chordata > Mammalia > Primates > Hominidae > Homo > Homo sapiens. The sequence goes on along the minus strand of NC_000005.10, from coordinate 40,517,406 downwards.
ATATATATATGTGTGTGTATATATATATATATATATACACATATATATTTTAAAAAGAAGAAAAATTGTTAGAGGCCTTGGTTCTGGTAAAAGAGATGCTAATTACGTTTTGGAGCAAGTTTTCTTTTTTTTTGTGAAAACCACTAGCACAGGACCTGGCTTGTTCAGATTTCCCCCAGAATGCAAAATGTGAGAGCACTTATGGGCAGTACTTTACTGGAATTTCTTTTTCTTTTTCTTTTTTTTGCAGGGGGCAGGAATAAGGGAAAGGGGAAGCAAAGCAGAGAAAGAGAGAGAGCCAATACAAGGCAGTGTTATAAAGTTGGAACCACTATGGGAAAGACAGGTTGTTTGGTCCCAGGGAGCCTTCTGAGAAACAGCATGAAATGCATTTTAGGGGAAATGTTTGCCCATTAGTCTCATCTCCCATTGGTCCAAGGTTTGCCCCACAAGGAATGACTCCTGCACTTCTGAGTGCATACATAGACAACAAATGGGTTCCTTTGGTGCCCCTTGCTTTATCATCAACAGAGAAACCCCAGTGTGGAAGGCAGAAAAGCCCCCAGTGTAGAGGCACCAATTCTGGAAATGGAACATCAGGGATGATTTTTACTCTTTGATCCTGAGATGCATGCATTATGGCTACTGGGGACACAGCATGAGTTTTTAGCTGTTGGCTTAACATATATACCACGTCATGGATTACAGCAACCCAGTCCTTGCTATGACCATGTCTTCCCCAAGCTGGTGCTGTAGCTGAGCCTTTGACAAGACTTCCACTGTTCTGTTGGGTCAGCTACTTCTGAGCAATTGGTTACATGATTAGGCCAATGGTTATGTGCTCATTGTCACAGCTTCTTTGCAATAAAATGGGCTCCTTGATCTAAGACAATGTTGTGGGAAATACTATGTGATAGTTCAGGCATTCTGTAAGCCCTTAGATGGCAGTGCTGCAAGAAGCACTTGGGACAAGGAAGACAATTTCTTATGAGAGTAGATGTAAATTCTGGAAAGGACACATTGTGGTACTCTTCAGGGTGAAAGAGTCCAATGTAATCAACTTGCCACTAAATGGCTAGCTGTTCTCCTGAGGCATTGTTCTATATTGGATTGTTCCTTATTGAATATTCAACATTGATTTCTGCTGCTGGCAGATTGGGCACTCAGCAGTGAGAGTAGCTAGATCAGAGTTTGTAAAAGTTGGTTCTGTGCTTAATCATCTTTGCCAGCATGCATACTATGTTCATGGGTTTAGCTGGTTAGCACTGGACTGGCCAAGGAGTGAGACTTATTGACATTCACTGAACAAATCATTCTGTGCACCTAGAATTTGATTGCTTCCAGGATGGTCTCAGATGGGTATTAGCATAAAAAAATTCTGCATGCCTTGGACCATCTTCCACTGGTCACCCACATACCTCATCACCAGTCATGTTTTGGTCTTCAATCTAATTCCTTTCAGACCTCTAATAACCACCCAAGTCATTCAACATAGCTCAGGAATTCATATCCATATCTTGGACCACTTCTCTGTCCACACTAGGTAAATAATCAAATAAATGACTTGCAGATATGCCTATTGGAATGATTTCCTTTCATGACTGCCCTTTAGGACCACTCCTGAATGGGAATATAATACAACAGAAGTCCATTTTTTGACAGCACAGACATTGCTCTGACTCATCTGCGCACCAAGACTGTGTTTCCTCCTCCATCAGTTGGTAGGAAGAACTACCCCTCCACTCCCCATGAGACCTTACATACAAGCCGAGAGATTGGTGACAGCATGACAAAGATATGTGACCTGGTAGTCTGGGCTGCCTCTTCATTATAATTTACTCGTGCCTTCTGGACCTGATCCTGAATGATTATTTCCCCCTTTCCCCACTTTTCAACTAATTCAAGGTGGACGGAATGTATTATTTCTATTGTTTAATAAATTCTTGCTATGCCCTCCTGACCTTATGACTTGGTAACTACATACACCTTGCTTTTAACAATTAAATGCCAACCCCAAATTTCTCCTTTTCTGGAATCCTATCACCTCGTTTGGCACCACGGAGCAGAGCTTCATTACACTCTCTTTTACTGTCAACAATATATTTCAGATTACTTTCCCTCACCAAGTTTCTTAAAGCTGTTTCTTAAAGATCCCCCTGCCCCTCCCATCCTGAGATGCTTCTCCCATGCACTCTTGTGGCTTTAGTGAAGGAAGTATCCTCTGGGCCCTCCCAGGAAACAGAAACGTGTATTGGGTTTTCCGGTCTTTTAAAAAACATTTTAATTTAACTTAATTTAAAGTTCCAGGGTACATGTGCAGGATGTGTAGGTTTGTTACATAGGTAAACGTGTGCCATGGTGATTTGCTGCACCTATCAGGGTTTTCTGTTCTTACTGAGAAATCCACTTTAACATTTCAATCTCTCTGACTCTTCTGGCTCCTTTCTTGGTACTTTCTTACTACTTAGCCAAGGAGGTGCTGGCATGTCCTCCTAATTTACCATGGACCCATCATGTCTAATTTCAAGAAAGCATTCCCATAGTGTAGCAGGGCTAGTTCTCCTTTCTACTAAATTCTCCTCTATCTGGCTTTATATTTCTCCTCCTGGACCACTAACCCTCAAAAGCCTCTCTTACGTGTGTTCTCTCAGTCCCTGTAGTATGTGTCAGCCAGTTATTACGATTCCTTCAAGTGTAAGCTACTCCCTCCCTGAGTATGGGCTTTACATTCTTCTGTCAGCTGTGCCAACACCTGACCCTGTTATAGGCCTGGGCACAATGAGGGGTGGTGGGGATAGCTCTGAAGGAGGACATCTGTCAGCTTGCAAGTCACCCACACCTGGGGAGACCTTGAAGGGTATACAGGTTGCTCTCCTCTACTTGTGCATTTATGGAGAATTTAAGGGAATTGGAGAGTTCAAGATTCTCAAGCTCATCCACCAAACATCTCCATCACAGGTCTCAGAGTTCCCTTTGTTTCTTATGAAGGCCTCAGTTTGTTATGAAGGCCTCAGTTTGGCATGGGCGACTATCAAGTCTATATTCACTTTTCTCGGCCATCTTACCACTCTTGCCATTAAATTTCATGCCTGATATTCAATAGTTTGTCCTGATGTTGCAAGAGATGAGTCTCCTTTAGGCTCTAAAATTTCCATGTTGGCCTTCTGGTTTTCACAGCTACTTTAAGTTGACAGTTGAATAAGCTTACCATTTTCTTTTTTAAAGAAAAACCAATACAAATAAGTATTATTAAATTGGCTACCACTGGGGTAGAGGGTTTACAAAAGCCAGGCTACTCTACTGATCTTTGTAAATATCACTGCCTCTGTACCATTTAAGCAATACAGCCATAGCAAAACCCACTACCTGACTTCAGCCTATATCTTATCCCAATAAATCAAAAGTTTAAAAAATGAGTAATTATGATACTATCTAATGCCATGGATTATTACTACCCCATTACTACAAGTACTGGGTCCTTATTGCCATCTTATACTTAAATGATCCAGTTTTAAAATCTGCTGCTGAGTGTATGCTTTTTAGGATGCTTTCTGGTATCTACAGTCATAGACTTGGTTCTCCAGAAAGCAGAACATCTGGCAAACATTCATATGCAAGTATTTCATTGGGGGAATGTTTTTTCCAGAAAGCAGACTTGTGGGGTGACAAAGCAAGGAGGGCAATAAAAGAGAATCTTATCAAGTCAACTATCACTTCAAAGGGCTGTCCTAGAAACCCTATAAAATGCCTTGCAGGACCATCTCTCTTGGGGAAGAAAGGGAGAAATACTTACCCATTGGCTTCCAACATCTATTTGTCAAAGGTTTACATCAAGGGACAAATAGAGATTTGTGCTTCTGGGTTGTGTATGGTTTAGTATGAAACAGATTTCTGTAGCATCCTACTCCATGGCATCAACAGAGAAGCTGCTGGGTGGAAGATGTGTTGTGCATGGCACAGAACTGGCACAAAGGACAGTCAGATTGCACCTGCACGAAGTGGGTCAGAGTCTGCGCAGCACTGTTCATCATAGCAGTGGCTGGAATGAAAGACAGGTGAAGCTGAAGAGATCTGAAATGGTTTATGAGTATTATCTAATACAGTCCTTCAACACGAATATACTATATACACCCATTCATTGTTTTTAGAAAAAATATAAAGCCAATTAAATCTGAATTCATAAGTTGAAAACTAGAATATTAAATATTCTGTTAATGTAAATTGAATGTACCTTTATTAAAACTGTATCATTGTGAAGTTAGAGAAATCAGGAATTAGACTAAACTGGTTCTGTGTGTATCTGCATGTCTTATTTTTTCTCAATATGTTCTTTTCAGGAGACCTTAAGATAGAAAAACTGCCAGGAGGGACCTGTAGGTCTGCTTTCTCCACTCATGTTTGGAGAACACGTCTCCAAAGAAATTCATCTGAACTTGATGCAGAGATTCCTGGACTAGATTCCTGAGAAATCTAATGTCAGCTACAGAAATGCCCCAACTGATGAATTTCGTCATGAAGCAGAGCCTCAGAGCAAAAGCACATCAGCTAAGCATGCCCCAGTATGAGTGGCTGAGTATGCCATATTAGTCTTTCATAGTCTACCATAGAAGACTTTCAATTTTTTGCTTCATACTACTTAAAATAATGTAGAAAAATCTATGTAGTTCTTTCACATTAAGTTAACAGCTAAAATTTTTTACTCTAAGTTTAATTTGTTGAAAATGATGCAATATCAGTCTAATTGTAAATATTAACATTAAAACAAACTATTGAATCACTTTAATACTTTTTCAATGGAATCTTAATACAATAACAATTCAATGGCCACAATATTTAATTGAAAAATACGTGGACAAGGTCATTTTAATAGTCAGAAATTTTCTACCATCTATATTTTTCTTCCTGAGTCCATTTCCATTCAACTTCTCTGTAAAGATTTTTAATTGAATATAATATTTTTGTTCCTGAATATCTTATATTGATCAGATATATTTTACTATAAAAATTATGTATATGAATTGAAATTTTACATTAATTTTTTTCTGTGATGTTTCTAAGTAATAAAAATTTATTCTGAATAGATTTAACTTTATTATCATGACACTAAGCAATTATTTTACACATTTTTATAGTTATATAATTACACAGTTATATTTATAAACATAAAAATAAACTATATAAAAAGGCTCATAATGAGGAACTTTAGCTCATTATCTGCATTTAAATATTACTGATTATTGGAATGAATTAGGGTTCAATGGAATTCAATAGCCAAAATAATTCAGAGTAGAAAGTATACAAAAAATATATTAATTCCTAGCATATTATTTTTAATCCAAATCTGCCAAGTTTATGATAAGAATGAATAAGGAAGCAGAGAAATGATTGATGAGTGACAGCTGTCAGAAAACTTGGCACTTAAGTAAAAATCCCTATGGATTTTCATGTGTATCGTTGTGATGGTGAAGGACCAGCAAGGTGTCTCTACTACAATTGTATTCTCAGCATGAACCTGAGGAGCTGGAAATTTCCTTGCTTTAAAATTACCCATGTTTGCTTTTATACTTAAAACATTTTTATATAATCCAAGAATACTAGCACTTCAATTGGAAGGCCACTAATTATTTGCCATATTTCACAAATATAATTAATTTTCTCATCACCCAGTAGAGCCAAAGCTTGTACATAGGGGTATGCATTTACATTAGAAATTAAAATGGAAGTCAAGGTAGAGCTATTTTTTTTAAAATGAGAAAGTAAAATTTATGTCTCTGTGCAATGTAGGAGTGATTCTGAAAGAAGGGCAAATCAAACAAATGTAAGAACTGTTGTTTGGATTCTCTCAGAAATATCGAAAAAGGGACAATTAAAATGTATTAACCAAAAGAAAAAAGGAAAACCAATCAGTTATGTGTGTGGCAACAGCATTCCCATCACCACAGCAGGTTGTTTAACCTTCCTGTGAATTTAGAAGACACACATGTGTTAGCAACTTAAAGCCTAAGCTTGGTGAGAATACTTTGTGAACTCTTTCTCAATAGATTCCTGGGGACCACTGGGAAAGGTGATGCTGGCCTCCAGAGACTTTCAAAGAAGCCATGTGTGCTCCTCTCTACTAACAGCATAGATGGCCGTTGAGGTTGTACTCATGATACCCCTAAATTCACTGAAGATTTAGTACTCTTTGCAGCCTTGTCTTCTATACTGTGGGGAAATGAAAGAATAGAACTGTATTTCTATTGTCAGCAAATTGGTAGGGGGAAGAAACAACAGCCAAGAGGAGACAATTGGTGAATAGCAGTTTCCAAATGGTTGGCTCCAGAGCACAGTGGTAGCTTGTAATGAACACATTCAGTAGACATTTTAAGCTTTTACATTTGGGTGTATTTGATTTGGTCTTAATATTTATAGATGATATTAATGGTAGTAATTAGTGTTTTCCCACTACTCCAGTCCTTAGAGCTCTCTCCATTCTGTGTGCTCATTCACACTAAGCCCAATTCAGAAAAAAACCGAACTTTTAAAAATGCTTCTTACATGTCACTCACATATCCATTTATTCATCTATCCAAGACATATTTCTTATGCAGCCACTATGAAGTTGGCATTGGAAGTAAAGTGGTGGATGAGGTATGGATTAGATTTGATTGAGCTCATGGAATTTAGAGCACCATGGAGCAATAGATTAAAAAATAGTTGAATAATTACTTATAATTATATTTAGAACTTTGAAAAATAACTTTAGGTACTATGGGAGCACATGACTTATCATCTAGACTGTAATTACCTTGAAGTCAAAGACCACATCTTACACTTCTTTTGGATATCTCTGTAGCTCCTAACATAGATCGGAATACAGAGTATAAGATGCTCAATAAATATTTGATTGATTTTATATTTGAGGCTGAAATGATTGATGTCAAATCAAGTATTTTTATTTTCTTCTACACTGAGCAAATGTCAAGACTGCACTGTAATTTTAATCTGTACTTTGTGCCTGAAGTCTTCGTTTGCAAAGCTCACTGAAGTTGTGGCCCTTTCCCTACACTTGTGCTCTGGACAGAGACTATGTTTAAATAAGAGCAGCAGAATTTTTTTTTCAGTGTGTATCTTTATTTTACTTATTTTTTCTTTTTTTTTCTCTTTTTTATTATTATACTTTGAGTTCTAGCGTACATGTGCACAACGTGCAGGTTTGTTACATATGTATACATGTGCCATGTTGGTGTGCTGCACCCATTAACTCGCCATTTACATTAGGTATATCTCCTAATGCTATTCCTCCCCGCTCCCTCCACCCCACGACAGGTCCTGGTGTGTGATGTTCCCCTTCCTGTGTCCAAGTGATCTCATTGTTCAATTCCCACCTATGAGTGAGAACATGTGATGTTTGGTTTTCTGTTCTTGTGATAGTTTTCTCAGAATGATGGCTTCCAGCTTCATCCATGTCCCTACAAAGGACATGAACTCATCCTTTTTTATGGCGAGCAGCTGCATTTTTAATATCTGAATCTTGGTTTATTGGTTACTGGGACTCAGTTCATAGCCCTGTTGTTCACTGGGCCTCTGTAGAGTCTGAAAGCATTTCTTTGACTTGTCCTTGGTCTGGTTGCCCCATTTCTTCCTGCAGATGGTCACTGCTCAAGCATCCTGTCACAAATCTCACACGGTGGCCCAGGGTGCTCAAGGCTGGCCTCACAGTGTGGCCATGATCAACATTTCAGTGGGTTAGTAGGTAATGCCATTGGAATTCAAGGAGTTTGTGTATTATGCCCCAGCAGTATGCTTGCTGATTAGGCAGCAGCTTCAATCCAGTTGGTCCCTATACTTCAACAACAGCACATAGCAAATCAAATCAGGCCAAAGTTTTTTTCAAAGGATAGTCTAGCAAACTTTATTTTTAAAGCAAATAGCTGCCCACATACTATAATTTGATAATAAATTTGAACACTAAAATATCACTTGGTTTCACTGGAGTAGTTGATATATTAACTCAGTAATTTTCAAAACTATCCTTAGTCCATACATAGTAGTGGTCTGTTGTTATATATGAGGACCCTTGAGTGCATATTCCAAAGGGCCATAAGTGTAAAGACTGGTTTTTTTATGGCCTCATAGCACATGCTTTTATTATATGAGATTGTCCCCTTAAATTTTTATGCCTATGTCTTTTTCTGCTACTAGATAATAAGCCGAGTGAGATAAAATTAATCTGTGTGTCTTTAGTGCGTATTTCTATGTTTTAGGACTTAGAATATGTTCTGTTGAATGAATAAATGAATATATGACAACTGCTGAATATATAATGCAATTTAAGATGGGATTTTCTCAGCAGACTCAAAGAAAACTTTGACAATGGATCCTGAGTTCTTCCACTGAGTATGAAAATGAAGAAGAAGAAGAAAAAAGGATTAGAGCTATAGCCTTACCAAGTACAACTTCATTCCATGGGTAGAAAAAAATAGGTCATATGTTTTACTTACTACATTGATAGAGAAAAACTTACCCTCCAAAGTAGAATGTACAATCTTAGAAAATGCTTCCAGGCAGCCAAACTGGATCAATGGTTAAAAGATTATTAGATAACAATATATTTTAACCTGTGGATTTTCAGATAACTAGCTTATTTAAAATGTCTTTGGTTGATTCTCTCACGTTTTGTAGGTAAAGAATCATACTAAATGAAAATAATAATGATTCTGTCTCCCCCTCTTTTAAACTTATAATTTATTTTACCTTATTGGTTTTGTTCAGACTTTCAGAACAGTGATAAATAATTGTGCCTTCAGGCACATTTGTCAATAGAAACACTTCTGGTTTTTTGATTGTAAGTATGAAATTAATTGTTGGTCATGGCTTTTTTCTTTCTTTAAAAAAGAAAGTAAAAAGACACCATGACCATGACTTAATACTTATTAGTTAGATAAGTTTGTAGATTTCTTCTATCTGCTTTATCAGATTTCTATTCAAAGATTATTGTAAATTGGTAAGATTAAATGGCATAAGTGGCATTTCATCTTTTTTGTATACTTTTTTTTTGTTTTTTTGTTCGAGACGTAGTCTAGCTCTGTCGCCCAGGCTTGAGTGCAGTGGTTGGAGTGCAGTGGCGTGATCTTGGCTCACTGCAAGCTCCGCCTCCCGGGTTCACACCATTCTCCAGCCTCAGCCTCCTGAGTAGCTGGGACTACAGGCGCCCGCCACCATACCCAGCTAATTTTTTTTGTGTTTTTAGTAGAGACGGGGTTTCACTGTGTTAGCCAGGATGTTCTCGATTTCCTGACCTCGTGATCCGCCTGCCTCAGCCTTCCAAAGTGCTAGGATTACAGGCATGAGCCACTGCGCCTGGCTCTTTTTTCTATACTTTTTAAGAATGTAAATAGCAAAGTAATTATCTGTTACTTGAAAGACCAGAAATTATTTGTCTATCTAACTTTGAAAAATTTCTTTGACAATTTTCCCCAATTTATTCCATGATTATAGATCTACTTTTTTTCAAATTAAAAAAATTATCTTCATTGTTGTAGTTTGATCTTTTTTTCTAATTTCAGAGGGGTCTGTGTTTTTTCTCTTATGTCTTTCTTAAGTTATATTTGTCTAAATTGTTTATTCTATTGTTCTTTTTAAATAAACAGCTTTTGAATTTGTTTATAAACTCGAATTTACCTCTATTTCAGTATTTCCTAATTTATTGATTTCTACTTTATTAACAATTTCTGCTTGTTTTCCTGAAGTTTGTTCTGTTTTACTCTAATTTATAGAGCAAATTGTTTTGTTAATTTATTTTAATTTCTAGAAATTAATAATAAAATCACTTAAAGTAAATTTCTTTGATTATACAGCTTGGCCATATTTACTAAGTTTTTACATGTTGTATCCTTATTTTTGGTGTTTTCTAAATGATCTGTAATTATAGTTTCGGGTTCTTATTCTAACCAAGTTTATTTAAAGGTAATTTTCCTCTTCTAATTTCCAAACAGTACTTAAAAAAAAAGTATTGTAATTCTGCTTTGTGGTGAGAAAAATGTACCTTATATAATTCTCACTCTTTGAATTAAATGAGTTTTTTTTTCTTTTTTGTAGATGATTATACCATCTGGTGGTGGAAATGGTAAATGGGCATAGTTACTACTTTCTTCACAGAGTAGAATACAGAAGGTAGAAAGGAAACCCTACCTTGTTCTTCAGTTGTAACTTCTTGGATCTTTGAATCTGAGGACATATGGAGAGAAACGGCAAAGATCTTATCTTTTGGTTTTTGGTGATTTCTGTTTCATGATATAAGGTGGAATGTGCTGTGAGTAGCCTATGTAGGTTTATCTTAAACTAGTTTATTCTTCCTTGTGATCATCTATTTTTAATTGGTGTAGATTTGCTGGGTTTTTATCTTTTTTATTGTTAACAAATTTTTGTTCTAATTTTGGTGTGATATTTGTGCTGATTTGTTGGGGATTACCAACTAGAGGACAGTATGAATCAAAACGATCTGTTTTTTTAATGATTTTGGTCTTTTCGAAATTAGTATTAATATACTGTTTGATTAATCTTGAAATATATAGAAAAGCAAAGATAAATAAATTAACATCGCCCATAATGGAAACACCGTTAGATAACCAAAGTGCTAAAAGTTTTGGTCAATAGTGTTCCAATTTTTTTCTGTTAAGTTTTTAAAAAGTTGAGCATACATTAAGCTTTCCACTTCTTGTTTAAATCATTAAAGGAAGTTCACGTAAAGTAAAAATACTTACAACTTAGAAAGGGTGGATCTGAATCTTTATCTACTTTTCATAGGAAGGCAAAATTACTTCCCATAGCAAATCCTGAGCCATTCACAGGGAACAGTGAGCACATGGAAGGAAAGCAGGAACAGTGAGTAGGTGAAGGCACATAATCTATCTCTAATAGTCTGATCTGTTCCAGAGGAACAGAACCAATAGGACGGACACACACACAAACACACATACCTCATATATATATATATATATATATATATATATATATATATATATATATATATATATGTATCACACACACACGCACACACACACACACAATTTATTATAAGGCATAGGCTAAGAAGTCCCATGATATCTGCCATCTGCAAATTGGAGACCCAGGAGAGCTGGTAGTGTAGTTCCAGTCCAAATCCTGAGAACCAGAAGAATTGATGGCATAAGTCCCAGTCTGAGTATAGGAGAGGGTCAATGTTCAGCTCTAAAACAGTCAGAGACAGTGAATTCTCATTTATTCTTTTTTTTTGGTCTATTCAGCCTTTCAAAGGCTTGGATAACACCCGACCACATTGGGGAGGGGAATCTACTGATTCAAATGTTAATCTCATCTGGAAACATGCTCACAGACACAACCAGAATACTGTTTAAAATATCAGGGCATCTTGTGGCCCAGTTAAGTTGACACATGTAGTTAACTATCACAGTATCAAAATTAAAACTCAGTAATAAGGCTAAAGGCAAGCTGGTATATATACATAGAATATTGCGTAGAAGATGAAGTCAGGGATCATGCCTATCAGATTTCTATTGCTGATTACATAGTAAAGATGAATAAAATGCCTAATATGAATCAATTCCTGGTTATTCTCAACAAGTAAAGAAAATACTTTTTGGGAGAAATGTATTTTGAGCAATTTGAAGAAAGAATGCAGTAGCCTGCTGAAGGAGTGATCTGAATATACTTTGCATAATTATCTTGGAACACTGTAGAGATAAGAGGAGAAATGAATGGTCAAGAGTAGGTGCATAAGAGGCAAAAGGACTATTAGAATGCAGGTGGCAGGCAAAAAAATAAAATTTGGCTGGACTAACCGAAAGGCAAACATTTATAAGATGGGGACTCTTGAGGGCAGGGAAAAATATGCTGTAATTTAGAGAAGACTAAAACATTGTTACTTAAAAAATTTCCTATGAAGATGGATAGAATGATAAGAATTAATGTTGGATAGAAAAAAGGATTGTTGGGAGAGGTTACACTATTGCCCAAAGTTTACAATATTATACCACATCAATTTTGCACCAATGTTCTAGCCAAATGCTAAGGAAATACCCAGGAGAGAATCTACTACAGAACCAGTAAACAGCTGATTTCTGAAAAAACACATTATGAAGATATTTTATATTCATAGACATCACAAGTAGCCTCTGTGGTCGGGAGAGCGCTTTAAACAGTAATGTGAAACCACTTGGATCTGCGAATTGCTTACTTATCCAATTGCCTTTTTTGACCTATGCAGTGGCAGGGAATGAAGAGAAGTCAGTAATAATTGCATGATTGCAGACCTAGCTACCAAGACCCAAGTTTAAGTCCTTCCTATGCCCCTAATTTGCTGGCTGACTTTCGTCACATTAACTTCATATCTCTTTTAGCACAAATTTCCACAGAAATGAAACAAGAGATTTGAATTCTTAGATCTTACTGTTCCCTTTAAGTGTTGATGTTCTATAATTCTGCAATTCGAATTCCTGTCAATGCTAAGTGTTTGGTGATAATTTCAGCTTTTTAAATTTTAGTTTGAAATAAATAAATAAATAAATAAATAAACAAATAAATAAATAGTTTTACTTCCAGGTAGAAATATGTACAAACTATTCCTAAAATATTATAATGATGGACAATGTTTATTACTTATAATATGCTAGGCACTTTACATTAATTTTCTAATGCAAAGAGGCTTATACAGTACAGTGTAGAGTGAGACCTGTAAGGCTTGAAATCCCCTTCCACCACTTTTGGGAAGATGGTTTTAGCCAGGTGCTTCTGATACTTTAATATTTGTAGGAATCTGCTAATTTTATTAAAAAGCAGATTCCAATTTAGCAATCTGAGGTGGGCCTTAAGATTATGCATTTCTCACAAACTCCCAAGTGATGCAGATGCTTCTGGTCCTTGAACCACACTTCTGTGCCTCACTTTCCTCTCCTACAAAACAAGGATAACAATCGTATCTAGCTCTTACAGTTGCTCTAGGGATTAAGTGAATTATACAGTTGACCCTTGAACAACATGGGTTTGAACTGTGCGGGTCTAGTTATACCTGGATTGTTTTCAATAAGTACAGTTGGCCTTTCGTATCTATGGGTTCTGTATTCACAAATAACTTGTTCAAGGACAAATAATTAGTTATTAGTGCAGGGCTTTGACTTTCAATGGCATTTTTCATGATTTCCGCAGGAAGCAGCTCCACGAACTTTTTTGTTCATTATTTTTTTTTCTTTTTGGAAATGGCTCCCAAGTCCCAAATTTTTAACCACTATGCCCCACTGCCTAGCAAAAGAGTCACCACAAGTTTTACTTAATAATGTTTTTCTGTGTCCATTGATTGTCAGGAATTTCTTCCTGAGTGTTCAAAAGTGTGCTTCATGTGCCACTTTAGTGATGTCTTCAGGGCATACAGTGGTCCTCTGTCCTCTGCAGTTTCTATCTTCTTATGTTTTCTTCTATTTAAGACATTTCCTTCTTTATCCTTTCTCAGCATATAATCAGCATTTTGTATCCAAAAGTTCCACCTCCACAGTCAAAAAACTGTTGATAAAAATGAATAACATAACAATAAAAATAATACAAATTAAAAGCAATACAGTATTACAGTATTTACAGTATTACAATAAACAATACAGTATTTACATAGCATTTACATTGACTTCCTGCAAAGAGTGCATGTGCTATAAAATTTTCCATGAGTGGTGTTAGGCTGTGCTTTCTGCTTTCCTGTTGCCCTTTATAACCACTGAGTGTGTTGTGGTGGGGCCTCGTCAGGATTGACTGTCTGTCTCATGACTGACTGACTTCTTAGTGTGAGGAATAAACTTACAATCTAGGTATTCAACAAAATTTTATTAAAGTGAGTGATTTGTATACTTATTGTCTGGTGAGTACTCTCTGAATTCAAAAGCGTTTGAAAGGAATGGGATGACAGTCAATAAACCTAAGATGCTAATGGATATGTGAGTCAACCCTGGCTCAAATTTTTGCTCTTTTATTGAAAAAGCAATGACCCAAGTCATTTTTATAGGCACTAATGTTCTTTGTGTACCAGAAAATAAGTGAATTAATGTTTCCCATTCCTAAAAACATTAACTATTTACATTTCAAATTGAATTTGGGGTTGAAAAGCAAATAGAAAATATTGGATTAAAATATTAAGTTGTAAAAAACACAACTCTCAGAGGTTGTTCCCACAGATAATTTGATATGGTTAATTGTTTTTCATCTCTAGTACACCAGAACTATCGCTCCTTTAATCTAGAAAGTTGGTTTAATTAGTTTTGTTCTCCAGATTTTTACCTGAGTAGTTATCAATGGCTGGCAATTAATATATTATAGAAGTTTAGAAATTATATTTGGAGAGCAATAACTTAAAACGCATAATTTTAGGACTTATTTAAACTGGTTAGCAGAAGAGAAATCGGATCCCCCAAAATAGCAACACTGGGCAGGCTGTGCCAGTAAATTAAGGGGAAGTGATCAAATTTGAGAAGTGAGGACTCTTGCTATGAATCTTGGCATATGACTTTATTACGGGTTTCATTTTCTCATTAGTTATTAAAAAGCCATGTTAAGAATGAATGCTGTTATTTGAATCTTTGGACTGTAAGGGATGGATAGTTTTTCCTAGTTTCTGCTCCTGGCACAGGACAGTTGTATACACTTGCTTATTTATTCATGTATTCATCTATTCCATACGTATGTGTTGAGATAGTACTGTGAATCAGTCTTGCTGATGGATTGAATGTAGAGAGTCTGAGAAAGGGAAAACATCGAACACTAACCTTAGGTGTCTGGCTGGATTAATGGGTTAGAAATGGGGTAGTTGCTCACTTACTGAGAGACAAAGGAAGGAGACATTTTAGAGGCTGCAGAGTAGGAATCAAGAGTTGGGTTTGGAGCCTACTAAGAGGTGTCCTGTAAGTGACTGGACGTGCATATCTAATGTTTAAGTGAGTGATCAGGGTTGCTACTTCAGGAGTCATCATCATACAGACAGAGTATTAAGCTATTGGACTAGATTAGGGCACCTGGGGAATAGCTGCCCTAATCTTAACACAACTTTGTGTTAAGAAGAGAAGGAGCATCCTGCAAAGAGATTGGAAAGGGAGCAGCCTGCAACGTAGGCTGTAAAACAATAAGGTGCAACGCCCTCGGAACCAAGGGAAAAAATGTTTTAAGGATATGATTAACTCTACTCAGTACTGCTGAGGGTTGGAAAAGTGTGGGGACCAACCATTGATGACTGGAGCTGATGATGTGAGTGAGCTTAGTGAAATCTTGAATCAATATCCTGACTAGAAGTGTTGAGAATAGGAACCCAGCTATCACAGGCATCCTCTCTGAGGAGTTTTGCTACAAAGAAGAATAGAAAAATGGGCCAGGTGCTAGAAAGAAATCAAGCAGGGTATTTTAAATATGGGAGCAATTTGTATATCAATGTGAAAACTTGTGTTGCAATTAAGAGAGGGGATAATTGTAGGAGCAAAGTCTGAGTGAAGATAATGGGATGGAATCTAGATAATAAAAGGAGGGGTTGGCTTTAGATAGGAGCAGGGACAGTTCATCCATTGCAACAGGAGACAAGGTACAGATGTAGGTAGTTTGATAAACTTATAGTAGGTAGGATATGGGAATTATCTCCTAAATACTTCGATTGGATTAGGAAAATAAGAGGCAAATATTTCAGCTGAGAGTAAGAATAGAGCCAATGCAGAGGTTTAGGGACAGGAAAAAAAAAAAGATGTAAAAGAGGTGTCTGAAGAGTGGAAAAGCCAGAAGAATATAGAGAATTGCTGGGCAATATTAACGTTTTTGAAGCTTGAGGTCATATTTGAAAGAAGAGTCAGCATGGTTGTGTTTTTGTCTAGCCACATTTGGCTGCTCAGCTGCAGATATAGGGAGAGATTTAGGTTTTAGCAGGTTGGCGTTTTGTCAGACAGGTACAAAGGAAGCAAGCTAGTTGAGGATCTGTAGAAGGAGTGGTTAAATGATGGATCCTGGAATCTACATTTGGTAAGAAGAAAAGGAGGGATTGGAGAAAAGTAGGTGGTAGGATTAATAGACTGAATATCCCAGTAGGGCCCAAAGAGTTTTGGAGTAAGTATGTGGGAGAACATGACCTGGGAAGATTGGAAGTTAGAGATTAGAGAATGGCTTCAAATTGAGATTGCAGATCTCAATCAATAATAAGATCTAGGATATAGTCACTTACGTGGGTACTGGAGGTAGAGATGAAGACAAAGTCAACAAAAATGAGATAATCAAGAAACTGACATGCTATACTATTAAATGGATTAGTTATTTGAATATTACAATCACCAATACCTCATAGGAAAAGCGATGGAAAGAAAGACAATCCAGTGTTATAACTTTTCAGGGAATGAGAGGTTATTACTAGAAGTGTGAAGTGATGACAGCTGGTAAATATACTTTCGTAGTCATGACTTTAAAGGGAAATCTGAAGGCATAGTTGTATATTTTAGTCCAGCAAGTTTAATTTCTTAGGTAGAAACCCAGAATAGGTAGATTGGTGGGTACTACCTGGGTTGGAGCATTGCCAAGTAGATGTGCTGGTACAAAAATGGAGAGAGAGTGAAAGGTGTTTCCAAGGAAGTAATTCTAATTAAGGATGAGTGGACTTCAAACTAGGTAAGAAGATAAGACATAAGAAAAGTGTTCAAGAGGAAATGTTTGGTGTCAGTTACCTTTCAGTTGATTGGAAGTCTCCATAACTGAAAGTGGAGAATTTTGAGAGATTATGTACCGAGTAAATGAGCTCAAAGATTAGAACGTGGTGTTCAGAGAGGGGGAAGCTGGAGGCTGAGATTCTGAAGTTAGTACAGTTAATGGTGATGACAACAAGGAATAGGAGATTGAACTGGAATGGAAGAAACAACTTTTGGACATGAGAATGTAGAGGAACCAAGACACCAGAGAGTTGATGTCATTAAACGTTTTGCCAGGAGTGGGGGTAGAAAGGAAGTTATAGAACAGGTGACAAAGTCATCAATAAGTGATGAAGAGTGACCAAGTTTTGTAGATGCCAGTAGCAAGTAGAAAGAGTATGATGGCTTAAACTTCAAAGGATCTGGGCTTTTGAGCACAGGGAGAAGAAATGGTTTAGAAGGAGCAATGGGATCTAACTCCAGGCTTTGAGGTACCAAGGGGAAGGAGAAGAAATCTTCCCTCAGTAAGACTGCAAGAGAAGCTGTGCCACTAGTGGGGAGCCAGGTGAAGGGAGTGCTCAAAGATGGGTTGTATTCTTTTTCCGGGGAGGTATAACAAAGTATTACAAACTGGGTGGCTTAAAACAACAGAAATTTATTGTCTTCCAGTTCTGAAGGCCAAAAGTCCAAAGTCAAGATGCCAGCAGGGCTGTGCTTCCCTGAGGTCTGTTCCAGGCCTTTCTCCTAACTTCTGGTAGTTCCTTGGCTTGCCACAGCATAACTCCAATCTTCATTTGGTGTTTTTGTGTGTATGTGTGTGTGTGTCTTTGTCCAAACTTGCCTGTTTGAGAAGGACACTAGTTCTATTGGATCAGAGGGCCATCCTACTGCAGTATGACCTTATCCTAACTAATTACATCTGCAACAGCCCTATTTCTCAATAAGGTCACACTCTAAAGTACTGAGGGTTACGATGTCAACATATGAACGGAGAGAGGGATGCAGTTCAACTCATAACAAGAGTGTTTGCTGATGGCAGACAAGAGGAAACACTGGAGGGGTTTGGGAGGTACAGGATGATTAAGAAAGTGGGTCAGAGTAGGAAATGTACAGAGTACTAGGGATGGAGCTCAGGTTTCTGGTTAATAGACAACAGGGATGTCAGGTCTGGTGGCTTTACATTTGATAGCCAGACAGGGGGATATGGGGACACTAGACAGACATTCTCTCCTGCAGCTCTCAGCAGGATGGTGGCCAAGGGGAAAGTAAAAGAGCCTCAGTGTGCTGGTCTCAGGAACAAAAGGAAATCTGAGGACTTCTTTTCTCTAGTTCTGAGGTGGTGTAGTGGCTTTGGGGAGCATCTGTCTCACTTGGAGCATGAAACTGGGAATGTGTCTCCTTTGAAGGGTTTGTGTTGTGGCAGCTGAGACATGAGATGTGGAGAAGAGCCTTTACCATCTGATGGTTTGGTGTTGTACTTATTCATCAAGCAACCCGTGGAAGCTACAAGTGTCATGTCAGCTACAGAGCAGAGCAAAATGTTTGGTATTACAAGAAACAGTTTTTACCATGTTTCAGCAATAGTGAAACCAAAATTGCAAGGAAGAATGTTATTTTAACAGGGAACAATTTTATTGGGTATGAGTACATGGGATTCTTTGACATATTCGTTACAATATGCTGCTGCTGCTAAGTGAGTTTTTAAAAATCTTTAAGACCAGCATGGAGGGACCTCTGTCTGTCAGAAAAGTCTTCACAAAATTTGTCAAATGGAAGAAGTTTGGTTTGGGTGCCCATCTATTTTTCCCTTCTTTATTCTTGTTCCACTTGCTGACACCCTTTTCCCTCCACTCTCCAGAGACTCCTTACTTGCCTGATATTTTGCTTTTATTCTCCTTCTCCTTCTTCTTTATGTCATTTACTCCCTAGTGTAACAAACATGTTGCTTTCTTCAGCCTATTTGCATTGAAAGAAGATGCTGCCTAGTGCAATTAAGACAGCTTCCTCGTCTGGGGGTGGAGATCCTGACATTGCATCTGCTTTATCATTTTGTACCCATGTGATCCCCTATCTTCAAATATAAATAGGACTAATAACATCTACCCCCACAGTTATGATGATCAATAAACGAAAAGGGGCTAAGGAAATCAGTGGCTGGCATTTTGTGTCTTTAAATTATTTCTTTCTCTGTGCCATAAGTTATTCAGTTTTGGAACCGGAATTCTTGTTAAACCAGAGGGAACAAATTTCATAACAATTGATAATGACGGACCAGGGGATAAGTGAGGTGGTGGGAACATTTTTCAGTACATATCAATCACATCAAGGCCAAAAGCTCAGATTTAAAATTCGGCATTGGTTTGTAAGCCAGAATACATTACTATTATGCCACAGGAAAAAAAATCTCAAATGTCCACTGATTCTTTTTTTTTTTTTTTTTTTTTGAGACAGAGTCTTGCTCTGTCACCCAGGCTGGAGTGCAGTGGCACGATCTTGGCTTACTGCAACCTCCGCTTCCTGGGCTCAAGTGATTCTCCAGCCTCAGCCTCCTGAGTATCTGGGACTACAGGCATGCACTACCATGCCCGGCTAAATATTTTTTTGTATTTTTAGTAGAGATGGGGTTTCACCATATTGGCCAGACTGGTGTGAGCCTCTGCGCCAGGCCAAATGTCTGCTGATTCTGACCGCTTCCAAGCTATGTGACCTCTCCTTTAGCAGGTCCAAATTATTCAAGTTTCTACTATATTCAGGTCTTCGAGTGTGGCTGAACTATTAGTAAAGGTAATTCAGGAATATACAGCAATTTCTTTTCATCCGTAAGAGCCAAAGGAATTCAGTTGGAATGTGAGCTTCAGTATAAGACAGGAAATGGAAAGTCAGATTCTTAGTGAATTTTAATCCAAGGTAATTAGTCATTCTCTCATCTAGGCCTGCACTCAAATCTCCTGAATGATGTAGACTTGTGATTGTTCCTATGGCAGCAATCTCAAACTTTACTGTACTTAAGAGTCTCTAGGGAACCCTCTAAAGAGGCCCTTCTCTCAGAGATTCTAAATGACTAGGTGTTAGGTAAGGCCCAGCCCCTGTATTTCTGCAGAGCTCTTATGGTGACTCTGGTCAGAGGATCCATAGATGACACTTTGAGAAACACTAACCAATTGATATAAACTTGTCATTGGAAAAATGCAGTTGCTTTAAGTCAGGGATCAATTTCTTTCCCCTGTCCTTTGTTTTCGACTTTCCGTATTTAACACTGTGTGATGCGCATGGAAGGGAGCTTAATATATTTTAGCGGGCAAAATAACTACAGGGAATTTATCTGTAAAATATTGAATTATCACGTCAAGGAAAGGGTTAGCTGAAGTTATTTCTAATATTGACCTTTATTAGAAGATGTTGACTACCTTTTTTCCATTTTATTTCCCTCAGCTTCTTGAATCACAATTATCCATTTTCTTTGTAATAGAATGGTCAGTAAAGGAAATTAAGTGCATCACTCCTATAGCTGTACTTTCCACGAAATTCAATTTTGCTGACCCAACTTCTTCTCTTTAATTTCAGATCTCTTGGAGGCATGAAATCAAGAATTAGGTTTATAAGCCTAGAAAATTTATCACATGCCACCTAGTATGTTCCTTGCCTTTAGCAAGATGGCATCTAAGTCAATCTATTGCAATTGTACTTCTGAGGTGACCAGAGGTACCTGTGCCTCTGCTGTGGGGGGGGTCCCCACCTGCACCCATGTTCCCTTGCTTTTGCATCCTAGATTATAAAGGTAATTTCTCTAGGTGTTTGCTACTGATTTGTGAAGGATTGTTAAGGCAAAAAGAGGCAGCAGGTTTTCTAACTAATGTTGGGAAATTTTGACATGCTTAGCAGACACAGTCCTCAGGAATAATAAAATAATCTTTGGGAGAAAGAAACATGAATGCTTGTTCTTTAAGTAGAAAAACTGAGACCCAAAGTATGGATTAGAAGCTGCACGAGTAATGCTCTCTTTACCTGCGCAGTGCTGTTACACTGCCACAGGCAATGTTCTGTAACCCCTATGCTACCACCAAATCAAACCAACGGCAGTAATAAAGGATTCAAATAGCAAGGGTTAATGATATTCAGATATAATCTTCAACTTTCATATTAACAAAGACCTTCTTTAAACTGTCTTGCTTAATTTAAATTCTTTCATATTACCTTCTCAAAGAGGTGTTAATAGGAACAATGGGCACAAAAGGGCAAGAATGCAGTCAAGACAAAGGCCAAGAGCCCAGCTAACTAACCTGAATGAACATCTGCAAAATTTGGTTGCAGCAGTTTTATGTTAGGATGTAATGATCATTCACTCTCTCCGTCAGGCCAGTGCAGGCCCCTCATAGGGTGTCCTGTATGTGGTGGGTGTTCAATAAGTGCTTATAACCCATTCATCTCCATTCAGTTAGATGAGAATCATTTGACTTGGATTTTTCCAGTTCTGTGATTAGAATCACAGGATTTTCGGTGTGTTTGTAAGGGATGAAAAGAGTTCGTTTGGATTAGAAATGATACAAAGACCATACATTTCTTGTCGTTGAGCTTAAGCATACAAAAAAAAAAAAGGAAAAATGATCATACTTGCATTGGGGAGTAGAGTGAGATCTTGAGCCATGGCTGGGTGATGCTGAGCAGCTTATAGCATCTCACAGGAATGACTTCTATTGCGGTGGGACTCTTTCTCCACTGGGGCCCTCCAGAAATTGGGGACAGTCTCTTTTGAGATGCAGGAGCGAGTGAGTCCTGGTATTTCTGGTTGATGTGGGAATTGAATTTGTCACTGTGTAGGTGGGTTTGGGGCAGGCAAGCTAATGCCTGGAATTTGCTTGAGTGGAACAAATAACACAGCACCATGTCTCAGCAGTCCCATCGCTCGTGGGCTACTTAGTGGCCAAACTCATGTTCAGAATCAATCAGTCAGCTTTGTTTGTCCACTCTGGGCTGACTGCCTCACAGACTTGCAGAAAATGTTGCACTGACAGAAAGTAAAATCACCCCAAGAGTTTCATTCATGTCTTGTTTGCATCTTAATGATAAATATTTATTATTCTGGTGAAAAGAATTTTCCTTGTGTGTCATATTCCATCTTCTGGGAAGAAAATATTAAGAAAAGAGGGCATTCATCATTCTAGAGTTTATTGGCTCTTACTGTTTATTTATTCTTGAAAGGAAAACAATCCCCACATCAGGAAGTGGTGATGTGACAGAGCCAAGCCTGCAGATGTATGGTGGAGAAAACTCAAGGTGACAACGACTTGGGCTGTTTCAATGGTGTACATTTTCAGAAAATGACTTTGCTCTCACGTTGTTGGTACTGACACTTTGCTCCTTCCTTGTTCTAGTTTATGGCTGGCTGGGTTGTGAAACCCTGGGGAAGTCACCTCAGCTTTGAGCCTCAATTTCTCCATTGTAAAATGAGGAATTGGAGATGCGATCCTAGATGTGACTTTCATTTATAATGACTGTAATTATTATCTTTTAAAAACTGGAGGCTTTTTTGGTATATTATATTAACAAAGTGAAAATCTCATGAAACCCAGAATTTCTTAAAGTATAAGCTAAAATGTCAGCATTTCTCATGCTGTATGTGAGCAAATGAGAGGAATGCTGAGCATTGGGATGAACACTTCTCTCCTGGCAGGGATGGAGGGGCAGGGCTCTTGGCTGGGAGGTCTGATTCTCACTAACATGAACCTTTGGAATGTAGATCAGAGCTTTGCTCTTGGATGGGTGTGGAGAGAACCTAAAGTACATCACATTAATGCTTCTCTGCTAGAATCCCATATCCTTCTGCTGTCCCTCCCAGCCTCTTCTCACCGCTTTCCTTCTCTTTCTCTCTTTCTCGCTCTCTATTTTCATACTGCTATAAAGATACTACCTGAGACTGGGTAATTTAGAAAGAAAAGTGGTTTAACTGACTCACAGTTCTGCATGGCTGGGGAGGCCTCAGGAAACTTACAGTCATGGCGGAAGGTGAAGAAGAAGCAAGTACCTTCTTTGCAAGGTGGTAGGAAAGAGAGAAAAACCCAGGGGAAACTACGATTTATAAAATCATCAGTTACTTCATTCCTGAGTTACTTCACTTAGAATAATGGTCTCCAATTCCATCCAGCATGGATAGAATGGCATGGTGGAAATGCCATTATTTGTTCCTTATTATGCCTGAGTAGTATCCCATGGTATATATTAGGTTGGTGCAAAATGAATTGCAGTTTCTGCAATTACTTTTTAAAAAAAATAGCAAAAACTGAAATTAGTTGTGCACCAACCTAATATATACCACATTTTATTTATTTTATTTATTTTTTTTCTTAATTTGTATTTTTTAAATTTAATCTAATTTACTTTTAAGTACTGGGATACATGTGCAGGATGTGTAGGTTTGTTTCATAGGTAAACATGTGCCATGGTGGTTTGCTGCACCTATCAATCCACCACCTAGGTATTAAGCCCTGCATGCATTAGCTATTTATCCTGACGCTCTCCCTACTCCACTCTGACAGGCTCCAGTGTGTGTTGTTCCCCTCACTGTGTCCATGTGTTCTCATTGTTCAGCTCCCACTTATAAGTGAGAACATGCTATATCACATTTTCTTTATCTACTTGTTGATTGATGGGCATTTGGGATGATTCCATAATTTTGCAATTACAAATTGTGCTGCTATAAACATGTGTGTGCAGGTGTCTTTTGTATAATGACCTTTTTTCCCTCTGGGTAGATACCCAGTAGTGGGATTGCTGGATCAAATGGTAGATCTACTTTTAGTTCTTTTAGAATCTCCACACTGAAATGGAAAACCAAATATCATATTTTCTCACTCATAAGTAGGAGCTAAGCTATGACGATGCAAAGGCATAAGAATAATACAATGGACTTTGGGGACTCGGGGGAAAGGGTGGGAGGAGGGTGAGGGATAAAAGCCTATATATTTGGTACAGTGTACACTACTTGGGTGAGTGGTGCACCCAAATCTCATAAATCACCACTAAAGAACCCATCCATGTAATCAAACACCACTCGTTCCCCAAAAACCTATTGGAATAAAAAATAAAAATTCAAAAAAAGAAAAGGAAGAGAAATCATGTATGCACACACCCAAAGAAAGGGCTACATGAAGACACAGCAAGAAGGTAGCTGCGTGAAAGTTGAGGATAGAGACCTCAGAAGAAGTCTACCTTGCCAGCACCTTGATCTTGGACTTCCACCCTCCAGAACTGGAAAAATAAATTTATGTCATTAAAAAAAAGACCTTATGAGAACTCACTCAGTATCACGAGAACAGTATAGGAGAAACCACCCCCATGATCCAATAGCTTAATGCTAAGTCCCTCCTTTGACACCTGGGATTATGGGGCTTACAATTCGAGATGAGATTTGGGTGGGGACACAGCCAAACCATATCACTCTCTCTCCTTTCTTTCTCTCCCTCTTTCCCTTTCCTTTCTGTGTGTCCTGTGTGGGAAGTTTTTCTATCTCTGCCTTTTAATTTTCCTTCTTTGTTTCATCCTTTTCTCTCATGTTTCCCCCTTTCTGTTTGTCCCTTGTTCTTTAGACCAAACATATACATATTGTAGATCTTATTTTACTCAACCATTTTTAGCATTTGAGTTTTAGTTCCCCCCCCCCCGCCCCAAACTTTCTTCTTAATTATTAGTGAACAGGGTCATGTTCTTTCTAAACCAGAGACAGAATTAAATTGATTTTACATGGCCCCTGTTTCAAAATTTTCCGGTGGGAAAGTGGTTTCCAAAGTCAACAAGAAAGCAGCCAAAACCAAAAAGCAAACAAAGAAACAACAACAAAAAAACCTCTCTCTTCACATAGAAGAAGACAGGAATCGACATTTAGGTGTTAGTATAATACCCAACACCTAATTGTCCACTCCTAGAAGAAGGGAATATAAATTATTTTACCAGCCGTAGCTTTTTAGAGGCAAGTAACACTCAGAGTTAGAAAGTTTTTTTTATTCTCCAGAGGACCATGAGGCTGGGGCTGGACATTCAGAACAAGAATCTTAGGCTCCGTTGAACATTTGAGAAGCCTGAAGGTGGAGATTGTGCTGAGGGGAGCTTTCCACCCTGTTTTTTTTTTTTTTTTTCTGGAGTACAGTGGTGTGATCTCAGCTCACTGCAAACTCTGCCTCCTGGGTTCAAGCGATTATCATGCCTCAGCCTCCTGAGTAGCTGGGACTACAGGTGTGCACCACCACACCCAGCTAATTTTTGTATTTTTAGTAGAGATGGGGGTTTTGCCATGTTGGCCAGGCTGGTCTTGAACTCCTGGCCTCAAGTGGTCCACCCATCTTGGCCTCCCAAAGTTCTGGGATTACAGGTGAGAGCCACCGTGCCTGGCCCCAGCCTGCTTTTAACTAGACAACTCCCTGCTTGGCTTTTTAGAATACTGGTCATCATATGGGCTTTCAGCTGATGAAATAGCTCCTCTGCTGATCTCATGTATCAGTTACATTTTACAGAGAAGGACATTTCCTAATTGACAGAAATCTCATGTTAAGAAATATTGTGGTAAATAACAGCAGGACCATCAATACCACAGCAATAGTAGTATATTGTTCATTTTGAGCTAGGGACTCTGGGCCAATTGAAAATACTGGAGTAACTGTATTCTGGTCTAGGTACACAGTATTTAGAGGCCATTGGGAACCTAAAGTGATTTCTTTATAGGAGGGCAGGCAGGATGCAAAGAGGCTGAAAAATCAAGTCACATGAGGGCTAGTTGAGGGGGAAGTTGATGTCTAATGTGAAAAAGAGAAAACCAAGGAGGAGACATGATTGCTATTTTTATAGCCATAGGGCAAACGTGAACAAGAAAGATAACATCTTTGGTATCCTTGAGGACAGAGACAAGTCCTGGGATGCAAGCATTGGGAAACAGATCTAGTCTAAGTGATCTGAAGGAGTGTCAAGTGACTGGAGTTATGTCACATTGATCTTGTGCAGAGTAGGTAGCACTGAGCAGCCTGGTAGAGCAAGTGTTCCAGAAAAAGGAATACAGTGGGATTTCTGTATCAGCTCAGAGGTTGTACCTGATGATGGCTGAGGTCTTTAAACTCTGAGATTCTAAGATATAATGGCCTAGGGAATCATATTTTGCTTAGTTCAAAACATGCTTTGCATTTCGATTACAACTTTAAAACACAATAGCTTTAAGAAGCAATGGCTTCTAAGGTTCATTTCTGCTGTAAAATTCAAATTGTCTATTACAAGATACTTTTATTGCAGAAAAATTCAGTATACTGAATTAACCCAATACAGCACATGAAGAGGCTTTTATGACACTACAATTCAGTGACTTAATGTGAAATTAAATTAAGATCATGTGACATTTAGTTGAGGTCTTTTTAAATACTCAAATGCTTTTAAATATTAAGTGTTGAGAGAATCAGAGCACCATATATAAAATTTAATACTCTATTCAGTGTTTACTTACAATTTGGAGTAAATCTATGACATCAAAATTTTTAAATAATAAAACAATATTTTCAAGAGATTGTATTTTCCACACTTCCCATTATTTAATCATCTTTGAAATTCTTTCCTGGTGCCAGCAAGATACTTGTATGTTAGGGTTTTCTAAAGTCCTTTGTAAGGTGAACTTTTTGTCCTCCATCCATTCCACAGGAATTTCTCAATTAGAAGTGAAAATAAAAATTTTAAGGGACATTCCAGTGTAACTGACACAGCAATGTTTTCTGTTCTGGAATTTCAATATGAAGCTATGAGACTGCTTTCAGGTTGAATACACACTCATTTGAGTAACTTCAAATCTCTTTATGCAGCATAAAAAAAAGTCCCGTCTTTCTTATCACCCTTTCTAAAATGCAGTAGCAAAACCAAAATGATAAATCTTAGTTTCAGGCAGAAAGAGTTGTGATTTTGTTTCCCTTTCCCTTTAATTTGTAATTCTTATTTTGAGCAAGAAGGGGAAAAGGTGATTTAAAAATTTGAATAAGTTTTCTACTGGGTCCTATGTGCGGTTTAATGCCTAGGAAAGTTTATTAAGCTTGAGGTTTGCCTTTAAAAAAAATTTCTCTGGTAGGAAAGACTTTTGCCCTTACTTCTCCTTTGAGAGTATCTTTAATTAGGAAATACCCTCATTTGATGTCTGCCCAATCCAACTGCCACCGTTAGCTAATTTTAGTCTTCGCTAAAGTTAAGACAAACAATTTGGGGAATTCCATATGGTGCAAGATTACAGCCTCTTAGAATTTTAAAGCTGGGTCAGACATTCTTTAAATTAGCTCGTGACTCTCATTTTATTGATTAGAACACTGAAGACTGAAATGCAGCAACTTGCCAAAGTTTAGGCATAAAGTTAAAAGGAATTGGGTCAAGAACTCAGAATTTCTTATTCCTTGTACAGAAAATGCTCATCTATGTCCTACGCCATAGATGCATGTGTGAATAAACATTTTCTTTAAAGGAATATTCTTCATAAATGAATTTTATTTTAAAATTTATCACAGAAAGTGACTTTTTTCCTTTTGGTATAAAATCCTATGGATTTTATTTCATGTACAGATTTGTGTAATCCCTACCAGGATTGAGCACAGTTCTATCACTTTGAAAAAATTTCTCATGTCATTCTTTATGAATGTAAATTCATAAAAATACATATTTGTAAAACATAATCTAAAACATAATGTAAATTCATACAAATATATATTTGTAATTTATTTAGGAATATAAATTCAAACCCTTTTCCCAACCCCTGGCAACCATTGACCTATGTCACTATAGTTTTTTTTTTCTTTTTTTAGGATGTCTTTTAAATGTATTCTTATATAGCATGCAATTTTTTGAGACTGACTTATTTCATAAGCATAATGCCTTTAAGATTCATCTGAGTTGTTGCATGTATCAACAATTTGTTCCTTTTTATTGCTACCAGTATTCCATTGTTTGGATCTACCACGGTTTGTTTATCTACTAACCTAGTAAGGGACTGTTGAATTGGCTTCAGAGAACGGATAATTGAAAAGTTTTCCTGAGAACTAGGCAGATGGAAAAGTGTGAATCTGTGACAGGATGACCAACCATCCCAGTTTGACTGGGACTATACTGGTTTTAGTACTGAGAATTCTGTGTTCTAGGTAACTTCTCAGTCCTGTTGTTCACATGTGACTCGGGCTGATCTTAGATGGAATTGTAACCAAGTCAAAATTTGTCTGCTTTCCTGTTTCTACCTAAAGGTACATCTTTTTTCTTTTCTTTTTCTCCCTAACCAAATCCAGCTTTTATCAAAGGACCTGATAAACCCATTCACATTAAGCTGCACATTTCAGATGTAAATTTCCAAGTTATCTTATAAGGGACAGTTACATTTTAAGCTGAGGAATGAGAACCTGTAACATAGAGACATGTAGCATTTTGCAACATATAAATACAGATGGGGAGGTTTTTTTTTGAGCTTCTCATCACCCATAAAGTAATTATTCCCTTCAGAAGGAAAAGATGCTGAACAATCCAGTATCTTGTTGGTGTCTCTTTGCAAAGAAGCAACTAGGGGCAGCTCATCTTCTACCTGTGAGTTCCCATGAGTTCAGCCTGTCCTAATCTAGGTTCAAGTGCTTAATGTGTACAAATGTCTGGGCATGTGAAGCACTCAGAGTGAAGGCAAAGCCTTTAGTAGCCCTTGCAAGAGCCCCACTTCAGCTCCTGCTTTCATCTGCACAAATGGGCAAGCTGAAGAACAATCAACTCTGCATCTGAAGACTGGGCCAGGAGGTTAGGAATAGAAGATCATCTCCCAGGACAACACTCAGAAGTAGTCTGCTTAGGGATAGTAACTGAAATGTTTAATATATATGCAGGTGGCTTCATGTTATAGTGGTTTAGATTCCCGACTCTGGAACCAAATGCTTTGGGTTTCAATCTAAGTCTAGGCTTTCTACCTGTTTCCTTGACACAGTTTCTTCACTGGTAAAATGGGAATATCAATAATATATATCTCATGGGACTTTTGTGAAGCTTAGATGGAATGATGACTGTCAAATGCATTGAAGTTAGTAATGAATGTTAGCTATTTTTATGATGAAATTAAGGTGAAGGTTATGGAGGACCTTGTAATAGTATAAGAACAGATATCTCCTATGCCATTTGAAAGCTTTCTCAGCTTAAGTGGGACCATAAACACTCATTATGTCCTATGTCTGATTTCTTTATGAATAAATGAGAAATTAGTTACAGAAAATAAATGCGGTGTTTATATATAAGGCAGATCTAGATAGTCACAATAGTCAGAGTTCAAGAGGAAACTGATGGAACCAGCCTCTTTTGTTCCTTTTACCAAGAAAGAAAAACTTTCTCAGAAGCTTCCCCAGTTGAACACTGGATTGCATGGCCACCTCTAGCAGAAAGAGAGGTTGGGAGGGTAAAGCATTCCCTGGCTAAGGCCAATTATTGTCCATTGCATAATGCTAGAAGAAAATGAATAACTGGGTAGGCAAGTGACAGAGTTCACTCACACATTAGAGTCCTTTTTATTTTTATTTTGTTACATTAGCTAGCCCCAATGAATTTCTCCTTCTTGTAATCATAAAAACACATGATGCTTTTCAGATGCTCTGATACTGTCAGTTGCTTGGACTCTGGAACTCTTTCGTGGTCCATGAATTGGGCTAGGAAAAAGGCTCTTCTGCTCCTGCCTTTCAGAAGAAGATGGAACCAAGGGGGCTGCAGGTATTACTAAATACCCTCACTTGCCACCACTGCATCTCAGGGACTTGGCCCAGGCCAGGCAGAATTGGTGCCCAAAGCCCAACAAGAAGGAGTCCTGTGAAAAGGGCTGTGGTTCCTATCCATGTTCCTAGAAAAACAGCATGTTTTTCTATGGCCAGGTCATGTGAGGCATATCCCAAACTCTGTTTCTGCTGCTTCTCCGTGTTAGAGAGTTGTCTCACTACACAGATAGCACTCTTGTGGGCCAAAGCCTATGTGACCTACTATAAAGACCTGTTCATTCTGTGATATCCAGAATTATCTAGTTTTCATAACTAAATTCATAATCAAAAGAGTCACCAAATGTTAAGAAGAAATACCTTAAGCATTTGCTCAAATGGATTCATATATGTGTGAAGGATTGACAGTTCTAACCTCCTTATCAATATGGTTATATTCAAAAGCATGACTTCAGCTTACACATTCTAATAAGTAGAGGGACAGAAGAGATAAGAGAGCAGGTCTGAGGGTGTCAGGACCAAAGCCTCTTGGCTTGTAATGCAGCTGAAGACTAAATTTGAAGGAAGACTTTCTGTCTCCATTGTTCCTCCACACTACACTACCTAATCCTCAGACTCTTTCATCAGCCTTCCAATTTCCCTCTACATCACCCTTCAATTGGAATAGAATTTAGTCCTAGATTAAATGAGATATAATATATCAAGTAGTCCAAATCCTTCGTTTTACAGATGAGTAAAATGAAGCCCAGACTGGTTCATTTACACTCCCAGGATATGTAACTTCATGGCAGAAGAAAGAATAAGGATCTTTTGAACCTAGTTGCTTTAAATAAATGGTGACCTGAATTTCCTAACATCTCTGAATCACTGTCCATGTGACCACACATTCAGTTAGGCTCAAATAATACCAGGCAGGTAAAAATAGCAGTGTGGTTTGACCACTTCTCCATTTCCCTGGAGATAAGCTCACTATCACTCTTCTACTTTTGACAGCAGTGCTGTGGTTTTATATTCACTATTTTATCAGACTTCAGGTTTTAATGTAATTATGACTTGGGGCTACTTTAGAGAAAATTATGATAAAAGCATACATAAATGAGATCAGGGTGAGTCCAGAGAATGAGGAGAGAAGAGTGAGAGGCAGGAAATCCCCTGGAACTTTGCAGAGGTGCCAGGGAAGAAGTGAGAGCCATGTGGGATGTGATGCATTGGTGATGCCATGTCAAAGCCCTGGATTAGGACTCAGAAGACCTCATATACTTTGGGTGGTTTCATTTTTATGAACCTTGGTGAGTCTTTCCATATGGTTGGACCAGGTGATTTTAACTGTTACTTGTGGCTTTTCTGACTAAAGGGCTTTGTCTGAGAAAGAAGCACTTTTGAAGTGAGCTTTGTCACGTGAAGCTGTGGCAAAGATGATGTCATACAACTTTAGTTCCGGTTACATTGATCATTCACCCCAATCAGCTGACAGGCTGCGCAATGATTTTTGAATCTGCCATATAGCTCTCACCAGAATGTGGCAATCACAGGCACTGTGGACTGGGAGACGTCCTTTCAGATGTGAATGAGAAGATGCTGGAGGGTCCCCAAAGACAGAATAGAAAAATTCTTTGCTGAATTCAACCTACACCAGCTATAGGGGTTGAAAAATACAATTTAAAAATTAGTATATTCTAAATTTGGACTCAAGGGCAGATGGTTCATAATGAGCACAAATGTCCAAGTTTTCCCATCAGATGGTCATCAGAAGGACACCATGGGCTACTCAATAGGTATTTAGTGACTGTGCAGAAAGGGCAGTCATTTTAGAGAATACAAAGAAGATAGGGCTCCAAGGTAGTTAAAGCAATGGAAATAAGGCCAGCTCCCATAAATCACTTTTCAGAAATATCTCTCCAATGGGGAATGGGGGTGGGGTCAAAACAAGATACAGTGATAGAAATGGTTGGTAGATTAAATTTTGTAACCTGAATTTTTAAAGATAATAGGCATTTAAAATATTTCATCTCATTGTCAGCACAAGTTTCCAGAATTTTTGGCCAGAAAATACAATTGCTAAAAACATAAGATTATTTGTCCATGAAATTGATCATGTACTTAATAAATAGGCCTACGAGATATCAGAATGAGCCTATAATCTTTTGCCTCTTTGTTTTCCTTTGCTTGGCATTATGGTGAACTATATTTAGGAAGGCCAAACACGTTCTTCCTCAAACTTGGTTTCTCTTTGGCCAGACCCCATGTTCCCTTGTTCCTTCCGTTTCACTGGGGTGTGCTCAATGAAAAGTATTTCAATTTTAATTTTTATTAACCTCACAAATTATTTGCTGGTAAGATTAAAAAAGAAGACACATGAGCTGTGACACAGAAGAAATAGTGTTATTGGTGCTCAGTGGCTGAGGGTCAGATTTCAGTTCCTTATACTGGCTGTGTGACTTTGTACGAGTTCCTGAGTCTGTCTGGGTTTCAAATCCTCACAGAAAATGAGAATTGGAACGGGTGAACTTTAAGCCTCCGCAAACTCCAACATTTTATGTGTCTATGCATTCCAAAGTCCAATGTTAGTGATATTTAAACCCCTGGTACAGATTAGTCACACAGATGCAGCCTCCATTAGTGTTATCAATACTCATAGCTGACACTGATTGATTGCTTCCTTGGTGCCAGCTCTTTCTGAAATCGATTTCTGAAATCTTACTTATTTCTAAAATAGCTGTGTGTGACAGGTGTTATTAT
Organism: Homo sapiens; assembly: GCF_000001405.40. Classification (NCBI taxonomy): domain Eukaryota; kingdom Metazoa; phylum Chordata; class Mammalia; order Primates; family Hominidae; genus Homo; species Homo sapiens. Next base: position 40,485,272 of record NC_000005.10, on the reverse strand, counting down.
TGCTACTTTATAGATGATGAAACCGAGGCTAAGTGGGGCTAAGAAATAGTTACGTAAGTTATGAGGCTGATTTTGAAATTCAGGCTGTCTGACTCCAAAGCTTATGCTTAATCCAGATACCCTGAACAGTACAAAGTTGACGAATTTATGAATCAATGAGGAATATCTCTCAGAAACACAATTTTAAGGTGCAGAATATAACCCTGCACTAAACTTATTTCAACCAGGTATTTTTGTTCACTTAGATTATTTGTTTCTGGTTGAGAGAGCAGATGATTTATTTGGTCGTTCGAGGGGTCTGTATAAAAAAAATCATTTGTATCAACTTTGATAGTTGGTAAAGCCAGAGCATCTCAGTTTGGATGTCTACTTCCCGAGGAAACTGCAATCTCTCACATCCCAATTTGAGAAATACTAGTTCACAAGAGGTTTCTAGTGCCTCTTCAGAGAGATTCACACAGTTTTGGTGAATGTTGGGAGATAAAAACTATGTAAGGAACCATCACCATCCACACACACATGTCTAATTCTGTAGGGCAGGGTAGATGAAACCTGAGTTGGCTTGAAGGTTTATGATGTCAGTTCTCTGATCTGGGATGGTGGTTACTACTTCACTTTTGAGGAGTTGGGTGAACTCAAGAAAAGCGTTTTCGTTTTGTTGTTTCATCTTTCAATTAGGTGAACTTTAAAAAGGGAAGTTATTAGTTTTCTCCTGACTTTAAAATCCCCTGCCATAATCTGTCTTTTTTTCCTGTTTTGGTAAGCATTACAGTTTGTGGTATATATATTTTTTGATCTGTAGGATTTCTTCACTATATCTGAGGGGCTGCTCTATCAAGCAAAGCTTCTATATATCCATGTATTGCCAAGTAAAATTGGACCTCAGATATTCTTTCATAACATTGCAAAGACTTTACAAAAATTAAGCACAAATTACCAATCACAGCCTCCTGGTTTATACATAATTACTGTCCAGTATTTTATCACTAGCCTGATTTTTATCATTCCCTCCCATTACTATTATTATTTTATATAGTCAGTGTTCAAATTTTGGCACATATTTTTGTTCACTTAGATTATTTCCTCACATTCTCTGCTCACCAATCTTTCTTGTGTTTCAGATTTTTCTTTTGGATCATTTTCACTTCTTCCTGGAATATACTCTTTAATCAGTGACTCTTAGGTGAAAATATTCAGCTTTGTATTGAAAATTTTCAGTTTTTCTTGAAAATATCTTTATTCCGCTGTCATTCTTGAAGGATGGCTTGGCTGGCTATGTATTACCAGGCTGAGTTATCTTCTCTCAGAAGACTGAAAATATTCTTTCACAGTCTTCTGCTTTTCATTATTGCTGTTGAGAAGTCAACTCTCAATTTAGTTCTTATTTATTTGTAGGTAATTTTTCTTTGCTTTCTAGCTACTTTAAACATCTTTCATTTCTCTTTCTTGTTCTGCAGTATCTAGATATTGGTTTCTTTTTATTTATTCTGGTTGGCATTGTAGTAGTTTTTTATTGCTGTGTATAAACTACCACAAACTTGCATCTTGAAACAGCATCTCTTTATTGGTTCACAGTTCTATAAGTTTGGCAGGGTGGCATGACAGGATTCTCTGCTTGGGATCCTACAAAGCTGAATTCAATATGTCAAACAGGTTGAGTTTTCATTTAGAGGCTCTGGGGAAATTTTGCTTCCAAACTCAGTCAGTTTGTTGGCAGAATTAAATTCCTTGTGGTTGTAGGAATGAGGTCTTCATTTATTTGCTGGCTGTCAGCCAGAGATGTTTGCAACTCCTAGAGGCCACCCATATTCCTTGCCTTGTGGCTCTCTAAGTTTTCTAGCCAGTAACAATCTGTCAACTTTCTTAAAGTTGATTGTGCCACATGATATAACCTAATCCTGGGGGTAAAATTGATCATATTAACAATCCTAGAGATTAGGCAAAACATGTACACCAGGTGGCAGGGAACTGTGAAGGATGTCTTGGAATTATGCCTACCAAAGTCATTTATTGAGATTCTTTAATTCAGAGACATCTTTCCATGATCACTTGTTAACTATTGCTTTATTTTAAACACTTCATGGTATTATAATGTGTGGATATGAGATATAGACAGATTGATATCTCTCAATATGTAACTTTATATGACATATAATTTGTCTGTAATTAAAGACACGAATTCACTCTTGATAGAAAATCCGATTTTGTTTTTTTTTGCTATTATCTAAACAATAAGCAATAAACATCCTTGTTTAGTTGCTTAAGTATTATCTGAATTTCTTATGATAAATTTCCAGAGTTGTTTCAAGTATATGCCCTTATTTTAAAACATACTGCTTATCTCCAAAAACATACTTTAATTAATTTATTTATTTATCAATTTATTTATTTATTTTGGAGACAGAGTCTCGTTCTGTCACCCAAGCTGGAGTACAATGGCGTGATCTCTGCTCACTCCCACCTCCACCTCACAGGTTCAAGCTATTCTCCTGCCTCAGCTTCCCAAGCAGCTGGAATTACAGGCACCTGCCATCACGCCCAGCTAATTTTTGTATTTTTAGTAGAGACGGAATATCATCATGTGGGCCAGGCTGGTCTCGAACCCCTAAACTCAGGTGATCCACCTGCCTTGGTCTTCTGAAGTGCTGGGATTACAGGTGTAAGCCACCGCGCCCGGCCTCAAAAATATACTTTAAAATTGCCCCCAACTTCATAGGTCCATTTTCCCATGTGCTTTGTGATTTCTATAAAATTAGTGAGAAATATGACACTGATGTTTAAATTTATACTTTAATCCAATTAGTGATGTGACACTTTCATGTTGTATTGGTCATTTGCATTTCTTCATATGAAAATTTCCTCTTTGTGTAATTTTTGTTTGTTTGTTTTTTCTCTTATTTGAACGTGCCCTGTATGTATCAAAAATGCTAACATTTTTGTGGCCATTGTCATATATGTGAATATATTTTCTTCATTTTGCTGTGTGTAAACTTGGTGCATAGAGTTTTTTTTTTTTCCCTTCAGAAGTTTTTGCATTTTTGTGTAGTAAGAGTCTTTTCTCTTTTGGCTATTGAGATTTGTGTCATGGCTAGTAAGTCCTTTCCTATTCTCATATGTATATATGCATGTATATATGCATATATATGTATACATGTATATGTTACCTTACATTTTATTTGTAGTACTTTTTTTATACATTAACATTTCAAACCCATTAGAAGTCCATTTTACATGGTATCTAATTGTCATATAGTATTGTTCTTGATTCAAACAGAGATAGTGTTGACAGAGGGTCATTCAGCCATTATTGAATCACGGGCGAATAGGTTCCAGAGATTATAAAAGAGACAAGAGAGGCTTCTGTACCGAGGAGTTCCCAGTGGAGGAGAAGGATTACACTTGGATAAACACATGAGGTTAAGTTAACTGAGCCTTTAAGATAGTCCTGGAAGTTAATTAATCAGTTTATTCACTTTTGTGATCATTCATTTGCTCAAATATTTATTGTGTAAATGAGTATCTACTCATATAGTACTATGCTAAGCCTGAGAATAAAAATTAAATAAAGTCTTTTTCCCCTCAAGTTGGTGTATGCCTAGTGAGGGAGATAAAAATAAATTATAAACTGTAGTTAAATGTAATTAATAAATGATTACATAGAAATTTGTCCAGGCTGCTATGGGGAGTCCAACAAAGCAGAAGTTATATTAGCTTGAGGAACATCACAGATGACCTTCTTGAAGAATGTGGTTTGAGCTGAGTGTTGAGAGCAACTGGAATATAACTGCATAAAGAAGGAAGAATAAAACTCCAGGCAGAAGGGATTTCATGGGAGAAGGCAAGGAGGTGAGTCACGCTGTGATACATGCAGGCCTCCGCAAGGTATTCTGTAGTGAGGGCTACATGTGATGGATGTGGAATATAGCAGGCCCTCAGGCTACAAACAGATTGGGTCTTGAAGGCCCCTTTGGGTCAAGTGAAGAAGTCTGAATCTGGTCCTGCAAACTGGAGAGGTTTGCAGTCTGCAGAGTTTGGAGGCAAATCCTGAATTTGACACATACTAGCTTTGGGACACTAGACTAGTAAACTCTTTCAGTCTCTGTTGCCTTGTCTGTAAAATTAATGTGATAATATCTAACTTACAAGGTAGTCGTTGGGATCAGAGATAGTGCACCTCTCTGGCCCACAGTAAGCCCTCAGCACATGGTAATTATTCATCCTGAGCTTAATCAGGCTGAAGCCTAATAAAAGTGGGCTTTTGTCAGTTGGCAGAAACAGGTCAGGTTAGTCATAGAAGTTTTTTAACTTTAACTTTTTTTCTGTCGATTACCCTTAAACATTTTAACACCTGATCCATTTGTCAATAAAACGAATGATGAGAAATCAGGATGGATGAGGAAGGACTTACATATTTTATCAGATGTTCCTTCTAGGAGCTCTCAGTCTCGAGCAGGGGGAATACACATATTAGCATGATTTGCAATGAAGCCTCTTCCTTGGGTGATGGCACTATTTTGATATTCCTGTGTCTTCCCTCTTGCAATCTGCACTTGAGGCTGACATAACTCTCTCCTCATCTACTAATCAGTGGCAGAAGAGAGCAAAAAATAGTGTGTAGTATCAGTAACACTAGGTTCTGTGCCAAGGTACTCGTTAACCTCAAACCTCTGGTGATCTCTGAGTGGTGCCTGGGTGGCAAAACTGAGTCATTTATGGAATCACTGATAACGGTCACAGCATCTATCTGGCAGCTCATCTTCTGGGCTTGCTGCTGCCCAACCATTGCAGATTATTTCTTTATGATTATCATCATGCCTACAGAAGTTCAAAAAAAGGGGGAGCTCAGGGAAATTTTCCAGGGGTTTGGATCCCCATTTATATGATCAGCCTTCCTCTCAACATCATGAATTGTAATGACAGGTAAAGCCAGTAATACCAGACTGTGAGTGGGAGCTTCTGGTCTAAAAGATTATTACGTTTACTACATCTTCACAGTCGTGGACTTACTGACATATATGATTTCATGAAAGCCTCATATTGATGGCTTGTCTAATCACTAGCGTCATGACCCAGGTAGTAAATGGCACAGCTAGAGTTCATAAGTAAGTCCTCCTACTCCACTTGTAGTCATGTTTCCACTTCAACACAAGCTGGGTGGGCTTTTCCCCCTGATTTTTGGTGATGCTACAGTTACTGGAGGAGAGAATTGTGAATACTGACACAGCCATTGATTTGAGTCATCTTCTGTTCCATTTGGTGTCACTGTGCATGTCCCCTCTCAAATGCTGCTGCCCCAGTTTCTGCAGTTCTCCAGTGGTTACTTTATTAATCTATGTTAATTTTAATGGGTTTTTATCAAGTCCATCTGGTTGACAAGTGCATTTTGATTCTGTAGAAATGAGTCTGGAAACCTGGGGCTTTAGAAGCCATTGCCAAGGACTTCTTGTTCCTGGAATCTGGAAAAGTTTCTTTATCTTTTGGGATCAGTTTTCTCATCTACATAATAAAAGGGGCCTAGATCAATGATTTCTAGCATCTCATTTTTAATCACAAGATTTTTTTTTCTCAAATGAAATGTGACATGTACCAAACAGACAAAATCAGTTTTCTTTGATTGAAACAAGGGTGAAGTCTAGGGTTTGCCTTTTGGCTTCCCTAGTACCCTCACCCTGGCTCCTGAGACTGATCTAGTTGATGTAGATGGTTGTTAAGTGTCTTAGACCTTTCTGTTCCTATAACAGAATGCCTGAGACTAGATAATTTATAAAGAACAGAGATTTGTTTCTTACAGTTCTGGAGGCTGGGAAGTCTAAAGTCAAGGGGCCCATATCTGGTGAAGGCCTTCTTGCTGCATCATCTCATGGCAGAAGGGTTGGGTGAGAGAGCACACAAAGGGTGGCAGAGTGGGTGGACACATCCTCTTTATCAGGAACCCACTCCAGCAATAACTAACCAACTCTTGTGATAATGGCATTAATCTACTTATGAGGGCAGAGTCACCATGACTTAGTCACCTCTTAGAGTCCCGCTTCTCCACACTGTTACATTGGGCATTACATTTCCAACACATCAACTTTGGGGGACACATTCAGACTATAACCTTAAGGTACTGTTATTAGTTATTAGAGGGCTTTTCTTATTGTCCACCAAGTGCCTGATGCTGAGGAGTTCTGAGCTGTTCAGCATCTACAGGAAGGCTGAAGCTTGGCAGGGCAGAGCAGTCGAGAGGCTAGGCTCTATAACTGGGGTGCCTTGGCTTGAATCCCAATCCTACCTCCTTAGTGGCCAAGTCATCTTTGAAAAATCACTTAATCTCTGTGCATCTGTTTCTGTGTCTTATAATAGGGATAATAATAGTATCTGGTTCAGAAGGTTGTTGTGAAGATTAAAATAGTTCATATATGCAAAGCCTTTAAAATAGTGACTAGTACTACATAAATGTTAGCTATCATTCCTATCATTTTTAGGATCTAGCAGAGCTTTGTAGGGAGTAGAAGCTTAATCGTGGCCATTAATTAACTTGATTCTGCAGAACTGCAGACCCGGAAGAGCTTTCTGATGTCATGTGGCCCGTGTTTCCTAAACTTGCTTATGTGAAGACTTTCCTGGGTCACTTGTTAAAATGCAAACTCCTGAATACTAACTAAACTTAGTATTCAGTAACTGCTAAACATACTGAACCAGCATCTGCAGGGAGCAGTCTGAAAATCTGTATTTAAAATAAATGTCCTACAAGATACTGATGATTAGGTAAGTTCAAGTTGGAAACTGTAGTATCTAACTATTATCTTTCACAGAGAAAGCTAAGCACTTGGGAGAAGTGGCTCACTCAGTGTTAAAGTTAGTGGTGGAACTGGGACCAGAACCCGGGTCCCTGTCCTTGGTCCTGTGTTATTCCCATTGCATCTCTTTTCTCTGTGATGTCTCTGGTGCTTCTGTCCAAGTGCCCGAGTTTGGCCGGATAGAAGAAATAGTTTCAGGATGACTTTACCAAAGTATTATTTGGCTGTGGGCAGAAATTATCTGCCAGAGGGGTACAAGAGTTCTCTCTTCTTTAGGTGGATTTTGAGCTCCCATATTTATTCTTGAATTGTGCTTCTAGGATAATGATCTCTGGAAACCTGCATGCCCTGAGTGATCTCAAAGTCTGGTAACTGTTCTTGCGGTCCTGTTTGCACAGGAACAGAAATTCATTTCAAAGTGCAGCCAGTGCCAACAGGGGAGAGTGGGCAGAGAAATCAAATGAAAATGCCAAAACGCTGACTACACGGCCAGTTTGCATCATGTGAACCACTTTGGAGCCTGAGGACAGAAACCAAAAATATGCTTCTGTTCAGAGGCGGCTAACAGCACTAGTGTTATTATTGTTATCATCATCATCACCACCATCATTCGTCCATAAATTTAAAAGTAGGTAGCTGGACTGTGTTTTTTTTTCTAGGAGTTCTGCATGAAGTTCAGAGCTATGATGAATTTTAGAGAAATAAGTGTGGAGGCATGCATGGTCCCATAACTTAGCCCCCTCAGCTGGAACCACAGCTCTCTTGCCCCCAATTGTTCAGTACAGCCTTGTCATCACAGTGAGAACAGTTTTACACACTCAGGGCTTGTTCTAACAGTAAAGAAGCCAAAAAAGAAATGTGTAAAGTAAACTGATGTTTAAGAATTCTGGTAGGGAATTAGGATTCTTTGCTGCAGAAGAGAGGACTGAAGGCTGAAGCAAGGACAACATGACGGGGAGGGAGGTGACTGGGAAGTACAGCCCTTTATTCCTGGAGAGGAGGTGAAGTCCTTGAACTTGAAGAGATTTAGAGATCAAAATATAAGATGTAATTGGAGTCCAGGTCCTCAGGGGAAGTGCCAATTTAAACTCTGTGGGTGGGATTGGACCTTACAGGCAGAAGAAGAAATTAAACTGAGTACCTTAAAAACAACAACAAAAAGCACCACCTGTGTATATGTCCATTTCTTTATTCACTCAGCCTAGTTCTGCTGCTCTGTATAACAAATCCAGCTCCTCCTTTTACAGGAGAAGGTGGTGAACCTCAGGTGGAAATTCATAGTTTTCTTTTGAAGGCAAAGTCTTTGTTTCTAATCTGACTCTTACAGAGCCAGAAGCTCCTTTTCCAAGGCAGAGCTGAGGAGCATAGGGGTGACTCCCAAAGTGTGGCAAAGGGGAGATTTCACCTGTTCTAGCCATACTCTTGTTGTTATCCAGCAAAAATTTGTTTTAAACTTCTTTAACAATTTACTTACATTCAACATGGCCTAAATTATAAGGGAAATCAAATGCAGGATATAGAATTCTATGTTTTTTTGCTAAACAATCCTGGACTAAGCAACATTTTCTCACATCTACAATGCAGTTATTACTGATGTTCATGTTGATGACATTTAGGCACTAAAAGGTTCCAGAATGTTTTCTTATTTATTAAGCAATATCAAACTATATTGATTCTAATGTTATTGTGGATTAGTAGATATTCAGAAATAAAATGAAAATTGGAGCTTCCATGATAGTCCCCTTTAAATTCAGATAAAGAATTGGAAATGTAGAGTAATTAAATGACTTGCCCAAAGTCACACTATCTGTTGAGTAGCAGAGCTGGGATTTGATTTATCTTTATATTCCTGTTACTGAATTTGGCCAGTTCATAGAGGTGTTTCTTCTCTAGTAGCTTGAATTTGTGATCTACTGTGTGGTCAGCACTAACCTATATTCTAAGCTTGGGTGTGTGTGTTTAAGAGCAGAACAAATATAGAAAATGGTACCAGTTCTCCAAATACACGCAAGCCTAGTCAAGGATATGGGACTTACACAGGTGAAACAATAGAGAATGGTACAATTCAGTGGTGCTTCCCATGCCTTCATGGGCATGAAAATCACCTGCATGTCTTGTTAAAACACAGATTCTGGTTTAGGAGCTGGAGATTCTGTGTTTCTTACAAACTCTCAGTTGAAGCATATGCAGTTAAGGGAGACATACTTTGCGTAATAAGGCAAGGCAGGAGATAATTAAGGGGTAAATTATGTAGTATAATTATGAAACATAAGGAGTTCAGAGGAATAAAGTATAATCAGGGGCAAGTTTCATGGAATACATGGAATTTGAGCTCATCTTGAATGAGAGTCTGACTTCAGATCGGTAAAGGAGAGAGGCCCAGGAATAAAGTGAGTTAAGAGTTACGACAGGGTCAAGAAATGTGCTTGTGAGATGGAGAGGGAACCAGACTGGTTGGATCAGATGGTGTTCAGTGTGGTGATAGGCAGTTTCTGTGATGGCCCCCATCTGTCTCCCTCCTCATGGTATTTATGCTGTCGTGCAATGGCCTCTTCCTGTGTGTGGTCCAGATCTAATGACTAGCTTCTAAGGAAAAGAACACAGCAAATGCCATGAAATGCCATTTCCAAGATTAGCTTACAAAAGACTCTGACTTCCATCTTACTCACTCTGTTTCACCATTGCTTTCTCTGAGGGAAGCTAGCTGATGTGTGATGAGCTGCCGTGTATCAAGGAACTGATGTCTTCAGCCAACAAGCAGCTAGAATCTGAGGGGTTGAAACAGCCACATGAGTGAGCTTGGAAGTTGGAACTTATTGCCTGAGTCAAGCCTTGAGATGACTACAGCCTTGGCAGACATCAAGTGCCTGAGCCAGAGGACCCAGCTAAGCCACTCTCAGATTTCTGACCTACAGAATTCGTGTGATAATATTAATACATGTTTATTGTTTTAAGTTGCTGAATTTGGGGGTGGGTTGTCACACAGTCATAGAAAACTGATACAGTTGGAAATAATTTTGAAAGGTGAAAGGCATAGTATGAAATCTGATTCTGTGGTATGGAGGGGTTTCAAAGACTGGCAGAACAATTTGGACATGGTACAGAAGCCATTGAAAGCTCTTTCTCTCATAGCTTTATGGAGATATAATTCACATACAATATAATTGTCATTTAAAATGTACAACTCACTAGTTTTTAGTAAGTTAGCAGAGTTGTGAAATCATCACCACAAGCTATTTTCATACACTTTGATCTGCCCCCAAACAAAGCCCATACCAATTAGCAGTCATACCCCATTTTGTCCCAAGCCCTAGACAACTTCTCTACTTTTTGTGTCCAACAAATTTTCCTATTCTGGACATTTCAGGCAGAGTAATAAAATACATGGCTTTTTGTGTCTGCTTCTTTTACTTAGCATAATACTTTAAGGTTTATTGGTGTTGTAGCATGTGTCAGTATATTTGTTGCTTTTTATCGCCAAATAATATCCCATTTTACTAAGAGACCACACTTTGTTTATTCGTTGGTCACTTCATGGATGTTTGTGTTGTTTCCAAATTTTGGCTATTAGAAATTATGCTGCTGAATTTTAGAATTCCCATTCCAAGATAGCAGAATAGGAATAGCTCTGGTCTGCAGCTCCCAGTGTGATCGATACAGAAGATGGGTGATTTCTGCATTTCCAACAGAGGTACCTGGTTCAGCTCACTGAGACTGGTTGGACAGTGGGTGCAGCCCACAGAGGGTGAGCTGAAGTAGGGTGGGGTGTTGCCTCACCTGGGAAGCACAAGGGGTTGGGAGATTTCCCTTTCCTAGCCAAGGGAATCTGTGACAGACTGTACCTGAAAAATTGGTACACTTCCGCCCAAACACTGCACTTTTCCCACAGTCTTAGCAACTGCCAGACCAGGAGATTCTCTCCCATGCCTGGCTTGGTGGTTCTCAAGCCCAAGGAGCCTTGCTCACTGCTAGCGGAGCAGTCTGAGATCAGCCTGTGAGGTGGCAGCCTTGTTGGGGGAGGGGCATTCACCATTGCTGAGGCTTCAGTAGGTAAATAAAATGGCCAGGAAGCTTAAACTGGGCAGGGCCCACCTCAGCTCAGCAAGGCAGGCTGCTTCTATAGACTCCACCTCTGGGGGCAGGGCATAGCTGAACAAAAGGGAGCAGAAACTTCTGCAGACTTAAATATCCCTGTCTGACAGCTCTGAAGGGAGCAGTGGTTCTCCCAGCATGGTGTTTGAGCTCTGAAAAAGGAAAGACTGCCTCCTCAAGTGGGTTCCTGACCCCCATGTAGCCTAACTGGGAGACACCTCCCAGTAGTAACCGACAGACACCTCATACAGGCAGGTGCCTCTCTGGGACAAAACTTCCAGAGGAAGGATCAGGCAGCAATATTTGCTGTTCTGCAATATTTGCTGCTCTTCAGCCTCTGCTGGTGATACCCAGGCAAACAGGGTCTGGAGTGGACCTCCAGCAAACTCCAACAGACCTGCAGTTGAGGGACCTGACTGTTAGAAGGAAAACTAACAAACAGAAAGGAACAGCATCAACATCAACAAAAAGGACATCCACACCAAAACTTCATCTCTAGGTCACCAACATCAAAGATAGTAGATAAAACCACAAAGATGGGGAGAAAAGCTGAAAATTCTAAAAGCCAGAGAACCTCTTCTCCTCCAAAGGATTGCAGCTCCTCGCCAGCAATGGAACAAAGCTGGATAGAGAATGACTTTGACAAGCTGACAGAAGTAGGTTTCAGAAGGTCGGTAATAACAAACTTCTCTGAGCTAAGTAAGCATGTTTGAACCCATCACAAGGAAGATAAAAACCTTGAAAAAAGATTAGATGAATGACTAACTAGAATAAACTGTGTAGAGAAGACCTTAAATGACCTGACGGAGCTGAAAACCATGGCACGAGAACTTTGTGATGTGTGCATAAGCTTCAATAGCTGATTTGATCAAGTGGAAGAAAGGATACAGGGAGTGAAGATCAAATGAATGAAATAAAGCAGGAAGACAAGATTGGAGAAAAAAAGAGCAAAAAAAAAAAAAAAAAAAGAGAAAAAACAAAGCCTCCAAGAAATATGGGACTATGTGAAAAGACCAAATCTACGTTTGATTGGTGTACCTGAAAGTGGCGAGGAGAATGGAACCAAGTTGGAAAACACTCATCAGGATATTATCCAGAACGTCCCCAATATAGCAAGCCAGGCCAATGTTCAAATTTGGGAAATACAGAGAACACCACAAAGATATTCCTCGAGAAGAGCAACCCCAAGACACATAATTGTCAGATTCACCGAGGTTGAAATGAAGGAAAAAATGTTAAGGGCAGCCAGAGAGAAAGGTCAGATTACCCACAAAGGGAAGCCCATCAGACTTACAGCGGATCTCTTGGCAGAAACCCTACAAGCCAGAAGAGAGTTGGGGCCAGTATTCAACCTTCATAAAGAAAATAATTTTCAATCCAGAATCTCATATCTAACCAAACTAAGTTTCATAAGTGAAGGAGAAATAAAATCCTTTACACCACAAGAAATGCGGAGAGATTTTGTCACCACCAGGCCTGCCTTACAGGAGCTCCTGCAGGAAGCACTAAACATGGAAAGGAACAATTGGTACCAGCCACTGCAAAAACATGCCAAATGGTGAAGACCATTGATGCTATGAAGAAACTGCATCAATTAACGTGCAAAATAGCCAGCTAACATCATAATGACAGGATCAAATTCACACAATATTAACCTTAAATGTAAATGGGCTAAATGCCCCAATTAAAAGACACAGACTGGCAAATTGGATAAACAGTCAAGACCCCTCAGTGTGCTGTATTCAGGAGACACATCTCATGTTCAGAGATGCATATAGGCTCAAAATAAAGAGATGGAGGAAGACCTACAAAGCAAATGAAAAGCAAAAACAAGCAGTGGTTGCAATCCTAGTCTCTGATAAAAGAGACTTTAAACCAACAAAGATCAAAAGACACAAAGAAGGCCACTACCTAATGGTAAAGGGATCAATTCAACAAGAAGAGCTAACTATCCTAAATATATATGCAACCAATACCGGAGCACCCAGATTCATAAAGCTAGTCCTTAGAGACTTACAAAGAGATTTAGATACCCACACAATAATAATGGGAGACTTTAATGCCCCACTGTCAATATTAGACAGATCAATAAGACAGAAGGTTAACAAGGATATCTAGGACTTGAACTCAGCTCTGCACCAAGTGGACCTAATAGACATCTACAGAACTCTACACCCCAAATCAACAGAATATACATTCTTCTCGGCAGCACATCACACTTATTCTAAAATTGACCACATAATTGGAAGTGAAGCACTCCTCAGAAAACGTAAAAGAACAGAAATCAGAACAAACTGTCTCTCAGACGACAGCGCAAACAAATTAGAACTCAGCGTTAAGAAACCATCAACTCAAAACCACTCAACTACATGGAAACTGAACAACCTGCTCCAGAATGACTACTGGGTACATAACGAAATGAAGCTAGAAATAAAAATGTTCTTTGAAACCAATGAGAACAAAGACACAACGTACCAGAATCTCTGGAACACATTTAAAGCAGTGTGTAGAGGGAAATTTATAGCACTAAATGTCCACAAGAGAGAGCAGAAAAGATCTAAAATCGACACCCCAACATCACAATTAAAAGAACTAGAGAAGCAAGAGCAAACACATTCAAAAGCTAGCAGAAGGCAAGAAATAACTAAGATTAGAGCAGAACTGAAAGGAGATAGAGACACAAAAACCCTTCAAAAAATCAATGAATCCAGGAGCTGGTTTTTTGAAAAGATCAACAAAATAGACCACTAGCAAGACTAATAAAGAAGAAATGAGAGAAGAATCAAATAGACACAATAAAAAATGATAAAGGGAATATCACCACTGATCCCACAGAAATACAAACTACCATCAGAGAATACTATAAACACCTCTATGCAAATGAACTAGAAAACCTAGAAGAAATGGATAAATTCCTGTACACGTACACCCTCCCAAGACCAAACCGGGAAGAAGTTGACTCTTTGAGTAGATCAATAACAGGCTCTGAAATTGAGGCAATAATTGATAGCCTAACAACCAAAAAAAGTCCAGGACCAGATGGATTCGCAGCCGAATTCTACCAGAGGTACAAGGAGGAGCTGGTACCATTCCTTCTGAAACTACTCTGATCAATAGAAAAAGAGGGAATCCTCCCTAACTCATTTTATGAGGTCAGCATCATCCTGATGCCAAAACCTGGCAGAGACACAACAAAAAAAGAGAATTTTAGACCAATATCCCTGATGAACATCAATGCAAAAATCCTCAGTAAAATACTGGCAAACCGAATCCAGCAGCACATCAAAAAGCTTATCCACCACGATCAAGTCGGCCTCATCTCTGGGATGCAAGGCTGATTCAACATATGCAAATCAATAAATGTTAACCACCACATAAACAGAACCAATGACAAAAACCACACGATATCTCAATAGATGCAGAAAAGGCCTTTGACAAAATTCAACAGCCCTTCATGTTAAAAAGTCTCAATAAACTAAGTATTGATGGAACGTATCTCAAAATAATAAGAGCTATTTATGACAATCCCACAGCCAATATCATATTGTATGGGCAAAAACTGGAAGCATTCCCTTTGAAAGCCAGCACAGGACAAGGATGCCCTGTCTCACCACTCCTATTCAACATAGTGTTGGAAATTCTGGCCAAGGCAATCAGGCAAGAGAAAGAAATAAAGGGTATTCAACTAGGAAAAGAGGAAGTCAAATTGTCCCTGTTTGCAGATGACATGATTGTATATTTAGAAAACCCCATTGTTTCAGCCCAAAATCTCCTTAAGCTGATAAGCAACTTCAGCAAAGGTCTCAGGATAGAAAATCGATGTGCAAAAATCACAAGCATTCCTATACACCAATAACAGACAAACAGCCAAATCATGAGTAATCTCTCATTTACAATTGCTACAAAGGGAATAAAATACCTACGAATCCAACTTACAAGGGATGTGAGGGACCTCTTCAAGGAGAACTACAAACCACTGCTCAATGACATAAAAGAGGACACAAAGAAATGGATGAACATTCCATGGTCTTGAACAGGAAGAGTTAGTATCATGAAAATGGCCATACTGCCCAAGGTAATTTATAGATTCAATGCCATCCCCATCAAGCTACCATTCACTTTCTTCACAGAATTGGAAAAAACTGCTTTAAAGTTCATATGGAACCAAAAAAGAGCCCACGTTGCCAAGACAATCCTAAGCAAAAAGAACAAAGCTGGAGGCATCACACTACCTGACTTCAAACTTTACCACAAGACTACAGTAACCGAACATCATAGTACTGGCACTAAAACAGATATATACACCAATGGACAGAATAGAGGCCTCCGAAATAACATCACACATCTACAACTATCTGATATTTGACAAACCTGACAAAAACAAGAAATGGGGAAAGGATTTTCTACTTAATAAGTGGTGTTGGGGAAACTGGCTAGACATATGTAGAAAGCTGAAACTGGATCCTTTCCCTACACCTTATACAAAAATTAATTCAAGAGGGATAAAGACTGAAATGTTAGACCTAAAACCATAAAAACCCTAGAAGAAAACCTAGGCAATACCATTCAGGACATAGGCATGGGCAAGGACTTCATGTCTAAAAGCACCAAAAGCAATGGCAACAAAAGCCTAAATTGACCAATGGAATCTAATTAAACTAAAGAGCTCCTGCACAGCAAAAGAAACTACCATCAGAGTGAACAGACAACCTACAGAATGGGAGTAAATTTTTGCAACCTACTCATCTGACAAAGGGCTAATATCCAGAATCTACAATGAACTCAAACAAATTTACAAGAAAAAAACAAACAACCCCATCAAAAAGTGGGTGAAGGATATGAACAGACACTTCTCAAAAGAAGACATCTATGCAGCCAAAAGACACATGAAAAAAGGCTCATCATCACTGGCCATCAGAGAAATGCAAATCAAAACCGCAATGAGATACCATCTCACAGCAGTTAGGATGGCGATCATTAAAAAGTCAGGAAACAACAGGTGCTGGAGAGGATGTGGAGAAATAGGAACACTTTTACACTGTTGGTGGGAGTGTGAATTAGTTCAACCATTGTGGAAGACAGTGTGGCGATTCCTCAAGGAGCTAGAACCAGAAACACCATTTGACCCAGCCATCCCATTACTGGGTATATACCCAAAGGACTATAAATCATGCTGCTATAAAGACACATGCACACATATGTTTATTGCGGCACTATTCACAATAGCAAAGACTTTGAACCAACCCAAATGTCCAACAATGATAGACTGGATTAAGAAAATGTGGCACATATACACCATGGAATACTATGCAGCCATAAAAAAGGATGAGTTCATGTCCTTTGTAGGGACATGGATGAAATTGGAAACCATCATTCTCAGTAAACTATCGCAAGGACAAAAAACCAAACACCACATGTTCTCACTCATAGGTGGGAGTTGAACAATGAGAACACATGGACACAGGAAGGGGAACAACACACTCTGGGGACTGTTGTGGGGTGGGGGTAGGGGGGAGGGATAGCATTAGGAGATACATCTAATGCTAAATGACGAGTTAATGGGTGCAGCACACCAGCATGGCACATGTATACATATGTAACTAACCTGCACATTGTGCACATGTACCCTAAAACTTAAAGTATAATAATAATAAAATAATAAAAAAACCAAAAAAAAAACCAAACAAAATTGTCTTGGCTATACTGGATTCCTTGAATTTGCATATGAATTTGATTACATGCTTATACATTTCTGCAAAATATCAGCTGAGATTTTGACTGAGATTGCATTTATTTTGTAGAACATTTTGGGAAGCATTACCATCTCAAAGATTGTTAAGCCTTTCCATTCATTTATTTAGATCTTTCACATTTATTTAGATCTTTAAAATTTTTCTTTCAATAGTGTTTTGGGATTTTCAGAGTATAAGTTTTAAACTTTTTTAAAGTTTATCCTAAATATTGTATTATGTTTATTATTATTGTAATTGGAATGGTTAACTTCATTTTTGATTGTTCATTGTTAATGTATAGAAATACTTTGATTTTTGTATCTTGATCTCATACCATGGAGAGTTATCAGCTTATGCATTAGCTACAATAGTTCTTTAATGGATTTCTTAGGATTTTCTACATGTAAGACCATTCCATCTGCAGAGATTTACTTCTTCCTTTCCAATTTAAATGCCTTTTATTTCTTTTGCTTGCCTATTTTCCCTAGTTAAAGCCTCCAGTACTGTGTGTGTGTGTGTGTTTTCTTCATAGATGCCTTTTAGGAGGTTGATGAGGTTTCTTCTATTCAGTGTGTTGAGTTTTTTAAAAGGGAAAGTAGGTTAAATTTTGTCAAATGCTTTTTCTGCATTTACTAAGATGGTCATGTAAGTTTGTTCTTTATTTTATTGATAAGAAGTATGTTAAACTAATCTTTCATTCTGGGGATAAATTCTCTTGATCATGGTGTATAATCCTTTTTATATGTTGCTGGATTTGATATGACAGCATTTTGTTGAAGATTTCTGAGTTTATATACATAGGATATATTGATCTGTGTTTTTCTTTTCTTGTAATGTTTTTGTCTGGTTTTGTTATTAGGATAACACTGGACATATAGTATTATTTGGGAAATATTTCCTTTCCCTTTTTGTAACAATTTGTAAAAAATTGATATTAATTCTTCTTTAAATAGTAGAATTCAACTGTGAATCCATATGTGTTTAGGTTTTCATTATGGAAGTTTTAAAATTATTAATGTAATTTCCTTACTTTTTATAGGTCCATTCAGAATTCTTTTTTTCCTGAGACAGTTTTACTTCTAAAATTGTGTCCATTTGACTTAAATTATTTAATTTGTTGTCATTAGTTGAGAGTATTTCTTTATAATTCTTTTAAATTTTGTGAGGTTGACAATGATGTTTCCTCTTTCATTTTTTATTTTAGTAGTTTGGGTCTTCTCTTATTTTTTCTTAGTCAGTATAGCTAAAAGTTTGTCAATATTTTCTAATCCTTTCAGAGGACAAATTTTTGGTTTTATTTATTTTCTCTTTTGCTTTTCTGTTCCCCTTAATTTCCAGTCAAAAGTTTATTATTTTCTTCCTTCTGCTTAAATGGGCTCGACTTGTTCTGTTTTCAGTGCTTTAAGGTGAAGGTTTGGTTACTGATTTTGAGATTGTCCCACTTTTTAAATATAGGCATTTCCATCTATAAATTTTTCTCTAAGTCCTGCGTTAGCAGTGTCCCATAAATTTTGATGTCATGCTTTTATTTTCATTCATCTCAAAGATTTTAAAATTTCTATTGTGATTTTTAACTTTGAGCCACTGACTATTCAGAAAGATGTTAATTTCCTCATATTCACAAGTTTTCCAAATTTCTTTTTGCTATTGGTTTCTAATCACATGCTATTATGGTTGGTGTGTGCATTTTGCATAATTTCAGTCATTTAAGTTTATCAAGACTTGCTTTATCATCTAACATACGGTGAATTCTGAAGAAATTTCTGTGTGTGCTTAGAAAAAATGTGTATTCTGCTGCTGTTCTTTACAGCATTCTATAGATGTTTGTTAGGTCTAGTTTCTTATAATGTTCAAATTTTCCATTTATTTTAAAATCTTCTCTCTAGTTTTTCTACTTTTCTAGAAAGAAATAGCTATTATTGTTGAATCACCTAATTTCTCCTTGATTTTATCAGCTTTTGCTTTATATAATTTGAAGCTCTGTTGTTAAATGTCTGTATGTTTATCAATTTCATAACTTTCTCCTGGATGGACCATTTTATTATTATAAAATGTCTATCTTTATTTTGAGTAATTAATTTTTGTTCTAAAGTCTGTTTGGAATAATATTAGTGTAACTACTCCAGCTTTCTTGTGTTTGCTGTTTGCACAATATATATATTTTACATCCTTTTACTTCTAACATTTTGTCTTTGAACCTAGACAAGGTTCTTCTGTAGATAGCATGTAGTTGGATCTTGTTTTTATATAGTCTAATAATCTCTGATTTTGAGTTCTTTAATTCATTCACATTTCATTCAATTGTTCATATAACTGGGTTTACATTTGCTATTTTATGCTTCATTTTCTTTGTCTCATGTCTTTTATGTTCCTGTTTTTCTGCTTTACCACTTTCTTTTGCATTAAGTGGTTTCTAGTGTAACATCTTCATTCCTTTCATAATTTTTTTTCACTATTTTTTGAGTTATTTTGTGATAAAATAGAGAAAAAAATCTCCTATATTTATTAGGGAAATAGTACTATTGATTGAGTCTATCAATCTTTGTTAATCATCAAGTGTGAGAAGGCATGAATGTGTGTGTGTGAGAGAGAGAGAGAGAGAAAGAGAGAGGGAGAGAGAGAGAGATACATTTGAGATAGAGCAGGCAGACTTTTTTACTTCTGTAGACACTTTTTTTCCCCAAATTTGAAGTTTATTTTACCAAGGTTATATACATGCCCATAACACAGCCTCAGGAGGCCCTGAGAACAAGCGCCCAAGGTGGTTGGGTCACAGCTTGATTTTATACATTTTAGAGGGGGCAGAAGTTACAGGCAGACATCATCAATTCATGTAAGGTGTACATTGGTTCAGTCTGGAAAGGTGGGATGAAGTGGGGCCTTTCAGGTCACAGATGGATTCAAAGATTTCCTGACTGGCAATTGGTTGAAAGAGTTAAGTTTTGCCTAAAGAGTTGAAATCAGCAGAAAGAAGTGCTTAGGTTAAGATAAGGGGACTTGGTGGAAGCCAAGATTCTTGTTATGCAGAGGAAGTCTCCAGCAATATTACTTCAAGGAGCGTTTCCTCTGGTTGATGAGGGAAGTACTACTGGAAAACCATAAAGCTGCCTCAAACAATAAACTTTAATTTTATATCATATCATATTATCAGGTAGGGACTCTTCTGGGAAGCTGACATGTATCCAGTAGGGTAGTTTAGCAATTCCAGGTAAGTTATGCTAACTAGACCAAATGTACTTCTGGAAACACTGGTAATTAAGAAGAAAGAGCATTTATGTGTGCTGTGAGCTTTCAAATTTTTCCCTTCACATCAAATAGGCTTGATTTTTGTCAAGGTTACTTCCACTTGAATTCAGAAGTGTTTCCATGATTGAATCTGATATTGATCTACTGATAGCTACTCGATTTACAATTAGGGCTTTTTCCCTTTATGAAGACAACCCAATCATGATTGTTCTCCACGTGTTTCCTCAGGGAAAGAATATTTATTTACGTTAATGGCTTCAATGTGATCACAAGGTAACTGCCCGTTGTTTGTAGCTATTTGCCCTTCACTCTGAGCTTCTCAAAAACAATTATTGGAACATTCTTAAAGATGAAAGCCTTGTTTTTCAGATCTAGGCAGCTACTAAGCTTTGAATCTGTGAACTCTACCATCACTGACATTCCAGGTGCACTGTGAGGGGTAGTTAAGAAGTTTTATATTTGAAGGGAAGCTTACTGCTTGAAGTAGCTCATGGTTGACAATAGATTATTTATTTGAGCTTACAAATCTGGCTTCTGCAGCTATTTTCTTTACTACATACTCTATTCTTCTTTCCCCATCTTCTCAAATTTAGTTTTGTCTCTGATTAAGCTATTAAACACAAGAGCATTATGCTTTTGTAGAAGCAAGAGCTTGAAGAAAATTATGCTATTTTGATTTTGAAATACGCTTTAAGAGTAGCAGTGAAAAACCTTTGAAAATATTACTCATCTCTGGTTAAAATATCTCTGGGAAGTGAGTCAGTATTTTATTATTCTCTTTCGGATGTTATTAGCTGGGGACAGTCAAAAGAATTCGAGGAAAAATTAAATCACTTATATAAACCCAGGTGAAGAAGCCAGGGTTAAAACCCAAATCCTTCCATCGTGATACTTGCTTTTTCTCTCTGAATTATGCTCCTTTTTTAAAACAGCATTCTGTTTCCTAATATGATACAAGCAGTTGACCTGAAATTTGCTTCCATGAATTTCTATCTTTACTGAAACAAGAGGGAAAATGTTTTACATTGTTTGCCATAAGGTAGGTTGATAATTGATTACACAAATGGGAGGTAGGGGTGGAAAAGGTAATTACTTACTGTAAGATGAAGTCAGAACACTACGTTATACTTCTGGCTTTTCAATACTTGGCATTGCTCAAATCATTTTATATTTTTATGCACCATCCTTCACGTGTGAGATGGATCTCATCATAAACACATGGCTGTGTGGAGGTATTGTCAGGAATTCCTTATTTGAAGGCTTGTATTTAAAGGGTGGAGGTGGGAATGAAGCCACAGTGTATGCTCATCAATCTTACCATGAACTGTCCTGCGTATTCACAAATCACCACAAATATTCCCATATCATTTTTTCATACTGTTATACTCAATTATAAGGTACAATAAATTTTAAGATATATTATCTATTTAATAATATCTTCAGAAGAAAAGTTTCTATATCAAAGGTACATGCCCAATGAAAGAGGTATCCTGATTTTAGAAACATTAAAATTGACAGATTGTATTTTAGAATCAAGGAAATGTGGTTCAAAACTCCATTATTTTCTCTTTTTAAATAAAATCTGACTCTCCAGGCCACCTAAAAAATAAGTATGAAGAAAGTTCTTGTCTTAGTTTCTGTCTTAGTCAGATATCTGTTGCTCGTAGCAGGATACCTGAAACTGGGTAATTTAGTAAAACAATAACAACAACAACAATAACAACAAAACACATTTCTTACAGTTCTGGAGGCTGGGAAGTCCAGGGGTGAGAGATTGATTCTTATGTGAGTCTTCTCATCCGTGAGGACACTGCAGTCCTGAGGTGCTGCAGGGGATCACAGGGCAATGGGCTGAGCTTGCTATCTCAGGCTCCTCTTCTTCTTATAAAGCCCCCAGTTCCACTCCCATGCTTACCCATTAATCTTTTAACCCATCAATCAGTTAAGCGATGAGTAGATTAATCCATTCATCAGAGAAAAGCCCTGTCAATCCAATCACCTCTTAAAGGTCCCACCTCCCTAAACTGCCACACTGGGGATTACATTTCAACATGGGTTTCAGAAGGAACAACTATTAAATCTATGTAATTCTCCCCCTGGCTCTCCAAAACGTATGTTCTTCTCACAAATACATTAATTCTATTCTTATAGCCCCAAGGTTTTAAAAAATGACACATAATAATTGTACATATTTATGGGGTACATGTGATAATTTTGATACATGCAATGTGTAGTAATCAAAGATAATTAAGATATTTATAACCTCAAGCATTTATCATTTCTTTGTATTGGGAACATTGCAAATATTCTGTTCTAGCTACTTTGAAATATACAGTAAATTATTATTACCTATAGTCACCTTGCTGTGCTATTGATAACTAGAACTTCTTTTTTCTATCTAACTGTGTTTTTAACCCATTAACCAGCCTCTCTTTACCCCTTCCACGAGCCTTCCCAGCCTCTGGTAACTATCATTCTACTCTCTACCTCCATGAGATCAACTTTTTTAGCTCCCATATATGAATGAGAACATGAAATATTTTTCTTTCTTTCCTTGGCACATTTCACTTAAAATAATAATTTCCAGTTCCATTCATTTTGCTGTGACAGAATTTCATTCTTTTTATCATTTAAAAATATTTTATCATGTATATATTCCATATTCATAGATTGATAGACACTGAGGTTATTTTATGTCTTGGTTATTGTGAATAGTGCTGCAATAAATATGGACATGCAGATATCTCTTCAACATACCAATGTTCTTTATTTTGGATATATTCCAGCAGTGGGATTGCTGGATCATATAGTAGATATATTTTTAGTTTTTTGAGGAACCTCTATGTTGTTTTCCATAGTGGCTGTACTAATTTACATTTCTACCAGCAGTGCATAAGAGTTCCCCTCTCTCTAAATCCTTGCTAGCTTTTTTTTTTTTTTTTTTGGCTTTTTGATAATAGTCATTCTAACTGGAGTGAAGTGATAACTCATTGTGGTTTTGATTTGCATTTCTCTGATGATTAGTGATGTTGAGCATTTTTTCCATATGTTTGTTGGTCGTTTTATGTCTGCTTTTGAAAAATCTCTAAGTCTTTTACCCATTTTTAAATTGGATTATTTGTTCTTTTGATATTGAGTTATTTGAATTGCTAATATATTATAGTCATGAACCTCTTGTTGGAAGGATAGTTTGCAAGTGTTTTCTTCCATTTTGTATGTTGTCTCTTCACTCTGTTGATTGCACCCTTTGCTGTACAGAAACTTTTTAGCTTGATGTAATCCCATTTGTCTATGTTTGATTTTGTTACCTGTGCATTTTAGCTCTTATACAAGAAATCTTTTTGCAGATTAATGTTCTGAATTGTTTTCCCATGTTTTCTTCTGGTACTTTCATAGCTTCAGGTCTTGAATTTAAGTATTAAACCATTTTGATTTGAGTTTTGTATATGGTGAAGGATAGAGGTCTAGTTTCGTTTTTCTGCATAAGGATATCCAGTTTTTCCAGTATCACTTATTGAATAGACTGTCTTTTCTGCACTGAATGTTCTTTGTGCCTGTGTCAAAATTGAGTTGGCTGTAAATATGTGGATTGATTTCTAGGTTGTCTATTTTGTTCCTTTGGTCTATGTGTCTGTTTTTATGCTGGTACCATGCAGTTTTGGTTACTAAAGATTTGTAGTACATTTTGAAGTTGGGTAGTGTGATGCTTCCAGCTTTGTTCTTTTTGCTCACAATCCTTTGATTTATTTGGGGTCTTCTGTGGTTCTCTACAAATTTTAGGATTTTTTTTTCTATTTCTGTGAAGAATATTATTGGCATTTTGATAGGCACTACATTGAATCTATAGATTATTTGAATGGTATGAACTTTTTTTTATTTCTTCTTTGTTTATCTGCCCTATCAATGAGTTATATATTTTTGCATGTTTTCATGATTGTGATTATCACCTTTTTGTCTCCAGATGCAGGACTCTTTTCAGCATTTTTTGTAAAGTCAGTCTAGTGATAGATTTCCTTATACTTTTGCTTGTCTGGGAATGGCTTTATTCCTCCCTCAGTCTAAGAAATAGCTTTGTTGAGTATAGTATTCTTGACTGTCAATTTCTTCTTTCAGTACTTTGAATATATCATTTTATTCTCTCCTGACCTGTAAGGTTTCTGAAGAGAAACCTAATGTGAGTCTAATGAATATTCCTTTATATGTGACTTGGTGCTTTTCTCTTGTTTTAGAATTCTTTTTGTCTTTGACTTTTGATATTTTGACTATTTTTTACCTTGGACAGTACCTTTCTGATTGAAATATAGTTTGGGATCTTTGGACTTCCTGGATCTGGATGTTTATATCTGTCTCCAGATTTGGGAAATTTTCAGCTATTATTTTATTAAATAGGTTTTCTATGCATTTTTTCCATTTTTTTTCATTCTGGAATGTCTATAATGAATATTTGTCTACTTAATGGTGTCTCATAAGTTTACAATCTTTTAAGAGCTATTTTCCATTCTTATTTTTTCTAACCAAATAATTTCAAATGACCTGCCTTCAAGTTCAGAGATTCTTCTGTTTGATCAAATCTGCTGTTGAAGCTCTGTGTTGTTTTTTTATTTCATTCATTGAATTCTTTAGTTGCATGATTTGTTTTTTTTCTTTTTTATATCTGTCTTTTTGTTGAATTTCTCATGCATATGTTTTTTCCTGATTTTGTTGAATTGTCTAACTGTATTTTTTATACCTCATTCAGTTTCCTTAAGATCATAATTTTGAATTCCTTTTCTGGTTCTCCATTAATTTTCCTTTTATTGGGGTTTGTTACTAAAAAGTTTTCCTTTAGTAGAGTTACATTTCCTTGCTTTTTCCTGTTTCTTATGTCCTTCCATTGAGTGGAACAATCACCCCTTCCAAACTTTCCAAAGTTAACCCCAAAGTCTTAACTAATACTAGCCCCAACTCAAAAGTCCAAAGTTCAGAATCCCATCTGTGAGCCTGTGAAATCAAGACTAGTTTTTTTTTTTTTTTTTTTTTGAGACGGAATCTCACTGTCGCCAGGCTGGAGTGCAGTGGCGCGATCTCAGCTCACTGCAAACTCTGCCCTCCGAGTTCAAGCGATTCTCCTGCCTCAGCCTCCCGAATAGCTGGGATTACAAGCACCTGCCACTGCACCCGGCTAATTAAGACTAGTTATTAACTTCCAACATACAGTAGTGGTTCAGGCATAAGACAGACACTTCTATTTTAACAGGGAGGAATAGGCAAAGAGAAATGAGTAACAAGCTCAAGCATGTTAGAAACTGAGTAGGACAGACATTAAATCTTTAAGCTGAGGAATGATTTCTTTTGACTCCATGTGTCACCTTCTGGACACACTGGGATGGGGTTTGGGCCCCCAAGGCCTTAGGCAGTCCTATGGGCTTTGCTTGGTGCAGCCCACGTGACTGCTTATGCAGAATAAAGTCCTTTGCCTAAGGCTTCCTTTGGTAGATGTTTCATGCTGCTGGTGGTTCCATAATTCTGAGATCTCAGTGGTAGTCCTGAGTTCCTTAGGCATTACTCTAACAGGGACTCTTGGTGGCAGCTCCAACTTCACATTTCTCCTCTGCTTTATTATACCAGGGATCTTTACAGTAGCTCTGCCTGGGTCTCTAGGCTTTCAGCAACATCTTTTGAAATTTGGGTGGAAGTTGTCAATCTTCCATAGCTCTTGCTTTCTGCAAGCCTGCAGAATTAGTACCACATGGATGTTGTCAAAATTTATAACTTGTACCTTCTGGAGCTGCAGCATGAGCTGCACCTGAGGCTTCTTGAGCCATGGCTAAGGCAGCTGCAGAACTGCTGTGCTGGGGTGTGGGTAGCAGAGTCCCAAAATGGCCCTGACAAGTGAATCTGTGTACTCTGGGGCTGTTCCTTGACACCATTCTGCTCTCCTAAGCCTGTGATGGGAGTGGCATCTTCAAATATCTGGGCAATATCTTTGGGGGTATTTCTTCCATTGTCTTGACAAATAGCACATGGCTGCCTTCTGTCTCTGCTAATCTCCTTAGAAAGTGGTCCATCAGCTACACTCCGTTTCTCTCCTGAAAACATTTTTTTCATTCTTTTTGTGGTCAAATGGTTTTCCAAATTTTTCTGCTCTGCTTCCTTTTTAACTATTAATTCTGTCTTTAAATTATTACTTTGCTCTTGTATCTCAGTGTAAATGGCCAAAGGTAACTATGAATGCCTTCTATACCTTACTTAATTTTTTTTTGTGCCAGATATTCTAGTACATCTTTCTCAAGTTTGGACTTCCACAAAGACCTCAGTCACAGACAGAGTCCAGCTAAGTGCTTTGACAATTTATAACAAGAATGGCCTTTACTTGACTTTCCAATATCTTTTTCCTCAGTTTCTCCTAAAACTTCATCACAATGTTTCCTGCTGACCACATTTCTATCAACATTCTGATCATGACCACTTAACCATTCTCTAAAGTGTTTAAAACTTTCCCTGGTCTTGTCTTCCAAGCCCTCACCAGAATCTGAGCATTTACTAACCAGCTGCTTCAAATTGTTCCAGCCTCTACCCATTATCCAGTTGCAAAGTGACATCCCCGTTTTCACATGTTCATTATTAACAATGTCCTACTCCCAGTGTCAATTTTCTGTGTTAGACCATTTTTGGTTGCTTATAACAGAATACTTGAAACTGGGTAATTTATTAAAAAATATTTTATTTGAATAATTTATTTAAAAAACATTTCTGGAGGCTCGAAAGTTCAAGGTCAGGGGCCCACTTCTGGTGAGGTCTTTCTTATAGTTGGGTACTCTCTGTAGAGTTTCTTTCTCTTATAAAGTCACCAGTCTCAGTCCCATGATAATCCATTAATCTATTAACACATTAGTCTATTAATCCATGAGTCTATTAATCCATAAGTGTGTTAATCCATTCATAAGGACAGAACCCTAGCATCCTAGTCACCTCTTAAAGGCCTCACCTCTCAATACTGCCACATTGGGTGTTATGTTTTAACATAAGTTTCAGAGGGGACAAACATTCAAACCATTGTAGTTTATTTTCTACTGCTATACTAGAATACCATAGGCTAGGTAATTTATTTAAAAAGTGATATATTTGGCTCACAGTTCTGAAAGCTGGGAAGTCCAAGAGCATGGTACTGGCATCTGCTCAGCATATGATGAGGACGTTTTTGCTGCAATGAAATACGGTGAAGGGCAAGAAAGTGCAGGTGAGTGGGAGCTCAACTTTAGAACAAAGCCACTCCCGTGATAACTCACCCACTCCCATGATAATGGCATTAATCTATTCATGAAAGTGGACCTCCCTCCAAGACCTAATTACTTCTTAAAAGCCCCACCTCATAATTCTGTTCCAATGACAAATTTCATCATAAGTTTTGGAGGGGACATTCAAACTGTAGCAGTCCTGTTTCTTTGGTCTCTAGTATCTACCAGGACCATTTGTTGGCTGTGCTGGTGGTCACCAAATCAAGATGTGGTACTTTCTGGGTATCCACAGTATGTGTCATGTTGCAAATTTTTATTTCCCTGC
This sequence comes from Homo sapiens, assembly GCF_000001405.40. Lineage (NCBI taxonomy): Eukaryota > Metazoa > Chordata > Mammalia > Primates > Hominidae > Homo > Homo sapiens. Next base: position 40,457,878 of record NC_000005.10, on the reverse strand, counting down.
ATTAGTAAATATACTTCAACCCAGAATGTTCTGAGCTCATAACAATAAACAAAGATAAAAACAAAAGCTATGAATGCTTTACTAAAATGTAGAATTAATAAAATATCCATTCATTACATAATAAGATGAGCTTGTCTGTCTATTACTATCTGATGACCTTTCAATCTAAGGATCAATTTTTCTTTCCACTTACAAAATCTTTAAAGGAATATAGTAATACCAGAAGATAATGCCAGAATCTATGCCACAGAAGGTTAACATAGGCTATAAACCTACGACGTTTCTGTATTTTTTTTGACACCTGGTTTTATTATGTTTCCATGTGTCACAATAATTAACTTCAGTTGCTTGCTTCTGGTTGAGATATTTTGTTTCTTTGCAGCAAGTTAGAATAAAACTCAAGTCATACGTTTTGTGAGAATAGCAGGATATGGGGGAAGAGACCTACTCTGTGCATTTAAATGTCAGGCACATTGGGCAAGGAAAATATATCGGTCCTGCAGTGTGTTGTTGATTAAAGACCCATTATGTGGTCTTCCAAAGCCCTTCTGCTATGGTTCTCTTCTGAAGCAGGGTGCGTGCAGAGCCTTTTCCAATTAGGCATATTATGTTCCTTTCCAAAGATTCTGGCACTTGGTCTGAGAAGGATGTTTTAGACACCAAAGACAGGCACAAGTTATAGGAAAAAGCTCGTGAGTAATTTTTTTACCCCTTCAATTAGTCTTAATTGAAAACTAACAGTGTGTTAAAAAATGGAATTTCCACAACGAGTTTTCTTGGCATTAAACAAAAAGGTGTTTTGTGACATTTTACATGCTGAGGATTAGAGTCCATTTCAAGTCGTATTTATTTGTTTTTATCACATAATCCTCACAGTCATTCCCATTATAGTCCTTTGTTACCTATTGACCCTGTAACTTGGTACTTTCTTTTGCTGGAATAAAGCCTGTTTCTTCCAGTCATTTTCGTTACCCTCCCTTATGCATGAGGTCCATGCCTGCCTGGTTTTACTAATTCCATTTCTTTCTTTGGATTATGTTCTAAGATTTCTAAATTTCTCTTTTTATTATTTTTTAAATGCCAGCTCTTGTCTGATCTCTTCCCTGAAACCTATCTCAATTTATTTTACTCATGGAGATGTATCTTTGTTCTGAATTCTCAGGAATTTATTGTTTTTATCTCACATTTAACATTTGATTATACTAGTTTGTGTTGTTTTCCAACTGGTCTCTGTGTTTGTTCTGTATTTTCAACAATCTATTAAGCTCCTTGAGGGCAGATAAAATATCGTATATTGCGTTTGTAAGCTCAATAGCACTTAACATATTATTCAACATATAGAAATATCCCAACATTAGATAAGTTGAATTGAGCTTTTCTTTCAGGTTTTGAATTTACAAAAATGTTCTCATTGAAATTGTCTAACAAGTAGCTGAAAAAGCGTTGGTGTAAAAAATAGATGAATATCAATAAGATGGCATTATTATATTATTATGTCTCATTGAATAATGTTAAGTGCCTAGATATGCGTGGGATTAGAGTAGGCACAAATTATTCAAAAGACAGAATTTCTGCTCTCTAGAAACTTGTATTTACATAAACATCGCACCTAATGAGCATAACCCACTTTTAGAAGGGCCAGGATTTATAATAAATTATGTTATTTTCCTATATAACATTTGTAGACAGCCATGAAATGATCTGGCTGGGCAAATATAGTAAACATATTCACACAATCATTTGTGATATATTGTCTATACATATGTTTTAGGAAATGCATGCTGGAAAACTCTTAATTGAAACCACTGATTTATGAGACTAAGTATGAAATGAAGAAATAGAACAGAGGAAAGGCCTTGGAACAAAAATTAAGTCTGGTTTGTAATATATTCAGAAATTTATCATTACAAGATCAAATGTATTGATTTGAAAACCAGTGTTTTTCTTTCTTTTACTGCAAGAATGACAAGTTTTGGTGTTAAATTTATAACAATATTGCTTCATTCCAATATCAATTGCTTGCATATGATTAATATTCACATTGCCTTTTCTGGGTTGTACCTCAAATATTCAATCTGTATTTAGATGTTTGAGAACACAAGGGATGATGAGAATACAGTTGAGTTATTCTTTTTAATACAGTCCCTCAGAAAATTAAAGCATAAAAGACAACTTCATCTTCTTCCATCTCTACATTTGTCTCTGGGCACAGTCATACAAAGATTGGTTTTGGAAAAAAAGGTTATTGTCTGCTTCAGTGGTTTATGATGTTGCAAGCTTTCCAGTATGTCTCCTCAGTATTTTCAGGGAAGGGAGGCTGTTTTATCTCAATATTGAAATGTGTTTTTCAATAGTGAGAAGTAAAAAAGGTGCAAGTGATGAAGTGGAATAACTTATCATGACTTCCTTGAGAAAACTTGTCGAGTGTTTACATTTTTCTCACTGTACTTTGAGACATTTATGTTTTCCCTAATTAGATTTCAGGATGGTCCCAACTGCCTCAATCACTTAAGGTAGATAAATTCCTTAACTGTAATGGCATCTTTCCCCTTCATGTTCATTTTCTTCCTTATGCATCAGAAATGATTTTAAGTTTCTGTTTTGTTCCCTTTCTCCTCTCAGTACTTTTATTCCAAATTTATTTTCTTACTTAGTGTACTAATGTCTCTTTAGTCTTTGGAGAGCTAATCAAGGATTAATCAATCTTCTCCACTGAGTCAGACTTAGCTACTTTACATTTTTTTGTGTCTTGTGCAAAGAGTATGAATAATATTGTTCTAGGGAAGACTTAAGGCTAAATTTCTTAACTATTTTGGGTTGAAGGACTTCTTTGAGAATATAAAAATTGCTATAGTTTCTCTGTAATTCCAAGGTGTACAGAAAAATGTTGACATATATTTCACATGCTGCATAGGCTCCTCACACTTCCCAGGTCTGTTATAGACACCAGATTAGGAAGGCCCAAGTGATATGATCCCACTACTGGCAATGTATCCAAAGAAAATGAAATCAGTGTGTTAAAGAGGTGTGTGCACTCCCATATTCATTGCAGTGCTATTCACAACAGTCAAGACATGGAGTCAACCTAAGTGTCCAGTGGATGAATGGATAAAGAAAACATGGTATATATCCACAACGGAATACTATTCATCATTTAAACAGAAAAAAATCCTGCCATTTGGAACAACAAGGATGAAACTGGAGAATGTAATATATAAACATTATATTAAGTGAATTAAGCCAGCCACAGAAAGGCAAATATTGCATGATGTCATTTACATGTGGAATCTAAAATACTTGAACTAATGGAACTAGAGAGAAAAATGGCTATCAGGGGTGGATGGGGAGGGGTCAGTGAGATGTTGGTCACAAGATACAAAATTTCAGTTAGACAGGAGAAGTAAGTTCAAGAGATCTATTGTACAACATGGTGACTATAATAACAATGTATTATATTCTTAAAAATTGCTAAAAGAGTATATTTTAAGGTTCTCATCACAAAAAATAAGTATGACATTGGGGCAGGGCGAAGATGGCTGACTAGAAGCAGTGGCGATTGGAGGCCCCCATCAAAAAGAACCATAATAGCATGTGAATCCTGCAGAAGCAACTGAGGTATCCAGGTTCTCTCACCAGAACTGACTAGGTGGCTGGTGTAACCCATGGAAAAGAAGGAAGAAAGGTGTGGTGCAGCAGCTGACCTGAGGGACACACAAGGGAGGGGAGCCTCCAACCCCCAGCCAAGGGAGGTGGTGAGTGAGTGTTCTACCCAGCCAGGGAAACTGTGCTTTTTCCATGGAAATGTGCAACCCATGGATTGGAAGATCCCACTCGTGAACCCATGTCACTGGGGCCTAGGGTCCCAACCCCAGAGGCACACATATTCTCAACAGCATCTCAGCTAGAATCTGCTTAAGCCTGCCAAGTTCCCAGGGGGAGAGGCAATGAGCACCACAGCTGTGGCTGCCTGTTGTCTAAGCCCTTTGAGCTCCTTGGGGGAGGGGCAGCACCCAGCACTGGGACTGATAGCTGCCTAACATGCTAACCTCCCTGGGTGGAAGAAGGGGGGCAGCTATCTCTATAGCTCCAGGCCACCCTTTTCCCCTGCTGGAGCCAAGGAGACTGGATGGCTTGGTCCCATGAGGTGTCCCACACAGGCCAATACACTGGCTGTGGCAGACTGTGACCAGAATGCCTCTTCAGGCCTGATCCTGACCCATCCCTTTTCACTGGGTGAGGCCTCCCTGAAGAAACTCCAACAATTCCAGCCAGGGGCTCAGGGACAGATTTCTCATCTCCCTGGGCCTGAGCCTCTAGGGAGAAGGGTGGCCTCAGTCTCTGCAGACCAGCAGACTTAGCCTTTCCTCCTGGTAGTTCTGAGGAATCCAGACAGCCCAGATAAGTGGGTTCCCCCCAGCGAAGCACACTTCCTCCACCAAATCACAGTCAAAGTGCTTCATTAACTGGGTCTTGTTCCCTGTGCCACCCAACAGGGTGAAACCCTCCAACAAGGGTTGTCAGACACCCTATTCAGGAATGATCATACTGGCATCAGTTTGAAGTCCCTTGCAGCCAGAGATCCCAGAGGAAGGAGCAGGTACCCGTCTTTGTTGTTCTCCAGCCCCCTTGAGTGACATCTCCAGTTGTGAGAGTGAACCAAATAAATAGGGCCTGAAGTGAACCCCCAGCGAACTGCAGCAGCCCTACAGAAAAGGGACCTGACCATTGAAAGAAAAACAGAAAGCAACAACAACAGCATCAATAACATAAAAAGTCCCCATAAAAACCCCATCCAAGGGCCAACAGCCTCAAAGATTGAAATTAGACAAACTCATGAAGATGAGAAAGAATCAACCAAAAAAGCCACTGAAAACCCAAAAGGCCAGAATGCCTCTTCTCCAAATGATCACAACACCTTTCTAGCAAGGGCGCAGAACTGGATGGAGGGTCTGATGCATGAATTGACAGAAGTAGGCTTCAGAAGATGCGTAATAACAAACTCCACTGAGTTAAAGGAGTATGTTCTAACCCAATGCAAAGAAGCTAAAAACCTTGATAAAAGGTTAGAGGAGCTGCTACCTAGAATAACCAATTTAGAGAGGAATGTAAATGACCTGATGGAGTGAAAAACACAGCATGAGAACTTTGTGAAGCATACACAAGTATCAATAGCTGAATTGACCAAGCAGAAAAAAGGGTATCAGAGTTTGAAAACCACCTTGCTGAAATAAGGCATGCAGACAAGATTAGAGAAAAAAGAATGAAAAGGAACAAACAAAGCCTCTGAGAAATATGGGACTATGTAAAAAGACCAAACATACCATTGATTGGAATACCTGAAAGAGATTGGGAGAATGGAAATAAGCTGGAAAACACACTTCAGGATATTATCTAGGAGAACTTCCCCAACCTAGCAAGACAGGTCAACATTCAAATTCAGGAAATACAGAGAACACCCCTAAGATACTCCATGAGAAGATCAACCCCAAGACGTATAATCATCACATTCTCCAACGTCAAAATGAAGGAAAAAATGTTAAGGGCAGCCAGAGAGAAAGGCAAGGTCACCTACAAAGGGAAGCCCCAAGACTAACAGTGGACTCTCAGCAGAAACCTTACAAGCCAGAAGAAGGTGGGAGCCAATTTTCAACATTCTTAAAGAAAAGAATTTTCAATCCAGAATTTCATATCCAGCCAAACTAACTTCATAAGTAAAGGAGAAATAAAATTTCCAGACAAGCAAATGCAGAGGAATTTCATCACCATGAGGCCTGCTTTGCAAGAGCTCCTAAAGGTAGCACTAAATGTGGAAAGAAAAAACTGGTACCTTCCACTGCAAAAACACACCAAAATATAAAGACCAATGACACTATGAAGATATTGCATCAACTAGTGTGCAAAATAACCAGATAGCATCATGATGACAGGATCAAATTCACACATAACAACATGAAACTTAAATGTAGATGGGCCAAATGCCCCAATTAAAAGACACAGATTGGCAAATTAGATTAAGAGTCAAGACCCATTGGTATGCTGTATTCAGGGGACCCATCTCACATGCAAAGACATACATAGGCTCAAAATAAAGAGATGGAGGAAAATTTACCAAGCAAATGGAAAGCAAAAAAAAGCAGGGGTTGCAATCCTAGTCTCTGACAAAATACTTTAAACCAACAAAGATCAAAAAAGACAAAGAAGTACATTACATAATGGTAAAGGAATAAATTCAACAAGAAGAGCTAATTATCCTAAGTATATACACACCCAATACAGGAGCACCCAGATTCATAAAACAAATTATTAGAGGCATACAAAGAGACTTAGACTCCCACACAATAATAGTGGGAGGCTTTAACACCTCACTGTCAATATTGGATCAACCAGACAGAAAATTAACAAGGATATTCAGGACTTGAACTCAGCCTCGGATCAAGTGGTCTTAATAGACATCTACCAAACTTTCCACCCCAAATCAACAGGATATACATTCTTCTCAGTGCCACATGGCACATATTCTAAAATTGACCACATAATTGGAAGTAAAACACTCCTCAGCAAGTGCAAAAGAACAGAAATCATAACCAACATTCTCTCAGACCACAGTGCAATCAAATCACAACTCAGGATGAAGAAACTCACTCGAAACCACACAATTACATGGAAATTGAACAATCTGCTCCTGAATGACTCCTAGGTAAATAATGAAATTAAGGCAGAAATCAAGAAGCTCTTTGAAACCAATGAGAACAAAGAGACAATGTACCCGAATCTCTGGGACATCACTAAAGCAGTGTTACGAGGGAAATTTATACTACTAAATGTCCACATTGAAAAGCTAGAAAGGTCTCAAATTGACATTCTAACATCACAACTAAAAGAACTAGAGAACCAAGCACAAACAAATCCAAAAGCTAGCAGAAGACAAGAAATAACTAACATCAGTGCAGAATTGAAGGCGATAGAGACACAACACCTCACCACCCCTGGCCAAACAAATTAATCCAGGAGCTGGATTTTGAAAAAATTAACAAAATAGATAGACCACTAGCTAGACTAATAAAGAAGAAAGAGAGAACAATCAAAAAGAGACAATAAAAAACTGATAAAGGGGATAGCACCACAGACCCCACGGAAATAAAAACTACCATCAGAGAATACTGTAAACACCTCTATGCAAATAAACTAGAAAATCTAGAAGAACTGGATAAATGCCTGGACACATACACCCTCCTAAGACTAAACCAGGAAGAAGTCAAATCCCTGAATAGACCAAGAGCAAGTTCTGAAATGAAGCAGTAATTAACAGCCTAACAAACAAAAAAAGCCCTGGACCAGATGGATTCACAGCCAAATTCTACAAGAGGTACAAAGAGGAGCTGGTACCATTCCTTCTGAAACTATTCCAAACAATTGAAAAGGAAGGACTCCTACCCAAATCATTTTATAAGGCCAGCATCATCCTGATACCAAAACGTGGCAGAGACACAACAAAAATAGAAAACTTCAGGCCAACATTGATGCGAAAATCCTCAATAAAATACTGGCAAACTGAATCCAGCAGCACATCCAAAAACTTATCCACCATGATCAAGTCAGCTTCATCCCTGGGATGCAAGGCTGGGTCAACATACGCAAATCAATAAATGTAATCCATCACATAAACAGAACGAAATACGAAAACCATATTTATCTCAATAGATGCAGTAAAGCCCTTTGATAAAATTCAACATCCCTTCATGTTGAAAACTCTCAATAAACAGTTTGGTATTTGTGGAACATATCTCAAAATAATAAGAGCTATTTATGACAAATGCACAGCCAATATCATATTGAATGAACAAAAGCTGGAAACATCCCCTTTGAAAGCGGATACAAGACAAGGATGCCTTCTCTCACTACTCCTATTCAACATAGTATTGGAAGTTCTGGCCGGGGCAATCAGGCAAGATAAAGTGATAAAGTGTATTCAAATAGAAAGAAAGGATGTCAAATTGTCTCTGTTTGCAGACAACATGATTCTTTATTTAGAAAACCCCATCATCTCAGCCCAAAAACTCCTTGAACTGATAAGCAACTTTAGCAAAGTCTCAGGATACAAAATCATTGTGCAAAAATCACAAGCATTCCTATATAGCCACAATAGACAAGCAGAGAGCCAAATCATAAATGAACTCCCATTCACAATTCCTACAAAGAGAATAAAATACCTAGAAAGACACCTAACAAGGGATGTGAAGGACTTCTTCAAGGAGAACTACAAACCTCTGCTCAAGAAAATAAGAGAGGACACAAACAAATTGAAAAACATTTCATCCTTATGGATAGGAAGAAACAATATCATGAAAATGGCCATACTGCCCAAAGTAATTTACAGATTCAATGCTATTCCCATCAAACTACCATTGACATTCTTCACAGAATTAGAACAAACTACTTTAAATTTCTTACGGAACCAAAGAAGAGCCCCTATAGCCAAGACAATTCTAAGCAAAAAGAACAAAGCCAGAGGCATCACGTGAGCTGACTTCAAACTAAACAACAAGGCTACAGTAACAAAAACAGCATGGTTCTGGTAACAAAACAGACATATAGACCTATGGAACAGAACAGAGACACCAGAAATAACAAGACATATCTAAAACCATGTGATCTTCAACAAACCTGACAAAAATAAGCAATGTTGAAAGGATTTCCTATTCAATAAATGGTTCTGGGAAAACTGGCTAGCCATATGCAGAAAATAGAAACTGGACCCCTCCCTTACACCTTATACAAAAATTAACTCAAGATGGATTAAAGACTTAAATGGAAAACCCAAAACCATAAAACCCCTAGAAGAAAACCTAGGCAATACCATTCAGGACATAGGCATGGGCAAGGACTTCATGACTAAAATGCCAAAAACAATTGCAACAAAAGCCAAAATTGACAGGCGGAATCTACTTAAACTAAAGAGCTTCTGCACAGCAAAAAAAACTATCATCAGATTGAACAGGCAATGTACAGAATGGGAGAAAATTTTTGCAATCTACCCATCTGACAAAGGACTAATATCCAGAATCTGCAAGGAACTTAAACAAATTTACAAGAAAAAAACAAGGCCATCAAAAAGTGAGCAAAGGATATGAAAAGACACTTTTCAAAAGAAGACATTGTGCAGCCAACAAACATGAAAAAAAGCTCAACATCCCCGATCATTAAAGAAATCCAAACCAAAACCACAATGAGATACCATCTCACACCAGTCGGAATGGCGATTATTAGAAAGTCAGGAAACAATAGATGCTGGCGAGGCTGTGGAGAAATAGGAACAGTTTTACACTGTTGGTAGGAGTGTAAATTGGTTCTACTATTGTGGAAGACAATGTGGTGATTCCTCAAGGATCTAGAACCAGAAATACCATTTGAGCCAGCAATCCCATTACTGAGTATATACCCAAAAGAATATAAACCATTCTACTATAAAGACACATGCACACATATGTTTAGTACAGCACTATTCACAATAGCAAAGTCATGAAACTAACCCAAATGCCCATCAGTGATAGACTGGATAAAGAAAATGTGGTATATATACACCATGGAATACTATGCAGCCATAAAAAGGAATAAGATCATGTCCTTTGCAGGGACATGGATGAAGCTGGAAGCCATCATCCTCAGCAAAGTAACACTGGAACAAAAAGCCAAACATCATATGTCCTCCCTCATAAGTGGGAGCTAAACAATGAAAACATATGGACACAGGGAGGGGAACAAGACATGCTGGGACCTGTTGGGGGGGTGCAGGGCAAGGGGAGGAAACCTAGATGATGGGTCAATAAGTACAGCAAACTACCATGGCACATGTAGACCTACATAACAAACCTGCATGTTCTGCACATGTATCCCAGAACTTAAAATAAAAAATAAAATAAAATAAGATCATGTACATTAAAAAATGATAAGTATGTCAGGTAATACATACGCTAATTAGCTCGCGTCATTCCATAATGTATACATATTTCTAAAATAAAATGCTGTGCATAATATATATAATTTTATTTGTTAATTAAAAAATAGATCAATGTTAAAAACAAAACAAAACACAAAGAAACCCCACATGGCCTTAGGCCATGAAGGGCTCTATTTCTTTCTCATGGTAGATTTTAACTCTATAATGGCCATGTGGCTAGGTAGGTAGTTGGTTAAAGTAAGCAGGAAGAAATGAATTCCATATCAATAACTTTGTGTTTGTGATGAAATAAGAACAGCAGCCTCTAGGGAATGTGGTGGATTAGTCACATAAAACAGTTTTCATGTTTTTGTGTTTCTAGTGTGGATTATTTCAGTGATAACAAAGACTCTGAAGACCACATACCTATTCCATAGCAGCATGCTGTAGCAAACGTCTGTTCAGTATATTTAAAAACTTAAGTCTCACTGGAATTAATTTGATAAATGAGAAGAAAAGTGATAAGATGTTAGGTTTATGTTAAATATCATGGTAAAATTATTGACTCATAGGAAAAAACTAATGTAAGGTCTTGAAATATAAGTATTTATTCATATAATAAAATTAACTCACAAGGTAATTTGCATTTTGGAAAATTCTCATCCAGAGAGCAGTCATTGGAAAGTGGGCTTATAAGATCTCTCAGAGTAGAGAGCTGTCTGTCTGAGAAAACATGCCCTTGAAGAAAGAGCACCAGACTGGATGAGGAGTCAGGAGGTATGTTGACTCTGACTGGTGCTGTCAACATAGGATGACTCATGCTGGCTCACCCAGGATTTTCCCAGTATTTGCACTGAGAACTGTCTTCTTCCCTCCCATTGGTTATCGTTTTCCCCATCCCACTACCTCCAAGTCCTGGGTCAACCAGTGTAGTGGGTCAGCAGTTAGGTGCATGATCTTGAATTAGACACTCAATTTACCAGTTTTGGGTTCCTCATGTGTAAAGCAAAGAGGATGGATTAGATGTTGATATAGTTTTGCTGTGTCCCCACCTAAATCTTATCTTGAATTGTAGTTCCCATAATCCCTGCATGTTGTGGGAGGGACCAGGTGGAGGTAATTGAATCATGGGAGTGGTTTCCCCCATGCTGTTCTCGTGATAAATGAATTTCATAAGATTTGATGGTTTTATGAACTTCTGGCATTTCCCCTGCTTGTGCTCATTCTCTCTCCTGCCGCCCTGTGAAGAGGTGCCTTCTGCCATGATTGTAAGTATCCTGAGGTTTCCCCAGTCATGGGGAACTGTGAGTCAATTAAACCTCTTTTCTTTTCTTTCTTTCTTTTTTTTTTTTTTTTTTTTTTTTTTGAGATGGAGTCTTGCTCTGTTACCCAGGCTCTGGAGTGCAGTGGCATGATCTCTGCTCACTGCAAGCTCTGCCTCCCAGGTTCACGTCATTCTCCTGCCTCAGCCTCCCAGGTAGCTGGGGCTACAGGCGCCCGCCCCAACGCCCGGCTAATTTTGTTTTTGTATTTTTAGTAGAGACGGGGTTTCACTGTGTTAGCCAGGATGGTCTGGATCTCCTGACCTCGTGATCTGCGCGCCTCAGCCTCCCAAAGTGCTGGGATTACAGGCGTGAGCCACCGCGCCTGGACTAAACCTCTTTTCTTTGTAAATTACCCAATCTTGGGTATTTCTTCATAGCAACATGAGAATGGACTAATACAGATGTCTGAAGCTCCTTGCAGGTCTAACATAAGAGTTTATCTCAAAGTCATGATCTTTCTTGTTCTTATTTAATTTTTATTTTTTTTGAGATAAATTCTCACTCTATTGCCCAGGCCAGAATGCAGTGGTGTGATCTCATCTCACTACAACCTCCGCCTCCCAGGATCAAGCAATTCTCCCACCTCAGTCTCCCAAGTAGGTGGGACTACAGGCACGCACCACCACGCTTGGCTAATTTTTGTATATATATATATATATTTTAGTAGAGATGGGGTTTCACCATGTTGGCCAGGCTGGTTTTGAACTCCTGACCTCAACTGATCTGCTTGTCTTGGCCTCCGAAAGTGCTGGGATTATAGGTGTGAGCCACCATGCCTGGCCCATTATCTTTCTTTTCCATTAATCTATCTGCTTTCTCCTTCAAATAACCATGAAAATCTTAGAGATTAAGTCCTCCTTTGTCTTTGTATTCTATTTTTTAATTTATACCAAATCAATTCAGCACCAGGATTTCCTTCAGAGAATCAAGCATTACTCTCAAAGATTGGCAATTGAGATAAGATAAAGAATTAAGTTAGCATGTTTGTAGAAAATGCAACAAAATCTATTGTTCACTATAACCTAGGCAATCTGCTAATACAAACTCCAAAATTGCCCACATACTCTGAATTGAGAGAATAGGAAGAGGAGTTGCAAAGAGAAGCTTTCACAGACAGCAGAGAACTGGGTAGGTTTCTAAAGCTTGTTTAGTGTTAAGCTTTTTTTTTAAAGATTTGTTGAGATGTAATTCAAGTTATCATGTAATTTACCAATTGAATGTGTACAAGTCAATGTTTTCCTGTGTATTCAAAGACATATGCAACCATCAACACAATTTAAAAAAATTTCATCACTTCCAAAAAAAAAAAACCCTTTATCTTTCCGCTATCACCTCCCAATCCTCCTATCCTTCCATACACTCAGCTTTGAGTAACCATGATTAGTAAAGTACTAACTGTGTATTAATGCTTTACCTTCTTATTGCTGAATAATATTCCAATGTATGGACTTACCACATTCATTTATCCTTTCATTAGTTGATGAACATGTGCATTGTTTCCACTTTTTGGCTCTTAAGAATAATGCTTACATGAACATCCATGTCCAAGTTTTTGTGTGGACACATGCTTTCATTTCTCTTGGGTATATATCTGGAAGTGAAATTCTGGGTTATGTGGTAATCCTGTTTAACTACTTGAGGAACTTTCAAACTGTTTTCTAAAGTGGTCACACCAATTTACATTCCCATATTCTCATACGTGTATGAAGGTTCTTATTTCTCCACATCTTTGCCAACACTTGTTTTTAACTGAACTTTGTAATTCTAGCCATCCTGGTAGGTGTGAAGTGGTATCTCATTGTGATTTCTATTTATATTTCCATGATAACCAATAATTTTGATAATTTTTCATGTGCTTATGAGCCATTTATATATCTTCTTTGCTAAAACACCTATTCATAGCCTATGCCCATTTTAAATTGGTTAATTTGCCTTTTATTCTCAAGTTGTAAAAATTCTTTATATATTGTAGATATAAATCTCTTATATGTAATTTTTGAAAATTTTCTCCCATACTGTGGGTTATCTTTTTACTTTCTTGATAGTGTCCTGATCTTGTTCCTGATCTTAGGGGAAAAGCATCCAGTCTTTCACCATTAAGTATGATGCTAGCTGTGGGTATTTCTAGACAACTTTTATTTGGTTGAGGAAGTTCCCTTATTTGCCTAGTTTGTTGGGTGTTTTTATCATTAAAGGGTATTAGATTTTGTCAAATACTTTTTATGCATCTATTGAAAAAAATCTTGTGGTTTTAATTTTTTATTCTATTTATATTTTATTGATATGGTGTATTGCATTACTTGATTTTCAGATGTTAATTCAATCTTGGATTCCTGGGATAAATCCCACTGGGTCATGATATAATTTGTATTATATGTTGCCGGATTTAGTTTACGATTTTGTTGAGAATTTTTGCACCCAAATTTATAAGAAATATTGGTCTATAGTTTTCTTTTCTTATCTGGCTTTGGCATCAGGATTATACTTTCCTAAAAAAAAGAGTTATGAAGTGTATTCTTCTCAACTATTTTTTGAAGAGTTCGTGAAGAATTGGTATTAATGCATGGTTAAATGTTTGGCAGAATTTATCGGTAAAGCCATCTGGACCTGGAGTTTTGTTGTGTGAATAGCTTTTTATTATAAATTCAATCTCTTTACTTGTTATAGGTGTATTCAGAATGTGTATTTCTTCTTGAGTCAGTTTTGGTAGTCTGTGCTTTTCTAGGAACTTGTCCCTTTTATTGGTATACAATGGTTCATAGTATTTGTTTATTATTCTTTCTATTCCTGCAAAGTTATTATTAATTTCTCCTCTTTCATTTCTGATTCTAGTAATTTGAAATGTTAGTATTATGTAATTTTTTGTTGGTCAATCTAGTTAAAAGTTTGTCAATTTTGTTGATTTTCATTATTTGTTTTATTATTTTTCTCTATTTTCTCTATGTTATTTATTTCCATGCTGATCTTTAGTTTTCCCTTCCTTCTTCTTGCTTTAGGTTTAGATTTCTCTTCTTTTTCTAATGTCTTAAGGTTGTTTGAAGATTAGGTTATTTATTCGAGATCTTTATTCTTTTCTAACATAGGTATTTACAACTGTAGGTGTTTCTGTAAGAACTTATTCAGCTAAATTCTATGTGTTTTGGTATGTTGTATTTTCATTTTATTCATCTCAAAATATTTTCTAATTTCCTCTTTGATTTTTTCTTTAACCCATTATCTGTTGAGAAGCAAATTTCTGTGTTATTGATTCCTAATTTCATTCCATTGTGGTCAGAGAATATGCTTTGATTTCAGCCCTTTAAAATGTAGCAAGATTCATTTTATGGCCTAGTGTATGTTCTTTCCTGAGGAATGTTCCATGTGTACGTTACAGGAATACATATTCTCCCTGATTGGTGGAGTATTTTATACAGAGATGTATGTTATGTCTTGTTAGTTTGTAGTGTTATTGAAGTCTTCTATTTCCTTGTTGATCCTCTGCCTATTTGTTCTATCCATTGAAAGTGGAATATGGAAATCCCCAACTATTCTTGCTGTGGTATTTAATTTTTAATTTGGAAGACAAGTTCATTCTACTTCATTCATTAGACCTGAGTCTGAATAATTTTGGATATTTCCAAAACAAAATACATGTCCCATGCCCACATTATATTAAAGACGTGTTAGTTATCCTTTATCATAGTTTATACTGAATTAATATACTGAGCCTGAATGAATGAAGGTTCATTTCAATATTCCAAGGAGCAATGGCAAGCAGGGGCATATACAGAGCTGAATCATTACACAAAATTTTTAAAACAATACTCTTTCCAACTATATTTATTATGAAAGTTTAGTATGGCAGCTACACTGGACATCATGCTGGATCTCGAACCTAACCACCATTCACAGTAATGTTTCTGTTGCAATTTGTATCCAAGTTCAAAACACTAATCTACATACTTTTAAAACACAATTAGCTCAAACACTTGAGTCTGCCTGGACTTTGAGTTCCTGCCAGGTTAAATGTTTAACTTTTGTGGCCCCAAATCTCATGAAACAACAAGGCTTTCTTGAAGCCCTTTCATACTAGCTATTGCTATGCATACAATGTATTTCAAAACAGTTCAGATGTTAGAGAGGAAGTGAGCAGCACCACAGGGAAGGAGAATTCATGTCGTGATAGCAAACAAATAGTACATTTTAATCATATGATGTCGTGGGCTTCTCAGACTACAGCTAGTATTTGATGTCTTATTACTTTATGTTGTTCCTTGGGGATACCAAAGATTGAGGCAGTTTCTCTCCCAAGGATTAAAGCTGGGTGAACTTATTTTGGGAACTAATACTTTGATAAAAAAAATAGATGTCATACTGACCTGTTAGTGATTATGGCATTCAGTGTAGACTATAGATTTAAAGATTATGACAGTTGATACTTTATCAACAATAAAACACATTTATATTTTATGTCCAATTTATGGTGCTTTTATAATCATAGCAACCCTCAGACAGACAGGGCTGGGCATGAAGTACCTGAAAGGGGGTGCGGGAGGAGGCAGTAGTAACATGTACAGTGCTATTGTACTAGCATAGACTTCCGTGTCTGGCTCTGCCTCCCAGTCTGTCCTTGTTATATTACCTTTATGTTTCCAGGATGTCCTTGGTGATAGCAAGCGTGGCTGGATGTGAACTGAGGGGGCAGCAGGATTTTTTTTTTTTTTTTTTGCTCTAACCTTTGTGAGATCTAGCTGAGTGCCAGAGGCAGAGGAAATTTGTTCTCTGAAAGGAGGTGGTGTGGTTGGAAATATGTGGGATGGGTGTTAACAACATCTAGTTTCTTTCCTGCCAGTTGCCCCGCCTCTTTCTCATAAGCTTTTCTAAGACATCTCTGTGCTTCTATTAATAAATTTTCCATTGTTGAGCATTAACGGAACTTAAAAATCAGTTAAACTGTGCAAACAAAAGTTAGCTCTATGATCAAGTCCTACAATACCCTAAAGACAGAGCTGCGAGGAGAACGCAGGTATCCACAATCCAATACTGTCCTTCCAGTAGCCCCTGGTAGACCAATTCATCCCTCTTTTCTGGCATCTACCCTCTGTTTTGTAAGGCTAGGAGGTTCCATGATGATTAAAAATATGTTCTGAGACATTCTTCTTTTTTATTTTAAACACACACACCCTTTCGTTAGCCACCGAAATGTTTTTTTCTCTGAGACACGTCTGGCCTCTTGATTTTTTGAAAGTCTTCCCTCAAATTCTCCTTTTCTTGATGTCATGGCCTTTCTGCCTTTCAGCTGGAATCCAACCTCTTATCCGTAACACATATTAGATAGTGGTGTGTAAGTGGGACAATGAATTCATGTGGCATGGAATCTAATTTTGTAGACTTCGTATTTTTGCTTAGGAGCTACTTAGGTTACATTCTGTTGTTTGTCCACAAAAAAAGTCAATGCCAAGAGAAATGTGATGTACAGCCCTGTTGCACATTGAATAGCTTACTGGGGTCATTGTAGTCCTCACACCTGTCTGCAGTGAAGCTGGCAGTCCCAGGAATATGGTTTCTCCTGGAAAGTCAGAAAAAAGTAGTGTGCTCCCCAGATCTTGTCCACTCACCCTTTAACTTTCTGTGGACATCTAAGTTTGTTGTAATCCTACTCACTTGAAATATTCATCACTGGAAATTCCTAACTTGAAGTCATGCATTATTCTGTTTAAGGATCCAAGGAAACATCATTTTAAGACACATTATTATTGAGAATGAACCTTATGTTGACAAAGTTAGAACAACCTCTTGAGAGGGTTTATAATCACAATGACCTTTTCGGTTCTACCTATGAGGTCACCAACTGATGGAAAAACAAAAAAATTAGTTTCTTTGACTAGTTTCTGTTTGGAATGCTTTCAGACAAGGCAGAAAAAGGGAAATTTAGGAATTAAACATAATTTACAAGCAATAAGAAAATTCCTACTGATAATTTCCCTAGGCATACTCAGGGAGCCCAGGTAAACAGAAAAGGGATTTTTTTAAAGTGAATTTCAAAAGGATTTAATCAGAGTGAAGTCCCAGAATGGAATAGGGAGGGAGAATGTTGTTATACAGAAGAATGATATTCTTTTTTTAAAAGGGTCATAGAGAATACAAGAAGAGGTAGCAGTAGGGCTCTGATAAGCTTAAAGAAGTTATGCTGCTTTTCATTTTATCCTGTTAGTTGATGCTGACCTCTGCTAGGAGACTGAATCACTGGAGTTAGGTTAGGCTTATGTTGTCCAATACGGTAGCCACTAGTCACATGTGGCTACTGGAACACTTGATATGTGGCTAGTCTAAATTGAGATATACTGTAAGTGTGAAATAGTCACTGTATTTTAGTATGAAAATTTAGTGTGAATAAAGACTTAGTATAAAAAGAGTGCAACAAACTGATAATTCTAAAAAATTGACTACATGTTGGAGCAATAATATTTTGAACATATTAGGTTAAGTAAAATATATTATTGAAGTTAATGTCACTTATTTCTTTTTTACCCTTTTTACTAGAAAACTAAAAATTATACACATGGTGGCCGGGCGTGGTGGCTCACGCCTGTAATCCCAGTACTTTGGGAGGCTGAGATGGGCAGATCACAAGGTCAGGAGATGAAGATCATCCTGGCTAACACAGTGAAACCCCGTCTCTACTAAAAATACAAAAAATTAGCCAGACGTGGTGGTGTGTCTGAACTGGTGGGTTCTTGGTCTCACTGACTTCAAGAATGAAGCTGCGGACCCTCGCGGTGAGTGTTACAGCTCTTAAGGTGGCGCATCTGGAGTCTGTCCCTTCTGATGTTCAGATGTGTTCGGAATTTCTTCCTTCTGGTGGGTTTGTGGTCTCGCTGGCTCAGGAGTGAAGCTGCAGACCTTTGCGATGAGTGTTACAACCCTTAAGGTAGCGCGTCTGGAGTTGTTCCTTCCTCCCGGTGGGCTCGTGGTCTTGCTGGGCTCAGGAGTGAAGCTGCAGACCTTCGTAGTGAGTGTTACAGCTCATAAAAGCAGCGTGGACCCAAAAAGTGAGCAGTAGCAAGATTTTATTGCAAAGAGCGAAAGAACAAAGCTTCCACAGTGTGGAAGAGGACCGGAGTGGGTTGCCACTGCTGGCTCTGGCAGCCTGCTTTTATTCTCTTATCTGGCCCCCACCCACATCCTGCTGATTGGTAGAGCCTAGTGGCCTGTTTTGTCAGGGCGCTGATTGGTGCGTTTACAATCCCTGAGCTAGATACAAAGGTTCTCCACCTCCCCATCAGATTAGTTAGATGTAGAGTTTCAACACACAGGTTCTCCAAGGCCCCACCAGAGGGCCCCACCAGAGCAGCTAGATACAGAGTGTCCATTGGTGCATTCACAAACCTTGAGCTAAACACAGGGTGCTGATTGGTGTGTTTACAAACCTTGAGCTAGATACAGAGTGCTGATTGGTGTATTTACAATCCCAGAGCTAGACATAAAGACTCTCCACGTCCCCACCAGACTCAGGAGCCCTGCTGGCTTCACCTAGTGGATCCCGCACCGGGGCTGCAGGTGGAGCTGCCTGCCAGTCCCGCGCCATGCGCTCGCATTCCTCAGCCCTTGGGTAGTCGATGGGACTGGGTGCCGTGGAGCAGGGGGTGGTGCTCGTTGGGGAGGCTTGGGCCGCACAGGAGCCCATGGAGTGGGTGGGAGGCTCAGGCATGGCGGGCTGCAGGTCCCGAGCCCTGCCCCGCGGGAAGGCGGCTAAGGCTCGGTGAGAAATCGAGTGCAGCGTCGGTGGGCTGGCACTGCTGGGGGACTCAGTACACCCTCCGCAGCCACTGGCCCGGGTGCTAAGTCCCTCATTGCCCTGGGCCAGCAGGGCTGGCTGGCTGCTCCGAGTGCGGGGCCCGCCAAGCCGACGCCCACCCGGAACTCCAGCTGGCCTGCAAGCGCCGCAGGCAGCCCTGGTTCCCGCTCGTGCCTCTCCCTCCACACCTCCCTGCAAGCTGAGGGAGTGGGCTCCAGCCTTGGCCAGCCCAGAAAGGGGCTCCCACAGTGCAGCGGCGGGCTGAAGGGCTCCTCAAGTGCCGCCAAAGTGGGAGCCCAGGCAGAGGAGGCGCCGAGAGCCAGCGAGGGCTGTGAGGACTGCCAGCACACTGTCACCTCTCGGTGGCATGTGTCTGCATTCCCAGCTACCTGGGAGGCTGAGGCAGGAGAATCACTTGAACCCGGGAGGCAGAGGTTGCAGTCAGCCAAGATTGAGCCACTGCACTCCAGTCTGGGCAACAAAGCGAGACTCCGTCTCAAAATATACACACACACACACACACACACACACACACACGATTTGCACTTGTGGCCCACATTAGCAAGACTCTGTCTCAAAAAAAACACTATATATAGTATGTGTGTGTATATATATATATATATATATATACACACACACACACACACACGGTTTGCACTTGTGGCCCACATTATATTTTTATTGGATGGTGCTGATTTAGGCACTGCAGAGCTGGGCCTTTTGGGGAAGATTTGTTAGCTGTCTGGGCTTCAGTATGCATGTGTCTCAAAGGCAGGAGATAGAGGTGATGACCTGGACCTGCTTTTTGTAGACTTGGATTTTGTTTTCTTAATTTCTAAACTTGGGTCCTTTCTCCAATAGATAAATTTAAGCCTCGGAAAACTATTTATTATGAACAGCTATTTAGGTTTCCACAACAATAGCCAATTTTCAAATAATCTCTAAGTATAGCTCCTTCCTTATGACAAGTAAATAGGAAAATGTAACTGATATGTTGGGGAACCTACGGGTGGAGAGTACAGGACAGCGGTCAAAGAGTGAGTCAGGGCCAGGGCTAGCATTAGCATCTCTGTGACTCACAGTTGCACTCTAACCACTTGATGATTTTCATCTTGAGAAATACTGAGTGTGATGGCCCTTTCACACCAGGAAATACTGAAAATTGCTGAATCGGTGTTTGTCAAGCTGATAATTTGACTGATAAAAGCTAGGTGGGTGCAGTGAAATGGGTGGGTTCTAGCCTGCAGCATTGTGCTATCTGTGTATGAGCTACCGTAGGGTTACATCACTGGTTTGACTCAAGAAAGAGTATAAGGGGAAGCCACTGATATTACCTGTTTAGTGAAACATGAAGGAAATCCCACTGCAGAAGTGAAAATGTTACTGCCTACTTTTACCAGTAATTTCAAATGTAAACATTTAATTTAAAGAAATACTAACAATAAGCTTATGATAATTTCTACAAGGCTGAAGCCTAGCACAATTGGGTGAAAGAAGAATTTACATAGATTCACTGGCATGTCAAAAGGTATTTGTGCAGGTGTGTTGTCACCTGACCAAGGTGTCCATACCTGTGCTGTAGGTATATTTAAGATTTTGAAGATTATATTTGAAAAATATTTAGCTTTGTCCTCATAATCGTTTATACATGATTTTCTTGTGGTGATGACCACAAGGTTTTACCGTTGTGTGTCAACATCTGTGTCTCCACAGATGTTGACTCTGAACTTCTCAAGGTAAGGGACTGCATGTTTTTCCTTCAGTTTCTCTGATACTGAGCAGCATCTGCTATGTCGACAGTGGTTAATAAAGGTTTGATGAATTGAGTAGGTCTCCTTCATTAGGTGTATGAGGCAGAAAGAGGAAAAGAGAACTCGTGATGTACAGGAGCTTCTTCTTAAAGGGACTAGTGGGTAGGGAATCTAACTCCATAATCTGTCATTTCCAAATACCTGCCTGTTCTTTGAGCTCAAAAAAGTGGAAAGGAGAAGGCCTTTAAACTTTTGGATATAGAAACCTCAGTGTGGAATTAAGCTTGAGGTAGATGGTTGAGAACTAAAATGTTATGCGTAAGACATTAACAGGATTGACGTGTGACAGGCTGCAGCTAGGAACCAGAGGAAAGGAACCAGAGAGGCGGAAGAGATGTTATGGGGCTGAGTGGGGAACAAACCAGCGAGAAGTTATTCATGGCAGGAAATGGCTAGTACTTTTTCAAACAGTGAGTCTGAGGTTTAATTTTCGGTTTTTGTATTGCTTCTATTATAATCTCAGAAAAAAATCCATTGCCTTCAAAGTGCTTAAATTTCCAGTTGGGAAAGGAGCCTGCGTGTGTGTGTGTGTGTGTGTGTGTGTGTGTGTGCGCGTGCCCATGCCTGTTGTGGGGTAGCAGGTAAGGGTGGAAAACAAAACATGGTTTTTATCCCCCAAATTACTCTTTCTTATTAGGGAAAAGGAATAAAGAATGAAAGTTTTCCTTTGGGTTATATCTAAGAACTGGATAAAGCTCTGGGGATGTCCTAAGGAATAATTTCTTATGTAATTTTTCAAAAAAAGTCAGTTTTTCATTTTAACTGGTCTGCTGATTTTTGGGGGAACAACAGTACAATTTGCAATTTGATGCCTACATATTTATAGGGGAGTCCTGTCCTGTCTATCTCAATGTTGAACCCAAATTCACATTGTCCTCCACGTAAGCTTGCCCTCCACTCAGAGCCACTACCCCACTGACCAGTCACGGAGGACAAAGGTTCTGCTGGTATCACAAACTCTTATCTCCAGAGAATGACCTACTGGATGTTATGGATGTGGACCTAATTGGAATGAACAAAAGCAAATTAGTTGTCATTGAAATAAGAAGTGGTGCCAGACAATATAAAAGTATTCACAGGTTTCAAAAGTTAGGGTGCTTCAAAAATGCCTCACTCTCAGCAAACTATCGCAAGGAAAAAAAAAACCAAACACCGCATGTTCTCACTCATAGGTGGGAATTGAATAATGAGAACACTTGAACACAGGAAGGGGAACATCACACACCGGGGCCTGTTGTGGGGTGGGGGGAGGGGAGAGGGATAGCATTAGGAGATATACCTAATGTAAATGACAAGTTAATGGGTGCAGCACACCAAAATGGCACATGTATACATATGTAACAAACCTGCATGTTGTGCACATGTACCCTAGAACTTAAAGTGTAATAAAAAAAAAAATGCCTCACTCTTGCAGCTGCATGTTTCTTTATAAATCATGGTAGGATTTTTTAAAATTCGTGTTTTCTTATGTGATCTCTTTCCAAAGAAAACTAAGTCATTTCAGACAAAGATAATTATGTTTTATTTTAAATATTATATAATGATGACAATTATATGGGTGTGCTTCTATCTTCACTCTCTTTTATTTAGAATTAGGTTTACCTTAGGAATTACATAAAACTCAACTAGCAGTGGCTTACATAAATAGGAATTTATTTGTGTTATAAACACAGACACACACACACACACACACACACACACACACACACACAATCTGGGGGTAGGTAATTCAGGGATGCCATTAGGGACTCAGGCTGATTCTTTCTGTTCCTGTCTTCAAAATGTAAAATTGGACCTCTCGTTTGCCACCTCATGATCACAGCTAGCTGTGGAACCCTCAGACTCCTGTACATTATTGGGGCATTTGAAAATGGATAAAGAGTAAAGGGCCAAAGAGGAATGCCAGTTAAATCTCTATCCTAAACGATTTTCCCTAAAGCTCCACTCAACAATGTCTGTTTATATCTCATTATTAGATCTTACATGCCAACCTCTATCACATGCATATTGCTGTCCCAGATAAAACTGGGCTTCTCTTACCAAGGAATAAGGAGACTTTGCCTTGGTCACCACGAGCATTTGCTACTCTTCCACGCTTCCTCCTCAAACATGAAATATTTGTAGACCTGTAGGATATTTATAGTTATAAAAACCTTAGAGACAACACAAACCAACATTGCCTTCTCATTTTACAGATGAGAGTACTGAAGACCAGAAATATTAGTTGAATTTTCCACTTGAAGAACAGAGGAATGGAAAGCTCAATTCTTACATCACTCATAATGGGTATTAAATTTAGTGCTTTATTGTGTATGCTAGAGTGTAAATTACTTGAATTACTTAAATGTATATTGCATTTGTTTCTTGAATATATTTTGCATTTTAAAATTTTGTATCTTGTATTTCTTACTTGAATTTATTGTATATTGTATTTGTGTATTCACTTATGCTTATTGTTTTGCATTTCTTTATTATATATGTGTTGTATTATTTATTATAATTGTATTTACTACTTTGAGTTGGTTGCATTTATATGAATTATATTTTGCATTTATTGTATATTATAGTTTTTACTTAAATTTACAGTATAATGTTTTATTTTATATGTTAGAGTGTAAAGAACTGCCAAGTTTATTTTTGTTTCTCTCTCAGTAAATACCAAAAAAATCCACTGTAGAGACCTCTTTAAACGTTATTTGAATTCATTATGTCATGAATATCATCAATGAAAAGGGAGGAGGAAGAAAACTTATAGATAAAAGGAATCAATTTGAAAAGTAGAAGAAGTACTGTAATGCCAAAAACAGTAATCAATCAGAAAACACACTTTGATGTATAGGAGTACATCAGTGATGGAACTGAACTTTCACTTATACCACAAAGTGCTGCATAAAAGCCCTGATGAATGGAGGGCAGAATGAAGAGGGGTGACGTGAATTCCTCCGTGACATCTTTGCTGCTTGAGACTGCTGGTTGGGTGCCATTGTGGTAGATGTGTATGTTGAACCAACTTCTTCCAGGCTTTATATGTTGTTTACTCTCCAAATTTCTTAATTCTATTAGTGGACCATTGCTATAGAGTGTCCCAGTTTCCTTTCTTTTCTCTATAACTTTCAGCAGTAAGGGGAATGACTAGAAATTCCCCACACAGCAAGAGCTGTTCTAGCTTTCCTTTCAGAAAATGAGTTTAGTTTGAAAAGGTCTCATTAGGCTGAGTTTGTCCTAGTCTTCACTTTTTGTGTCTATTTTCCTATGAGTACTTTCTGACATACATCATGGGAATTAAGGGTCATAGCTTAGAACCTCCAAGAAGACCTTTTTCCTTGACTTTCCAGTTTCCCTACAACCCATTTTGCACAGGCTCAGGGGTCACATATTCTAAATATTTCTTAGAACACAGTTTTTGAATACATATTTTAGATTTTTTGCATTGATTTCATGCTACCTGTGCTTAAAGCTTCTTATCTAGACAAAGGCTGTGCTTTTTAATCACTTAATTATGTCACATTGAAAGGCACCTTTAAGTGAAATAATGAAATTTCCTTCTTCCTTTAGGGGAAGAGAATGTGTCTCTCACTCAACACATTACCAAGTATTTTACTATCCCAACACTATAGAAATAAGAGTTTGGTAAACTACCACCTTGAAAATTGCCAAAATTTGAGTTACCTAAAGAGAACCTGGAGAAGTTGACAGTTACCACCCTGGGTCAATCTGGGCTTAATTGACTTGGTTTAAGTGATGCCAATTACCTCCAATTCTTGAGTGAGCTGTGTTGGAAGTAACCACCAGTGGAAAAAAGAGACAGCTCAAAAGGGAAGGTAGCCTTCAAAATAGGAAGAGACTTGATGAGTAGACAGACTTTGAGAAGTGTGGCATCTGCTATCAAGGGTAAATGTCAGTGGACAAAATAGTTTAACTTTCGTAAAAGATATCAGTCAACACTTGCCCTAGTACTTGTCTCAGGAAATAAGCATGACAAGGCACTCCAGGGGTCCAGTAATAGTGATCTTCAAGGGAGAGAAAAGGGGTAATTCTATGGTATTCACAATTCAGAGAGAGAATCTCTGGGGGTAAAAGTAAGAACAGGATTTGCAGAGGGCAAAGTGGATCAGAGTCAGAAATGATGGTCTTGGTGGTTCAATTAGGAAACAGAATTAAGGAGGCTTTGAGGCCCCAACTGGACCCTGAAAAACGACTTTCTTCAGTTTACAGACCAATTATGTTTCACAACTGGGTCTCTTATCGTATCCCTGTGCTTTATTCTCTCCCTCTTCTTCTGCTACACACTTCATTTATTATTAAAATTTCCTTTAGAATCTTAACTCAGAAGAAGTCAAGATGTATATATATTCGGGATGATACATAGAGAGGGTTGCATGGGTTTGTGTTTATGGATTTATGTTTGGAAATGGAGGTGGAGAAATGTCAGTGGACCAGGAAGAAAAGTAATGCAGGAGCATAAAGCAACTGGAAATACAGGAAAAAGAGAGAATTATGTGTTTCAAAAAATTACACTCCACTGTTGGACAGCTCTGATGGTGAGAAAGATTCTCAGGTTGTTTCCACTCATTAAGTTTTGCCTCCAGGAGCAATAAAAATCAATCAAATTTATCTCCAGCAGAACAACTTCTCCGAATTGAAGCTAAGATTATATTTGTCAGAATTCTAAGGGAACAAGTAATGTATTCCCAATACAAATAAATGTATAGTAAAAATTATTGATGATAGTAAGCATACCCTTAATAGTTTTGTTAATCAAATCACATACTGTAAACATTTCCAAGTAATGCCTTTTAAATAATTTTAGCATTAAGTAATTAGCTTAACAGTACATTCATGAACAGTTGTTAGTCCTACTGAATGTCTTTTTTCTGGCTTTGAATCAAAAGGATGAAGCAGCTTTAAATGGAAGCTTCTGCAATTCTAAGTGCTAGAGTCTCTTGGACCTATATTTAACTTCAATAATTTTGCCTTATTTCAGGCATCCTTTTCCAAGAAGAATTCTTCTACTATGGGGTGGAGTGGAGGTTGGAAGTTAAACTCAACCAATACAGGGAACAAAGCGCAATAAAAATCAAAAGAAAATATTTACCTCTGGGCAAAGGACACACACACACACAGCATGCATGCATGCACACACCCATGCTATTTCATTGCTCTGACCTCACTCCCTAGTAGCAAGAAGACCTTATATATGTATTTTTGTAGGCTCTGCTCCTTGGGCCAAAGGCAGAAATCTCTGAGCTTTCACCTTACTTTCTTTCATGTCTAACAACTGAATGAGGAGAAGAGTTGAGTTACTTTAAAAATAATTCTTGCTAACAATTGATGATTGAAACTCTATTCTTCCAGATCTAGCTATGATGCAGGTTATTTAATTTTAAATATTGCATCCTGGAACAATGTGATATTATATAATTTCTAGTTAGCTAGCACTTTGACTCTTAAAATTGTCAAGTGCCCTAAGGGAGAATAGGTGGATCGCAAGCATTATATCAGAAAAGCCATCTTCCCAAGTTGGCTACCAAAAGCATTTCAGCTATCCATACGAGGATCAACACCAGACAGTTGGTTAGCATAATGAATGTCAGATATATTTCTTTAATTTGTGACATTTGTGGCTAGGTAACATGATGGATACTAGAAACAGGCTCACATTGATAACATTAAAGTTATTCAAGACATGTAGTTTGGCTAAAATATTTTTAAAGATACTTCCCACTTTTGCATAAAGAAATTCTAACAAATAATAAATTCTATAACCTGTTCTTTAAGAATGTTGCTTGAAGCTTAATTCCTAAGTAATACTGTGTCTAGCCATTAAGTAGGAAGATTTCAAGTAGGTTAACACTAATGTCAGAGAACCTGGACCCTACCTTCTGAAAATTGTGTCCACCTCACAAAAACCTTTCATGGAAGGTGATGGTTTGACACCAAAAGGAGATCTAGGACTTCACTGAACTCACAGAAAAAGATTGCATTGACTATTTTGTTCTTCCTTGCTAATGAAGCTAGTCAGTCAACATGTATGGCAGAGTAGGGCATGGGACTTTTTGTACACAGGCTGTGAAAAGTAGCTAATATATGTGCACTCCAAACCTTTTCAGCATTTAATGTCATCCACCAAATAGGAGCTTAGAGTTGTGTGTGATCAGAATGGTTTGGGTCAATGTGTCATCCACCCCAAAGAATTTTTTTTTCAACTCTCTGTTCACTATAGCTCCTTATTTTAAACATCTTCAGCAGATTGAGACAGGACAAACAGCTTGTCATCATCAATTTGAAATTCCCTGAAAACTCAGGTTGTCATGAACAACCAAAGGAAGAAGGGTTGAGAGGCTAAAGAGAAAGTACATTGGGTCAGCTGGGGCTGTTCTCTGCCTGGCTGATGTGATGATCTTTCCCAAAGGGCAAGTGGGGACGGGAGACCAGTGTTCCTACTTATCTCCAGGGAGGGCTACGCTATGTCATAAAAGTCTGAAATGAGAGATTTTTATGTCCCTTTGGATTAGCTGCAAGGGTCAATGGAACAGTAAAGCCTGCATCATTTCCCTGCCCCTTTCCCTAGGCAAGGCAATGTGTGTGGTCGTCTGGGCAGAGCAGAGATGGTAGAATAAGTTGTCCCAGCTGGAGATGCTCTGGGACAAATCAGTGACTATGTTTTTTGTTACCCCTTGTGGCAGACTGCTTTGTTAGAACTTTGAGATAATCATATTACTGATATAAACTGAGTAAATACAAAAGATTTTGTCCTAATTTGAGTCTGCTTTATGTTCAATTATTGGTGATGTCATCTGACAAGTCATTTCCCATTTGCCTTTTGGGCTTTTGTCTCAGAAAGAAGGATTAGTAACTCAGAGTGATGAGATGAGCAGCTGTTGCTTTAGGAGAATCCAGGTGAAAGATGATGGTAACAGGTCTTTGTGTGTCCTGATTTCACCTCTCATCCTCCATCAGCTGGGGTTTTCTTGGCAGCCACAGCTGGAGCCACTGGGTGGAAGTAGGAAGATAGTCAGAGCCAACACCATCAGGAAGCAGATACATCACCCTGAGAACGGGAAGTGCTAGTCATTTAATAGTCTGTGCCAGATGACCTGCAAGAGAGAGAGAGGCACTAAGTTTTCTAGACAAAGCGCATGTTGCCTGGGAAAGTGGAAATTAAGACACTTTAAGAACTTTATCTTTACAATTATCTATATTTTACAGTTTCCAGCTCAATTTATATGGGTAATACAAGTTTCCTTGAAGATAAAATCAGGGTTTGGAATATGCAGTTATCATTGACTGTTAGAACATGTTCAGGCAAGGCTTGGGTATGTAAGTTCTTGGAACTACCACATTCCCTTTACTTGCCAGTTTTGTCATGAGTGGTTCTATTGATTGCATCTGTGGCTTTTTCTGGGTTTGCACTAGATTTGAAGACAGATAGGTGCAGCTTGGTAAAAATTATTTCTCTAATGGCAGTGACATTTTCATTTTATCTGTTGTGGAATCACAGTTCTTATTTTTCAGTTGTAAGATAGCATATGGGATTGTGATATATTTTCTGATGTCTCCTTCTACTTAACCCTGGTGCCCTGGGTAGGTGTTTTCTAGCAGGTTTTCACTGCATGTGTAACCATGTGTATGTGTGTGTGCATGTGTGTGTGAAATGCTCTTTCAGCATTTCAACTCCATAGGGCTTTTGCTGTGAAAAAAATGTCAAGATTTGAGGTTATTATAACCTGGCTGGGCCTAAAGGAAGAAAGTCATTTTCCAAGTGCTGACAACTACAGAAAAAGAAAGGAGCCAAATAACCAAGAGTGGAAGGGAACGGTTTGATTTTTACCTTCTAGCCCCTTGGTGTGGAATTAGAATATAATTGACCACTAACGTATTGAGATGGGCAAGGGGATACAAGGGTAAAGTGAATTTTTTCTCCAGATCATCAGCTAAGGTGTATTCTATACATTTCTGGGTCCTGAATGAGTCAAACATTCCATATGTATTTATTTTGTGTCAACAGATATTTATTAGGGCCTAGGGTTACTGTAGTAAAAGAATCAAGGGTTAGACCTCATGAAGTATGCTGGAGGGAGAGAAAAACAGGGAAACAGGTGAACATAAAATACAATTTCAGGTAGAGAGAGAGATATGAGAAAAAGTGATTAAGTAGAAACTTGCATTAAGTTCGAGAGGTAACCTAAGGAAGACCTGGGGCGGGAGGAGAGTGTGGAGGAAATGAAATAAGACAGTGTCTGGGGCTGGATAGTGGTGGGGGGCTTCAATCTCTGCTGACTGGGAAGCCTTGTGAATTTCCAACATGGAACTGAGGCTCTCTGATTTATGGCTTTAAAAGCTCACTCTAGTGCATCAACTCTTTTGTACTTTGCTGGCTATGTATCAGTGCTAGTAGAAAATCATTGTATTCTCAAAACAATTATTGAGAGGCCTCATGATACCTTTCATAAAGCTCTAGAAGTTTGTAACACTTTTTGATTGGGACCTGGAAAAGAAATAATTGGGGCATTCTTTGAAGTTGTATATTAATTCATTAGTTTATAACTCAAAGGGGGAAAATGTATAATTTAAAGAAAATGCCAGGAAAATAATCATTTTTAGTTGATTTGCTTACTATGTACTGCTTTCTGTGGTCAGGCCTTGCATTGGTGTCAGAAATTTGTTGGTTATTCAGCTGTCTATCAGTTATGCAAGGCAGTCTAACATGGTGAGTCAGAGGTGGGTCCCCAGAGGACAGCTGACTGCGTTTGAAATTCAGCTTTGCCAGTCCTAACAGCCACTTAGCTACTCTAGGCCCTTGAATAATTGCAAAGTATGGCATAATATGAGTGTCACCCTTATGGAGTTTTGTGAGGATAAAATGAGATATTATTATACATAGGAACTGCTTCTGACACCACTTAAGTACTCAGTGAAAGTTAGCTAGCTACTATTACCATTTTTGCTAAGGAAATTCCAACCATAGAAGATTTTTAAATTTCACACATGATAAATCAATGATAAGTTAATTTTACATAATTTGGAAGCCTGAATGGGCAGAATTATGAGTCTGGAATATAGTATTTTGGGAGTAACACTCAATATTAGGGTGATATTATGTTAGCACTAGACAATAGGCTTGATGGGGCTGGCATCGTTAAAGGAGAAAAGGCCCAAGCCTAGGGCAGATTTATGGTTTGAGGCTGCCAATAAGGATTTATAGCAACAGATGAGGGTTAGGGGTGTGAGGCATGCAAAAATGAGCTGAATTGAGAAAAGTTGCTCATGAAATGAATAGGTTGAGATGGACTGGGGAAAAGCCATGGCTGCCAGTAGGTATGTTTCTGTTTTGGACTTTGGTTTTTAGATGCTATCACCTCAAACTCTCTTTAGCATTATTTTCAGCTGAATTCTCTGAAGGACATTTTTAAATATGAAATTCTACATGTGAGCTTTAAAAATATGGCCAGGCAAGGTGGCTCAGGCCTATAATCCCAGTACTTTGGGAGGCCAAGACAAGAGGATCACTTGAGCCTAGGAGTTTGAGACCAGACTGAGCAACATAGTGGGATCCTGTCCTTACAAAACATTTTTAAAAACTAAAAAAAATAGCCAGGTGTGGTGGCACACACCTGTAGTCCTAGCTACTTGGGAGGCTGAGGTGGGAGATTCGCTTGAGCCCAGAAGTTTGAGGCTACAGTGAGCCATGATGGCACCACTGCACTCCAGCCTGGGTGACAGAGTGAGACCTTGCTCTCTCTCTCTATATATATATGTATCAGAATCTATGGGTTCAATCAACTGTAGGTTCAACCAACTGAGGATTGAAAATATTAGAAATAAAAATTGTATTTGTTTTAAACATGTGCAGACTATTTTTTGTCACGATGTCCTAAACAATACAGTAAAACAACTATTGACATAGCATTTACATTGTTTTAGATATTATAAGTAATCTAGAGATGATTTAAAGTGGTAGGATGTACATAGGTTATATGCAAATACTATACTATTTTATATCAGGGACTTGAGCATTCTCAGATTTTGGTATTTGTTGGATGGGGTGGGAGTGAGGGTGTCCTAAAACCAATCCCTTGTGGAAACTGAAGGACAAGTGTATGTGTATTTCAATGTAGTGCTTGCCTTTGAAAATGACTGTGATTTAAATAGCTGCTTTAAAATATATTTTAGTTTACATTCACCATTGGTCTCAGCCAGTAGCACAATACTATCATTTTGTCCAGTGGCTGTCATTTCTATTCTTCATCCAAGTTATTTAACATTTGAAATAATCCAATTTATGAATAGAAAAAATAACCCTGAGTACATCCCTCATGGAAAGTAATAAAACCGTTTTCGTGGGTTCCTGCTCAATTTCCCCAGCATGTGCTGTCTCTCTGAAGTCATGGTGATAACAGAAGATACCAGAAAATCAAATCTGTTTACCATTTGCCAATTTCTTAATCCCTTGGTCAGGGAAAAGCTCCATTTGGAGACAGAATTCAAAAAAATCCCATTTTGTTTTCTTATACTTCTCTTTCCTTTTACTCTCCTTTTTAATAATCTTTACTTTTTGCCCCTCCTTCCTTCCTTCCTTCCTTCCTTCCTTCCTTCCTTCCTTCCTTCCTTCCTTTCTTCTTTCCTTCCTTCCTTTTTTTTGTGACTGCAGAAGGAAGAACTCATTGTACAGAGGGAGTCATGTTGTGGTGTAATGATGTGAGCTCAAGTCACTTTGTGACCTTCTAAATTACATGGGCCCTTCTTAGACTCCTGCATTGCTTCTTATTTTTGAGCAGCAAATGACCCTAATTGACAGAGTTTCAATGTCAAACAATATTTTACACAGAAACTGAACTGAATACGAAAAGAAAAATGTTACAGGAGGACAGGGAAATAGTATAGTCCAAAATGGACTCAGCTTCCTGTCCATGCTTTAGTTGCTTTTTACAAAAACTAAGCAGTTAAGAATTCCACTCTGCATCAAGCAGAGGAAGGAGATGGCAGAGATATCAGAAAGGTAAAGCAGGGAATTTGGGAGAATTTTCCACTGAATAAATGTAAGATTAAGAGTTAATCATTGCGTAGTTTATAATGGGCAAATGATGATTCTGTATCATTTTTGAGATTTAGCAAAAGATCCCTTAAGCCTAATTACAACAATAAATTACTCTGCTGGTCAGCGTTTATCCATTACTCACTCTGTGCTTAGTACTATAACAAGGACTGTCAGGAATATAGACATATTCATCATAATCTCTGACCTGATTCTAAGACAGGTGCCAAGACCAGCTCGGTCAGGGAGACCCTAACCCAGGGGTGCTAGAGGAATTACACACACACAGAAATATAGAGGTGTGAAGTGGGAAATCAAGGGTCTCACAGCTTTCAGAGCTGAGAGCCCTGAACAGAGATTTACCCACATATTTATTAACAGCAAGCCAGTGATTCGCATTGTTTCTATAGATATTAAATTAACTAAAAGTATCCCTTATGGGAAACGAAGGGATGGACTGAATTAAAGGAATTGGTTGGGCTAGTTAACTGCAGCAGGAGCATGTCCTTAAGGCACAGATCACTCATGCTATTGTTTGTGACTTAAGAATGCCTTTAAGCGGTTTTCTGCCCTGGGCGGGCCAGGTGTTCCTTGCCCTCATTCTGGTAAACCCACAACCTTCCAGCGTGGGCTTTATGGCCATTATGAACATGTTACAGTGCTGCAGAGATTTTGTTTATGGCCAGTTTTGGGGCCAGTTTATGGCCAGATTTTGGGGGGGCTGCTTCCAACAGACAGGAGACTAAAAACATTAATAAATTAGAAAAATCAAAATAATTCTGAAAATCCCCATGAGTCTATTGCAGTAGGACCAGAAAGCAAATCAAACATAGGTGGACATATATCAAAACTCACATCCTGTGACTTAGTGAGTATTTAAGAAAGACAGATTTGGACATATTAGGATCTCAATAAATATATGTTTTGCAAGTGAAGAAATTAGAGAAGGAGAAAGAGTTTGGCATTTCCTTTTGAACGTTCTTCTGCCAGCTGTAGTCTTAGGCTGGTTAGGATGATATAATTATCATTAAGGAATATGTATCATATTTCGGATTTAAGTGATGGGCAGGTAAAATATAATTTGTGTGATGAATATTTTAGAAGCTCTTAATTGCATCTGAAGCACCTATTTACGGGGCCAGGGTATCAGATAAATTGCTCACCACCTCCACATTTTCTTTGAGATGAAGATCTGTGGGTGGAGAAGGGAAAGAGAGAGGGCCACCATCAGCCTTGAGTGAGCCCATAAATGGCAAGTCCTTCAGATTGCATTGTTGGCACTTCCCTCTGACGTCTATAACTTAACTTCAATAAAGGAAAACAAATGTAAGCACACCTCCAGGCAAATGAATATTTTTGCCAGAGACAGTATGGGGTGGGGAAGATAAAATGGAATTTGGAATTCTGACAGCCCTAGGTTCAAATCTGGCCTCATTGCTAATGAGCTCTATGAGACCAAGTAAGTTATGGTTGTTGATAAATTGGCTCCCTCATTATATTGCAAGTCCCTTGAAGGTGAAGCTGTTGCCTTGTAAAAAATTATTTTCTTTTGTGATTACAGAGGTAATCAATATTCGTGTAGGAAAATGGAAGAATAAGAGAGAAAATAAAAGTCATCCATAGCTCGTAACATTTTGTGATACACTGTTCCAGATTCTTCTCTCTGTAGTTATATATTTAATCAAAATTGTTATTATTGAGTGACTATGTCATGTTTGTTCTTTTTATCCCTAGCACCTGGTACATAGATATATTTAATAAATGTATGTTAAATGAATAAGTAACTTTGAACTTCTTGGTTCTCAAATAGTTTCCAGAAAAAAATGAGAATAATAGCAACAACTATAGTGCCCAGAGTTCTGAGGCTTGAATGAGATTAGTATGTATAGTGCTTATTTATCACCTGGTGCATGACAAACACTGTGTAATTGGAAGCTATTATTGCCATTATTTTATTTCTCATTGAAAATACAGAGATGTTATTAATGGTTTATTCAGAGGAAGTAAAATTATTCATGCTGGCCTTTACTTACAATTTATAAAGGCATAGTAAGTCCAGTATGAGGTGTTTATAACCACCACAGCATGAAGACATACTGTGAATCTTGGTGTAGGAATGGCATTATATTGGCAAAACCAGTTACTGAAGTCAGGTATAGGGGAAAAATTTGGTTGCAGGGTATTCCACTCTGAGCATGGTGATTTTATCTTAAGTTATTTCTTTAATATGATATGACCTAGCCTTGATAACAGCAGATTTAGACACCATGATATTAAGGATCTCAAGCCTTATTTCTTTCTTCTATGTCTTTTTCCACATACCTATTGTGGACCTGAATTATGTAGGTGCAGGTAAGGCATTGAAAATGCCTTGAATGGAGTTGCCAGCAAAGATTCTCCAGGGTTCTTGAACATCCCCCCTTAGGAGTGCTCCCAGGATTGCCTGCAGAATGTTGTAGAGGAAGAAGGACCTCAGAAATCACCTTATCAAGTAATTTTGTTTTACACACAGGGAACTAAGGTCAAAAAGAGATTACATGAAATTCTCAAGGTCACACAGAGAATTGGTGGCAAAATCAGGCTTAGAACTAAAGCTGAATCCATCTTCACAGAGTTAAGAATTTTACAATTAAGGATGAGGGGTCTGTTCCAAGATGGCCATATAGGAACAGCTCTGGTCTGCAGCTCCCAGTGTGATCAACGCAGAAGATGGGTGATTTCTGCATTACCAACTGAGGTACCTAGTTCATCTCATTGGGACTGGTTTGACAGTGGGTGCAGCCCATGGAGGATGAGCCGAAGCAGGGCGGGGCATCGCCTCAGCTGGGAAGCTCAAAAGGTTGGGGGATTTCCCTTTCCTAGCCAAGGGAAGCCATGACAGACTGTACCTGGAAAAATGGGACATTCCTGCCTAAATACTGCACTTTTCCAATGGTTTTAGCAAATGGCACACCAGGAGATTATATCCTGCACCTGGCTCAGTGGGTCCCACAGCCACAGAGCCTTGCTCACTACTAGCGCAGCAGTCTGAGATCGACCTGCAAGGCAGCAGCCTGGCAGGGGGAGGGGCATCTGCCATTGCTGAGGCTTGAGTAGGTAAACAAAGCAGCCTGGGAAGCTCGAACTGGGTGGAGCCCACTGCAGCTCAGCAAGGCCTTCTTCCTCTGTTGACTCCACCTCTGGATGCAGGGCATAGCTGAACAAAAGGCAGTAGAAACTTCTGCAGACTTAAAAGTCCCTGTCTGACAGCTCTGAAGAGAGCAGTGGTTCTCCCAGGATGGCATTTGAGTTTTGAGAATGGACAGACTTCCTCCTCAAGTGGGTCCCTGACCCCTGTGTAGCCTAACTGGGAGACACCTCCCAGTAGGGGCCAACTGACACCTCATACAGGTGGGTGCCCCTCGGGGATGAAGCTTCCAGAGGAAGGATCAGGCAGCAATGTTTGCTGTTCTGCAATATTTGTTGTTCTGCAGCCTCCGCTGGTGATATCCAGGCAAACAGGGTCTGGAATGGACCTCCAGCAAACTCCAAAAGACCTGCAGCTGAGGGACCTGACTGTTAGAAGGAAAACTAACAAACTGAAAGGAATAGCATCAACATCAACAAAAAGGATATCCACACCAAAACCCCATCTGTAGGTCACCAACATCAAAGACCAAAGGTAGATAAAACCACAAAGATGGGGAGAAACCAGAGCAGAAAAGCTGAGCATTCCAAAAATGCAGAGCAGCTCTTCTCCTCCAAAGGACTGCTGCTCCTTGCCAGCAAGGGAACAAAACTGGATGGAGAATGACTTTGACAAGTTGACAGAAGTAGGCTTCAGAAGGTCGGTAATAACAAACTTCTCCGAGCTAAAGGAAGATGTTCAAACCCATCGCAAGGAAGCTGAAAACCTTGAAAAAAGATTAGATAAAAGGCTAACTAGAATAAACAGTGTAGAGAAGACCTTAAATGACCTGATAGAGCTAAAAACCATGGCATGAGAACTACGTGACACATGCAGAAGCTTCAGTAGCTGATTTGATCAAGTGGAAGAAAGGGTACCAGTGATTGAAGATCAAATTAATGAAATAAAGTGAGAAAAGAAGATTAGAGAAAAAAGAGTAAAAAGAAACAAACAAAGCCTCCAAGCAATACGGGACTATGTGAAAGGACAAAATCTACATTTGATTGGTGTACCTGAGTGACAGGACAATGAAATTAAGTTGGAAAACACTCTTCAGGATATTATCCAGGAGAACTTCCCCAACCTAGCAAGACAGGCCAACATTCAAATTCAGGAAATACAGAGAACACCCCAAAGATACTCCTTGAGAAGAGCAACCCAAAGACGCATAATTGTCAGATTCACCAAGGTTGAAAAGAGGAAAAAATGTTAAGGGCAGCCAGAGAGAAAAGTCGGGTAACCCACAAAGGGAAGCCCATCAGACTAACAGCGGATCTCTCAGCAGAAACTCTACAAGCCGTTAGAGAGTGGGGGCCAATATTCAACATTCTTAAAGAAAAGAATTTTCAACCCAGAATTTCATATCCAACCAATCTAAGCTTCATAAGTGAAGGAGAAATAAAATCCTTTATAGACAAGCAAATGCTGAGAGATTTTGTCACCATCAGGCCTGCCTTACAAGAGTTCCTGAAGGAAGTACTAAACATAGAAAGGAACAACTGGTACCAGCCACTGCAAAAATATTCCAAATTGTAAAGACCATAGATGCTAGGAAGAAGCTGCATTAACTAATGGGCAAAATAATCAGGTAACATCATAATGTCAGTATCAAATTCACACATAACAATATTAACCTTAAATGTAAATGGGCTAAATGCCCCAATTAAAAGACACAGACTGGCAAATTGGATAAAGAGTCAAGAACCATCAGTGTGCTGTATACAGGAGACCCATCTCACATCCAGAGACACACATAGGCTCAAAATAAAGGGATGGAGGAAGATCTACCAAGCAAATGGAAAGCAAAAACAAGCTGGGGTTGCAATTCTAGTCTCTGATAAAATAGACTTTAAAACAACAAAGATCAAAAGAGACAAAGAAGGCCATTACATAATGGTAAAGGGATCAATTCAACAAGAAGAGCTAACTATCCTAAATATATATGCACCCAATACAGGAGAACCCAGATTGATAAAGCAAGTCCCTAGAGACCTACAAAGAGACTTAGACTCCCACACAATAATAATGGGAGACTTTAATACCCCAACTGTCAATATTGGACAGATCAATGAGGCAAAAGGTTAACGAGGATATCCAGGACCAAGTGGACCTAATAGACATCTAAAGAACTCTCTGCCCCAAATCAACAGAATATACATTCTTCTCAGAAACACATCACACTTATTCCAAAATTGACCTCAGAGTTGGAAGTAAAGCATTCCTCAGCAAATGTAAAACAACAACAGAAATCACAACAAACAGTGTATCAGACCACAGTGCAATCAAATTAGAACTCAAGATTAAGAAACTCACTCAAAACCGCACAACTACATGAAAACTGAACAACCTGCTCCTGAATGACTACTGGGTAAATAACAAAATGAAGGTAGAAATAAAGACGTTCTTTGAAATCAGTGAGAACAAAGACACAACATACCAGAATCTCTGGGACACATTTAAAGCAGTGTGTAGAGGGAAATTTATAGCACTAAATGCCCACAAGAGAAAGTAGGAAAGATCTAAAGTTGACACCCTAACATCACAATTAAAAGAACTAGAGAAGCAAGAGCAAACACATTCAAAAGCTAGCAGAAGGCAAGAAATAACTAAGATCAGAGCAGAACTGAAGGAGATAGAGACACAAAAACCCTTCAAAAGATCAATGAATCCAGGACCTGTTTTTTTGAAAAGATCAAGCCAACTGATAGACTGCTAGCAAGACTAATAAAGAAGAAAAGAGAGAGAAATCAAACAGATGCTATAAACAATGATAAAGGGGTTATCACCACCGAACCCACAGAAACACAAACTACCATCAGAGAATACTATAAACACCTCTATGCAAATAAACTAGAAAATCTAGAAGAAATGGATAAATTCCTGGATATGTACACCCTCCCAAGGCTAAACCAGGAAGAAGTTGAATCTCTGAATAGACCAATAACAGGCTCTGAAATTGAGGCAATAATCAATAGCCTAAGAACCAAAAAAAGTCCAGGACAAGATGGATTCACAGCCGAATTCTACCAGAGGTACAAAGTGGAGCTGGTATCATTCCTTCTGATACTATTCCAATGAATAGAAAAAGAGGGAATCCTCCCTAACTCATTTTATGAGGCCAGCATCATCCTGATACCAAAGCCTGGCAGAGACACCACAAAAAAAGAGAATTTTAGACCAATATCCCTGATGAACATCGATGAGAAATCCTCAACAAAAGACTGACAAACCGAATCCAGCAACACATGAAAAAGCTTATCCACCATGATCAACTTGGCTTCATCCCTGGGATGCAAAGCTGGTTCAACATAAGCAAATCAATAAATGTAATCCATCATATAAACAGAATCAATGACAAAAACCACATGATTATCTCAATAGATGCAGAAAAGGCCTTCAACAAAATTCAACAGCCCTTTATGCTAAAATATCTCAATAAACTAGGTATTGATGGAACGTATCTCAAAATAATGAGAGCTATTTATGACAAACCCACAGCCAATATCATAATGAATGGGCAAAAACTGGAAGCATTTCCTTTGAAAACTGCCACAAGACAGGGATGTCTTCTCTCACCACTCCTATTCAACATAGTGTTGGAAGTTCTGGCTGGGGCAATCAGGCAGGAGAAAGAAATAAAGAGTATTCAATTAGGAAAAGAGGAAGTCAAATTGTCCTTGTTTGCAGATGACATAATTGTATATTTAGAAAATCCCATCATCTCAGCCCAAAATCTCCTTAAGCTTATAAGCAACTTCAGCAAAGTCTCAGGATACAAAATCATGTCCAAAAAAACACAAGCATTCATATATACAAATAACAGACAAACAGAGAGCCAAATAATGAGTGAACTCCCATTCACAATTGCTACAAAGAGAGTAAAATACCTAGGAATCCAACTTACAAGGAATGTGAAGGACCTCTTTGAGGAGGACTACAAGCCACTGCTCATAGAAATAAAGGAGGACACAAACAAATGGAAGATCATTCCATGCTAATGGATAGGAAGAATCAGTATCATGAAAATAGCCATACCTCCCAAGGTAATTTATAGATTCAATGCCGTCCCCATCAAGCTACTGATGACTTTCTTCACAGAATTGGAAAAAGCTACTTTAAAGTTCATATGGAACCAAAAAAGAGCCTGGATTGCCAAGACAATCCTAAGCAAAAAGAACAAAGCTGGAGACTTCACACTACCTGACTTCAAACTATACTACAAGGCTACAGTAACCAAAACAGCATGGTACTGGTACCAAAGCAGATATATAGACAATGGAAGAGAACAGAGGCCTCAGAAATAACACCATGCATCTACAACAATCTGATCTTTGACAAACCTGACAAAAACAAGAAATGGGGAAAGGATTTTCTATTTAATAAATGGTTCTGGGAAACTTGCTAGGCATATGTAGAGAGCTGAAACTAGATCCCTTCTTTATACCTTACACAAAAATTAATTCAAGATGGATTAAAGACTTAAATGTTAGACCTAAAACCATAAAAACCCTAGAAGAAAACCTAGGTAATACCAGTCAGGTCATAGGCATGGGAAGGACTTCATGACTAAAACACCAAAAGCAATGGCAACAAAAGCCAAAATGGTAACCTAATTATACTAAAGAGCTTCTGCCAGAAAAAGAAGCTACCGTCAGAGTGAACAGGAAACCTACAGAATGGGAGTAAATTTCTGCAATCTACCCATCTGACAAAGGGCTAATATTCAGAATCTACAAATAACTTAAACAAATTTACAAGAAAAAAACAAACAACCCCATCAAAAAGTGGGCAAAGCATATGAACAGACACTTCTCCAAAGAAGACATTTATGCAGCCAAAAGACACATGAAAAAATGCTCATCATCACTGGCCATCAGAGAAATGTAAATCAAAACCACAGTGAGATACCATCTCACACCAGTTAGAATGGCAATCATTAAAAAGTCAGGAAACAACAGATGCTGGAGAGGATGTGGAGAAATAGGAATGTTCTTACACTGTTGATGGGAGTGTAAACTAGTTCAACCATTGTGGAAGACAGTGTGGTGATTCCTCAAGGATCTAGAACTAGAAATACCAAATTGACCCGGTGATCCCATTACTGGGTATATACCCAAAGGATTATAAATCATGCTACTATAAAGACACATGCACACGTATGTTTATTGTGGTTGGAACCAACCCAAATGTCCATCAATGGTAGACTGGATTAAGAAAATGTGGCACATATACACCATGGAATACTATGCAGCCATAAAAAAGGATGAGTTCATGTTCTTTGCAGGGACATAGATGAAGCTGGAAACTATCATTCTCAGCAAACTATCACAAGACAGAAAACCAAACACCGCTTGTTCTCACTCATAGGTGGGAATTGAACAATGAGAACAGCTGGACACAGAGCGGTGAACATCACACACTGGGGCCATTTGGGGGATGAGGGGCTGGGGGAGGGATAGCATTAGGAGAAATGCACAATGTAAATGACGAGTTAATGGGTGCAGCAAACCAACTTGGCACACGTGTACCTATGTAACAAACCTGCATGTTGTGCACGTGCACCCTAGAACGTAAAGTATAATTAAAAATAAATTAAAGATGAATCAGGCTGCACTTTGGTCCACTTCCTTGTAACTAAAAGTCACATATTGACCATTTGCATCCCCATTGTTCCTACAGGATGGATTTCTGAGGTTAAAATTATAAGGCATTTGTTTAAGAATTAAGATGTTTTTCTGGTGACAAATTCCAGCAGAACAGTAAATGCTAACCAGTGAAGACCCCCACAGAGGAACTGATCCTGGTGGTCTCCATCATCTGGAGAATGCAATTTCTTCATCTCTCTGTCCCTTGACTTCACCCTGCATTCTGATTCATCAATGATTGCCACCCTTTGGTTCAACCCAAAACCTTTAAAATCCTTGGCCCTAAACTCCCTGGGGTGACATGTTTGAAGTTTCCTCCTCTTTCCTTGTTTGGTAGCCCTATGATTAAACCTCTTTCTCTGCTCTACCTGGTGTCTCAGTGTATTGACTTGCTGTGAACATTGGCAGTAAATGCTTTATGGTTACAAAGGTTCCTATGAAACAGCAAAATGTGAAAGAAAGAACACAGTTGGAGTCAGGCTGCTTTAGTTTGAATCCTGGTTCTGCCACTTACATATCCTTAGAGGTTATTGAGTCTCTCTGAAGTGTATTTTCATTTGAAGACCATGACTAAATACTTAGTTGTATTAGTTTCCTAAGGATGCCATCACACATTATCACCAACTGGGTGGCTTAAAATGACAGAAATGTATTCTTTCATAGTTCTGGGGGCTAGAAGTCTAAAATCAAACAGTCAGCAGGACCCTGCTCCTTTTGAAGGCTCTAGAGAAAGATCCTTTCCTGCCTCTTTCTAGTTTCTGGTAGTTGCCAGCAGTTCTTGAGGTTCCTAGGTTTATAGCTGCACCAGTCCACTCTCTAACTCTATTATTACATGATCTTCTTTGTGTGTGTCTTCACATGGCCTTTTATAAGGACATTAGTCATTGGATTTATGGTCCACTCTAATCTAATGTGGTCACATCTTAACTAATTACATCCACAAAGACTCTATTTCCAAATAGGTTCACATTCTGAGGTTCTGGATAGACATGTAATCTTAAGAGGATACTATTTAACCCAGTATACTAGCATACAGGACTATTGCAAGGATTAAATAATATAATGTGAATTATCTAGCATAGTTGCTGGCACACAGTAGGCGTTCAACAATTATGAGTTCTCATTCTTATTCTCCAGTCCCAGCCCTGTGACCTCCCCTGTAGAGCTCTTCCCTACCCTGAACCCATTCTGTTTTCACTCAGTTGGCCTTTTCCTTTTTCTGCATTATGTCCCAGTCTCAGGCGTTCTTCCCTGGCTGGTTGCAATTGTTTTGTGCATCAGTTCTTCCCTGGTTCCAGCTTTCAAGAAGCTTTACAATAAATGTGCTTTGGGAACAAAATAACAAAGTACTGAAGATTACTGTAGCAGCAAAGGGACTTCACTTAATTAGCAAAAACGACAAAGTATTTCCAATTTTGACAAGGAAGATGAAAAAAAAGTGAATGTTATTACCTCTGTTAGGGTTCTATAAACTGGTGTAAGCTTTTCCAAAAAAATCAACAAAAGTATTCTGCTTTTGCCTTATTAATCCCAGAACTGGGAATCTGTGCGAAGATAATAACCCCAAATATAGAAAACACCACAAATACTCATCAAAATATAATTGGTAATTATCAAAACATAATTTATAATAGTAAAACATTGGAAGCAAGATAAATGCCTAAAAATAGGGGAAATTTAGGTAAACTATGCTTTGCTTATTTGAAGGAACATTATACTGTTATTTTTAAAATGTAGCTATGAAAAATAGCTATATATATTGTTAAGTGAAAAAGGAGAATAATAACTAAAAATGTATTTGTAATTGTAAAAAGCACATGAAGTAATGTCACAATGTTTAAAAACATTTCCATGTTATGAATTTTCTACCACTTAAAAATATTTCTTTATAGTTTTAAATAGGAAACTCATAATGTAAAAGAGATAATTCACAGACTCAGGCATCTTAATGCGAATGATAAGTGCTATAGATAGTCCTGCTCACCTGTTTGGCGGTGGATAGAGGCTGAGATGCTTGCAGCACTGCTGTTGGCATTGAGTGGAAGCAAACATCATTTCTCAAACAGACTTGAACAAACACATATCGTGGGAGGAGTAGCAAGTCAGATGATTCCTACCTGCATTGCCAGTGAACTAGACTCTTGAGTTATGGGGCCAAAAACAAACCCCTGAGCATACACAGACCGTGGCCTCCATGAAGAAGAACTCATGCAGATGGTAACTAATTTTTGAGTGATACTACCTGTGTCAGGAAAAATCCATAAAATCAAAACAAAGATAATACCACCACCACCACCACCACCACCACCACCACAACAACAACAACAAGAAATTTCAAACTTTGTTGACTTATTTTACATTCCATTCATTTCTGTTTTTGGAGAATAAATAATATGCTTCCCGCCCCCTTCCCCCACCCACCTTGACAAGTAAGAGAAAATGAAGGGCAGGTATCAGTGGGATATATAGGTTTTAAGATAAATCTGTGTTGCTTAGGCCTATGAGTACAAGTTTAATAGAGATGATGTAGACTTAATGATTTATTTTTCTGTCAAGTCAAAGAATTCATAGCTCATCGTCTGAATTTTATTTCCTCATGTGTTGATTAATTAGTTTATTCATTTATTTGGCAAATATTAATTGATTCTTATAAAGTTTTAGTCATGATTTTTTGTGAAGTGGGATATCCCATGAATGAGTTTGCTAGATTTCTGTTTATTGAGTTTAGGTAAAGAGAAATTTTTATTGAGTTTAGATAAAACATTAAGATAATTAAAAAATACTTCAAAAATAAGAAAAAATACATCATTAAATTTAAATTCCATTATATATTCTCAAAGAAGTGGTTCTCAAAATTAAATGTGCGCAAGGATCACCTGACAAGCTTGCTAAAAATGTGGGTTTCTAGGCCCTAATATGAGAGGCTTAGGGTAAGGTTGGAGATACTTGTTTGAAAGAAAGAAAAGAAGATTCTGATGTAGATACTCTACTATTCACACTTTGGGGGAAAAATATAGCCACATGAACACATATGTGCCATAAAACATTTTCATTAAATATTTGGAGTTGAACACTAATTTATCACTACGAAAATAAAACAACCAATAAGATGAAGAAAGTACTAAAAAATATTTGATGTTGCCTCCCAAAACATAGTTTTGCTTTTCCTTTTTTGGAAATCTGTAAGGAAAACTCATCACCAAGCTGTAGATGATGTCAACCCTTCTATTCCTGGCACATTTTTGACACGTAATCCCTTTATTTCACAATATACATGCTGAGGCAATGTTCTTTTCGTTTTATGAGCTGATAATTGTATGTCAATTATATCACAAGTTAAAGGAAAGTTAATAAGGATTGCATTCAGTTACAAGTAGCATTT
Source organism: Homo sapiens (assembly GCF_000001405.40). NCBI lineage: Eukaryota > Metazoa > Chordata > Mammalia > Primates > Hominidae > Homo > Homo sapiens. The sequence goes on along the minus strand of NC_000005.10, from coordinate 40,413,800 downwards.
TCAATATTATTATCATACGTGGGTTCTTTTCAAATACTCCAATATTAGAATCTAGATTTTGATAATGGAAGGTCCATTGTGAAAACCACATATAATTGTGTTGCAAAGACTGCATTATAAAACTCACTTGTTCTATATCCATATGTGTATATATTTTACATGTATATACACAGACACACATACAGTTGTGTCTGTGCTATGAGAAGATAATAAATGCACTTCTCTTTTAGTGAATCACTTTTTTTTACTATGCCAGGCCTTCCTATTTCTCTTTCTTGAGAAAGTAAATGGCTGATTTGCTTTAAACATCTTATGAGAGAATGATGTACAAATCTGCTAAACCTGGCCTTTTTTTTTAGTTGTTTTTACCTGCCAAACTATCTAGTATAATAAAATTAGGGTAGGCTTTAAACTAAAGATATGTTAAGGCAATGATTCTTAACCTTTGTATGCATAACAATCACATGCTATATGTAATATGTTTGTTAATATTCAGACTTGTGGGCCTCCGTTAAATCTTCAGTAAAGCCCAATAGTTTACATTTTAATGAATACTCCACGTACTTTTGAAGCTAATATTCTGCCTTTTACATTTTGAGGAATTACTTCTCAAAAGGAAGTTTGTAAAATAGCTTATGGGAGTTAATTTTGAGTGACCTATGCTTTAAAACCACTGGAGGAACTTACTTTAACCTTAATCAAGGGGCACTTAGAAGTATAAAAGAAGCATTGCAAAGTTTTCCAAACATGGATTTTACATTTGGATGGCCACTGGAAACAAGTACATCATTTTATTTCCTTTTGGAAAGTGTGTGTTGGAAAGTCAGACCTTTGGCAAGAACAGATGCTATCAGGATATGCAAAATCATGATGATGGGAGAACCAAAGACATGACAAAGTATGACGGTGATCAAAGAGACTTGCTCTGTGCCAGGTACTGCTCTAAGCTTCTTATATGAATTAACTTATTTCATCTTACAACTACCCTATGTAGTAGATATTATTACCTTTCCCATTTTACACATGGGAAAATAGAGAAGTAAGGTGTTAAATAACTTGTCTCCTCCTATAGCTTGTGAGAAATAGCCAGGATTGTCTGGACCTGAGCAGTCTGATCTTCTCAGAGCAGAAGGCCCTGGGGTCTAGACCTTCACCCTGCACTATATCACTAGTAAAGGGCTGGTTTTCTGGAAAACTCATTTATGCTTTTGCTAAACAAAGAGATTTTCATATTAAGACAAGTTCTTATGGAGGCAAAGCCATGAACTTCATGCCACTTAGAGCTTGTTTTTTTTGTTTGTTTGTTTTTGTTTTTGTTTTAATTATGTTTTAGAGATCAGGTCTTGCTATGTTGCCTAGGCTGGACTCAAATTCTCGGGCTCAAACAATCCTCCCACCTCAGCCTCCCAAGTCCCAAGTAGCTGGGACTGCAGGTGTGCAACACTGCATCCAGCTTTTCTTGATCTGTAATTCTTTAAATTTCTAGGGAAGACCAACATGAAAGAAAAATGTAAGCAATGGCAGTGCAGATGTGGTCTGGTGTCAATCTCCAGGGTACAATGGAGAGACTTGGAACCACATGCCCAGATGGAATGAGCTGTGCACCTGGGCCTCAATGGAGAGTCTTTGATAAATGGAAGGTGGCTTCCCAAGCAGTATGGACTTGCCTTGAACCAATGGTTTTTGTATTAGTTTTTAATTGCTACTATAACAATTACCACAAACTTAGTAGCTAAAGCAACACAAATTTATAGTCTTACAGTTCTGCAGGTAGGAAGTCTGATACAGGTCTTACTGGGCTAAACTCAAAGCATCAGCAGGGCTGTGTACATTTCTGGAAGCTCTAGGGGAGAATCCTCTTCTTTGCTTTTTCCAACTTTTAGAGGCTGCCCACATTCCTTTCCTCATGGTCCCCTTTCTCCATCTTCAAAGCCAGCAATGGCTGGTTGAGTTCTGTTCACATGGTATCACTTTGATCTTCTCTTCTGTCTTTCTCTTCCACTTTTAAGAACCCTTGTGATTATGTTGTGCCCACTCAGATAATGGAGGATGATCTCTCTATTCTAAAGTCAGCTTATTAGAAACCTCAATTCCATCTTGGTTCCCTTTTTCCATGTAACCCAACATATTCATAGGTTCCAGGGAGTAGGATATGAATATAAGTATTTTGGGGAGTCTTTACTTGCCTACCACAGTTTCCTAAAGAGTAAGGTGACTGGGGAAAAGAGGCATGTTTCAGCACATAGGGCTTATTCATTGAAGACTGGATGTTTGACTTGGAAGGAAAGCTTCCTTCCACTTGGCCAGTGAGATGCCTTTGGCAGTCACGCACACTGGCAGAGCACTAGTAGTGGAAGAGCTGTTAGCTGGCTAGCAGATAGGAGGGGAAGAGGCTGTGTCATACCTGGAAAGCCTGAAGTATCCTTGTTGCCTGAGGACAACTTGATTAAGCTGTTTCTAATGTTTGTAGAGAAGGAAGGTACTAAAGGTTTTTCCCTTAGCGAGGGAAAAGCCAAGCTGCTCCTCAGGTCAGGCATGGAGGGATGAGTGGAGAGGACCTCCTGTAGAGTTGGAATCTCAGTTAAAAGAGGTGGAAATATGAGCCAAATATATCTTTGATTGAAACAGAAACTCCCTTTCTTTCCTTTTCCCTTCCCCACCCTCACTTCCTTCCTTCTAGCTGCCAAATTTGTGCTGTTGCTGTGGTTTGGGAAGCTATGATTACATAAGCACTGCTCTTGTCTAAACAGGCTGTGTCCATAGTGTGAAAGCTAGGCTCATTCATATAGAAAACAACACTAAAGATAACAGCAAAACTTGACATCCACATTCGAAATTTTAAACTTATATTCTTTTAATGAGAGCGAAAGCAGTAATTAAAAAGGGCATGATTGGGGAGTGGGGGAGGTGTACAAAATTTACTTTAAAAATGGTACTGTTGACTGTTGGAGGCTTCTGATTTTTTTACGTTAAGCAAAATGGAAATAGTTGATTGAGACCCTAGAGAAGAATCATGTGATCTGAGTGAAAAGAAATCCACAGCGATTAGTCATCCAGTTGATGTCAAATAAATCACACAAAATGTTGCCTGTATATCGTGAAATGACTTTCTATTTTTTCCCCAGAGCAGACTACTCTTATCTTAGGTTGGTTTCCATGCATACCTAATTCCTGTTGTTTGGTGTCTGTGTGGACAGAATGATTGAAACAGCTGTGGACTTGCCTGACACTAAGTCATCAGCTATTGGAAAGAGTGCTTTGAACAAAGACATCATGCGCTGCCTGAAGGGAAGAGGAAGCCACAAACAGCATCAGAACATGAAGAAAATGTAGGTCACGGCTGCTACCCTGGTGATAGGGAGTACACTTTTATACCTTCATGACGTTGAAAGCATGAGAAGGATGCAGGGGGAATATACACCAGGAGACACATCATCTCTGAATACAAAGCGTAGAAATGTGTGTGTCTCAGACTTCCTTTTTCTTCTGAGTTAGCTCATTTAAGCAATCATATAATCGTACTTGGCGGATGGTGTGGGGCAGGGTGCATGTTTGTGCACTGTTACTGTGGAGATCTATTGCATATATTTTTAATTTTTACAATAGTTTTTGAAGGCTCTTTATATAAAAACAAAGCAAATACAAAACATTAATATACAAAGCATCAAGTCTTTAGCAAGTCTTTTGCCAAAATGAGCTTATTTCAGCATAAAGTGGAATAGCAAAATTTAAAGGAAGGGTAGGTGGCAACCTGATGAACTCCTTTCAATAAAAAGGATGTCCTAAATTTTCTTCTGTATTCATTTCTGTGCTTCCAATTTACTTGGCTCTAGATGTCTTAAATATGCTCCATGAACAGCTTTACTCGAAGGCACTAGGAATTTACAAAGGGGGAAAATTTTTAAAAAATATTGTCACACTGTTCTTTCTCCATGAAGTCCCACTTTCGCTCTTTGAGTGCTTCTTGCTGAATGTTTGCACAACATCCGGCTGCCTTTGCAGACGTGCCCTCCCACTCATCTCTATGGTTCCTTCTCTCCTTCCTTGGGCTGAGTCCTCCCCTCCTCTGGGGTCTTGATGCTTCCCAGAGCTCCTCCCTGGTAAAACTCTAAGCTGCTCTTGCAGGCTATAAGTTCATGCCCTTCCTTATGCATGGAGAATACTGGAAATAGAAGGCAGGTTATTTGTATCCATGACAATCCAGAACATTAAATTCGTCTGATAATGCTCTTTAACTTTTTGCAAGTTCTACCTGCTTTAGGCCCATCTGATAAGAATTTTAAAAAGAGGTTGGCAAACTATACCTGAGGATCAAATTCAGCCCACTGCCTCTTGTACAGCCTGTGTATTAAAGACCAATTTTATATTTTCAAATTGTTGAAAACAATTAAAAGAAGAATAATATTTCAAGACACATGAAAATCATGTGAAATTCCAATTTTGGCATCCACAAATAAAGTTTTATTGGGATTCCATTGCTTTCATTTGTTTATGTATTGTCTAAAATGTTGTTTTTGCACTACACTGGCAGAGTTGGCCTACAAAGCTGAAACATTCACTCTCTGGCTCTTTACAGAAAAAGTTTGTCAACCTCTGATTTAAACCAATTTTAAAATTTACATATTAATTTGCTAATGGTACACAAGAGAGAAAAATTTCCCAGGGCAGAAATTATATTTTTATCATTATTAAAACCTTAGTGGTTAACACAGTGATGTACTTGTAGCAGTTACTCAGTAGATATTTGTTGGAGAGATTTACAATGATCCAGCTTCTATGCAGCCTTTGGAAGAATATCTGTTTGGGGAAGCTTTGCCAGCAGGCAAGAGATTCATGTCTTTTCTCCTTAGCTTTTCTCTTCTCTGTATACATGTTGTGGAACATACACACCTAGAATGTAATCTTCTTTTTAACTGACCACAAAAATTTGGAATTTATCACACTTTCCACAATTGGAGATTTTATTCTAAAAATTATGTACTCTACTCAGAGGCTGTGTACTGGTTATCTATTACTGCATGCAAGTTACCCCAAACCCAGTGATTTAAAATAATAACCATTTTAATAAATTATTTATTTATATGACATACTTTTGTGGATTAGGAATTCAGGCAGGGCTTAGCTGGGGATTCTTCTGCTCCACACGGTTTCACTGGCATTACTGGAGAAGTATTCAGCCGGTGCCCAGGCTGCTCTGGAGGGTTCTGTGCCTGCTGCCTTGATGGGGATGGTGGGAAAGGGGGCTCAGCTGGCCCCTTCTCCATATAGTCTCAGGGCCTCTCCGTATGATCTCTTGAGCAAGGCAGTCAGAGCTGTGGCGGCTCAAAGCTCCCAGAGACCAAGGTGGAGACTGCCAGTTCTCTTAGAGTTAACGCCCAGAGGGCAGAGTGTCATTTCGGCCACACTGCATGCATCAAAGCAGTTACAAGCAAGCTCAGATTCAAAAGGAGGGGAAATAGACCCCATCTCTCAAAAGGAAGAGTGTTAAAGAATTTGTGGCCATCTTTAATCTGCCATAGGGCGCTTCTAGTTTGATTTTTAACTTCACTTATTTCCGTTATGTAGGACAGCCTCCTTTGTCCTTCTAACATATTATCTTTCTTAAACTGTCTTTTATGTTCTCATTTCTGAGCCCTGGAATTGTCAGGTGTCTAGACAAAGAGAGGACCAGCTCAGACTGGGCAGGGTTATGAGGGAATAGCCAAAGGACACTGGGTACCTTTTTCAGAAAGTGATTCTTCCCCAAAACAGTCTACTTCACCTCCTAAAATACTTAAAAGAGAAGCTAGGAGGCCTGCAGGCCCACCCTGAACCCCAGCTCTCCGGGAGAGAAGTTCTAAACTACATTCCTATATACTATACTTAAGGACATCTTACATAATATCATTTGGAAGATATACTTTTTTTTTTCTTTGAGGCAAGGTCTCACTCTGTCACCTAGGCCAGAGTACAGTGGTACAATCATGGCTCACTGCAGCCTTGGCCTCCTGGGCTCAAGTGATCCTCCCACCTCAGTCTCCCGAGTAGCTGGGACTACAGGTACCTGCCACCATGCTCAACTAATTTTTCTATTTTTTGTAGAGTGGGGTTCCACCCTGTTGCCCAGGCTGGTTTTGAACTCCTGGGCTCAAACAGTCTGCCCTTCTTAGCCTCCCAAACTGCTGGGATTACAGGTGTGAGCCACCACACCTGGCCTAATTTATTTTTTTCATTCATTGGAAAGAAGAATCAGCCCTGTCTTTCACTGTGTAGAAATAGCTAAAGAAAACACAAGCTAAGATAATGTCAGTTTAGGGCCTGGTTTATAGAATTTTTTGGAGAAAATCTAGTCACTTGTAACACACAAGAAGAACACAAATGATAAGCACACAGGATATAGATATTTAAATACATCAACATTTTATGGACAGGTAAGGTGTTCCAAACACTATAATATTTCTTCATCATCTGGGGCACTCCTTCTGCTGTGGTTTGATGACCAGAGAGGTCAGCAAGGTTATAGCCATATGTAGATTCACCAGCTGAAAGAGAAATCCAGACCCTTCTGCTGCCTTGCATCTGGTTTTGTAATTGTATTTCCTTTTCTTTCAGCTCTAGGCCTTGACCTGCCATAACAGTTGCTTTCTCTTTGTGCCCCGAGGGGAACTTGTTTTCTTCTCCCACAGCTAATGCCTGATAGCCTCCTTGTACATTTCCCCTGTTGGTCAGAGTTTTCAGTAACTGAAGCTGTTGTGGCCAACACTGAGCGGCCACAGCACATTGTCACTGTTGCATATAGGCTCCCGTACTTCCTTGTTCTATAAAAAGTCACATGAGGTTGTGGGGCCAGATTGTAAATTTTCTCCAGGCAACCATAAACTCTTAATGTTTTCACACAGAGAAAGGAAAGGGCCTGTCTTAGTGATGAAAATAGGAGTGTACGTTTTTCTTTTCTTTCTTTTCTCTCTGATGCAGAGATGGATCAGAGCAAGGTCTCTACATGGTGAAGCAGTTACTCAAAAAATTGAGGCTGGGACTGGAGAACTGGTCCGCGGTTCCTGTCTTTGTTGTTGGTGGTGTTAGGCATGTGTGTTTCGAGAACTTTGAACATGCAGAAGAGTTTGTACTTTTTGTGGCTTGTCTGGGTTCAAACAAATGTACAGCCTTGTGAAGAGTCATTTTCATTGGCTAAAAACGAACTCTGCTTTATTATTATCAGATAGTGTAAACAGAGATAGAACAAACCTTTGAAAAATGCTTTATAATGTAGTGGAGAGCTAAACCATTAATAATCCATCTTTAAAGATCTGAAAAACATCTGTGGTAAGATCTTGCCAGGAGGAGAGCTTTTCTATGAAACAGCTTTTCCTTTATTTTTCTTCATGGCAGAATTGATATTTAAGGGGGACCTTCTTGTTGAAAACAATTAAAAGAAGAATAATATTTCTTGACATGTGTTTTCATAGTCCTTAAACTCTCTTTTTCTTCAAAAATATTATATAGTTTCTGAAATTGGTGGATCCTCTTCGTTAACTCACTCTGAATTATTCATAGTCACTACGATTGTCCCTCAGTTAGGAGACTTTGGAAATCCCCCTGACATCCTTTCTTGCCAAATTTGTCTGGTTGCCTGCCTACAATATTTTTTTCCTAATCTGACTAGGCATCTCTGACTTACTTTAGCACATGCAGTGTTTCAGAGTCTGATATAGTAGCACGCTACACAATTTGAAAATAAGCTTTCCACTGGGACAGTGGCCTCAAATTGCCTCAAAGAACAATTCAAGTTCTTTAGATATGGAAAGGGAGCTCTGAAGAGCTATCATTTCTTACCTGGTATAAGCAGTTGGGGAACTAATCACTAGGAGTTTTATCCAAACTTCTCTTGGTTTTTCAGGAGTCATTGACAGGGTGGTTTTTAAATCTCAGCCCTCTGAAAAGACAAATTTTGTTCTTCATTCTCTTGAAATTCCAAAGAGGTTATATTACCCTGAATTCCCTTTCAGCTTCTTGTGGTGTCTACTTGCCGTCATCGCAACCTACCACCTTGGTACTAAACATGGGTCCCGGTCCCTCCGAGCTTTGCTGTGTGCTGGTGGCCAAGAAAGTCCTGATGAGACCTAAAAGAATAGAGCTGACAAGGGTGTTTGTAGTCTAATCAGTGACTCCTAAAGACTCCAAGCACAAAATTCAAAGGTTGACTTTTTACCAATGTACTTTCCTTTTATATTTTAGGATGACATCTTCACGAATCATAGGAAGGTAACCTTGACAGGATCTGAACTCAGAGCTGTTTAGAAAGATGAAAAAAATACACACTTTTATTTGCTTTTGGAAATGCTTGTCCCAGATCTGACAAGTGGCCACATGTGACCAGTTATGATGAAATGCAGGAAATAACTTACGATAACCCTGACTTAAGAATGTGAACATCCTCCAGCATGCTTAAGTCCAGCCTACTGGGTTCTTTTTGGAGTCTAAGGTCAGCTACAGCTTTTTGATCCATAGAACTTGATGTCCATTTCTGGGGAAGGATAATATGGTTTAGAAATTCCATTAAATGGCTAGAATGGTTACTGTTCTTTTTCAAGTCCAGGTATAAAGACAGAATTAAATACTTTTCCTTGTCATTATCCATACTTAACTTTCACAGTTTCATATTATTAAAAATAAATTGTGATTTACCTCTACCAACTTCCAAAAAGAAATCAAAGCAGAATGCAAAAGCATTGTCAATGCAGTGCCTCATGTTGATGCCACTGTCCTAAGATCTTCCTTGCAAAGAAAGGATGAATTTTTTTCTCAGCAAATTTCTTCTTCTGGCAACACCTTACACAAGGAATACTGAATACTTTATTTTTTAAAGTGGAATTGTGCCAAACTCTACCAGTTCTATCCAAGTAGAAAAAATAGATTTCCTCATTTTACACTGCCTCATGAACTATATGTATGTATACATGTGTTTCCTAATCTTCATAAATGTGAAGTTTTCTATTTTGCTTTCTCTTTCATATGACAGAACCATGTGATCAATGGAGGTTTCTGTGGCATTTCCTAGTCCTCTGATTCTTTCTAGCTCTTTGCATCTGAAAAGATAGAATGAGTATGAGTGGTTTAATGTCTTGTGCCAGTATCTTTCTGTTTATATTCTGTAGTTGGGCATAGTTCATTGCATTTATTAATTTTTGTTGGCTAATTTCAAACTGGTAATTTTAAGCCTGAAAGGCCTAAATGCCTTGCCTCTGATTGAAAGACACTCTGATGGCTTCAGAAATGCTGAATGAGTTACCCTCAATGTATTGTTAAAAGCAGTTATCTTCAGAGGCCACTTATTCAGGGTCCTTTGAAACACTGGGCTGTGTATTAGTCTATTCTCACACTGCTATTTAGGTTGGTGCAAAAGTAATTGAAAATAATGGCAAAGATTGCAATATAAATAACTACCTGAGACTGGGTCATTTATAAAGAAAAGAGGTTTAATTGAAGCATGGCTGGGGAGGCCTCAGTAAAATTATGGTCATGGTGGAAGGTGAAGAGGAAGGAGGCATGTCTTATATGGCCAAAGTAGCAGGAAGAGAGCGAAGTGGGAGGTGCGACACACTATTAAACAAGCAGATGTTGTGGCTGGGCACGGTGGCTCATGCCTGTAATCCCAGCACTTTGGGAGGCGGAGGTGGGTGGATCACGAGGTCAGGAGTTCAAGACCAGCCTGGCCAACATAGAGAAACCCAGTCTTTACTAAAAATACAAAAAATTAGCCGGGCATGGCGGCAGGCACCTGTAATCCCAGCTACTCAGGAGACTGAGGCAGGAGAATCACCTGAACCCAGGAGGCAGAGGTTGCAGTGAGCCAAGATCACACCATTGCACTCCAGCCCAGGGGAAAATGCGAGACTCCATCTCAAAAACAACAACAACAACAACAACAACAACAACAACAACAAGAAGCAGATCTTGTAAGAACGAACTCACTGTCATGAGAACAGCAAGGGGAAGTCTGTTCCCATGATCCAATCACATCCCACCAGGCCCCTCTTCCAGCACTGGAGAATTCGACATGAGATGTGGGTGAGGACACAGATCCAAACCATATTAGGCTCTTACTGTTAATCTTTCCTCAATGCATTAAAAGACTTGGGTTACAAATCCAAGCTAAGATTTTCACTCAGGAAATTCGTGCATAATCAGACATGCGAACTTTGTTTTTTCTCATTGTACCAGTCTATCAAGGGGCAGCTTAACCCCCTCGGCTTGTATAAGTCCTAGTTTTGGGTATTTACAGTATCTTGTCAGCTTAGCGATATATTCTTTTTTCCTAATATGGTTTCTCCTTTGCCTACAAAATTCCCAACTGCTCTAAGGCAATTGCAATCTGTCTTAGTCTGGTAGAAATGAAAAACCATTGCTTACCTTTAAACACCCAGAAAATTAAAAAACAAAAACAAAAACAAAAATAAAACCCGCTTTCTTCTTTTGTTTAGCTAAGACTCCTTCTCATTTTTTTTAATCTATTCCCCATTAAATCCTATTTCTTAACCCTTTCTTCACCACTCACTTTAAAGATCTCCACATATACCTTAAGGCAGAGATGTAGGCTGAATTTCAAACTCCTAACATCTTACTTACCAAAACTGTGGCAAGATTACACATGTGAGTTGCCTTTTCCTGGCCTTATTGTTCATTGACCCACAGAAGTGGTCTCCTGTGTCTGATACTCCTTTGACCATCACCCATCAACCAGGCAATCACCTTTGGGATTCATCAGTTGCCTAATGTTGCAGAATTTGACTTTAGGTCCAGGATCTTTGCCGTCTCTGGGGAAGTATACTGAAAAAGGCATTTTACATCAGGGGTCTACTAAAATTGTCAGCTTTCTAAACCTAAATTCATCTCTTCAGGTTTGTAATTCAGTTGCTCTAATAAACAGCAACACAAAAACAAAAGCAAGACAAAAAAAGAAACAAGTTCCTTACCTTCTTACAAATACACACCCTTGTGAAATCCGGTCTGGTCTCTGTACAGGCAGCACTATGTTGGTAAGCCATTATCTCTTACCATTCTTTCAAGCCCAATATGATTAATTTTATTCTTAAGAATAGAAAACTACAGCTATATGTATATGTGTATTATATATGTATATGTACATATACATATATGTATATATATACAGCTATATGTATATGTGTATTATATATGTATATTATATATGTGTGTATATTTTTTCCACAACACAATTTTAAAAATTGATTCTTCCCATGACATTGTTATAATTATCATCCTCATTAAATACTTGTGAAATATCTACCATATGAATTGCGATAGGCATTTAGGCACAATGGTGAGTGCAAGGAATTCTATAAATATATATGCACTCAGGGGCCTTGAATTTAAGTTGTTCAGGCAGATGCATTATTCACAAAGAGGTGAATGACTATCCAGATAGGACACTGTGAGTGCCCAAGTATCTGGAGAAGACTGGAGTTCATGCCATGCCTGTGGACATGCTAATGCTCTGAAGGGGTCTTAGCTTCTCTGAAGTGAAGTGATTGAAGGGTAGGGTAGAGTCGTGGTAGAGAACAGAACTGAAGCACAGGGTCTGAGGCAGGTGGGGGGATGGGGAGATGACTGCTTGACAGATTCTGTTTTTTTCAGAGAAGCATAGAGAAGATGAATCACCCTGACATAACACAAGTAGCCTAGGAGGAAGAGTTCTGTCTGTGGCCATGAGTTGTGTAGCCTCAGGCAAGTCATTTAATGTCTTGGAATTTTAGTTGCTATCTTTGTAAAATGAGGGTTGGTTTACTCTTTGAAATGGGGACAAGTTCTGAGGTGGAAGCTTAGCAGGAAAAGTCTAAGCAATTAATTTGTGAGACAGAAACTATACAGATTGCTTTCTGCTCGGTAATAAAACTATCAAAAGATCATCATTCTAAGGTACTGCCAGTTTGTAATCATGATTGGAGGATAGACTTGGTGGGAGGCTGTAACATATGTGTTAAGAAACACAGTGAAATGGAATTAATAAAACAGGTAAGATTAATAATGACAGGTCTTAGGTAGTTGGGGAAATGTCTGAGAGCTTAATCAATGAAGTGATAGAATCTGAAGTTTAAATTTATGATTTAGTTATCTTCTGAATGTTCTCATTATGATACAGTGAGTCTCCCAGACTGTGGCTTTTAGGCTAAGCAATATTATGCGTATTAAGGGACACAAGGGATTTGACTGTGTCAAGTTTCAGTAATGATGATTCTGAGAGCTCCATTAAACATCTCTGCTTTCCTCTGAGCTAGAAGGCAAATTAGGCAGCAGTAAATGAGGCTTGAAGGAAATAGAAATGAGCAGCAATGGTCACAGCGAAAGTGAGATGAGGCCATGCACACACAGGCATACAGGGAATGAGAAGCTATTTGAAAACGTGACTGGGAGGAAATGCTTTGTGAGAGGAGCCTTGGAGGAGAGATATGTGTGAATCATGGCCAAAAATCAGCTCAGTGGGAACCTAAAAAAACATGATGTACAAAACTTAAGGAGCTCAATTCCGCTTCAGCACTGTAGGGTGACTATAGTTAACAATAATTTATTGTATATTTCAAAATACCTGGAGGAGAAGACTTGAAATATTCCCAACACAAAGAAATGATAAGTATTTGAGGTGATGGATATACTAACTACCCTGACTTGATCACTATACATTGTACCCCATACATACGTACCTTTTTAAAAAACTGTACATAAAACTGTACAATATATAATGATATGTATATGTATACAATATATGATAATATGTACATGATAAATATGTATAATGACACATATGTATATACTTACCCCATACATATGTACAGTTTTTTAAAAATAAGGTAAAGGAAAGTCTAACAAGGATTGTGGCCTTGAAAATACTATAATTAAATCATTAATTCTCACCTTTAATTCACCTGGAAGAGTTTACCCTGCTCCCCTATCCCATCCCATTCCATTCCAATACACACATATTTTAGGTAAACTGATTGAAATTTTTTTTCTATTATGGAAGTTGGTTGTCCCAGGCCAAGAAAATAACCTACCCTAAAACTGTATTTAAATGCTTGAAAACTTGAGTCTCAAAAAGGGATGCAAATATGAAGTTATGTCCAAAATTCCCACTCATTAGAGAATGTAAATGAGAACAATATTGAGATAGCATCATTTTGCTGATCAGACTAGGGACAAATAATCATGCATAGATGGTATTGGCACTCCCACCCCCACATCCTTTTGGCCGATCCCAGAGTTTGTCTGCAGACATTTCTCAGACATGACAACAAATTCCTGCACCTTTCCTCCAGTGGGCTATCTTTGGACACAGGAGCATGCTTTGTCCCTGCACAGGTCAGATGGGAAGTAACTGAGCCAGAATGCCTTGGAGTACCTCCAAACTACTAAGGGCTGGTGAATAAATACTTCACATCTTTGCCTTTTGTTGGAACAATCCTAAGTTGTGTTCCATATGGCCTTTCCATGGGTCTCCAGAATAATTGAGCCCAATTGCCCATACAGTAGGGTAACCAACTTATCTCTGCTTTTCTAGAACTGTCCCAATTTTAGCATTGGAAATTCTGTGTCCTGGGACACCCCATTGATTCCATGCAAACTGTGATAGTTGACCACACTACGAATAGAGGTAACTGGCTAGTCAATGTTCTGTCTATTTGTTCCCCACTTCTTGTCTTACTCCTTGCAACCTCATAGTGATTCCTGGAATTAACTTCAAAATAAACTACAGATGCTCCCCCATTTACAATGGGGTTATGTCCTGATAAACCATTGTAAGTTGAAAATATGACTAAGTCAAAAATGCATTTAATATACCTAACCTACCAAACATCATACTTTAGCTTAGCCCACCTTAAACATGCTTGGAACACTTACATTGGCCTATAGTTGGGCAAAATCATCTGGCAACACAATGTACTGTACAGTACTGGTATTTTTACCTTTGTGTGGCTGAGTGAGAGCTGCAGCTTACTGCATGGCCCAGCATCATGTGAGAGAATCACACTGTTTTCTACTGAATGTCTATAGTTTGTGCACCATTGTAAAGTTGAAAAAGTATAAGTGGAATCATTGGAAGTCAGTGACCATCTGTATTGCCTTCACATTTTTGTCTCAGGACCTGCTTTCAGGGGAATTCAAGTGAAGCCAGTTGATGATATCCACACTGTGAGGGTGTAAAGAAATAAGGCGACTCATACATTGTGTGGAAAGCAGAAATTTTCATAGCCCTTTGGAGGGTAATTGAACAGGCTTATGAAGTAAGAAAGTAATATGAACTGTCAGTGTGACTCTAAAGCTCATGACTTGCATTTTAAAAATGCATACACTTTGAATCAGGAATTCTTTGTCTAAGACTTTCTTTAGTAGTAATGCCCAAATGAGCACAAAGATGTAAACATGAAGATGTCCTCTGTGGATTGTCACACAATAAAAAAAATTAAAAATATCTGTCAATGTATGTCAAAATATCACTAGTAGGGGAATGATTTAGCAAATTTGTAGTATAAGCATTCCATAAAACACTATGAAGCTATTAAAAAGCATGAGGTCAATTTGTATTATACTGGTAAGAGAGACGTTTATGATATATTAGTAAGCAAAGATAATCAAATTAAAAATGTGTATCATGCTTTCTATATATCTGCATTTTTTCTGTCTCTTCCTGGAAACACGTGTATACACACACACACACACACACAAACACGCAAACACACAAATTATTAACATAATACCACTGGAGTGGGAGTTGACTTGGAGGTGAAGGTGGAACAGAAGAGGTTATGAAGGAAATTGCCTCTGTTTATTTAACGATGATAATGATGAAGTTTCTTTTTACAATGGGTGCATATTATTTTTAAAATGGAAAAAATAGAAAATGCATTGCATTTGGAAATGAACACCTGAAGTATGCTTCATCATTTTAATTTTTCATAAACTCCATCAATATTGGCAGCAAGAGAACTCGAGATTTGAGCTGTATGTTCTTCTATCTTACATATACCAGTGTAAAAGTGTGTTGTAACCAAATTTAAGCATATAGGTAACCTAAAAGGTAATTCATTAGATAAATTGTCCTATTGGATAATTGGTAGATATCCAATGGCTGTTGACACCATTGTGTTATAATCAATTGCTTGCTCTTTTAAAGATGAGAAAGACCACATAGAACATATATTAGGCCGGTGCAAAAGTAATTGCAGTTTTTGCAATCGAAAGTAATTGTAATACTTCAAACACTCATTATAGTTTTCAAAAGCAAAGAAGAAAAACCATAATTACAAGGGCAAACAGGAAATTAAAATCAACTCTAGATGTATACCTAAACCTCTTCCATTTTTTTTGTTTCTTTATTCAGGAAATTAAATGATGTTGAATGACAAAGATCTGCAATCTCTCAAGTGGTTGAGAGGAAGTATGACATTGACTTAGGAGAAGACTATGGCAAATGATGCTGTAGTCAGGAAGAATGAATAGATTTGAAAAAATACAGAGAAAAACTAACCACAGAAAGAGTCAACTCATTGTTGCCTATGGGTGTTTTTGTCTCCAGTTTGTTTTCCATAGACTTCAATGAGTGTGGATGGGTTTGAGAGATTATGTACTCCCTAGTCACAGTGAATCTAACAATGAAGTAAGAAAGACATGTGGTTGGCGCTGAGAAACATGGTCTCTGCTTGGCCATGTGATTATGAGCAAAGCATCCTCAGCTTAACCTTCTGTAGACTGGGAATAATTATGTTAACTACAAGTTGCTCTGAAGATTAAATGAGAAAATGTACACCAAATCACTTGGTTTAGATAGCACTACTCGTGTTGATTTTTATTATTATTCTATTTCAATTTTTTAAAATTCTTGTGTTGGAGTGAATAATAGTAAGAAAACCAAAAAAACTTAAGTAATACATGATTTTTGTAAAACTGCTCCTCATGACCTTTAACATGATCAATGTGGCTGGTAGATATCCATGGATACTCAGGAGGAACAATTAAGCTGACATTGATAAGAAGCAGCAAATAGTGTCTATTAAACCTGCTTGGTTAATAATATAGGGTTAATTCATTCAACTGGTATTTATTAAGTATGAACTACGGTTCATGCACTGTTTTAGATGCTATGGACAGACAATATTGAGTACAACAGGGATTCCACCCCAACAACTTAGAATCTAGTGCAATTTAAAAGCATTAAAAATAACAATCATAATTCCAAATAGAATACCAACAGCTGGAATCAGTCAGTCCTTTTTCCTACTAAAATCTCTTTAATCATACCTCCAAAACATGGACCCTAACTATAAAAATACAGAGATTTTGTCCAGTTCTAAAGTTCTGTGAGCGATTACCCTCAACTTGGGTTTAGCAGGGAAGGCTTCACAGAAAACTACTTTTGAGTTCATCTTTGAAGAATGGGTAAGATTTCCCTAGGGAGGGAAGAGGAACATGGCTTTTCAGGCTGTGGGAAGTATGCAATTTCTCTGGCAAGTGTCAAGGGTGGAAGGATGAAAGGGGGATTGAAAGTGGAAATTTGTAATCACGTGTTGTCACTAGCCAAATTCTCTGTCTCAATTGTCTTTATCCTCTCTTCACCCAGCACTAAGATGCTAGAAGAGCTGATTCTTCTTACTCTTAGGTGACATCTTACAAGCTAATGTGAATGGAGGACCACTGAAAGATCCTCCTAACCTCCAAATTCTAGGACCGCAAATCTGCTGAAATGCCAAAATTTCCATCATGAGGATTAGGGCTTCAAATTAAGTCATGGAGGGCATTCTTTTAAAGATATTCATAAAATTGGTGGTGGTGGCTTGGTTAGTGACCAAGATGATAACATTTTTCTATGAAATCACTCATCTAAGTTAGAAGGATGTAGGGATTTCCTAAATATGAAAGAGAAAAAGAGGAATGGGCTGGGGCAGTAGTCCTTGCCTTGAAATTCCTGAACTCACTGGGGTTTAAGAAACTTAACATCAATTGGTATAATGATAATAATGCCAATGATTACCATAGCAGCAAAAGCAACAGCAAAAACAATGAAAAATTTGTTTTCATTGGGTGCTTATGTTATGCCTGTGTTTTACATACTTTCTTTATTGTCACCATACCTTATGGGCTTGATTTATTATTCTCACCTTCTAGATAAAGGAACTGAGACTTGAAGAGGTTAAATAACTTATTAAAGATCGCAGAACCAGTTAGTGGCATAACTAGAATATGAACTTCTGTTAGTGTGACTCCAAAGCCCATGACTTGAGAACATCAAGTCACCAAGGGGACAATCAAAACAAACACTGTTTACACCATATCTTTATGTACATTCAGACCTGGGTACATAAGAGGATCATGCCAAATAAGGGATAGGTAGTGGTAGAGCCATGGCTCCAGTCCCCTTCTTTGGTCACCCTTGGTTATGGATAAGTTATGGATACTAGGAAGCACTTTGAATCAATCCCAGTGTGTTTTCACTCTGAGGTTTCTGTGGTAGATTGTGATTGTAGTGGTCTTCTCCTGCTTGTGTGTACCCTCTTTATGACAACTACTAACAGCTTGCCTTTCTTTGTCTGAGTATTGCTATGTTTAAACAACAGTATAGGGAAAGCAATATGGTACTAATTAGGGCATTCCAGGAATGGGTAAATTCCAGTCTATACTGGGCTACTTCAGTCAGGTAAAAGCAGGTTATGTGATTACCACCATGGACTATTATTCTAACCAGTGGTCATTTTGCCCTCATGGACAATGTCTGGAGGCATTTTTGATCATCACAAGGAGGATGGGGATGCTTTTGTCATACAGTTTGTAGCGGCTAAAGATGCTGCTAAACATCTGAAAATGCACAGAACAGCCCCCAAAGCAATTATCTGGCCTAGAATGTCAGTGGTGCCAAGGTTGAGAAACCCTCTACTAATAAGACACGTTGGAAATTAATGTCATTTTTACAAAAATTTCTATATGGCAATTAGAGGAAAATGAGCATATTTTTATTCCTCCTTCCAAAGTTATTGTTATTCTTTCACAACAGTCATGCTATTGTATGTGAAATGGGGTTTACTCACATTGAAGATATTGTTACGGTTTTTTTTTTTTTTTTTTTTTTTTGGAACTTGCTTGGGCTGCATGTGTTTCCTGGAAGCAGAGGTATAAGATTGTGTATCTTCCTTATCCTGGGTTTAAGAACATCAAGAATATACTTAAAAGCCAGCTTTTCCCCACTACATAGCATCAAGGCAAAAGAAATACAGTTTCTTCAGGACTAATTTGACACTGACTCTTTTGCATCTTATTCAACTCTTCACAGGCATAAATAATGATTGGCAAGAGCAGGACGAACAGCTGCAAGCAGTGTTGCAGTCATGTGTCCAACATGTGAGAGCAGTTTTACAATAACATCAGGAGTCCTTGGAAAGATGCCTTTTTCTTTCATAAAATAATAATAGCAGAGTCAGATGATACCACTGTCCAGGTAAACTCCTTGTCTCCCGTTTTCTAGAGAGCCCTGCTCTTAAAAAACGTGGAAAGAACTCTTGGTACTTCGTTCTCGTCATCTTTCCAGATGAAAATCTGTAACTCCCATTCCCTATTATAATTAGCCAAATAACGTAGTGTTATTATGTAAATAGTGCCTTATGTAAATGTTGCAATTCTAAGTTGTCATGTCTGGTGGAAATATAGAATTGTTTCTTTATTATCTATATATCTTCATCTGTAATCTATATATACAGTACTTTAAGAAAATGAAATCCAATCTTTCTTTTGTCTAAATAACTCACATTCTTTGGCTTTTCCCTGAAGGCTTTATTTCCAACCCTTTAATCATATATCAATCATATTCCTGCAATGCTTGTCATAAGTGCACATTTCTGCGCCTTATTCCTCAGGCTCCTAAATCGGAATCTCAAGAAAGTGGGGTCCTGGGAATCTGTAGTTTTTACAAGACTCCTAGGTGATTTTTATACGCTGCAGGTTTTGACAACCACCAGCATAGTGAGTTGGCCTTCTCTCAGATTATTTTAATGAGCTTTTCCAGCTGCTTTGGAGAGTAGCTTTGCTTTCCACGTTATCTGGTTGTCTTACCCAAACAGCTATCTGTTCTCCTTGGTCTTCAGTTATTCACAGACAAAATGAAAATGGTAATCTTACCAACACATAATGAGAATGTCTGGAAAATTGAATTCATACTGCTGTTAATGAAAGAGCACATAAATGTTTGAAATATGCGTTTTTTTTTTAAAAAAAAGAAATGGCTGAAGGAAAACACATCTGTCTCCATTTGGAACTGATATACTTCAATCAGTCTTTGCCTCATAAGAGTATTTGTCTTATTATAATAGCAAATATACACTAGTAATACAAATGTATGCTTTATTATGTTTTAGGAGACACATATGTGCTTTATTTTAATTCTTACCGTGGCAACTCTTAAAAGATACACATTTGTAAAGTGTTTGCTTCAAGTCAATCCTCTTTTAGGCATGATGTCCTTACAGCAATTTCCATCATCATTAGGCCTAGAAGTATAAAGTACAGTTGCTTGGTGTGTGTGGAAGAAATAGGATAGATTCATAAACCATCAAATTGTCCTTCAGCTCTCTGCATAAGACGAACTGAAGAGAGTGCCTCAGGATAGAGAGACAGTTGGGACAATTTCACCATGTTTTTATAATGCTACACAGTCTTGATTTAGAGGGACCCGGACTTTGACATTTTCTAATTCTACATTCTAAGCATCGGCAATTCAAGTTTCAGTAATGGCTCTGGAATTTGTATCTAAACTTGGTATAAGATTTCAAGATCATGTTGTATTGAGATTAAGGGCTGAACAGATGAAACATTCTGTTAAAAAAAGGACCCAAGGACAGGAAAGATGTTTCTGCTCCTCAATGTTTTGCTCTTACTTGAAGTACCTTTTTGGTTGCTTTTACTTTTTCAAAGTAAATTTTCAAATTATCAAGCTATCTTTGTCTTGATAATTTGAAGATCCAATTAATTATTGTACATTGAACATAATGTGCACATTGTGAGCACACATAAAGGAATGTTAAGGAGAATAGTATGTTGTCTAGGTACGGATATGTATAGAAGGAAACCATACAACGATGACCCCCAGGATCCCTTGGGTCTAGAAGCCATCACTGCTCCTGGAACTTTGCCCCTAGCCTGGCTGAACAGGGTAATGCCCTGAGGACACCCACTGTCCAATCCCTACTGAATGATGTTGAAATTGAGGATTCAGTCATGGAATCTGCCTTCCTTGGATATCAAATGAAGTCTGAAATGGGAACTAATTTACTGAGAGCCTAACTCATGGAGAATACAGAGGCACAATCCTTCTAGGTATTAGTTCAGGGGGGATAAGGATATATGGAGAGACCCTGAAGGACCACTCGGGGCCGTCTGGTGTGGATGAGCTAAATAGTACATATTAGTCAATATTTGAATGCATTTAGCAAGGATACCAGTAAGAATGACAACAAAATATTAAAAATGCCACACTGACTGCATCCTGATGGCCACTGGCACCACACTCAACATTGCCGAGGACACTGTACACTAATGATGATGAAGGTAACTGAACTTTAAACATGTGATAACTTTTTTCAAGCCTCACGGTAATCTCTGTTAGTTTTCTACTAACTTCCCCCTTTAAAACACGAAGAAATTGAGGCTTAGCTATGTTAACTCTTCTAAGATCACACAACCAGTAGGGTTGGGCCTGATTCTGACCCAGGCTGTCCAATTTCAGTTTGTGCTCCTACTGCAATGCTTGATGTTGTCTTAGGGAGACCATCTGCAGAAACTTACAAGCAGATAAATGGGAGTGAGCTGGTCTAATTGTGTTTGTGGGATTAAGAAATAGTTGACTACCATTATTTAGGAACTGGCACCTGGGAGTTCAGGACCTTAAAATCCTCCCCAAAACTTCTAGAATCTTTCATTTGCAGCTAGAGAAGGTAAGTTGCATTGTCAAACACTCCCTATTCCTTCACTATTCCAGAGCTAAACACATAGGTAATGTTTACTCATTTGATTCTCAGATGGCTAGAATGACCCCAATAACTTTCTGTTATTCTATTATTAGGCATTTTGCCATGTCCTGCCTGATCTGTTGCATATTTCTGTGTTGGGTCTCTCTGGGTACTGTCTACTGGGGTAAGAAATGTGATGGGAATAAACCTGTCTTATATCAGAGATGTCCTGATCCCTATGCAGAAGAGTGCTCATCTGTGATAATGCCATGGCTGGCTTCCTCAGTGGAAGCTCTAATACACTTCAGACTCAGGCTGGCATTTATCTATTTCCTCACATTCTACCTACTTGTCATTTGTTCTAGGCAGAAGCTTGACTTTCCTTGATTATATATTTCCTGCCTAGCCACAAGGAAATTACTGCTTGTATTTCCTATTCAATCCCTGAAACTTAGATTTAGTCTTTTAAAACAATGCTTACATTTCCTGTTTGTTTATTTGCCTTCCAAATCAGCCCCGTATAATTATATATTTAGCCTTTGCCTGACAGTGAGGGCTGTGGGACATCTGCCCCAGCTAAACATGGATGTTTTTATTTTCATTTCCTAATCTACCCATCGCTTTGAGAACAAACTCTGTCTAGACTTTCTTCCCTAAGTTCTAAACTGGGTTTGGAATATATAAAAACATTATCTATCTTTGAATTCCTGATGTTTCAAACCCTACGTGGGAGATGCTTAATAAATATTTATGAAAAAAAGAATGAGCTTAAAATGGATTAGAAGATTAGATTCTTCAGGTAAAGAACTTCATAATCAACTACCCATGGGGACTTTCATATTATCCACTGTTTTGCTATGTCTTGGAGGTCTACTATGGTACTGCATTCCATGTATTGTTTTGTGATGTTGATTTGCACAGGCTTGTACTGTGCAGTGGAGTCTGAGTGTAATGTTTGGCAAATAGGAGGGATCTTTAATTTGCTTTCAATGATTCAAACATATTTCCATAACAACTGTTTTGTTTGCTTCCTTGTTTTGTTTTATTTTTAGTAATTTAGGTTTGCTTAATCACAGACTGGTCTGTTATATCTTGCATATTTGAATTTTTATACAGCTTCTCTTTTACTGTATGTTATTTGGTCATTTGGCTGTACAAGTGGAAGAACCAACTTTATAATTACTTACATATATCTAAATCCCACAGATTTTACTTTTCTGACACTTTTAAACAATATTCTGGGAAAAAAAGTCAGCCAAAATAGTTTACTACATGGGTTAATAAATCTCAATCCAAATATGCAATTATAGGTATAGCCTAAGGTATTTAAAATTACTATCCTAGGGTTGAAAAATTGCTGCAGCAATTCCTTGATGGACTTATCTGTGCTTGATTAGGATCTTCTATATGACCGTATAAAGGACTTTAGTGTTCTTGCAGGTTATAGGCAGGGTTTGTCTAATGTTTATTCATGTGCAGATCATTAATTATGAATTACAACGATGATGGGCATGTTTTGGCAGGGGCTACTGAGTGCAAGAGAGGCACCCTGGGTCATTCCCAGACATGATCTCAATTATCTTCTACTTCTCTATGCTAACCTTGTATAGGGTGAAAACTTTGGAACTTTTTACAACAGTTTCCATGCTGAATGAAGTGGAAAGAATGTTGGCCTGGGAATCTAAAAGCCTGGATTTCAGGTTCTACTCTACACTAACAAGTGGTGGGACTTTTAATCTCTTTGCCTCAGTCCTTCCTTACCTGTTAAAGTAATATAAAGTTTCAACTACATGACCTCTCACAATGCTTTTAGCACAGACGTGCTGTGAAGTAAATGTGTTTTATTCATATCCCTGAGTTTGGGACAATATTTTCTTCTTGAGTAATGGAAAATTGAGCTGGCCTGGGAATCTAAAAGCCTGGATTTCAGGTTCTACTCTACACTAACAAGCGATGTGACTTTTAGAAAATCTCTCGGCCTCAGGCCTTCCTCACCTGTTAAAGTAATATAAAGTTTCAACTAAATGACCTCTCACAATGTTTTTGGCACAGACATGCTGTGAGGTAAATGTGTTTTATTCATATCCTTGAGTTTGGAACAATATTATCTTCTTGAGCAGTGGAAAATTGAGCTAGTCTTTATGTAGCCAAAGAGAACCTGGGGCTGCCTGTTGCCTTTAATCCAATCAGGAAGCAGTTGGACACAAACTCCTGGGAGCATAAAAGATAAAGTAGCTAATAATGATGTGACAACCATAGTGTATGACCAATTACTAAGTGCCAGGTGATATGCGGTGTTCAGATATTATCTTATTTATTCTTACCACAACACTGTGAAGCAGATTTTTACATGTGAGGAAATTGAGGTCTAGAGAGCTTAATAACTTGCCAAAGATCATGAGCCTGATAATTGCCTGAACCAGAATTCAAATTCAGGTTCGGCCTGAGTCTAACAGCCGACTTTGAT
Source organism: Homo sapiens (assembly GCF_000001405.40). Taxonomy (NCBI): domain Eukaryota; kingdom Metazoa; phylum Chordata; class Mammalia; order Primates; family Hominidae; genus Homo; species Homo sapiens. The sequence goes on along the minus strand of NC_000005.10, from coordinate 40,390,355 downwards.
CTCTTAAGCTCCACTGCCTCTATCTGCAAAACTCTCTTCTTCAATTAAAAAATATTTATTGTGGATGTACAATGTATCAGGCATTGCTCTGGAGTAGATGCTTGGGATAGATCAGAGAACAAATAAAAAGCCTTTCCTCATGGAGCTTCTATTTTAGCCAGGAGAGAGTACAGTATCAGTAGACATAATAAATAAATAAGTTATATGGAAGTTTAGCATGTTGTGAGTAATATGGAAAAAGAAAAGCAAAGCTAGGTGAAGGGAGTTGGGAATGTGGTGAATGCAGTGAGGTGGATTATAATTTTCAGTTGAGTGTTCAGGTGGGCATCATTGGGATGGTAAATCTTGATAAAAATCTTGAAGGAGGAAAGGGAATTAATTATATGGCTACCTGGTAGAAGAGCATTTGGGGCAGAGAGAACAGCAGGGCCCTAAGTGGGGGAGAGTGCCTGGTTTTAGCAAGTCAGTTATGTATGACAAAGAAAACGTCACAATGAAGAGGACATTGAGATCCAAATTTAGACCCTGACATTCCTTCTCATGGTGTGTTTATTTGTTTTAGAAGCAGGTTGACTCTTCTTTCTTCTTGTCATTTCTTTCTTCTCGTCAGTACATTCCATCCTGCTTACCCAAAAGCCTACTCAAAAAGTTTCTTGTTTCCCGCAAGAGGCTTTATTTTACTTTGATCTAATTTAGTAGTTCTCAAGCTTTCTGATCCGTGGACACTTTTATGCTCTTAGCCAAGGATAGAAGTCACTGCCATAGGGAGCGGGTCAACATGTAGCCCAGACTCTGGAAAGAAAGAATTCTCTCATCCAACCCTCCCCAGTATTGTCCTTACATAGCTAGAAGTGAGGGGCTCAATCAATATTCTATGCCTTAAGACAGTGCCGCTTCATCTTTAGTGTGCCTCCAAATCACCTGGAGATCTTGTTAAAATGCAAATTCCAGTTTGGTAGGTCCAGCATGGGGCCTGGGATTCTGCATGTTTTATGAACCCACAGACCACACTTTAGTTAGTGAGGATCCAGGGGTGAAATTCAGCACCCCAAAGTTGGTTTGACCCTACACTTCTAGCTAGTGCTCTACTATCCAGCACAACCAAGCTTGCTAAATTATGCATCATCAGAAGATGAGGGACATTGAATAAAAAAAAAATGGACAATGCCACCCTCAGAGCAATCCAGTGGGCCTTATCAACCATATTCTATGATGCTCAGTGTCTTCGTCTACCTCCTGCCTAAAACCTCCAGTAGCTTCCTGATTACCTGAAAACATAATTCAGACTCCTTGCCCTGGCTCACAAGACCCTCAGCAGCCTGGCCTCTGTGTATTTCTTTGACCTTCACTATAGTAATTTCCCCTTACTCACCACAATGCAGCTACTGTGACATCATTTGAGTTCTAGAAGCTGCTTGAATTCTCAGTGTATTTGGCTATGGCTGTCAAATAGGCATTCTAATCACTTGCTTAGTGTATAGCAAAGATACTTTAAAAGAACTTCAAAAACAATTTTGCAAAGAATTTATTTAACAAATGCAATAAAGTTGTGAGAAAAAGGAAAGATTTTTAGATTTTTAGAAACACCTATTCAATCAGAAATTTTTTATTACAGACCTACTGAGTGCCAGGTGTCCTGTTAGACATTTGAGAAATGTAAATGAACAAAAAGATTGCGAGGATTCCAGCATGGGAGAAAGACAGTAAACAATAAACAGAATAAGTAAATTAGGTGGTACTTTAAAAATATAATAAGTACTATGAAAAAACCAATCAGGCAGAGAGAAGAAGGTTGAGAAAGAGGAACCCAGATGGGAGGGAGCAGATAACATCTGGGCAAAGACCAGGGGAGACAAGAGTGGGGAAGTTATGCATTCAGATGATGTTGGGGAAAGACACTTAGTGCGAAGGGCCTAAGGCTGTCAGCTGGACTGGAGCAAAGTAGGTGATGTGTTCATGAAGATAATAGAGTGTGTGTGTGCGTGTGTGCGCACACGCATGTGTGTGAGAGAGAGATCATGTAGGGCCAACGATTTTAGATTTATGTATATATATATTTTTTCAAAAGTTAATTATGAAGGAGGAAGGACCATAAAATATTTAAAGTTCAAATTTCTCTAGTTCCTACTTTCTTAGGGGATTAGTTTTAGGGAGAACTTTTTTTTTTTTTTTTTTTTTTTGAGATGGAGTCTAGCCCTGTTGCCCAGGCTGGAGTGCAATGGCGCCATCTCACTGCAAACTCTGCCTCACAGGTTCAAATGATTCTCCTGCCTCAGCCTCCTGAGTAGCTGGGCTTACAGGCGCCCACCACCATGCCCAGCTAATTTTTGTATTTTTAGTAGAGACGGGGTTTCATCATGTTGGCCAGGCTGGTCTCGAACTCCTGATCTCGTGATCTGCCTGCCTCAGCCTCCCAAAGTGCTGGGATTACAGGTGTGAACCACCGCACCTGGCTGAGAAGTTGTTTTAATCTATGTCATTTTGTAATCTGTACAAATTTATTTTAAAGTGATTTAAGTTATATATTGGTAAAAATTAAATAGTTGAATGAAACAGGTTTCCCTAAGATGACCCAGTAACAGAAAAATTTGTTTCCTGCTTGGAGTGCAAACAGAAAGGACTTAGTTTATGTCTCCTTTAACCATGCCCCCATGCCCTTGATAAAAGAGCTGCTTCTACCTCAGCTGAATGGGAAGTCATTTTGATTGAGTCTGGAAGGGGAATCGTTGGTGGTGGGACTGTCTTCTGAGTGGGGAACAACTGCCCAGGTCTGATGAGGCTCCCTGGGCCATCTGGAGAGTTGAAGTGTGTAGCATTATGTGGAACGGGACGTAAAATTCTCCAGAGGAAACCAGAGCAGCAGCTTCAGCATCACTGGACACTTGTTGGAAATGCCAGTTCCCAGGTCTGGAGGTGATGAGTGTTGGCAGTACAGAGACGAATGAATGAGGGGCCTCTGTCCATTCCACTAGAAAAAGAGGTTCTTGACCCTGGCAGCACCTTATAATCCACAGGGAACTTAAAACAAAACAAAATGAACAACCGATGCCACGGCTTCTGTACCAGAGATTCCAATTTAATTAATCTGGGGATAAACCAAGAACATCAGTATTTTTAACTCTCCTAAAGTGTTTCTAATGAGCAGAATCAGTGTAATAGAACAGATTTCTTAACTTCCACACTATTGACACTTTGGACTGGAGAGTCTTTTGTTGTAGCAAGCAGTCCTGTGCATTATAGGATGTTTAGCAGCATCTTGGCCTTTACTTACAGAACCCCTGACCCCATCTGTAAAAATCAAAAATGTCTTCGAATATTGCCAAATGTCTGCTAGGGGGCAAAATTGCCTCACTTGAAAACCATTGCTCTATAGCAATAATTCTCAAAGGTTAGTGCAACATTGCCCAGTAGAAACATAATGCTAACCATTACAAGCATATGTAATTAAAAAATTTTTAGTAGCCACATTAAAATAAGCAAAATGAAACAGGTGAAACTAATCTTAATAATATAATTTAATTCCTATATCCAAGATAGTATTTCCACATGCACTTAATATAAAAAATATTAATAAGGGATTTTTATATTCTTTTTTCAAGTCCTTGAAATCTAGCATATAATTTATCCTAACAGCATATTTCAATTCAAACTAGCCACATTTTGAGTGCTCAATTGCCACATGTGGCTCATGACTAGTATTGGATGAATGGGGTTTAGCAGGCGTCATAATCACCTTGAGAGTTTGTTAAAATATAGAGTGTTGGCATCCTTGCCGCCCTGTCCCCCTCTCCAGCTTTTGATTCGGTAGGTCTGGGGTGAGGCTTGAGAATTTGCATTTCTAAGAAGTTTCCCAGTAACACTGTAGCTGCTGGTCTGGTGACCACACTTAGAGAACTACAACCACAGATGTAGAGAAACCCTAGAGGCTTGTTATTAAAAAATGTGGTTTGTGGAGCAGCAACAGCAGCAGCAGCTGGGAGCCTGTAAAAAATGCATAGTCCCAGACTCTCCCCAAGACATATCAAATCTGCATTTAGTACTGGAATCTATGTTTCTTTTTTTTTTTTAAAACAGGATCCCCAAGTGATCACATTAAAATTAGAACATAAGACCACCTTGAGTAAAACTTTCCCTGTTAGTGTCTATCTTAGTGTTTTCTTCTTAGGACTTTTCTCAGTTCTTCTCTATTTTTCCCATGAGAATCAAGAATGTAGAATCTTGGTTGCTTTTTTAATTTTTCTGCTAACCATTCTCTATCAAGGGTCTAGTACAGTGCATTCACATAAAAGGCACTTACATAACTATGGAATTAGTGATACTATAAAAGAAGAGAAGGCTGGGACAATGGTTAGATACCTTCTTTGGCTTTAAAGATTTGAATAAAAATGTGTTTCTAGATGAGTTGAATACTGGAGTTCAGGAGCTGATTTTGCAGCTCCTGCAGGCTGGAAGTTTGAATGGTCCTTTCCTTGAGCTTCACCTGTACCCAGGGGGTATGGGTGACTCACTTGGCAAAAATTGCCTTGTGTGGTGCTTGTTCTCAGCCTGCTTGCCAGATTCCTCTTCCTGGCAAGGTAGGGCCCCATTCTTTTTCCTTTTGAGGAGTGGAAATAGTCTGGTGTTTGTGGATCACCAGCATCCAGGAAGTGCTCCTGGGATAGCCCTACTTCAGAACTGTGAGTGATGTTTAAAGTGTTGGTGACCACACAGGTTTCTTCACACTTCTGCAGCCAGCTGGCATTCCAAACTCATCATGCTCAAATTGACTCAGTCCTAAATAACCAAACACTGTGAGAGGGTGGAAATTTGGTTTCCAAAGGGAGTTACTGAAGTTACAAATCCTGACTAAAGTATATATTTTTCACATATAAAAATAGTCTCTGGGCTCTTGGATCAGTTTTATTTTTTTTCTTATGCTTTTAATCATAGAAAATAGTCTCCCCATACTTCTTTTGGGAAACATAGTACGTTTTTTTTTTCTCCTCCGTTGATATTTAGTGCTAAGAGTGAATTTACCAAAGGGTTTGTGAATTCTGTCTGTATATCTTAATGTGCACCCACAACTTTGTAGACAGATGGAAAGATGAAGTAATTCAGAGGTTCAAAAGAAAAAAAAAAGCAGAAATGAGCAACATTTCATAATCTTCTTTGCAACTGGCTTCATTGACCTTTTTCTTACTTAGCTTCCTTCCCTTCACGGCAAGCTTTTGAAAAAATTGGGGACAATGTAATAGTGAAGTGACTATTCTATGTTTTACAGGAAGATTTAAATGAGAAACAATTGCATTGACCAAATTAATGAGCTAGATTGTAGTAGGGCAAAGGTTGCCTGGGGTGTATGCAGGGGGAGGGCAGGAGGGATTCAGCTGAATGAAGTGACAGCCCTCTTTGTTAACTTCAGACCTGGAGGTGTGCTACAGTGTTTTGTCATTGAAGGGTGTATCATCTTAAGGGCATGTAATTTGCTATTAGTTCTCAATTTCAAGCTATTTCCCTCTTAAATCTGAAAAAGTACCAATCTGAGGAGATTATGCCAGGTATATACTGAGTGAATGCTTCACAAGTGAGGCTCATCCAACATTATGGTGAACATTACTATTTAGTCTCTATAAAATTATATCAGAAAGTGAGAAGTATAGATGAGATTTGCTCCAATTCACTCAATGAATCTGGCAGGTTGGAAATAGGCTATTACACTAGACTTCCTGATGGTTTAGTGGGAATTCCTTTGCTTATGAAGCATCCATTATTGCCTGAGGCATTACTAGTGATTAGAAGGGAAATATTTCTGCTCCAATGCCTTTTGCTTCAGCAACCATAGTTTAGCCACGCAAGGGGGAATCACCTTTGCTCTGGTTTCTTGTCTTAGTGTGAAAAGTCCCTGAGCAGCAGCCTACCTCTCCCTTCTCCTCATATTTAATCAGTGAACACTGATGGGGTAGCTTCAAGAGTAGGTACTGTACTAAAGCAAAGGCTGGTGGTTATGTTGGCAAAATAGAAAATGAAAATAAAGGAAACCCTATACAGTAAGTCCTCACTTAATGTTGTTGATAGGTTCTTGGAAACTGTGACTTGAAACAAAACAACATAGAATGAAACCAATGTTTTATTCTTATCAAGGATGTTGAAAGAAATGATATTATTCAAAGACCTGTTGTATGTCATTTCACTTTAAGTCACAGTTTCCAAGAACCTATCGACAGCATTAAGTGGACTTACTGTATATCATAAAGTGGAAAGTTTGGCACAGTAGTTACAAAGGGCAAGAGACGAGAAATATGAGGCTAAATTAAACAAGGGCTAAAATTTTAGATGTTATTTAGCAGAAAAGTTATGGTAAGGGAAATATTATTTGGGATTGTGCTTCTTCTATACATTACCTCATTCATCTCTATGGTAACCCTAAAGACACATTGCACAGGCATTCTTCCCAATGAATGCATGAGGAATCTGAGGCATGAGACATTTAGTTACATAACTGACTCTCCAGCTCATTTAAGGCTGGAGATAAAGTGAGAGCCAGAACTTTGGTTCTGAATTTTCTTTGAAAGATTTTCTGGGATCTCTTCTAGCTGTGTGATTGTTATGTGTAGTTTTAAGCATTTATGAGCATCTTACCACCATTCCCAAGAAAATGATCTATGAAGAAAATTGTCTTAATCAGCTCAGGCTGCTACAACAAAATACCATAGACTAAACAAAATACTATGCAATTTGAAGGCTGGGAAGTCTAAGATCAGAGCACTGGTAGATCTGGTATCTGGTGAGTGCACTCTTCCTAGTTTGCAGACAGCTGTTTTTTTGTTATATCTTAACATGGCAGAGAGAGATGATCTCTTGTTTGCCTCTTATTATAGAGGCACTAATCTCATTCATGGTGGAGGATGAATGAGATTAGGGGATGGTTCCACCATCATGACCTAGTAAGTTCCCAAAAGTCCAACCTCCCAATACCATCACATTGGGGATATAGGCTTTAATATGAATTTTGGGAGGACACAAATATTCAGTCCATAGCAGTTGTGATGTACAATATCTCTTCATATCATTTTAAAAAAGGAACAATGGATAGGCTTTTAAATTTGTGTCTTAGCTGTCTTTCATCTAAAATTACCAGTTCTCAAGTACTCTGCAATTTAACTGCTTTCAGAATTTCACTGCCTATCTATTGATGGCATTTTAACTTTCTGGAGCCTGGCAGCCACAGTCACTTAATTAAAAACATATTTGTTTTATTAATAAAGTAGTTACCATTATTTATTATTCAATTTTCAAAATATGGTTGATAATGAACACTCATGGTTTCTTGTTGAAGCAGGTAAATTAGGAAGAAGATCAAGTCTCTCTGAGTTGAATTTACCTTATAATCAGCCTGAAAGCAAAATAAACAATATAGTGTTCTAGTGTTTGAAGGACATGCCATCATTTGCTAAGAAAACATTTAGGTTTTTGAAGATTTTGTAAAACAGTTTGATCCTCTATAGTGCATATTTTGTTACACACATTTTTTTTTTTTTTTTGCTGTGGTCACTAGTAGTGAGGGAGATGTTTATTGGGCTAAACCTAAGGAACTTCGATCACATTGGAAAAATGAGAAGAACAAATAGCAACAAATCCTCCACACATACTGATTGACTTGGACACAGTCTCTTCAGTTTACCTGTGACAGTGTCACCATGGATCATCCTGCAGGCATCTGTTTATCCTCCTTCTGTCAACCTTCAAGTAAAGGCTGTATCTGGAATGTCCTACATTTCCCCATTTATGATCTTTCAGCCCAGATTTATCTTAAATCGACTGAGATTTTCAGCCTATATAACCTTTAGGGATAATAATATCTGGAAGTTTGTCACCCTGTAACCAAAGTAGCACTTTATAATTGAATCAATAGACTTGATTGCATTCTCTAAGAGATTCAGTCTGAAATTTTGTCTAGTTAGAGTCATAGGTCTGTTTCTCTGAAGGAGGTAAAAGAGGATTCATCCAGCCAGTTGTGACTCTCAGGTAAGAAATTTACTTAAGTAATCCATGTGTACTCTCCACCTGTGAGTCTTTAGGTGGCAGTTATAATTTGGTACATAGATGACCTTGTAAGTTTGTTTTAGTCATAGATACTTTACATAAACATAAGTGTAACAGAGGATATTTATTCATCATAAAGTAATGTTCTTCTGGTGGCCACACCTTTAAGGAACATAATATAGCACAGCTTTAGAATGAAATAGTTACCAGATGACATCTTTAAGTGACTCATTGTTTTTTGAAGATCTTGGGGATAAAAGTTCAAATGATATAACTTCCAGGCAAGGGCAATTTCTTGATTATAAAATGATTAAGAAAAAAAGTTATTATATTGGAAGTCTCAAATTTTATCTTCTCACATATTTTTGTAGGTTGTATTATGCATACTGTCAACGTAGTCTCTAATGTTTTATACAAACTCTCAGGAGGAAAGGAGCTAAGTGAGTGGGAAGGATTTGCCATGAGTCATTTGTAGTAATGGTAATGGTATAGACGTACTATCTGGCATAATTAAACTGGTGATGGGAGGTAGAGTTCTCTTGTGTGCACTAAATTCCATTGTTCAATGCAGAATTTCTTAACTTCTCACTATTTCATTCACTCTTTGAGTGCGCCTGTTTTTGGTCAAAACCCGAGGAGTTGTTGGTGGAGTTAGATCGGTTAACAACATCATATCTGTAAAATGCAGGTGACACAATTACAAGGATCATTTAGGGGTGCTTATTACATATATTGTACGTACATATATAGTTCCCCCAGACTACTAAACCAAAATTTCCAATGATAAGACCCAAGAGTATGTATTTTTTAATGGGAACCTTAGACTATTCTTATAATCACAAATTCAGAAACTTTTATCTTAACTAGATACTGTAGGAAAAGCATCTACGTTCTTTTAATTACAGCTAGTACTTTCATTATATTTCAAGTTTTCAAAGCACATCTCATCTCAATTTGTTGTGTAAAGTAGGCAGGGTGAGCATTTTTACCTTGATTTTACAGATATGATATTGTTAACTGACCAAACTTAGCCAACAACTCTTCAGGTTTTAGTTGAAAACAGGAGCAATCAAAGAGTGAGTCGTTGAGGATTAGCCACTCCCCATAACTGCAAGCCCAGGTTGTAATGACAGCATATTTCAGATAATGGTCTATTATACATATGGACATTTATTAGAGGAGCAGGCACCAAATGAGTCTGTAAGTCTGACGAAGTTCAAGTGAACTATCATTGGAGGTTCTTTAACAACACAGAAGAAATATTCACCCGAAGCACACATGGTGACATTCAGAGGTTGGCTCTTGTGCCGTCCTAAACTATTGGCTGGACACCAACTCATTAGTGACTAAAGTCAGTGCTTTCCCTAAGGAACTCAGGGTATAGGTCTCAGTGGTTTCTTATGAAGACAAAGGTGGAGACTGTTTCTAAAATATTTAGTTATTCCAAATGTCTCAAACACTGTTAATTTCACCAGAGAGGGAGCCCAATTCTAACATTCTTCATGCTAATTTTCAAGTCACTAGAATTTGTTACAAGACTGGTCCACGGATCAGCACCATTGACATAACCTGGGAGCTTGTTAGAAATGCAGGTTCTCAGCCCTGCTCAAGACCAGCGTCTTCATTTTAACAAGATTTTTTGTGATTCAGAAGCATGATAAAGTTTGAGGAACACTGTTCTATAAGTCAGATGCCCCTTGTTTATGCCTTCTAATATACCATAAAGCTGTGATCTGCCTCTATTAGAGCATTTACCATGTTGAATTACAGAATTCATACATTTTGCCAGTTCTACTAGGTCAATTATTATGTCTTACTCATTTCTGCATTTCTATCACATGGCATATATTAGATGCTCAATTCATGTTGAATGAATGAATAAGAAAACTTTCACATGATAAAATTAGTTTTTCAGATCCAATTGTAGTTTTCTCAGATTTATAACTGGCTATGCATCCTCACACACTTGAAGTCAAAATGTGATTAGAAGACAGGGTAGTGGCCAGCTTTCCAGGGCTACCAGTGAGAAAGAAGTAGGTATTGGACCTAGGAACCAGGAAGTAATGGCATGATAGGAAACTCATGAGGGACGGCTTTAGTCCACAAGTAAGTGGATATTGGGAGAAGGTAGAGTTACTTAAGGGGACTGCTATGGAGGGTTTGTGTCCCTCCAAGATTCATGTTAGACCTTAAATCTCAAGGTAATGGTATTAAGAGGTAGAATCTTTGGGATGTGATTAGGCCATGAGCACTCCACTCTCATGAATGAGATTACTATCCTTATAAAAGAGGCTTCAAAGAGCAGTCTGCCCTTCCATCCCATCTGCCAGGTGAGAACACAGCAATTGTACCTTTGGTTTTCTCTACCATTTGAGAACACCATGAGAAAATGCCATTTATGGAAAAGGCCCTCACCAGACACAAAATCTGCTGGTGCTGTGATCTTGGACTTCCCACCCTCCAGAACTGCGAGAAATAAATTTCTACTGTTCATAAATTACTCAGTCTGTGGTATTTTGTTATAGCAGCAAGAATGGACTAAAACAAGAATCATATACACCAGTGATTCTGAATATGTTTTCTGCCTCAAGCCACCCAAGAGATTAGGCAGATTTCCAGCAGTAAGAAGAACTAACTATAACAGAGTTTTTCACTGGAAGCTCTCCCTCAACCATATATAATTCTGCTACAACTCATACCCATATTTTCTGCTAGACTCACTGAGATATGCTGTTGGCTTAATGTCCGGTGTTTTGAATGGGGCAGGAGGGCACTGAGAGGTAACAGTTACCAAGAGCAAATACTGTGTTTGGAATCAAGTGTTTGTTATGGATGGTTGGATTTAGGTGTCTAACCTGGCAGATTAGGCCTAGGTGTCTAGGAATTCAACATCAGGAAACAGCAGGTTATAAGAGGACTCATCAGATGAGGTTTAGCCCAAATCCAGAGACCCCAGGCATGTAACACCTGAGCTGTACCCATTTTATATTTTCTCTCTCTATTAAGTCTCCTTTGGGGTAAACAGTGTTAACTAAAGGCCTAATAATGGCTACAGGTGGAGAGAGAATTTGGGGCCACCATGGAAATGTGAAACAGTATTGGCACCTACCCAGAATCCAGTGGTTAGAGAAAAAATAATGTCCACCCTGTAATTAAGAAGAAAATATTTCTCCTCCTTTACTTTGGATGGTCCTTAGGGGTAATCACAAACCTGGGCTAGGGGGAGCTGAGGGATAACATTTAAAGAGTGGGGAAGGGGTTATGAAGCTTATTGAGGCTTTTGGCCTAAGGCCGGATATTTAAAATAGCATGCCTAGGGAAGGCAGGCAGGCACTATTCAAAAACGAAACTGAATGGAGGAGGCAGTGGTAAAACGAAGGGCAGATTCCCTGTGTGAAGGGTCAGCTCCTACTGATAATGCCTGGTGGGAATCTGTGCTTATTTCTCAAACATAGAAAATAAAAATCTATATTTTAAAATAAAACGTCTCTACTTTTAAACCTTGGCAAATAATTTCAAAGGTATATGAAAGGTATTAATGCTGTGAAGGCTAGAGTCAGTCTGATGGTTGCCAGTTGGTAACATCTGGCCTTAGGAAACTTTTTGGATGTAGGAACTTCCGGACTTCTGTCTTGTGAGTGCTTTGGGGTCTCTCTTTGTGTTCCTTAGAGAACCACAAAGTGTTGACTAGAAACCAAAGAGAAGGAAATGAGAAGTTGGTTAGTTAGTGCTTGTTGTAGTTGAAATGAAGTCAGTCATCTCACTCTAACCACCGTCTATTAGGTTGGTACAAATGTAATTGTGGTTTTTGCCATTACCTTTAATGCACTCACTTTTGCACCAACATAATAACTCACCAAAATAAAAAGCAACCAAACATAAGTGAAACCAAATGAAAGCCAAAATCAACAGCCAAAAACCTCAGCTTCTTTCTCAGTGCCTCCATAGATGGCACAAATTATCTCCTTCATTACCTTACTGGGAAATCTGGTAGTCTTTTTTTTTTTTTTTTTTTTGACTTTTTTTTTTTTCCTTACTCAGGCTTCTCATCCTATCATTATTCAGGTCCAATAGATTTCACCCTTGAAACATCCACAATTCATCCTCTTCCTTCTTCCTTCCTATTGCCATTGTCCTATATTCGATTCTACCATACTTTGCCTAGAATACTCCAAAGGTCTTCTTATTACTATGTCTAACATATTTCAGGAGGAAATGAGATAAACAGGTTCAATAAATTTTCTTCCAGGACACTATGTTTGTGGCCAGGGTCTGTGGTTGAATCCACAGGTAGGACTAAGCAGGTTCTTCTCACCTGGAATGGGCAAGACACAAGACCAGAATGTTTTTAGCAATGGATGGGTCTGGTAGAGTAATTCCTGACTTCAGAATTAGAACAGAATAACACACAGGTCAATTCTGTCTGGGAAGTCCCTTGTTCGCTTGTAATTACCATGGCTTAACACTGGCTATATATTCATATATTTATGAAAATAAGTCATAACATAGATGAGTTTATGCAAAATATACAATAATGAGATGAACTAGGTCAAGTGATGATTGTTTTATACCATCTGTCTTACCAATCCCAATGGCCTGTTAGAAACTTAAATGTTATTGGTTAGGTGACTTTGAGGTCTGTAGATCAAATAATTTTAGGGAAAACATGAAACACAAAACATGGGGAAAGAGACTGTCCCTCAACATTAGTCCATCCTTTGGCCTAAGGGTTAACCTGGCGAGCATCCCGTGGAGGCCTGCTTTCTTCAGGTCTGATTTAGACCCATCCAAGCAGGATGACAGTGACCGAGGTAAATTTTCCTAACGCTAATTTGAAGGGCAATGAATGATTACCAAACCATTAACCTGCACCTACCAATGAATGTTACAGAAAAGGAGGGCTCAGATTGGGAGATGTCTACTAACTTGGTTATAGCTTCAAGGACCTATAGTTAGACTGTCTGGGTGACAGCAACATTTTATACCAGTTACTTACTAGCTATGAAATCTCAGATAAGCTGCTTATCCATAATAAACATTAATTCCCTTATTTGTACAATGGGGAAAATATAATCGCATACTCCATATTTTGTGGTGAGGATTAAATAAGAAAGTACCTAAATCTCTTAGCAAAATAGCTACCTCGTAATAAGCAACTGATGAATTATGATATCATTATACTTATTCCTCAATAAAAGTTTATTCTAACCTCTACCTATATCAATATAAACCATTTTAAGCATGCTCCCCCAAACCAAAATTCAGATATTTCGGGGAATTTCAAAAGGACAAAACACTCTTAATAACTATTGAATATATAATATATTCTCATGCTTTAAAATTCAAAAAGCAGGCTGGGTGCAGTGGCTCAGACCTGTAATCCCAGCACTTTGAGAGGCCAAAGCAGGTGGATCAGTTTGAGCTTATGAGTTCAAGATCAGCATGGGCAACATGGTGAAACACCATCTCTGCTAAAATAAATAAATAAATAATAAAATTCAAAAAGCAAAAAAAGGAAGTAAAACCTGAAAGTCTTTGTATCGCTCACTTTTCTCAGCTACAAAGTTTGCCTCTCACAGGTAACTAAAGTTACCAGTTCCTCAAATATCTTAGAGAAAATTAGTGCACCCACCAGCAACAAGCAAAAAGACATTTCCCCCAAATTGCACTTAAAAGTGTTTTTAAATCTGAATCTCTCCCATCTATACTGCTAAGAAGAATTATTATTTTTCACCAGGACCTGAGGTTCTGCCACTTTGATACATATATGTCTGTTGTTAGTTTCCTAAGACCGTAGCTAAAATTTGCCCTCCATCTAGTCTTAGTACTGTGAGACATATTTTATGGCTCTAGTATTTGTGCCAAACATTACCTTGTTGCATATTAAATTTATATGGCAGTTCAATATGGTTAAACCCAGATGATAAAGAACTTGCTGTACTTAATGGAATTTATTGGGTATGTGTGTATCCTGATACAAATATATTTTCCTTATAAAGTCTATTCTGCCCTTTGCAAGGCATAAAAAGTCTGAAATTAGCTCTGGCTTTTTCTATGAGTTTCAAAATATGATCTTTAAAATAAGACAGCAAAATACTGTGGTGGAACTGCAGTTTTCGGAGGAGTCTTTAGAAACATCTTCCTCTTTTCTCTATCCACTCCCTCTAAACTAAATACATGTTTCCATACTATGAAGAGGGTATTGACTATTGAAAAGTTGACAGTAAACTCTAGGGCAAATGTGAGAGTTGGAAAGCCTAATTGTTCCTTTTAATATCATTCACAGGGCCACGATCACCATGTAGGCAGGGTTAATGTGCAGAGTTTGCAACAGGAATATGAAATCTGGAAACTGTAGTGAATTCTGTATGTCCCCATCTAGGTCTTCATTACTAGCTATTACATTTCCCTACTTTCACTCTAGGTATGGTGAGTACTTCATAAAAGCTTGCAGCTACCCTCTTCTCTCGGGAAGTGCCTCAACCAGCGGCCACATCATGGGAGGTTATAGCCCCTGCCCCTAGGAGCAGTTTTCAGCCAACAAGTGACTGACACAGGTTTTCTTAAAGCCAACCCCCACACCTCAAGGTGGAATAACTCTGTGAACAACTCAGGCTCCAGTGGTCCCTATGGGATCAATCTGAAGCTGAGACCACGTCACTGTTTATATGTGACGGGGAAACAACGGGAGAGTAGGAGGGCAGTTATTAAGGACATCATTTAGAATAGGATGGGGCCACAATAATTAAGACAAAGCTCTTCTGAGCAAGAGTGAAAGGGATACTCCCTGGCCATTCTTCTACCTCAACCTTTTAAATTAAAATGTGATGAACCAACTTTCAGGTTGATTCTACTGGGGCCCACCTTGTCAACAATGTTCTGGCACTGCCCGTAGAATTGCTAAAGGTGCTCCTGTCATCATTAGAATCTTGATATTTCCTGTTCATAAATAACTCACGGTCAAGGATAGAGCTAAAATGCTATGCTTTCTCTCTTTCCCTTTACTTTTATCTAAAATTCAACAAGAGAAATTGAAAGAAGGGGCTGCCAGTAATAATAGGAAGATAGGAACTCCTGTTTTCTTCCTAATTTCTTTCCCTTTAAAGTCCTCACTTCCTTTTCACAAGTGGATTAGATTGCCAAGATTTAGTCCCGTGCTATTTATGTGCATTTTTTAAAGCAATAACTTCTACAACAGAGGAAAGGAAGTAAAGGTAAACAGGCTTTAAGTGACTTGGTCAAATTCACATAACTGGCACAGCTTTAGGAACAGACTGTTTCGTGACTCCCAAATGTGCAGTCACCTCTAGACCCTAAAAGAGAGTGAGTGATTATTTTTAGCATTTAATAAAACCTTGGAAAACAAAACAAAGAAGACATTCAATGTTATACTGCAGAGTGATCTGTTGACTCACGCCTGTAATCCCAGCACTTTGGGAGGCCGCGGCAGGAGGATCACGAGGTCAGGAGATTGAGACCATCCTGGCCAACATAGTGAAATCCCATTTCTACTAAAAATACAAAAATTAGCTGGGTGTGATGGCGCATGCATGTAATCCCAGCTATTCGGGAGGCTGAGGTAGGAGAATCACTTGAACCAGAGAGTCCGAACGTTGCGGTGAGCGGAGATCACGCCACTGCTCTCCAGCCTGGAGACAGAGCGAGACTCCATCTCGGAAAAAAAAAAAAAAAAAAAAAAAGAAGATAAGTCATCTGATCATATGTTTTAAAAGCTCCGAGCTGCACCAAGTTGCCTTCCTCAGCTTGATAACCTTGAAGATGAACAAGCTAAGAGAGGCTAAGTGACTTGACTATAATTCCATAGCTCTATAGGGAAGAAGCTGAGACTGGAGTGTGGATCTCTTGTTAATGCAACTTGCAGCCTGGGAACACGGCAAACTATTCCTGGAAACCTCCCCACTTCAAACGCCTAGAAATATTGGATAAAATACAACAAACAGTCTTGTAAATGCATGGCTGAGCTTGCAAGAAGATAGGATCTGGAGGAATTATGAAAAACACACCACTAGAAGACAAAGAATTTAACAACATTGTGCCTTCTCCAATCTATTCTGAAAGGGAAGTTCAGGAACATGGAGAAAACTAAAAGATCTAACATACATATATCAGGAAACTATAAGAGGGAATTGCAGGAATTGTAATATTTGAAGAGAAAGGCAGGGGGTAAATGGGAAAAAGCTAAAAGAATTAAAATACAGAATAAAATCGTAGAAATAATTTCAATCACATCAGTGATTGTAATAAATGCAAATGTTCTAATTTCGACAGTTAACAATGATTGGCAGGCTGGATTTTAGGATGCAAAATATATGATGGAAAAATGTTAAATAAAAAAAGCTGGTGTCAGTTATAAATCAATAGTATTTTCAGACAAAATAAACTTTAAGGCAAAGTGTGTTTAGAGATTAAAGGGATTACTTCATAATACTGAAATATGTATTTCAACAGAAAGATCTAACAATTCTGAATTCTAGACATCTAATAGCATAGCATTAAAATATATAAAGTAAAAGTTGGCAAAATTGAAAGGAAAAGTTGACAGGATTTTCATAAATGTCTCTCAGATCTGAGAAACGATGTGCAAAAATTAGAGAGCATATGAAGATTAGAACATTAAATTTTTATGAGTTCAATAAGATTTTGGTATAAAAAACAGACAAAATATGGGTCAGGAAAATTTATAAATCAATCTCACTCATGAACATAGATTTTTAAATCCTGAAAAAATAATAAATTAAATGCAGGAGTGTTTATTCTATGTACATATGCATATATGTTCATATACATACATATCGAAATGTGAAATTAATAGATGAATGCATAAACAAATGTATCTTGACCAAGTCGGATTTATCCCATTTTTCCAAATTATTTGTGTAGATTTCTAAGTTGAAATACTAAAATGATTTATGTTAATTAGCACAATAGTAGATTAAAGGAAAAAATCTTATGATTGCTTCAATAGATTCAGGAGAAGAAGTATTAGCATTCAATCATCACTCATGACAATAGACAAAACTCATAGCAGACCAAGAATAGCAAGAAACTTCCTTATTCTATTAAAGGCAATCCACTAAAAACCTATTATAAACATTGTTCTTCTTGGTGACGTATTAAAAATCTTCCCTTGAAAATTAGGAATAAAGTAATAATGTTTGCTATCAGTGTATGAGTTCATCTGTAGGTACATCTATATAGATTCATATGGTAGTAGGTATTATAGGGATAGTTGTGCATCAGAAACAAAGAAGATACATAAGAACTGAAAAGAAACAAAACACTAATTTGCATACCACATGATTCTCCACATAGAAAACTAGAGAGGTTTTTTGTTTTTTTTTTTTAATATCATTGTTGGATTAATATAAGAATATCAGAACTGAGTGTGGTCGCTCACAACTGTAATCCCAGCACTTTGGGAGGCTGAGGCAGAGGATCGCTTGAGCTTAGGAGTTTGAGACCACCCTGGGCAGCATAGTGAGACTTCATTTTTACAAATAATAATAATAATAATAATAATAATAATAATTAACCAGGCATGGTGGTGTATACCTGTAGTCCCAGTGACTGGGGAGGCTGAGGCAGGAGGATCACTTCAGCCCAGGACTTTGAGGCTACAGCGAGCTACGATTGTGCCACTGCATTCCAGGCTGGGTGACAGAGCAAGACGGTGTTTGAAATAAAGAAAAAGAAAAGAAAAAAAATAATGTGCATACCTATACGCCAACAATGTGTAGGTATAAAATAGTTGGAGCTGATCATTAGTCACTCTCTGGAGTTGGGGAGAGGCATCCCTTGCTACAGACCAAGGAAACGCTTTTTATCTCCTGAACAGAAAAACCAGGCTCATCTAATAAGGAATTGAGACAGACACTGCATTGGGCAGGCAAGAGGCAGTGCTTGCCATACTTTTCCAAAATAATCTATGTGAATGATCAGGTTTTATAAGTATTCTTTGTGTGCTTGGAAAAAAAAAGCTTAATGTCTAATTGTTGGATGCAAGTTTTCAAAAGAATGAACCATATTAACCATTAGATCAAATTTCTAAATTGTAGTGTCTATATTAATTTTTTGAGTGCCATTCTCTCTAATTTCTAAGAGTTAGAGTTTCTAATGTTAAAATGTACTAATAGGTTTGTGGGTTTGTCAGTTAAAACTGTTTGTGTTTATTATGAAATATGCTTACTGATATGCTTGGATATATTCCTACTATCACGTTTTCTTCTTATGATCACCTTTTTGTTGCTTTATACCTTCCTCCTTTCTTGTTTCATGTTGAATAAAGTTTTCTTTTCTCATCCTCTACACTTTGGGAAATTGCACAGTCTACTACCTCAATGATTCTCTGAAATATTTGGCATATGCACTTAATCAAAGTTTCAAGTTAATAAGTATATTTACCCTCCTCCCAAATGATACAAAAATGTTAGAGTAATTATTTCTATTTTTTCTCCTACAATCCATATAATATTTTTCTAGTACTTTACTTCCAACTTGTTTTTTTTAAATCTTTTACATTAATTGTTTGTACCATTAGTTTTAATTTAGACTTACCTAATCTGTATTACTTTATTTTCCCACTGCTATTTTTTGGTAGCTTACCTTATTAGAGGTTTAATTTATTTTTAAACAGAATATATCTTCCTCTGATTCTTTTAGTAAGAGTCTCAAAGAATAAGCTCAATCTTTCCTTCCATCAACATGTTTTGTTTCTCAACTTTTAAATGATTGTTCATCTGGGAATAGAGCTCTAGATTGACAGTTATTTTCTCCTAGCACACTTTAGTAGATATCTCCTTTGTCTCTTTTTTTGAAAATTTTAAGTTTTACTTTAGATACAGGAGTACATGTGCAGATTTGTTATTAATACATGGGAATATTGTGTCATGCTGAGGTTCGCCGTATGGATCCTGTCACCCTGGTAGTGAGCATAGTTCCAGATAGGTAGTTTTTTAACCCACCCTACCTTCATCCTCTGGTAGTCTGCAGTGTCTACTGTTCTAATATTTGTGTCCATGTGTGCTCAATGCTTAGCTCCAACTTATAAGTGAGAACATGCAGTATTTGGTTTTCTTTTCCTGTGTTAATTTGCTTAGGATTATGCCTTCCAATTCCATCCATATTGCTAAAGATGACATGATTTCATTCTTTTCATGACTGTGTAGTATTCTATGTACCACATTTTCTTTATCTAGTCTACTATTGATGGGTACCAGGGCTAATTCCATGTCTGTGCTATTGTGAATAGCATTTACATTCCCACCAGCAGTGTATAAGCATTCCCCTTTTCTCCGTAGCCTTACCAACATCTGTTGTTTTTGACTTTTTAATAATGGCCATTCTGACTGGTGTGAGATGTTATCTCATTGAGACTTTTATTTGCATTTCTCTGATAATTAGTGATGCTGGGCATTTCTTTGTTTGTTGGTCATTTGTATGCCTTCTTTTGAGAAGTGTCTGTTCATGTACTTTGCCCATTTTTTAATGGTATTATTTGGTTTTTGCCCATTGATTTGTTTAAGTTCTCTGTAGATTCTGGATATGAGGATTCTGTTGGATGCATAGTTTGTGAAAATCTTCTTCCATTCTGTAGGTTGTCTGTTTATTCTGTTGATAGTTTCTTTCACTGTATAGAAGCTCTTTAGTTAAATTAAGTCCCACTTGTCTATTTCTTGTCTATTTTTGTTTTCGTTGCAATTGCTTTTGGGGACTCAGCCAAAAATTCCTTGCCAAGGCCAATGTTGAGAAGAGTATTTCCTAGGTTTTCTTCTATTATTTTTATAGTTTGAAGTCCTACATTTAAAGCTTTAATCCATTTTGAGTTAATTTTTGTATATGGTGAAAGGAAATTGTCCAGCTTCAGTCGTCTGCATATGGTTAGCCAGTTGTCCCAGCAACATTTATTGAAAAAGGAGTCCTTTCCCCATAGTTTGTTTTTGTTGGCCTTGTTGAAGATTAGATAGTTGTAGGTGTGTGACTTTATTTCTGAGTTTTGCATTCTGTTCCATCAGTCTATTTGTCTGTTTTTGTACCAGTACTAACCTGTTTTGTTTACTGTGGCTTTAAACCATAGTTTGAAGTCAGGTAGTATGATGTCTTTGTTCTCTTTGTTTAGGATTGCTTTGGCTATTCAGGGTCTTTTTTGGTTGCATATGAATTTTAGATATTTTTTTTCTAATTCTGTGATGAATGACATTGGTAGTTTGATAGGAATAGCACTGAGTCGGTAAATTGCTTTGGGCAGTATGGCCATTTTTACAATATTGATTCTTCTAATATATGAGCATAGAATATTTTTCCATTTATTTGTGTAGTCTCTGATTTCTTTCAGCAATGTTTTGCAGTTCTCCTTGTAGAGATATTTTACCTCCTTGGTAAATACCAGGCTGTATTTCTAGGTATTTCATTTTCTTTGTGGCTATTGTAAGTGGAATTGTATTCTTGATTTCACTCTCAGCCTGGATGTTGTTTGTGTATAGAAATGCTACTAATTTTTTTACATAGATTTTGTACCTTGAAACTTTACTAAAGTTGTTAATAAATTCTAGGAGCTTTTTGGCAGTCTTTAGGATTTTCTAGGTATAGAATCTCTTTCTGATGTAAAATCTCTTGTACATCTAATTGTTTTCTTTTTGTTTCCTTTAAGACTTCATTTACTATAGTTTCTTTCAGTATTTGATATTTAGTCTGATTGTGTCTTCCAGATGATGCATTGGAAACTTGATCCCCAGCCCAGCAGTGTCGAGAGGCAGGGCCTTTTGGGAGGTGTTTAGGTGATGAGGGCTTCACCCTGATGAATGGATTAATGCTGCTATAGAAAGGGCTTGTGGGAATGGGTTCATTCTCTTTTGGCCTTCCACCTTCTTTCATGTGAGGGCACCACAAGAAGGCCCTCACCAGATGCTGGTGCCATGATCCTCACCTTCCCAGCCTCAAGAACTGTAAGAAATGAATTTTTGTTCTTTATAGATTACCCAGTCTCAAGTATTCTGTTATAGCAACACCAAACAAACTAAGACAAAAATTGGAATCAGAATAGTGAGGCTTTGTTACAACCAATATCTAAAAATGTGGAAGCAGCATTTAAACTATGTAGTGAGTAGAGGCTGAGACAGTTTTGAACTGAGTGCTGAAGAAGCCTGTATTTCCATAAATGGAGCATTAAGGGCAATTCTGGTGAAGTCTTAAAAGAAGAGAAGAGCTGTAAGCCAAAACCTGTATCTTCTTAGAGATTACTTAAGTGATTATGAAGAGAATGTAGAAATATGGACAGTAAAGGCCATTTCAATGAGGTCTCAGATTGAAAGGAGGAACAAGGTAGTACAAACTAGAGAAAAGGTGATCCTTGCTATGAAGAGGCAAAGAACTTGACTGAATTGTGTTTTTGTCCTAAGACTTTGTGAAAGACAGAACTTAACAATGAACCAGGATATCTGGCAGAAGAAATCTCCAGGTAGCAAAAAATGTAGGGTGCTGTGTGGCGTCTTTTAATTGCTTATAGTAAAAGGTGAAAAGAGAGAAAGTATTTAAAGATAGAATTTATAATCAAAAGGGAAGCAGAATGTAAAGATTTGGAAAATTCTTAGCCTGGCCATGTCAAGAACAAAAAAGCATCTTTAGGAAAAGCAGCCAAGGGTATGGCCAAGTAACTGTTTGATAAGGAAATTAGTGTGAATAGAAGGAAGTCAGGCGCTATTCATCAAGACAATGGGAGAGTAGCCCCAAAGTCATTTTGGAGATCTTCAAGCCTGCTCCTCTCATCACTGACCCAGAGAGCAAGAGCTATGGAGGCATAGCTACCTCCAGCTAGATTTCAATGGATGTCTCAGGCAGTCTCGGAGCCCAGGCAGAGACCTGCTGCAGAATTGGAGTGACCACAGAGAGCCTCCATTAGAGCAATATCCAGCGGAAATGCGGGGTGGGGGCTGCCACAGAGAGTCCTCACTAGGATAATGCCTAGTGCAGCCATGGGAGCAAGGCTCCTCCCAAGACCCCAGAACTGCCGAGCTACCAGTATGCAGCACAAGCCTGAGAAAACCATAAGCTTTTGACTTAAATGTGTGAGGACTGACACACGGGTTGTCTGAGGCCTTGAAACCCAACTCCAGCCTTCTAGTGCGCCAGAAGGCAGAACATGGAGTCCAAAGAGACTATTCTCAAGCCTTGAGATTCAATGTCATTTGCCCTATTGGGATTTTTACTTACTTGAAACTTGTTATTCTTTTCTTTTGTATTTCTCTTTCTTGAAATGAGAATGTCTATCATACGTCTGAGACACCATTATATTTTAAAAGTACATAATTTGTTTGATTTTATAGGCTCACAGCTGGAGAGCATTTTGCCTCAGTATGAAGTACTTCACACACATATTTGATGTAGATGAGACTCTGGACTTAAACTTTAAAGTTGGTGCTGGAGTGAGTTAAGACTTAGGGCTACTGGGTTGGAATAAACGTATTTTGCATGTGAGAAGGAAATGAAATTTGAGGGCCCAGGGTGGAATGGTATGATCTGAATATGTCCCCCAAATTTATGTGTTGGCAACTTGATCCCCGTGCAATGGTATTGAGAGGTAGGGCCTTGAGGGAAGTGTTTAAGTCCTGAGGGATCTGCCCTCATAAAAGGATTAATGCTGCTTTAAAAAGGGCTTATGGAAGTGAGTTCATTTTTTATATGGTTTGGCTGTGTCCTGACCCAAATCTCATCCCGTAATCCACACGTGTCATAGGAGGGACCCAGTGGGAGGTAATTGAATAATGGGGGCAGTTACCTTTATGCTTTTGTCATGATTGTGAGTGAATTATTATGAGATCTGATGGTTTTATAAGGGGTTTTCACCCTTCTGCTCAGCATTTCTCTTTGCTGCCACCATGTGAGGAAGGACATATTTGCTTCCCCTTCCACCATGATTGTAAGTTTCTTGAGGCCTCTTCAGCTATGTTAAACTGTGAGTCAATTAAACCTCTTTCCTTTATAAATTATTTAGTGTTAGGTATGTCTTTATTAGCAGCATAAGAAAGGACTGATACAATTCTCTTTTGCCTTTCTGCCTTCTGCCACGTGGTAACAAGCAAGAAGGCCCACCAGATGCTAGTGCCATAATCATCACCTTCTCAGTCTCCAGAACTGTGAGACATATATTTCTGTTTTTTATAAATTATTCAGTCTTAAGGATTCTGTCATTGCAGCACCAAATGGAATAAGATGTTATTCTACACATATGTTTATTTGTATTTATTTTATTAATCCTGCTGCTTCTGCTTATTTTATATGACCATCTATCAGCCATGATCTTCTTAAATATTTCCCCTTGGCCACTAATTATATGTTATCCTCTCATAATTCTTATTTGAGCTTGACTTTCTCATTCTCTTGTTTCTGTTTCTTAATCTCTCATATTTTACATTTCTTTATCTTCTCATATATTTTGTATAATTTTTTACATGTATGTTTTAGTTTGCTATTTTCATCTTCAGCTGATAGTCTTCTATTTTATACTTTTCGAGTTAAATTTGTGTGTGTCTACATGTGTGATATTCAGTATTCATACAGAAAAATGTGTTAAACATATATAGTGGTAATATAAAATGCATGCACCTCTACTTAGGTAAAAAAATAGAATATTATCAATACCTTAGACTCCTCCTGTGTGTCTCTCTCAATCATACTTTCCTCCACTGGTAACCATTGTCCTGACTTTTTGTTAACCATTTTCATTAGCCAGCATTCTCCAGAGAAACATAACCAATAGGATATGTGTAGGGGTAGCTAGATAGAGATACAGATAGATAGATAGATAGATAGATAGATAGATAGATAGATAGTCCTTTGTTCTATGTAAGCCTTCAACTTATCGGATGAGGCCCACCCACATTACGGAGGGCGATATACTTTACTCAAAATCCACTGATTTAAATGTTAATTTCATCTGGAAGACCCTCACCAAAACATCCAGAATAATGTTTGACCAGACATCTGGGCACTATGGCCCAGCCAAATTGACACATAAAATTAGCTCTCACAATTCTACTCCTTATCAATCTGGCACCCATATGCATCTCTTTAAACTATCCTTAATCTCCAAATAAAGACAATAAAAATGTCATAATTCAACCTAATATGATACACCTGTCTTGAGTACAAGCAAAAACACACTAACCCTCTCCTCAGAAGAGGATACAAAGTTCTTGGGTGGTGTTTACCCTTTTCCTTGGCATTCCATAAGGTAAATACTATGATATAAAGTTACCAATACTTAAGTACTTAAATAAACTTATCTTAAATACAAAGTCAATACTTCTTATGTTACATTGTAATGGGCTAAGAAAGTGAAGAAAACAAAGACATTTGCTATGTATACACACACACAAACATATTCATAACAAAATAAGGAAGAAATACTCGTGACAGTTAGAGTCCTTCTTTCATAACTGATCCTCTGAGCATAGCTGGTATTTATAACAAACTTCTTTCACTACTCCTTTTGTATTGCCTTTGCTTTCAGCAGGCACCTAAGCTGGCATGGTTTTTTACCTGGTGGGGTAACCCAAACTTTCATTCTTGAAGAATCTGGGTCATTAGTAGCCGTGTCTGAACTGAGATGTAGTTTTTTATTGACCTTAATCACAGGGTATGGTAAGAGGCATCTAAGGGATCTCTTTTTTTCAGACATGCTCTTCTCTATATCCTTTGTAAAATAGCAGTCCATTTTCATCTTGGTAGCCTGGATGAATCACCCCAGCCAGCACAGTAACTCTCTTCTTTGCCCTTTGATTTAGAGACATGAGGACACTAAAGTAGTTGTGTTAGTATTAACTTCCAGTTCAATGAAATCATTGTTGTGTTTCTTCCCTCTAGAACACTCTAGAACTAAGACTTATAGGCAAGCAGAGCACAAGGTCATGAGAACAGGAGGCAAACATTATGCTAGTGGGTCACCAGGAATTATAGTGAGTGGTGCTGCTCCTATTTCTATTTCTTGATTCCTGGATCCATGAATCCTGACTACAGGAGAAACAGCACCATGTACTAGGTGCTGACTCAGAACCTCCTAGAGAACCTTGCCTCAGCCTTGCAAGGTGTTGCCACCTAGCTAGCAATGCAGCTGAGTCTTCAAAAGGCCATTCCATTGTCCCACCAGGCTAGCTGTTTTAGCATAGTGGGAAACATGGCTAAGTCCATGGAATTCCATAAGCATGGGCCAATTGATGCACTTTATTTACTGGTAAGTGAGTTCCTTGATCAGAAGCAATACTGTGTAAAATACTGGGACAGTAGATAAGGTATTCTGTAACTCCATGGATGACAGTTTTGGAAGAAACATTGTGTGCAGGAATTGAAAATTTATATGCAGAGTAAGTGTCTATTCCAGTAAGAATAAAATCATGCCCGAGTTTTCTCTTTCTGTCAACTGATGGTAGGAAACTTTCTATGAGGCGATAGGTGCAAGCTGGGAGAGTCGAGGTAGAGTAATAAGGGATCATGGGCATTTGAGCCACTTCTTCATGTAACTTACTTATGCCTTCCGGGCCTGCTCAGGCCTGATCCTATCTATAATACTTCCATTTGATAATGGAGTGCTGCTGTGCATGCCCAACTTTATGGGTTGGTTTGTCAGTTAACATCCATTTCACAATGGGAAGCTCAGGTTGCATGCTGAGTTAGTGAGCTGTGGTTAAATGTTCAGTTTCTGCTAAGACACAATAGCAGGCTAAGAATTGTTTCTCAAAAGGAGAGTAGTTATCTGCAGGGGATGGCAAGACTGCTCCAAAATCCCAAGGGCCTGCTCTTTGATTCATCTGTAGCGGTATACCAAAGGCCACAAACGGCTTCCCTGTTTGCCACTTACACTTCAAGCACTATTGGATATGCTGGATCATATGGCCCAAGTGGCAGAGCAGCTTACATGGATCTGCTGCAGAGTCTTCTCTTGTTCTGGGCCTCACTCAAAACTAGAAGTTTTTGAGTTATTCAGTAAATGGGAATGGAGTAGTGCACCGAAATGAGGAATGTGTTGCCTCCAAAATCTCAAGAAGCCCACTAGGCTTGGTGCTGCTTTTTTTTTGGTTGTTGTATTAGATCATTCTTGTATTGCTATAAAGAAATACCTGAGACTGGGTAATTTATAAAGAAAAGAGGTTTAATTGGCTCATCGTTCTGCAGGCTACACAGGAAGCATGATACTGGCATCTGCTCTGCTTATGGGGAGGCCTCAGGAAACTTACAATCATGGCAGAAGGTAAAGGGGGAGCAGGCATATCACATGGCCAGCACAGGAGTAAGAAAGACAAGCAAGAGTTGCTACACACTTTTAAATGGTCACAAGAACTCACTCACTATTGTGAGGACAGGGATGGTATGAGAAACTGCATTCATGATCCAATCACCTCCTATCAGGCTCCACCTCTAACACTGGGGATTACATTTCAACATGAGATTTGGCTAAGACATCCAAACCATATCAGTTGTAAAGGGGTCAAGGCAACAATTTGTTCTTCATCTTAGAAGGCATACCTTGACATGGCCGACACCAGTGGTCTTCAGGAAATTTCACTGATAGAAGACCCCTCAATATTTATCAAATTTATTTTCCACCTTCTGATAGGCAAATGTCTTACCAATAAGTCTAGAGTAGTTGCTAATTCTTACTCACTAGGTTCAATCAGCATAATTTCATCAAGAAATAGACCAGCGTGATATCTTATGAAAGGGAAAGGTGATCAAGATCTCTGCAAACTAAATTATGAACATAGGGCTAGAGAGTTGATATACCCCTAATGTAGGACTGTGGAGGTGTATTGGTGGCCTTACTAGCTAAAAGTGAACTGCTTCTGATGGGCTTTATTTTATTTATTAAAGGGGATGGAGAATACAACATTTGCCTGATCATTAACTGTATGTCCAGTATGAGGGGATGTATTAATTTGGTCAAGCAATAAAACCACATCTGATGTAGCAGCTGCAATAGGAGCCACCACCTTGTTAGGCTTATGATAATGCACTGTCATTCTCCAAGATCAACCTGTCTTTAGTACAGGATAAATAGGAGAGTTGAATAGGTTTCATCACTCCAACATATTTCAAATTCTTGATGATGGCACTAATCTCTTCAATCCTTCCAGGAATGTGGTATCATTTTTGGCTTACTTTTTTTAGGTAGAGGCAGTTATCGTGGCTTCTGCTTGGCCTTTCCCATCATCATAGTACCACTCCATAGGTCAGCACTATTCACAATAGCAAAAACATGAAGTCAACCTAAATTCCCATAAATAGTAGACTGGATAAATAAAATATGGTATGCATACATTGTGGAATACTACACAGCCATAAAAAAGAACAAGATTGTATCTTTGCAGCAGCATGGATGGAGCTGGAAGTCATTATCCTAAGCAAACTAAGGCAGGAACATAAAACCAAATGCCACAGGTTCTCACTCATAAGTGGAGCTAAACTTTGAGTACACATGAACACAAAGAAGGAAACAGCAGACATCAAGGGCCTACTGGAGGGTGGAGGGTGGAGGGTGGGAAGAGGGTAAGGATTGAAAAAGTACCTATTAACTATTAATGCTTATTACCTGAGTGATGAAATAATCTGCACATCAAACCCCTATTACACGTAATATACCTTTATAACAAGCTTGCACATGTATCTCTGAACCTAAAATAAAAAGTGGAATTTTCTTTTCTTTTTTTTTTTTTTTTTTTGAGATGGAGGCTCACTCTATCGCCCAGGCTGTAGTGCAGTGGCATGATCTCGGCTCACTGCAACCTCTGCTTCCCAGATTCAAGCAATTCTCCTGCCTCAGCCTCCCGAGTAGGTGGGACTACAGGTGTGCACCACCATGCCCGGCTAGTTTTTGTATTTTGAGTAGAGACGGGGTTTCACCATGTTGGCCAGGCTGGTCTCGAACTCCTGACCTCAAGTGATCTGCCCGCCTCAGCTTCCCAAAATCTGGGATTACAAAAAGTGGAATTTTCTAAATGAACAACAACAATTACAACAGATCAGAGATAGTGCTCAGCACATAGTAAATGTTCAATAAAATGTTTACTGAGAAAATAATTACAAATTAAGATACTTAATGAAAATATTTGAGCTGAAATAATCATATAATTCCATTAGGAAAAATTAAAATTTATCTGATATTATCAACTTCTTCACCATCTATGGGGAAAGTAGTCTTTCAATGAAAAATATGGTCTACAGAGAAGAGCCAAGCAAGAGCGTAAACATTTTCTAATTTATTAACTATTAAGTGTAGAGGATTGATGAAAATTTCATATAAATGATGAAAACCATATGACCACAATAAAAAGAAGCATTCTTGAGAAAAATACAAATGACATCTTAGTATTAATAGATAGCTAAAAAGTATATAGAAACAGCTAAAAATGATTACTGTAAATGAATATTGCCAAAACAGTTATTCTGTTTGTTATTATTTAATGTTCAGAAAATTTATATAAAGTTTTTTTGCTTCAATGCAACAGATAAGTGCTATATTTTTGAAGCAATTTGATTTTTAAAACAAGTTTTCAAATAGAACTATTTCATAAGTCTGCCAATGACATAAACCAATTTGTCAATCAAAAAATTTAAAAACATTAATTTTAAAGTGTTCTGGTTAGGATAATAGATTATGTGGTTACTTTACTCATATCAAAAGTTGTTCATTTGTTTTTTCTCTTTAGGTGTTTGCGGCATCTTCTTTTTATTTCCTGTGTTCTGACTTGTTGCTGCGATGTTGATGTGTTGATGTGGGTGAGAATCTAATTTCTTTCATTATGCTGAGCACTCATGGAGTCCCTTTCAATCTGGAAATTTATAATTCTCATTTTGGGGTAATATTGCTTGCAATATTTCATCTTTAATTCTTTCAATTGTTATGTTTTCTCTCTTCCTGTATTTCCTCATCCTTGATCTTAGACTTTCTGGGATAGTCTTCTAATTTTCTTTTTTTTCCATCTCTTTTTGCTCTACTTTCAGAAAGATTTCCTTAACTTTATCTACCAACTCTTTTATTGAGAGTTTCATTTTTACAATAATTAAAAAAAAAACAGATTTCCACAAACTTTTTTTCCCGTGTTATCTGAATGTTCATGTTGTTTCTATAGAATCTATTCTTTTTATGAATCCAAATATAGTCTTCTTTCTTTGGGGATATTAATAATGGTTTTACTTATTAATACTTCTTAATTTAAAGTTTTCTTTGGTAATATTTTTGTGTGGATCTTTTGTCCTCTATTGACTGGTTATTCATGATTAAGGGATGGGGCCTTAAAAACTGATTGAAAGATCTGAGTGCATAAGTGAGACTGGTCAAATTTGAATATCTCAATGGGATTATCAGTATCTGTGCGTTTTCCTTATGGGTGGATTACATACTCCGAAGTCTACTCTATGAGTCTACTGGATAGCAAAGGTCTGATGTGTTTTGTCTGGGAGCCAAACCATTCAGCATTTAGTATTCATATGATCACTTCACTTTCCTTTTCTTGGTATTATTTCCCATACAGACCTTCAACTCTGACTGGCAATTAGCAGTCCCTAAAACTTTTTGTTTTTATCCTTTCCAGGAAAAAGTCCTTCAAATTTCTTGGGCAGAGTTAATAGTTCTGAAGAACAAACTGGGAAAGGGAAAGGAGAAGGAATCTAGTAGAAATCTAGCTGCTTCAGAAACAGCTTTTCTCACTCTTTTTCATGGAGTCACTTTTCCCTAAATTACAAGTCTAGAGTTAATTGGGTGTTGGTAGTTCCAGAATCTTTGGAAGACTCTGTGGTGGAATGGATTTTGTTATTAGTTTTTCAGCCAATTTTTATTCATCTTTCACAGGTTTCACAAGTCACTGACACTGGTTATCTGCTTTTCAGGTTTCAAAGACCTGTCACTGTTGTCTCCCCTGCTGCTCTCTTCATCTTTGTGGATTAAAAGGTTTTTTGGGGCTTGTAATTTTGGCAGCGTTTCTGGAGTGAATAAATTCTGGGCGTGTGTTTAATCTGCCATCATAATCTTTATAGATGTTATACTACAGTCTTCTTTAAGTGTCTGTTATTTTATGATGAATTTTCTTTCATTATGATTTGCATTCTATATTACTTTCTTCAATCATTTTAAACATACTGATTATATAGGTTTTTTCTTTTTTCAGATCATAGAATCATCCAGTTGTTGAAATGAGACTTCATCGATGTGAAACCATTTCTTTGTGTGGTCTGTAATTTTTTGGACTGTGAGCTTCTGTCATTATCCACCACATCCTCTCCCTACCCTCCCTCCTATGGGAGTTGCTTGTCTTGTGCATGGCAGAAATTTTGCAGGGTAGTTTTGAATTTCCATCTGCATCTTACCCACTCAAGACAAGTTTTTTAATGTTAATTTCTTAGCTTGAGGATTCTTGTTCTCGACAAGCATGTAAATTCTGATTTCATATGTGCATGTTTTGGAGGCATGGGTCTCACTTTCTCATGGTAGCATTTTCTTTTTCTTATTTCCATTCAGAGAAATTCTTTCTGTTTCCCTAGGCTAGTGGGGCTTCTTCCACTGAAAAGACCATTATTTCAGTCTCTTACTTTAGGCAGAGTAGCCAGTGCAGCCCCTACTTGGCAGAGACTCAACACCATGTTATTTCTTCAGAAGCAGACACTGACATGAAAATTTATATGAAAAGAACATAGTTAGTGTTCGCTGGAAAAATTGGGGTGTGAAGAAATGGGAGTGGAAAGAAAATTTGGCCAAGCAAGGGCATAGTATCAAAGTTCTGCTAAGAAAACTTTGGCTCAGTTTTGAAGTGCAGATTCAAAGGTCACACCTTAGATCCCTCCTCCATAGAGGGAAGGGAGTAGGGGTAGCTACAGATTAATCTGTAGTTAAAGGCTTCCCCAGGAGTGATATAAATATCCAGGAGATTCCAACTTTACATCAGTTCTCAAAGGGGATCTAGCAGTCTGAGGCCACCTCGCAAATTAAGAGATACAGGTGCTGACTGTTGTAGGGGATAGTACACAGGGAGGATGAGTGCAAGAGTTGGTAAAGAATCCAAAGAAATGTGGGTAGAGCAATGGCATTTCCTGTTGCCTCCTATCACCACTGTCTGAAGCTATGTTCCAACTCTGCTCCCTCACTACCACTGCTGGCATGGGGGAATATGTCCCCTTCTCCCCTTTTCTCTTTACAGTCCTTCTTTGGAAGAATTTTGGCATTGTCTTTCTTTTTTAAACTAAAAAGTTACAACAAGAGTGGCATCTTCCCCACTTTTATGAACATGAAAAGTGTGTCCACTTTAGCACATTCTGTCATAAGATCTGTAGTATGTACCACTTAAGCAGAAAAAATGACCACATTTCGCTGTGTGTAAAATGATGATGTAGGTGGAGGAAAGAAATAGTTTGGATACTCTAAAATTACATGCTAAGAAAGTCCTACAAAGAATTGTAGAATACAGGGATTTGGCCTTCAGGTAATGCATGTATTCTCTCCAGGTTCACATAGTTGAAGGCTGATTTTAAATTAGGTGCTAGTTTTATAAAATTGCAGACTGGGAATTTTTACGAAAATGGACTTGCAAACTTTACATTTTATTTTATTAGCAACATTTTGAGGAACTCAAAAAGATGATTTACCAAGTACAGTTTGCTCTAAAGAGTATAGTATACCTTCATAAGAGTAACAAGTATATATCTTAGGATATAGCAGATTTACATTCTCTCCTATTATCTATTATTTTACTTGCTAAAATGTAATAGTAATCTGAGAGATGCAGGTGAGATAGATAAGTAAAATAACACAGACATGAAATCCAGATTCTTATTATTATGTATGACTTTTCTTTTGCAGGGTTTGATGTGATTTTTAAGGATGTGCAGGAAGAGACATGCTGCGTGTGTGTGTGTGTGTGTGCGTGTGTGTGTGTGTATGTGAATGCTTGCTATATTCACAGATATATTTGAATAAATTATATGGTCCCTTAGAAGTTTGTCTTGGGGCTGGGCGCAGTGGCTCACGCCTGTAATCCCAGCACTTTGGGAGGCCGAGTCAGGTGGATCAGGAGGTCGGGAGTTTGAGACCAGCCTGACCAACATGGTGAAACCTCATCTCTACTAAAAATACAAAAATTAGCCAGGCGTTGTGGCACATGCCTGTAATCCCAGCTACTTAGGAGGCTGAGGCAGGAGAATCACTTGAACCCAGGAGGTGGAGGTTGCCATGAGCCGAGATTGTGCCACTGCATTCCACAGCCTGGGTGACAGAGCAAGACTCCTTCTCAAAAAAAAAAAAAAAAAATGTCTGGCGAGCCCTAGGGTTTAAAACAAAAGATTATTTTCTTCAGTAAGCACTTTTAAATGTGTACCTTCTCCCCAAAAAGAATAACAAATGAAAACTGAAAAGCATAAAACAAATAAGATAAATGGATGAACATGTAATGAGTGTTAAACTCCGGAGTTGGACCTGAGAGGGCTTTTGCTTTCCATTTCTAGTTCTGGCACCTTCCTCAAGCTCCATAGCTCTCTTAAGCTGCAGGCTTTTTGTCTTTAAAATGTGTGTATAATTCATATCCACTTCTTGGGGTATGGTGAGGACCAGCTGGCATAATGAATGATGCCTACCACAGCGCCCACCTCCTAGTCAGAACTCAGTAAATGGTAGTGACTATAATTATTATTGCATCATTGGCATCAGACTAAAAATAATGTCCTACAGAATATATATTTCTGCTAGCTACTTTAAATCCTTAACTTCACATTCACATAGTATTGTAACAACAAATTTGAATAATATATCCTATTTTCCTTTCCTTTCTCTCCCTCCCTCCTTTTTTTCCTTCCTTCCCTCCCTCTTGTTTCTCTCTCATAAGACTGTGTGTTGCACTCAGATTCAGAGTCATATTAAAATGCTCCTTCACTGCAGTCATATGTATTATTAAATCAGGAAATACAGTCTTTCTAAAACTCCATTAGAAATTCACGGAAGCCTCTCCAGGTTAAACACCAGTTTCAGCTTGACCTCTTTTAGAAAACACTGCACTGGTACTTTAAAGCAAAACTGTTTCCTCTATTTCAAGAAAAGCAAAGGCAAATTATTTTCTAATTCGAGACACCATGGCGCTCTGTGAATTTAGCCTATTATTTTGTTGTAAACCTAAGCTAAAGCACATACTTAGTTTGACATCATTAAGTAAATCATAAATTTAAGGCAAGCAAGCCAACAAACACACAAACAAATATAACCAGAAGATTCGCATTACCAAGTAAAATTGCTAATTTTCTGATATAAACTGGGCTAACAACATTCTCTTCATTTAAATCATGGACAAATTCTGCATGGGTTGAGTTATTATTCCTAATTAATTTTATTATGTAAAGGTTAACAACAGACAGGCCAGTGCTGTTCTATTGTTAAGCTTATGAAGTGTTTAAAATCATATTTCCAAAGAACACTTGAAAATCAGCCACTAGCCATTTTTCCTTGCAAATGGACATTTGTTGATGACTTTATTGTGAAAAATGATTCCTAGAATCTTTTTTTGGGTGATGAGGGGGAAGAAGGAGTCTCACTTTGTTCCTCAGGCTGGAGTGCAGTGGCATGATCACAAAAATGTGCCTTATAATAGAATTTTCCTAAAAAACCAAGTATTAACATTTCTCTACTTTTCTTAAGCCCCGCAGATTTGAAAAAAAAAAAAAACTGATTAACAAGGGCAAACTGCCTTTTGGATCAGGCTATACTAAATAGGAAATAGACCTAGTCTTCTAAGAATTGGGAGAAGACATACCAGTGATATATGCAGTGTTTGAACACTTCTGCAATTTGTGATCTTATTGCAAAAGCACCCAGACTCACAGTTTACTAGAGGTCAGTAAGCTTGGACTGTTGTTGATTGGGGATTGTTCTTGAGTCGACCTCTTTTGTCATACTGTCAGAAGCATTTAAACCAGAAAAACTCCATCTTGAATAGGGGCTGGGTAAAATTAGGCTGAGACCTATTGGGTTGTATTCCCAGGAGGTTAGGCACAAGCTACAGATCACTCTAAGTCACAGGATAACATAGGAGGTCAGCACAAGATGTTGCTGATAAAACAGGTTACAGTAAAGAAGCTGGCCAAAACCCACCAAAACCAAGATGGTGACAAGAGTAACCTGTAGTTGTCCTCACTGCTCGTTATATGCTAATTATAATGCATTAGCATGGTAGAAGACACTCCCACCAGTGCCATGACAGTTCACAAATGCCATGGGAACGTCAGGAAGTAAGTTATCCCATACGGTCTAAAAAGGGAAGGAACCCTCAGTTCTCAGAATCGCCCATCCCTTTCCCTGAAAACTCATGAATAATCCACCCCTTGTTTAGCATATAGCCAAGAAATAACCATAAAATGGGCAACCAGCAGCCCTTGGGGCTGCTCTGCCTGTGGAGTAACCAGTTTTTATTCCTTTATTTTCTTAATAAACTTGGTTTCACTTTACTCTATGGACTCTCCCCGAATTCTTTCTTGCACAAGATCCAAGAACCCTCTCTTGGGGTCTAAATTGGGACCACTTTCTGGTAACAATATGGAGATATTGATCTCATGGGCTTTTATGAAGATTAAATAAGATGATATATTCAAAGTTCCTACACAATGCTTTCAATTGAATAAGTACTCAATAAATGAGGTTCCCTTTCCCCTTGACTCTTAGTCCATGTCAATGTTGGAAATTTAAATGAAAACCTCACAGGAGCCTTGGGGCATTGCTTTTCCGGCCAGAAACCTCTGTGGGTGGTGACACCTTTGCCCATGTTTTGCTCACGCATGCTGGGCTTGTTCCACCCACTTGGCCTGGCAGGCTGCACTTGGCTTGTGCTACCAGCCAGGATCCCCTGGCCTGCCAAGGGCAAGCCAGACACGAAGTGGTGAGGGGTGTGTGGGGTGTGTGAGTGAGTGAGCATGGGGTCCAGCCACAGTGCACAGCCAGGCACACCAGCTGTGGTGGGGTGGGCAGCTCCAGGCACTGGCATGGGTGCCAACTCCCTGAGAGGCTTTGGCTTGACCAAGCGTACTGCAAGCAGCTTCCATGGCTGGCACCGGGGAATGCAGTGTTGTCCCTAAGCTTGGAGATGCCAGGAACCACAGATCCCGAAGAGGGTGTCACAGCCTTCAGGGAGCCCATTGGTCTGGGCTCTCTGAAGGGCCATAAGTCTTCTCTCCTTCTCCCTCCTTTCCTTCTTGTCACCCCCAACATGGCAAGTAAGGGACGTGTTTCAGCCGTTTGTGTTACAGCTCTTTTAGCCCTACCATTTGGTGGGTCCTGAGTTCTTGTATTGTGTCCAGGAAGAATGAAGCATATGGACAAGTGGAGGGTGAGCAAGGTGAAAAGGTGCTTTATTGAGTGACAGAACAGCTCAGAGGAGACCTGCAGTAGGTAGCTCCTGTCCGCAGGCAGATCATCTTGACGAGTGTCCACCTCTCAGCAGAGAGGAGACCCACAGTCAGTAGCTCCTCTCCACAGGCAGGTTGTCCTGTCATCTGCCCAAGTCTGCCTGAATCTGGTGTTTTTATTGGCTTCAGAAGGTAGGAAATGCGTGCTGATTGGTCCATGGGTGGCCATGGGCAGGCTCCGAAAAAGCACTCTTAAGTTCTCACTCGGGTCTGTGGAGCTGGCAAACCAGCCCCCAGGCCTCAGGCCATCCCTGGCCTAAAAGTGGGGTTTTACTGAGGACCTGACTCTTTCTGCCCAGGAACCTGTCTGCCTCCTGCTGCCATTTACCTGCCATCCATGATGCCCATGGCACCCAGGCTGTTCATGCCAAGGGGTGCCTTAAGGCCCATGTTAAGTCACCCTTAGCACCCCCTTGGCCTCCCTCTTGTGCTTGTTGGCACCCAAAGTCCGGAGTGGGCCAAGGTGGCAGGGGGTTGACATGTCAGTTTGTCCTGAGTGTACACACACCCGGCCGACTCATGATAGTGCCTGGGCTCAGCCACAACTTTGCTTCAAAATCGGAGTGGGCACTGGGAGTGGGGAGAAGACAGGTAGCAGGAGCAGGCACTTTCAAGCCTTCCTGGGGAGGGGGGCTTCCTGAGTCCCCAGGAGTGCAGAGATGGCTGGGTTTGCAGCTGGGGCTGGGCAGTTGCAGCTGCGCCCAGGAAGGTGGGGCTCCCACCACTCCAACTTGGAATGGGGCGGGGATTCCACCTGTTCCTAGCTCCCACTGGCTCCATGGAGTGAGCAGCCCTGGCTGCAACTTCCCCACTGCAGCTGACATCATGGCAGTGGCCACTCCAGATGGGCTGCTGCTGCCATCAAAATGATATAAACTCGTGAATAATACAAGGTAGAAATTGATTACATGACTGATTCCTGATGCAGACAATAAAAACCGTGGAAGCGCTGAGAAGCCAGAGGTCACTGATGATGCCATAGTTATTTGATAATGAGACATGACCTGTCACTTTAGTGGAGCTACACTGCTTTTAGAACAAAAGCCAAATCCTACTATGACCTATTATGCTTGACTTCACCTGCCTCTACTCGTCCATTAGTCTCACTTCACAACATTCTGTCCTTACCCTCTGTGTATCCTAGCTATCCAAGTGAGAACATGAGATATTTGTCTTTTTGTGCCTGGTTTATTTCACTTAAGATAGTGACCTCCAGTTCCATCCATGTTATTGCAAATGACATTTTTTTAATGACTGAATATTACGTCATTGTCAATATTATGTCAATTAACACTTAGGTTAATTCCATATCTTTGCTATTGTGAATAGTGCTTCAATAGACATAGGAGTGCAGGTGTCACTCCATATGTTGATTTATTTTCCTTTGGGTAAATACCCAAAGGGAACCCTGTATCCTGGCCAATATTCGTTATTTTTGTATTTTTAATAATAGGCTTTCTAACTGGGGTAAAATATTATCTAATTGTGGTTTTGATTTGCATTTCTCCAATGATTAGTAGAGTTTTTTTAATGTATCTATTAGTTATTTGTACTTTTGAGAAATGTCTCTTCATGTCCATTGCATCCTTTTAATGGGATTTATTTTTTCCTGTTGACTTGTTTGAATTTCTTGTATATTCTGAATATTAGTCCATTCTTGGATACTTTGTAAATATTTTCTCCCATTCAAAAGGTTCTCTCTTCATTACTGATTATGTCTTTGTACAAAAGCTTTTCAGTTTAATTAATTTCCATTGTTCTATTGTTTTGTTGTTGTTGCCTGTGCTTTGGAGATATTAGTCATAAATTCTTTGCCTAGACCAATGTCCAGGAGAGTTTTCTTTAGATTTTCTTCTAGTACTTTTATAGTTTCAGGTCTTACATTTAAGTCTTTAATCTATCTTGGTTGATTTTTGTGTATGGTGAAAGATAAATATCCAGTTTCATTCTTCTGCATGTGGCTATTTAATTTTCCCAACAGCATTTATTGAAGAGAGTGTCTTTTGTCCAGTGTAAGTTCTTGTCAGTTTTATCAAATATCGGTTGGCTGTAAATATGTGGCTTTATTTTTGCGTGCTCTATTCTCTTCCATTGATCTATATGTCTATTTTTATACTAATAACATATTGTTTCAGTTACTATAGACTTTTAATGTGATACCTCTAGCTTTGTTCTTTTTGCTCAGGATTACATTATTTATTTGGGCTTTTTTGTTTCATATATTAATACATTTTAGAATTGTTTTTACTAAGTCTGTGAATGACATTGGTATTTTCATAGGAATTGTATTGAATATGTAGATTGCTTTGGGCAACATAGTCATATTAACAATATAAACTCTTCCAATCCATAAACATGGGATGTTTTTCCATTTGTTTGTGTCACTTTCAATTATTTTCATCACCTTTTTGTAGTTTTCCTTGTAGAGATCTTTTATCTCATTGGTTAAATTTATTCCTAGGTATTTGTTTTGTATCTATTGCAAATGAGATCGCTTTTATTTATTGATTTTTCTCTGACAGACTGACAGAGTCTCAGTCTGTCACCCAGGCTGGAGTAAAGTGGTGATTATAGCTCGCTGCAGCCTTGAATTCCTGGATTCAAGTGATCCTCCTGCCTCAGTCTCCTGAGTAGCTGGGACTACAGACACACATCACTCTACCCAGCTTATTTTTTTAAATTTTAGTGTATATTTTTTGTAAAGACAGGGTCTTGATATGCTGCCCAGGCTGGACTTGAACTGGCTTCAAGTAATCCTCCCATCTCCTTCTCCCAAATTGTTGAGGTTACGGATGTGGGCCACTGCACTCAGCCCAAGGATTGTTTTCTTGATTTTTTTTCTCAGCTCAATCAATGTTGATATATGGAAATGTTAATTTTTGTATATTGATTTTGTGGTCCGCAACTTTACTGAATTTATTTATCAGATCTAAGAGTATTTTAGTGGATTCTTTAGGTTTTTCTAGATATAAGATCCTTTCATTAACAAAGAGAGTGAGTTTGCCTTCCTCTTTTCCAATTTGGTGCCTTTTCTTTTCTTTTTCTTTTGCCTGATTAGTCTGGCCTGAACTTTCAGTAATACGTTTATTAGGAGTGGTGAAAGTGGGCATCCTTGTCTTGTTCCAGTCTTAGAGAAAATGCTTTCAACTTTTCCCCATTCAGTAGGATGTAAGCTGTGGGCTTATCATATATGGCTTTTATTATAATGATTTTTATTAAAATTTTTTATGAGTCTATTGAGATGATCATATGGTTTTGTCCTTCATTTTGTTGATGTGATGTATTACATTTATTGAAAATTCTACCTTATTATAGTGTATTATCTTATTTATGTGCTGTTGGATTCAGTTTGCTAGTATTTTGTTGAGGATTTTTGTGTTTGTGTTCTTCAGGGATATTGACCTGCATGTTTTTGTTTTGGCATGTCCTAGTTTGGTTTTAGTATCACGGTAATACTGGGCAAGTAAATTGAGTTGGGAGGAATTATCTCTTTGCTGTTTTGGAATAGTTTCAGGAGGATTGACATTAGTTCTTCTTTGTACATTTGGTAAAATTTGGTTATGAATCCATCGGTCCTGGACTTTTCTTTGCTGGGAGACATTTTTTATTACTGATTCAATTTCACTTTTCGTTATTGGTATGCTCTGGTTTTCTCTTTCTTCTTGATTCATCTTAGTAGGTTGTATGTTTCCAGGAATTTATTTCCTCTAGGTTTTCCAGTCTGTCAGTGTGTAGTTGTTCATAGTAGTCTTTGATGATCTTTCGTATTTCTGTGGTATCAGTTGTAATGTCTCTTTTTTTTCATTTCTGATTTTGTTTGTTTGGGTCTTCTCTCTTCTTTTCTTGATTAATCTAACTACTGGTTTATTAATTTTGTTTCTTTTCAAAGAACCAACTGTTAATTTCATTGATTCTTCGTATTTTTATTTTTAATTTCTATTTAATTTAGCTCAGTTCTGGTCTTTATTATTTCTTTTCTTCTGCTAATTTTGCATTTGGTTTGTTCTTGCTTTTTAGTCACTTGAAATGCACTCTTAGATCGTTAGTTTCTCATCTTTCTACTTTTTTTGAAATTGGTGTTTATTGCTGTAAACTTCCCTTTTAGCACTGCTTTTGCTGTGTCCCACAGGTTTTGGTATACTGTGTTTCCATTTTTATTTGTTTCAAGAAATTTTTTGATTTCCATCTTGAAATATTTTTGTTGACCCAGTGGTCATTCAGAAACATGTTGTTTAATTTCCTGTATTTGTATAGTTTCAAGCTTCCCTTTGTATTGATTTCTGGTTTTATTACATTGTAGTGTGAGAGGATACTTCATGATTTTGACTTTTAAAAGTAATTATGTCTTGTTTTGTGGCCTAACATATGGTCCATCCTGGAGAAAGTGTTGACGAAAAGAATGTATATTTTGAAGCTGTTGGATAGAATGCTCTGTAAATGTCTGTTAGGTCCATTTGGTCTAAAGCCCTGTTTAAATCCATGGGATTTAAAACCCCTGTCTGCCAGGGTTTTCTCTGTACGTTATTAAATAGCTTTCTCTTGGTGTTTTTAGGATTTTCTCTTTAACTTTGACTTTAGACATTCTGATTTTAATGTGCCCTGGGGAAGATTTTTTGTATTTATCTATCTGGGGATTGAGCCTCCTGAATATAAATGTCTAAACCTCTTGCTAGACTTGGGATGTTTTCATCCATTATTTTGTTAAATATGTTTTCTGATCCTTTCCTTGTTTCTTCATTCCCAGGGAGGCAATAATTTGTATATTCAGTCACTTTATGTTGTCTCAAATGTCACAATGGCTTTGCTTATTCTTGTTTTTCCTTTTTTCTTCTTTTTTCAGTTTGGATTATTTTAAAAGATGTCTTCAAGTTATGAGGCTCTGTCTTCTGTGTAACCTAGTCTATTGTTGAAGCTTTCAAATGTATTTTGGATTTCCTTCAATAAATTCTTCAGTTCAGGAATTTCTATTTGATTCTTTTAAAAATATCCATCTTTTCAGTATAATTCTCACTCATAACC
The DNA here is from genome assembly GCF_000001405.40 of Homo sapiens. NCBI lineage: Eukaryota > Metazoa > Chordata > Mammalia > Primates > Hominidae > Homo > Homo sapiens. The sequence goes on along the minus strand of NC_000005.10, from coordinate 40,349,876 downwards.
TGAACTATATTTCTGATTTATATTTCTGATTTTTTGTACTGTTTTTCAGAATTCCCTTGGATCTCACTGAGTTTCTTTAAAATCAATGTTTTTAATTCTTTATCTGGGGTTTTGAAAATTTCATTTTGATTAAGATCTATTCCTGGAGAATTATTGTGTTCCTTTGCAAGTGTTATATTTCCTTGCTTTTTCATTCTTCATTTGTTCTTACATACATTGACATTTACGCATTTGTTGTTAACAGTCGGTTCTTACTATTTTTGAATATACTTTCATTGAGGGAGGATCTTTTTCCAAAGATGTATCTATGGTGTTGGTTGGATAAGTTACTCTGGCTCTGATTCTGGACATGTTCGGTAGTGTAGTCTCTCTGTATGATTTCTTTGATATTAGTGGTGTCTTTGATTCACTTGGTGGGTTAGGGTGTGGCTATTACGGAGGCTATGGTAAAGTTGTTCTGGAGACTAGGATACCAGGTGGGCTGGTCCTCAGGCCCCAGTAGTGGCAGCCATAGGCTGAGTGTGCCTACCTTTGTGCCCCAGTGGCACCTGTGTTGGCAGTTACTGGTGGGTCTATTCTTGGGTCTCTAGGTGGCATGCTCAAATGCTGATAATGACGCAGTGGACTGGGCAGGCTGGTAAGTACTCACGTCCCTGACAGCTGGTGTGGATTGGGTGATAATAGTGGCAATGGTGGGAAAATTCTCTGGGTCTCAAGTGGTATGTGTTGCTGTTGGCTATGGCTGTGAGGGGTTGGGTGAGCGAGTCTACAGGCCCACAAGTGGAACTTGCAGGTGGGTGGCAGCTGAGGTGGTAGCAGCTGGGAGGTTAGGTCTGACCTTAGGCCCCCAGGAGGAGTGCTCAGGTACCCAAGATGGTGGATTAGTGATCCCCAGAACCTCAGGCTATGTGCACTGTCCTGAGGGGGCCAAAGCTGGGCTGCATGAGCTTGTGCTTAGGTGTGCCCCCAACCCCCCACCATGGTGAAAGTGGGCACCAGATGTGGAGGGCCAGGGTGGGGTGATCTTCAGGTCCCAGGAGCAGTGCTTGGAATAAAGGGCAATAGCAGAAAAGCTGAGGCACTGCCATGGCAGAGATTGGGGCCTCCCTCAGTGGTCTCAGCTGATATGTGGGCGACGTGGATCTCATTCACACCCCAGTCCCTTCAGGGCTTGTCTCTTGCTCTGGCTACAGGAGACTACGCCCAGTTTATGACCAAGTCCCAGTGGCAATTCACACTATGCTCGCATCCCCATCTTAGATCTCAGCAGCTAAGCACTTGCTTCCCATGACTGGAAACTGCTGCCTACTCCTTGCTTGCTTTCTAGCCCTGGCGGTGGCAGTGCTCCAGGCTTGCTCTGCTGTCCCAGCAATGACAGCTTGGGTTTCAGTAATGCCTCATTCCCAGTGCCCCTGGGTCCCAGAACAGTGTGCAGTACCAGAGCTAGTTTTGAAAATGACAACTTGCTGTAGCTGCATAGGTCTTAGAAAGGGTGTGAGATACCGTATGAGCTCCCTCCCTGGAGGAGTTCCATCCCACAGTCTCCCAGCAGCTTCCTACGTTATTTCAGGGGTTGAGAGAAATGAGGGCATCTCCGTAGGCCAGAATTGCGTGATTGCATGGTGGGGATGTGGGCTGCTGGAAGTCTTTTACTCATCCCTTCCCTGTGTTGAGAAGTCACTCCAGGCTTGCAGCCAATCCCGGCCAGGGAGGTTGCCTCTTCTCCCATCCGCCCCACCGACTCCCACTTTTGGTGCCTCCTGTCACTTCCCTGTTGAATTCAGTGTTCTCTCTTGGAAAATAAACTCAAAGTGTAACTATCTATGCACTACACTACTCTAGTTCTTCTAAGTTTAGCAGCAGGCTTAAAATGCTTCTAATCAGCCATCTTCAACCCCCGCCCTCCTTGTCTCTAGTTTGCTCCTTCCTTCCTTTTCTTTCCTTCCTTCCTTCCTTCCTTTCCTTTCCTTTCTTTCTTTCTTTGCTTTCTTTCCTTTTTTTTCTTTCTGCCTCAGAGCCTATGCACATGCTTTTTTCTCATCTGAAATGTCCTTTGTTGCTTTTTTCCTGTCTCCTTATTCGCAGCTTGACCTTGCCTAGGTTTGTTTGTCCTTCATATTTCAGAATATGTGCTATTTTTTCCCCCAGAGGAATCTTGCAAAACCACCTCAGTTACATACTATCAAAAATTTGTAGTTCTTCTTCATAGCGTGTATTTAAATAAGCAATTCTGTAATTGGTTCTTCAATGTCTGGATTCACCTCTGTGAAGATAGAAACGATCTTCTTTCGGTTTAGCAATATGTTCCTAGTGCCTAACAGAGTGTTTTAACCCATAGTCAGCACTCAACAAATAATGATTGAATGAATGAATGAATTAGTAAATAATTAAACACGAATGTGAGGTACAAAGATGAAACGTCAATTTTCCCTGATACTTCTATGATTGAATTTAGAAAATTGGAGGCACTGCACTAGTTTTAAAAACTCTACTCATAGTAAACTGCTGTCTACTTCTTGTTGTGAAAATCTATTTTAACATGGTTTGGGTTTTTAGATTTAGGTGTGATACACAATATCTCCTCCTTTTTTGTGTGTGTCAGCCTCTAGAAGGGAACTCTATCCTGGATGAGGAAGAATAAACTTGGCTCGTGATATAAAAAATTTGGTACAGTGAACTATGAGATAGTTGCAGGGGCTTGCCCACAAATATCTGCAAATTCCATGTGTTCATATATTGCAATAAAACTACCTCCCCTCTGGGAGCTGGCTAAGAAAAAATTTAGTATTTAATGAAAAGTTGGCTCAATAAGTAATACTTTCCAAATCAGAAAATAAAACTTTAAGAGGAAGAAATGTGGATAACCATTCCATGTGACTGTAGACATTAGGACTTGGCTTGAAGGCAACTTTTATTACATAAGCCTGTTTGGGAGTACAATTAGTGAAAAGGGATATAATATGAAATTTTAATAATTTTCTGTATTAACATTTCTAGTTATTAGTATAATGATCAACACTTATCCATCTACTAAACTGTTTAGGCAAGATATAAACATATTGTTTTTCTTTTTTTTCAATGAAAGTAGAGGGAGGGACATAGATAAAAAGAAAGCAGATGTTTTAATTTTTGTAAAAAAAAAACCAGCAATAATCTGGGGTTGGTTAGCTTCATGACTATCCATCTTAAGGACATGGTTTGCCAGTAAAGTGTAAATGCTCTTGGAGCTGTTTGGAGAACTCCATGGAATATCATGTCATAACCTCATAATGCCTGGTTGCTATGTGCGTCTGTCTTAATCATAATCTAGGTGCTACTGGGTCAACCACACTATCAATACAGATGTGCAGTTGAGTATAGAAGTAATGCTTCCTCGGTAATTAATCTTTTAATTTTTCTGCATAATGTGGAAAACAGAATACTTTGATGTGATACCTCAGTAAATAAATGCCAATGTATGTTCTTTTATTTTTTCCATCATAAAAATATCACAACATTAAAGATTGCCTCCCAAATAATACCCATAGTCTCACTATCCTAATAAAACTAATTTCCTGTTTACATTTAAAAATTATGCTGCATATGTCTATACTTAGTTGAACATTATATAATGATTTCATCCTACTTCATCAAATCATTGTGTAATAATTTATTTCCCATTTATTTAGTGTACAGGTGTTTTTTTCTACTTTTTCCTGGTATAGATATAATGCCCAGCTTCTGTTGATTACTTTCTTAAATTAATTTCTTAGATTATGATTTGAATAAAGGAGTATAACATTAGTAATAAATGCAGGCAAGAAAAAGACAGCCTTTCTACCAGTTACCTTAAGGCAGTAGAATGAGTCCCTGAGATGAGAAATATCTATAGCAGCTTATCTGTACTTACGTTTTGCTGTTTGGCACATTGTACTTTCAAGTACAGTGATAGTTTTTGTTCATGTCCTATCTCTGGTTCTATATTATAAACTCTAGAGGGCAGGATCTTATCTTATTCATCTTCATATCTTACACAGTTCTTGACCTACTACCTTCCATATCGTACCCACTCAATAAATATTTGTGAAATAATTGAAGAGAGTTAGTAGTAATTACACTAATTTAGTGTTTAAAGTTAGATTTAAAAAATTTCCAATAGTATACTTTGATTTAATTGTACCTATCTATTTTTTCTAATGGCATCCATTAATATTTTTAAGGTCAATATTCAGTTTGGTGAATCATTTCTATATAAATGCCTCTAAATTACATATGTTTCATTCACTTAACCATGGTTAGCATTTAATTTTTATATTATCAGATTCTGTGTGACACTAAGAAAAGAAAAATATTTAGGGCACCACTAAAATAACCACTGGTGAATCAGGGGATGGGATTTTGGCATATTTCTTAGAAAAGAAATAATGCCCACATATTTCATATGAGCTAGTAGATATGTGCTATATCAGGGAATATTGTAGAGTTCATGAACTTGGCATGGCCACAGAAAATTATTTATCATATCACATAATGTAATATGAACAAATTTCTAGTGCAAATTCAGTTAACAAATAGAATCAGCTAGAAGACATACTGAATATCCATGATACAATTTAAAATAGAAACATAGATCGTTTGGAGAAAATTTCTAGCTGTTAAGTGTTATCTTCCTTGCATTTTACTAATAGAACCCTTTTTCCCATTAATAGTTACGTTCTATGTAACAAATTGTGTGTTCTTCTCTGACAGCCTGACCTCCTGAGATTCCTTCCCTGTTGTAAGAATTATGGCATCTCTAATATTAAAATTATTGAGAAATTAGAAAAACAAAACCTGTTAGCTGTAATGAAAAAAGATGACAGAAAAGGGGCATAACTTTTCACTTGAGGATGTAACTCTTTGTACATTATAGAAAAATACACATAAAAATTCAGGACATAATACTAATTCCCACCCTACCCCCCCCCTGCAATAGTAAGCTATTCTATGGAAAACAGAAAAGCAAAACAAGAGAAATGAAAAACATTTTACACAAATGGGATCATACGGTATGTGTTTTTTTGTGCCTGGCTTTTATCACTTAACAGAATATTTTCAAGTTTCACCCATATTGTAGCACATATCAGTACTTCATTTATATTTATTGCCAAACAATATTTCAAGGTATGGATATATTTATTATATGGAGATGTATATATATATTTTTTCATTGTATGGATATATATATATTAATTGTATGGATATATATATTTATTGTGTATTTTTTGTTTTTTTGTTTATCCATTTATAAGTTGATAGATAATTGGTTGCTCCCAATTTTGAGCTATTATGAATAGTGCTTCTATGAAAATTTATGTGCAGGTTTTTATATGCACTGTTTTTCCCTATTTTCTCTGGATAGATATTTTAGCACAATTTCCATTAGAAGTAGTGAGAGTGGACATCTTTATCTTTTTCTTCTTCTTGGCAGAAAATTATTTAGTTTTTCTACATTAAGTATGATATTAGCTGTGGATTTTTCATAAATTTTCTTTTTCAAGTTGAAGTTTTCCTTTATTTGAGGTGTTTGTCATGACAACTGGATTTTTTTAAATGCCTTTTCTTCATCTATCGAGATATTTTTCTCTTCATTCATTAATATAGTGTATTACATTAACTAATTTTAGAATGTTAAACTAAGCCTTATGCTTCTGGGATAAAATTTCTTCTTGGTCATGGTGTGTGGTTTATAATTTCTTAAATATGCTACTGGATTTGATTTGCTAGTATTTTGTTAAGGATTTTTGCATCTGTATTGATAAAGAATATTGATCTGTAGTTTTTTTAATGTCAATCTGATTTTGCTATCAGGATAATACTAGCCCTATAAAATAAATTAAGAAGTGTTTATATCTATGCCATTTTTAAAAAGAGTTTGAGAAGGATTGGTGTTAATTCCTCTTTAAATATTTAGTAGAATTCACTAAGAAGCCATATGGCCCTGGGCTTTTCTTTGTTGGAAGTTTTTTGATTACTGATTCAATCCCTTTAACTGTTATAGGTCTGCTCAGATTTTTTGTTTCTTATTGAGTCAGTTTTGGTAATTTGTGTTTTTGTAGTAATATTTCCATTGCATATTAGTTATCTAATTTGTTGGCATACATTTATTTATGACATTATCTTATACGTTCTTTTTACTTCTGTAAGATTGGTGGTGATGTTCCACCTTTCATTCTTGATTTTAATAATTTGAATTATTTCTATTTTTTTCTTGGTAATTGTAAATAAAGGTTTGTCAATTTTGTTGATATTTTCAAAGAAAGAACTTTTGGTTTTATTGGCTTTCTCTTATTTCTCTACTCTCGATTTTTAAAAACTCCATTTTAATTTTTATTGTTTCCTTTCTTTAGCTTTGGGTTTAGTTTGCTTTTCTTTTGCTAGGATCTTAAGGTGAGAGGTTATGGACACTAGTCTTTTACTGCATGTGCGATATGCAATAATTTTTCCCCAGTCTGTAACTGTCATTTTTATTGTCTAATAAGGCCTTACACACAAAAAGTTTTTAATTTTGGTGAAATAAAATTTATTACATTTTCTTTATGAATCACGCTTTTTATGTCATACCTAAGGCATCTTAGTTGAGGATCTTTTTTTTTCCTTACATATGTATGTCTAAATTTTCCAACCTATTTTGTTGAAAAGATTATCCTTTTTCTATTGAGTTACCTTTTTACTTTTGTCAAAACCCAGTTGATCATATGTGTGTGGGTCTTTTTCTGGACTCTCTGTTCTGTCCCATTGACGTATGTGTCTATCCTTTAATTAATACTACCACACCTTTTTAATTATTGTAGCTCTTGTTAAAATCAGGTAGTATGAGTCTTCCAATTCTGTTATTCTTTTTCTTTTTTATATTTCGATAGGTTCTTGGGGAACAGGTGGTGTTTGGTTACATGGATAAGTTCTTTAGCGGTGATTTCTGAGAGTTTGGTGCACCCATCACCCGAGCTGTGTACAATGTACCCGATGTGTAGTCTTTTGTCCCTTACTCCCTTCTGCATTCCCTCCCCTCAAGTCCCCAAAGTGCATTTTATCATTCTTATGCTTTTGTGTCCTTATAGCTTAGCTCCCACTTATAACTGAGAACATACGATGTTTGGTTTTCTGTTCCTGAGTTACTTCACTTTGAATAATGGTCTTCAATTCCATCCAGGTTGCTGTGAATGCCATTATTTCATTCCTTTTTAAGACTCAGTAGTAATTAATGTGATGGATAGATAGATAAGATAGATAGATCACATTTTCTTTACCCGCTCATTGATTAATGGGCATTTGGGCTGGTTCCATATTTTTGCAATTGTGAATGGTGCTGCTATAAACATGTGTCTCCACACTGTTTTTCATAGCGGTTGTATTAGTTTACATTCTCATCAACAGTGTAAAAGTGATCCCTTTTCACCCAATCCACACCAACATCTATTATTTTTTTTTAATTTTTAAATTATCGCCATTCTTTGAGGAGTAAGGTGGTATTGTACTGTGGTTTTGATTTGCTTTTTCCTGATCATTAGTGATGTTGAGCATTTTTCCATATACTTGTTGCCCATTTATATATCTTCTTTTGATAATTGTCTACTTATGTCTTTAGGCCACATTTTGATGGGATTGTTTGTTTTATTCTTGATGATTTGTTTGAGATTGTTGTAGGTTCCATATACTAGTCCTTTGTTGTATGCATAGTTTGCAAAGATTTTAGCCCACTCTGTGGGTTGTCTGTCTACTCTGCTGATTATTTCTTTTGCTGTGCAGAAGCTTTTTAGTTTAATTAAGTTCATGAAGGTTTGTTTGTTTTGTTGTTGTTGATGTTTTCCCTGTTTTTTTTTTTTATTATACTTTAAGTTCTATGGTACATGTGCACAATGTGCAGGTTTGTTACACATGTATACATGTGCCATGTTGGTTTGATGCAACCATCAACTCGTCATTTACATTAGGTATTTTTCCTAATGCTATCCCTCCCCTAACCCCCCACCCACTGACAGGCCCCAGTGTGTGATGTTCCCTACCCTGTGTCAATATGTTCTCATTGTTCAGCTCCCATCTATAAGTGAGAACATGTGATGTTTGGTTTTCTGTCCTTGTGATAGTTTGCTTAGAATGATGGTTTCCAGCTTCATCCATGTCCCTGCAAAGGACATGAACTCATCTTTTTTTATGGCTGCATAGTATTCCATGGTGTATATATGCCATATTTTCTTAATCCAGTCTATCATTGATGGACATTTGGGTTGGTTCCAAGTCTTTGCTATTGTGAATAGTGCCACAATAAACATACGTGTGCATGTGTCTTTATAGTAGCATGATTTATAATCCTTTGGGTAACACCCAGTAATGGGATGGCTGGGTCAAATTGTATTTCTTGTTCTAGATCCTTGAGGAATCGCCACACTGTCTTCCACAATGATTGAACTAATTTACACTCCCACCAACAGTGTAAAAGCTTTCCTATTTCTCCACATCCTCTCCAGCATCTGTTGTTTCCTGACATGTTAATGATCGTCATTCTAACTGGCGTGAGATGGTATCTCGTTGTGATTTTGATTTGCATTTCTCTGATGACCAGTGATGATGAGCATTTTTTCATATGTCTGTGGGCTGCATAAATGTCTTCTTTTGAGAAGTGTCTGTTCATATCCTTCACCCACTTTTTGATGGGGTTGTTTGTTTTTTCCTTGTAAATTTGTTTAAGTTCTTTGTAGATTCCGGATATTAGCCCTTTGTCAGATGGGTAGATTGCAAAAATTTTCTCCCATTCTGTAGGTAGCCTGTTCCCTCTGATGATAGTTTCTTTTGCTGTGCAGAAGCTCTTTAGTTTAATTAGATCCCATGTTTGTATTTTGGCTTTTGTTGCCATTGCTTTTGGTGTTTTAGTCATGAAGTCTTTGCCCATGCCTATATGCTGAATGGTATTGCCTAGATTTTCTTCTAGGGTTTTTATGGTGTTAGGTCTTACATTTAAGTCTTTAATCCATCTTGAGTTAATTTTTGTATATGGTGTAAGGAAGGAATCCAGTTTCAGCTTTCCTACATATGGTTAGCCAGTTTTCCCAGCACCATTTATTAAATAGGGAATCCTTTCCCCATTTCTTGTTTTTGTCAGGTTTGTCAAAGATCAGATGGTTGTAGATGTGTGGTGTTATTTCTGAGGCCTCTGTTCTGTTCCATTGGTCTACATATTTGTTTTGGTACCAGTACCTTGCTGTTTTGGTTACTGTAGCCTTGTAGTATAGTTTGAAGACAGGTAGTGTGATGCCTCCAGCTTTGCTCTTTTTATTTAGGATTGTCTTGGCTAGGTGAGCTCTTTTTTGATTCCACATGAACTTTAGTTTTTTTCCAATTCTGTGAAGAAAGTCAGTGGTAGCTTGATGGGGATGGCATTGAATCTATAAATTATCTTGGGCAAAATGGCCATTTTCATGATATTGATTCTTCCTATCCATGAGCATGGAATGTTCTTCCATTTGTTTGTGTCCTCTTTTATTTTGCTGAGCAGTGGTTTGTAGTTCTCCTTGAAGAGGTCCTTCACATCCCTTGTAAGTTGGATTCCTAGGTATTTTATTCTCTTTGTAGTAATTGTGAATGGGAGTTCACTCATGATTTGGCTCTCTGTTTGTCTGTTATTGGTGTATAGGAATGCTTGTGATTTTTGCATGTTGATTTTGTATCCTGAGACTTTGCTGAAGTTGCTTATCAGCTTAAGGAGATTTTGGGCTGAGATGATGGGATTTTCTAAATCTACAATCATGTCATTTGCAAACAGAGACAACTTGATTTCCTCTTTTCCTAATTGAATACCCTTTATTTCTTTCTCTTTCCTGATAGCCCTGACCAGAACTTCCAACACTATGTTGAATCAGAGTGGTGAGAGAGGGCATCCTTGTCTTGTTCTGGTTTTCAAAGGGAATGATTCTAGTTTTTGCCCATTCAGTATGATATTGGCTGTGGGTTTGTCACAAATAGCTCTTATTATTTTGAGATACAATCCATCAATATCTAGTTTATTGAGAGTTTTTAGCATAAAGGGCTGTTGAATTTTGTCTAAGGCCCTTTCTGCATCTATTGAGATAATCATGTGATTTTTGTCATTGGTTCTGTTTATATGCTGGAAAATGTTTATTGATTTGCGTATGTTGAACCAGCCTTGCATCCCAGGGATGAAACCAGCTTGATCATGGTGGATAAGCTTTTTGATGTGCTGCTGGATTCAGTTTGCCAGTATTTTATTGAGGATTTTTGCATGAATATTCATCAGGGATATTGGCCTAAAATTCTTCTTTTGTTGTGTCTCTGCCAGGCTTTGGTATCAGGATGATGCTGGCCTCATAAAATGAGTTAGGGAGGATTCCCTCTTTTTCTATTGATTGGAATAGTTTCAGAAGGAATGGTACCAGCTCCTCTTTATACCTCTGGTAGAATTCACTGTCAATCTGTCTGGTCCTGGACTTTTTTTGGTTGGTAGGCTATTAATTAGTGCCTCAATTTCAGAACTTGTTGTTGGTCTATTCAGAGATTTGACTTCTTCCTGGATTAGTCTCGGGACTAATCCAATGTGTCCAGGAATTTATTCATTTCTTCTAGATTTTCTAGTTTATTTGTGTATAGGTGTTTGTACTATTCTCTGATGGTAGCTTGTATTTCTGTGGGATTGGTGGTGATATCCCCTTAATCAGTTTTTATTGCATCTATTTGTTTCTTCTCTATTTTTTTCTTTATTAGTCTTGCTATTGGTCTGTCTATTTTGTTGATCTTTTCAAAAAACCAGCTCTTGGATTCATTGATTTTTTGAAGGGTTTTTTCTGTGTCTATCTCCTTCAGTTCTGCTCTGATCTTAGTTATTTCTTGCCTTCTGCTAGCTTTTGAATGTGTTTGCTCTTGCTTCTCTAGTTCTTTTAATTGTGATGTTAGGGTGTTGATTTTAGATCTTTCTTCCTTTCTCTTGTGGGCATTTAGTGCTGTAAATTTCCCTCTACACACTGCTTTAAATGTGTCCCAGAGATTCTGGTATGCTGTGTCTTTGTTCTCATTGTTTTCAAAGAACACCTTTATTTCTGCCTTCATTTCATTATGTACCCAGTAGTCATTCAGGAGCAGTTTGTTCAGTTTCCATGTAGTTGTGTGGTTTTAAGTGAGTGTCTTAATCCTGAGTTCTAATTTGATTGCACTGTGGTTTGAGAGATAGTTTGTTGTGATTTCCGTTACATTTGCTGAGGAGAGTTTTAGTACCAATTATGTGGTCAATTTTAGAATAAGTGCGATGTGTTTCTGAGAAGAATGTATATTCTGTTGATTTGGGGTGGAGAGTTCTGTAGATGTCTGTTAGGTCTGCTTGGTGCAGAGCTGCGTTCATGTACTGAATATCCTTGTTAACCTTCTGTCTCATTGATCTGTGTAATATTGACAGTGGGGAGTTAAAGTCTCTGACTATCATTGTGTGGGAGTCTAAGTCTCCTTGTAGGTCTGTAAGGACTTGCTTTATGAATCTGGGTGCTCCTGTATTGGGTGCATATATATTTGGGATAGTTAGCTCTTCTTGTTGAATGGATCCCTTTACCATTATGTACTAGCCTTCTTTGTCTCTTTTGATCTTTGTTGGCTTAAAGTCTGTTTTATCAGAGACTAGGATTGCAACCACTGCTTTTTTGTTGCTTTCCATTTTCTTGGTAGATCTTCCTCCATCCCTTTATTTTAAGCCTATGTGTGTCTCTGCACATGAGATGGGTCTGCTGAATACAGCACACTGATGGATCTTGACTCTTTATCTAATTTGCTAGTCTGTGTCTTTTAATTGGGGCATTTAGCCCATTTACATTTAAGGTTAATATTGTTATGTGTGAATTTGATCCTATCATTATGATGTTAGCTGGTTATTTTGCCCGTTGATTGGTGCAGTTTCTTCATAGCATCGATGGTCTTTACCATTTGGCATGTTTTTGCAGTGGCTGGTACCAGTTGTTCCTTTCCATGTTTAGTGCTTCTTTCAGGAGCTCTTGTAAGGCAGGCCTAGTGGTGACAAAATCTCTAGACATTTGCCTGTCTGTAAAGGATGTTATTTCCACTTCACTTATGAAGCTTAGTTTGGCTGGATATCAGATTCTGGATTGAACATTCTTTTCTTTAAGAATGTTGAATATTGGCCCCCTCTCTCTTCTGGCTTGTAGGGTTTCCACCGAGAGATCTGCTGTTAGTCTGATGGGCTTCCCTTTGTGGGTAATCTGACCTTTCTCTCTGGCTGCCCTTAACATTTTTTTTTCATTTATTTCAACCTGGGTGAATCTGAAAATTATGTGTCTTGGGGTTGCTCTTCTTGTGGAGTATCTTTGTGGTGTTCTCTGTATTTCCTGAATTTGAATGTTGGTTTGCCTTGCTAGGTTGGGGAAGTTCTCCTGGATAATATCCTGAAGAGTGTTTTCTAACTCCCTGTCACTTTCAGGTACACCAATGAAACGTGTATTTGGTCTTTTCACATAGTCCCATATTTCTTGGAGACTTTGTTCATTTTTTTCACTCTTTTTTCTCTAATCTTGTCTTCTTGGTTTATTTCATTAATTTGATCTTCAATCACTGATACCCTTTCTTCCACTTGATTGAATTGGCTACTGAAGCTTGTGCATGCATCACGAAGTTCTTGTGCTTTGGTTTTCAGCTCCATCAGTACATTTAAGGTGTTCTCTACACTGTTTATTCTTGTTAGCCATTCGTCTAACCTTTTATCAAGGATTTTAGCTTCCTTGCGATTGGCTAGAACATGCTCCTTTAGCTCAGAGAAGTTTGTTATTACCGACCTTCTGAAGCCTACTTCTGTCAACTCGTCAAAGTCATTCCTCTGTCCAGTTTTGTTCCCTTGTTGGGGAGCAGCTGCGATCCTTTGAAGGAGAAGAGGCGCTCTGGTTTTTGGAATTTTCAGCTTTTCTGCTCTGTTTTCTACCCATCTTTGTGGTTTTATCTACCTTTGGTCTTTGATGTTGGTGACCTACAGATGGGGTTTTGGTGTGAATGTCCTTTTTGTTGATGTTGATGCTATTCCTTTCTGTTTGCTACTTTTCCTTCTAATAGTCAGGCTCTTCAGTTGAAGGTCTGTTGGAGTTTGCTGGAGGTCCCCTCCAGACCCTGTTTCCCTGGGTATCACCAGTGGAGGCTGCAGTACACCAAATATTGCTGCCTGATCCTTCCCTTGGAAGCTTCATCCCAGAGGGGCACCCACCTGTATGAGGTGTCTGTTGGCCCCTACTGGGAGTTGTCTCCCAGTCAGGCTACACGGGGGTCAGGGACCCACTTGAGGAGGCAGTCTGTCCGTTCTCAGAGCTCGAACACCATGCTGGGAGAACCACTGCTCTCTTCAGAGCTGTCAGAGAGGGAAGTTTAAGCCTGCAGAGACTGTCTTTCTTTTGTTTAGCTATGCTCTGCCACAGAGGTCGAATCTAGATAGGCAGTAGGCCTTGCTGAGCTGCAGTGGACTCTGCCCAGTTTGAGCTTCCTGGCCACTTTGTGAGCATAAAACCGCCAACTCAAGCCTCAGCAATGGTGGACACCCCTTCCCTTGCCAATCTGCAGCATTGCAGGTCAATCTCAGACTGCTGTGCTAGCGGTGAGAAAGGCTTTGTGAGCGTGTGACCTGCCGATCCAGGCACAGGAGGGGATCTCCTGGTCTGTTGGTTGCTAAGACTGTGGGAAAAGTGCAGTATTTGGGCAGGAGTGTATCATTCCTCCAGGTGCAGTCTGTCATGTCTTCCCTTGGCTAGGAAAGGGAAATCCCCCAACTCCTTGTGCTTCCTCTATGAGGAGACACACTGCCCTGCTTCAGTTTGCCCTCCATTGTCTGCACCCACTGTCCAACTAGCCGCAGTGAGATGAACCATGTACCTCAGTTGGAAATGCAGAAATCACCCATCTGTGTCGATCTCTCTGGGAGTAGCAGACCAGAGCTGGTCCTATTTGGCCATCTTGGAAGCCTCCCTGTTGTTCTTTTTTTTTTTTTTTAGAGATGGGGTCTTATTATTTTGCCCCAGCTGAATTTTTACCTCTGGGTTCAGACAATCTTCCTGCCTCAGCCTCCTGAATAGCTGGGACTATAGTCATTCACTACCACACCCAACTCAATTTTGGAAGTTTTTAAAGTGCATTATCACTTTAAATATTTTTCTGCATCAAACTTTCTTTCCTTTTGGGATTCGGATGATGTGAATAGTAGGTCTTTTAATATTTTGCCACAAGTCTCTAAGATTCTGTTTATTGTATTTTTCTAGAATAAAATTTTGTTGTTCAGATAATTTCAAGTTTACTGATTCTTTCCTCTGTGATGACCATCCTCTATTGAGTCCATCCAGTGAGTTGCTATTTTGATTGTTGTATTTTTTTTAGTTCTAAAATTTTCATTTCATTCTTTTTTAATATTTAAGATTTTTGCAAACATAAGGTGTAATAAATTACATGTCCAAACCTATTCAAATCCTGCCCTGTTTGTGTCTACAAGTTCTAGTACTGCTGCTTTGGAAATCCAACTACCACCACCATTGGGTTTGCCAGCAGAATTATCTGAAGCAGCAGAAAGGTGCCCTCTTTCTCATTCTGTTGCCCAAGTCTTAATCCCATCTGGATCTAAATCATATTTTAAAATTCAGCTGCAAGCAGTCTGAGAAATGTCATTTTGTTTTAGTTTCCTGTTTCTGCATTATAGAAAGGCATAAGGAAAAGGGCTGTAAGGTTGTTGAGGTAGTTGCTCTGCAATGTCTGCCTTAGACATATAGGTGGTAGAAAGATGAATGGAAATGCCAGAATTCTTCATCCTATGAATAATGATATCATAAGTGTCATCAACCTCACATTTTGAATACTGCTTTTTTGATGATGTGTCTTTTTTGCATTAGTGAGTTAAACTCCTATCTTGAAATTGTTTCCAGAGCTTGTGTTTTCTCCTTTGAATAGTATTGATTATAATAATATTGTGATGATGAATGATCTGTTGTGCTTGAATAGTGGAAACAGTATTAAATACAGTCATGTATTGCATTACAGCATTTTGGTCAACAATGAACTGCTTACACTAAAGTGGTTGAATAAGATTATAACAGAGCTGAATAATTGCTATCACCTAGTGACACTGTAGCCATCCAAATGTAGTAGGGCAAGGCACTACTCACATGTTTATAGTGATGCTGGTGTAAACAAACCTACTGTGCTGCCAGGAATATATAAGTGTAGCACATACAGTTATGCATAGTACATAATACTTGGTAATGATAATAAACAACTATGTTACTGGTTTATGTTTTATTATATTATACTTTTTATTGTAATTTTAGAGTGCATTTCTTCTACTTATTAAAATCAAAAAAGCTAACTGTAAAACAGCCTCAGGCAGCTCCTTCGGGAGGTATTCCAGAAGAAGGCATTGTTATCATAGGAGATGACAGCTCCATGCATGTTACTACCTGTGAAGACCTTCCAGTTGGACAAGATTTGGAAGTGGAAGACAGTGATATTAATGATCCTGATCCCCTGTAAGCCCAGACTAATGTGTGTGTTTGTGTCTTAGTTTTTAGCAAAAAAGTTTAAAAAGTAAAAAAAAATGCCTAATAATAGAAAAACCTTATAGAATAAGTATATAAAGGAAAAAAGTGTTCGTGTTTTAAGCTAAGTGTAGTTATGAGAGAGTTAAAAAGTTAAAAAATTACGAAGTCTATGAAGAAAAAATTACAGTAAGCTAAGGTTAATTTACTACTGAAGAAAACTAAAAAGAATAAATTTAGCATAGCCTAAGTGTGCACAGTTTAAACATTACTGACACTACTGTAGTGTACAGTATTGTCCTAAGCCTTCATTCATTACTCACTCACAAATTCACCCAAGCCAATACTAGTTCTGTAACCTCCATTCATGGTAAGTGCTCTATTCAGGTATATCATTTTTAATATTTTATAACCTATATTTACTGTACTTTTTCTGTATTGAGCTATGTGTAGATACACACAAATACCATTTTGTTACAACTACCTACAAAATTCAGTTCAATCGCATGCTGTACAGATTTGCAGCCTATGAGCAATACCCTAGGAGCATAGTAGGCTACACAATCTAGGTTTATGTAGGTACACTCTGCGATGTTCACATGACAAAATAGCCTAACAACACATTTCTCAGAATATGTCCCTGTGCTTAAATGACTCATGACTGTAATAGTGAATCCAGTAGGTTGTTAAGCTGAGTAAAACCATTTATATTAAAAACATTCACTCTCAGCTAGAGCATTGTCATAGTGAAGAAAATAGTCCTGTGTGGCAGTTCCTGCCAAGTGCCTCACCCCAGACTTCCTGCAATGCCTCAATCATTAACTCAGTTATTTTTTGAACATTTAACATGCACAATGACTATGCACAATGTTATAACATTTAGAATTTATATTTATGTATTGCTTTATCACTCTTTTACAATGTGCCTTTCCGTTTATTTTATCTCATGTAATATTCACAACCAGTTTATTTTTCAAAAGAAACTGAGACCTAAAGACTTTACTAAGAATACTCACCAAAATGAATATGCTCCATTGGTTATTTGATTTTGTCAAATGTATTCACTATGATCAATGCCATTCATATTCTAAAATTTAATAAATTTTGTCTTTACTTGTTATTTTTTGATATACATGGTATTTGAATTATGTGGAAATGAGAACATTCTGATAAAGATCTTGTTACTTTCCTATGAATCAGAGGGGAAATGCTGTATTTTATAAGTAACGGCTATTATCCTCCAATGTTGAACAGCTTCCTCTAAAATATTTCTATAAAAATGGTACCTTACATTTCATCTTGCTCAAAATGCATTGGATAATATATTTCTCCCATTCAACAATGAGTCTACTTTATAAGTCACACACAAAACAGTTCATTATTTAGTGTTACACTCATAAATTTAGTCATGACAAAGTTGCCAGTGCTATATAATTTTATTTGGCTTAGATTATAAAGATTTTATATGTCATTGAATCCATCTATATTCTTTTGTCTTTTTGCGTTTCTTTTACTCACATAATCTATCAAAAGGGACAAAATATGATTGAGTGTTTATGTAATTCATAATTTTATATTTTGAAAAATTCTAACTTTTTCTAACCAAATATTTAAAAATGAAATTTATCTGCATACCAATCATCATATCTCTGAAACATTCTAATGGATTTTTCACAAAATAATTTTTTAAACCTAAAAGTTGATATAGTTCTGATTAAACAGTTTGTTAGCTTTCTTTTCTTGGTGTAAATCACCAAAATAAAGAGTCAAGGACATATGTTTCTCTCTCTCTTCCCATCCATCCATCCATCCATCCATCCCTCCCTCCCTCCCTCCCTCTCATTTAATCCATCACCCAGTTTTTACTTTTGTGGTGATTTGTGGCATTCTAGATGTTATTGAGGAACCAATGGTTATAAAATAGAAGATAGAGTTAAAGCAAGATAAATATGGCCTGAGAAAGACTCCATACTTCTATATTTGAGTCCTTGTGGATGAACTGTAACCTATCTTAATAGTCAGACACAATTGAAAACCTAACTTAATAGTAGGCACCTGTAACAATGGCTGAGTGTTGGCCAATCCCAGTGGCTATACCACTCATAGACTGCTGAATGTTCAAACTGCATTCAAATAAGGCAAACACCAAGCTGTAACCAATCTCACTGTTTCTGTACCTAATTTCCGATTCCTGTTTGTCACTTTAACTTTTTTGTCTATAAATTTGTTCTGACCACAAGGACCACGAGGCACCCCTGGAGTCTCTGTGAATCTGCTGTGATTCTGGGGGCTGCCCGATTTGCAAATCTTTCATTGCTTAATTAAACTCCTTTAAATTAATTTGGCTGAAGTTTTTCTTTTCTCAGATGGTGTCAGGAGTAGGATCCGAAGTGGAGCTTCCAGTGACCCCCAGAAGTGCTGAGTGAACACTCAAGATACCTGCAGGACTCACTTGTGTCCATTGATCTCTCAGAGCAGCTGGGGATCACGGTTAAGCTCCCTCTCAGATTTTGGAGCTCCACGGATTTGCGTTTTGAGCTCTCCGAGTTTCTTTGAGCAGATTTCTGATCCAAACTGGGTTTAGAGTTGTGACAGAAACTGGACTGGGTCCAAGAATGGATTTGATCTGGGAATTAACTGGTTTGAATCCAGTTAGAGGCCTCTTATATCTGACTAGGTCAGAAAGGAACTGGTAGTAAGCAGTATTTTGCAGGGTTTATAAAATTTGTCTTTTGAAAATTCACAGGAATTTTTCTGTTCTACCCCTTTTTTTCATTTTTCTTGTGCGCTTAGGTAGGAAAAAAACAATCATTGGCTAAGTTAATCAAGAGAACCTGAGAGTAAAGTCAATATTTTAGGTAAAAATGGGATCCTTAATTTCTGGAAAACTGAGTTCCTTCTGGCTTATACATTAGGTCTGGGAGGCAGCGAAGTCTTACAGAAACACCAAAATATTACTAAAGATAACTCACAGTGGAACATCAGAATGAACAACAATGCATTGAAGTACATTTGAAAATGAGGGCTCTCAGTAAAGTTCCTTTTGGCTAAGAATGGGTTTGGCACTACAGCATGTCAACTGCTATTCTCCTTGGAATAATCTGCCTTGCGCTCTTTCCTGACGGCTGCAGGTGACAGGATTAGGAATGTACAGGATTGTGGGACATAGGGAGCTTTTTCCTCCCTAAAAGGGGAAACATGAGAGATGATGACACTGCTGGAAAAGATCCCTTTGCTATAAAAAAGCAGCCACCTGAACTTTTCAGTGTCGCTGGAATGGGGGGTGATCTTCTCTGGCCTTTTTGCCTTCCCCACCCTGCCACAGGCAATGCTTTTCTCTCTCTCCTTTCCCTTTCTTATCTTGCCTATTGCTCAGGGCAACCATCTTGCCCAGAGACCACATGTTGAAACTCATGGTCAGAGGTTGGATTAATGATGATGGGGCCCAACCAGGGGCAAACTTAAGCCTTGCCAGTTTGATATTAAGTGCTAAGCAGAGTGGCTAATGTCTATGTTTTATCACACATATTTTACTCTGGCCAGAACAAAAAAATATAATTTTCCTTTATCATGCAGCTTGGCCCCATTGCAATGATACAGCAAGCTGAGTCACTAGGGCCGCTCAGGGAAAGGGAACCCAGAAGCCTGGCATGCTGGCAAAAGGGTAAGAATTTCTTACCAGTCAGATTTTTGGTTTCTCTCTCTCTGTACAGTTGAATGAATGGTAAAAATCACTGTTTATCTCTTCTGTAAGGTTTTGATTAATGTTGAAAAGAATTCTGAGGCTAGTCTTAAACTGATGTATTTGTACTATGAATTTGTTTTTCTGGGTTGAGGGGTACCTTAGGATAAAACATAGGCTTAGGCCCTCATAAGCTTGCTGCTCCAGACGGCCCAGCAAGCTGGTCAATAACAAACTTTCCTGCAAGTCCCTGAAACAAACAAAAAAACTAGATAGGGTCTCTGTCTTGTTTTAGGTCCTTGGGAACTTGACCTTATGACCACATGACAGTATTTTCTCTTGGATTCCACCTTCCAGGGAACAGGAATTTTGGGGTTTATGTCATAGTTAGCTCTAAAAATTATCTCGAGTAGTTAAAAGCCTTTGCAATTTCAAAAGGAACTACTCTATAGACTCCTGGGAAGGACAGTCGAGACTGCCCTGTGCTGTAGCTCAGTATCTAAGATTTTGGCCTTTCACACTGGTGGTCTGGGTTTGATTTCCTGCTTAGGAAGTAAGTCCTTTTTTGGTTTAATATCTGCATAACCTTGTCTTGTCTCTTCTCCACTATAAACTATCTTAAATTGTCTTTTCTCTGATCACCTGGGAGGTTACCTTTGACATTTTCTTTTGAAAATTCACTGGCCTGGCTAAAATCGGGTGGTAAGAAATTTTAAAAGGACTTTATTGAAGAGTGCTATGGTTAAAAGTCAGCTTAATTAAAAGTGGATATTCAAGCTCTAACAGCCTGGACGCCTTGGGAAAAACAGGAGGCAACTGAAACCCCTTTCCTGGCCCTGTTCTTCCAAGGGCTCCACCCTAAAGCCAATAACCAATTAAGAAACTTAAAAACCAGCAAATGAAACATTTTACAACTACTGAAGTAATCTTCTTCTGTCTGTGTAATTATATATGTGTTGTGTGTAATGTTTATATAAAAGAGCACTAATTAATTAATTGGCTTAAATAAAAATAAGCGCTTAAATCAAATATTTTGAAAACAAAATAAAAACTGTAATTCCTTTTAGTTTATGTAACTTTAGTAATCTTTAGGAAATAAAAACAGCTTTAAAGATTATTGATAAAATGAATACATTTTTGTCTAAATTATGCAGGTCAAATATTAGGTTTGCTAACTGCTTTTAGGTCGTCATAAACTGCTTTGACTTTTGAAAATTGTTCAATTTATTTTGGAGGCATTAAGTTCTAAATAAGACCAGGAGATATATGGAATTAGCCATGCCCCCTAGCTATGCAAAGAATGTTATAAAGAAAAGAGATTTTATATAAGAAAGGATGTTATACGGTAAATTCTTGTCCTAAAGTAAAATGACTAGTTGTTTAAAAAGGGGGATGTTTAAGGCAAGTCAGAATATCTAAACATGTTGTACATGGTCTATGTAAGTTGTGAAAGAATTTATGAAAAGAAGTTCATGCCAGAAATGTTGTATAATTTAAAGGTGATTAGGCCTCCCAAATGCTTCATAAAATGCCACTATGACTCTTAACTGTACAGATGCCTGTTTTACAGCTAGGCAAGGCATGGGACACATGGCGTTAGATGCTGGAAAGAGTCAGACCTTATCTGCATTTCTGTCTGCGTCCTAGACTCCATACCTAGTACATAATTAAAATCCCTTACTTACCAAGGTTTTCACCAAAAGTAAAAGTTTCTAAGAGTCAACATTGTAATATGTAATTGAGATTACGGAAAAAACAGGTTTACATGCAAGGTGTATAATGAGAATGAAGTGTGTTTTTTTGTAAGAGATTATAAGAAAGTATGGGAATGTAAATTTTTGCCTGGGTTAGAGGGTTAAAGGACTGTTTTAAGTTAAATGAAGTTTGAAAAATTTGTGGAAGGTTTATAACAGCTAATTATAAGAGATTCTATGTGTGAACATATTGGCTAAAGTTAAAATGGCATTATTCAGGATTTTTTTTTCATAAATTGGACATTGGAATAGAGAAGCACAACAGAGTTTTCATAGAACATTGTACTGCTCTGAGAAAAAATTGTAAAGGGCTATAAAAGATTTATAAAAATCTTACCTTATGGTTAAACTAATTAAAACTGAATAGATTTATAAAAAGTTATTAAAAAACTAGCTTTAACATTAAAAATACGCTAATGGAAACATAAAATTTGGCCTTTTAAAAAGGATTTTTATGTAATATTAAAAGATAACAAAAGGTTTTTGTTTACCTCTTAAGTAAACTATAAAAGAAAAAGGGGAGCAGGGAAAGAAAAGAGAGTCAGTTGGCTTTATGCTGTCTTCATTGGGTCTTGTTTGGAAAGCTGAGACTCCTGTCTCTCAGAATAATGTTTTTTACTTAAAAAAAATTTTGAGTTATCATTTTGCCTAATGAATGACTTATGGTCCTAAGATTCTATTTTGTAATATCCAATGTTTTTAAGACTTTGGTATTTAACAAACCTTTCAAAATCAAGCTTGAGATTATCATGCTTAATCAGCCAATATTAAAATTGTTTAAATATACAATTTGAATGAACTCCATGGTCTAAGTCAAATTACCTGTGATAACCCATTAGTTATCAGTGCTATGCACCTAAATTGGAGAAACAACTGCTATTCAAGAGGACATAAGTTCAATGTTAAGCACAGACTCTGGAACAACCAGGACAGCCACGCTTGTCCTTTTTGAGTCCTTAAAGCTTTTGTTATTAAAGGTTCTGCATTCCATGACTCATCATGGAAAAGATAAAATAATCCAAACTGAATATATTGATGTGGTGACTTATAAATTGCAGAAATAGTTTAAAACCAATGTTCAGTTCCATATTCCTGGGAAGACAATCAAAGCTTCGGGTACATTTCGCTACCCGATGGGCCATTTAAACATTTATAAAGGGATTTCATTCAATTG
Source organism: Homo sapiens (assembly GCF_000001405.40). Lineage (NCBI taxonomy): Eukaryota > Metazoa > Chordata > Mammalia > Primates > Hominidae > Homo > Homo sapiens. Next base: position 40,327,742 of record NC_000005.10, on the reverse strand, counting down.
TCATTTTCAACGCATGCTTTCTGGTTGTATAAAAGCTTTCCCATGCAAGAAAGCTGATGTTATAACAGTAGATTATTATGCTACAGTGTTTTTTTGCCAGGTAAAATTCATTGAGGACAATCCCTTCACAATCTAGAACTGGAAGATTGGATTTTCTGAAAACATCGGAGAAAGACTGTCCTTGCCATCCACACTACAGCAAATCTTTGGAGACTTGAACTTTGGGTTCATAATCTCACAACTGAGAAGGGTCCCACCACACTCCTGGAACTGTGCACCCATTGGAAACCTTAAGGTAAAACTAACCAGGAATGTTTCTCCCCAGAAAAAGATGGCATCCTTGATGTCAACAACTTTTCCCGAGATCACAGATCAAGACTTCTATTATCATCAGACTCTTATCTTTGAATATTTTTTCTTTGTTTATGCCTCTATAAAAAGGGTGTCTATTATTTGAACTTATAGGGCATATTTTATTTGTGAAGGAATTTGCAGCCAGTCTTATACATGAATAACCTTATACTTTAATAGATAAAAGATGAAAGCCCAATGTAGGTGAGAAACTTCGGGGGTCAAAACTCCTCTTAATCCACATCAAGGATTAAAGAGAACAGTGCCAGGAGGCCTTCACTCTTCTAGAAGGACATCATTTGTTAGGTCCTTTTTCCATGATTTAGAATAAAAGAGACAATAATTAGAAATGTCACCCTCACAATATGCTCTACAGCAAATTCTACCTTAAAGGCTATCATTACACAACAGACTTTAAATCCTCTTGTGAAAGTTATGCTAAATAATACAATTGGCTAAATAGAAAAGTACCTGTGCAGATGCTGACACTAGTGGCCTATGGAGAAATACATCAAATGTAGATTATAAAAATTCATTTGTAGGGTTTCAATAAAAAGGACACTTAGTCAAATGAGTAGATTCTTCATCTAGCTCATTCTTTAATCTATTTAATTTTATGTGGTTTGGTTTATGGGGACTCTGGATAAGGCACATACTCCAAACTCTTGGTATTATCCTCCTGATGGTCACAGTAATAGTCTCCCTGGTGCGCTGTATTCTCTTAAAGGTTTTAAGTATTTGCATGCAGCCATCTCTAGAACATCAAATGGTCTCTCTTCAACTAGAATGACAAAAGCTGAAAGAAATGTGTGACCATGAGGACACCATAAACTATGAATGACATACTGAGACCAGAAACCCAAAATGATGGTAACTGAGAGTAGTGCTGAGGCCCTAAGTTTTGGTCACACTCTCACCGAAGTGAGAACCTGGCTGAAAAGGGGGAGTTTTTTTTTTTTTAAACGAAATTATGGGAGGCCATTATTTTGGACTGAGCTTATGCACTAGGCCCCAACAAACCAAACCAAACTAAAATGGAGTCACGTGTGCTAAATGTGACATAACCAAACTAAGGCTTTAAGAAACACATAGATCCTAGAACAGATAGGGTTTTGTTTTTCTCCTGTGGACAGGTTGTTCCAGCATAAGGAGGTACCCTCTACTCAGTCCTTATTCTCTCCTTGCAAAACACACTATTCTATTGTTTCCCAGTGAGTTTCAAAACCATATAAGTACATTTACGATAGTAATAGTAACATGAATGACTAAGATTTTGGTCATTTTCTCAAAATTGAGAAAATGACCAAAAGTGGGGAATTGTTAAAGCAAACTAAATATGGCCTGAGAAGGACTCCATACTTCTCTATTTGAGTCCTTGTGAATGAACTGTAACCTAGCTTAATAGTCAGACAAAATTGAAAACCTAACTTAATACTATGCACCTGTAACAATGGCTGAGTGTTGGCCAATCCCAGTGGCCATACTTCAACCACTCACAGACTGCTGAATGTTCAAACTGCATTCAAATAAGGCAAACGTCAAGCTTAACCAATCTCACTGTTTCTGTACCTCACTTCCAATTCCTGTAAGTCACTTCACCTTTTTGTCTATAAATTTGTTCTGACCATGAGGACCACGAGGCACCCCTGGAGTCTCTGTGAATCTGCTGTGATTTTGGAGGCTGCCCGATTCAAGAATCTCTCATTGCTCAATTAAACTTCTTTAGATTAATTCAGCTGAAGTTTTTCTTTTATCAATAGAAATATGTTACATAAATGGAAACCACTAAACATAAAACAAAACAAGAAAACCAAGGGCCTTGTACAACTGGTATACAATGTATAAGAAAAATGTATACCTTTACTTTGATACCAAATGTGAAAATAGGTAAAACCAGCTTAGTGGAGATGATAAAACTGATTGTACATAGTTTTTTCACTTGGTCAATAGAGACAATGACCAGGGTTTATCTAGTTTCCTAAACAAATTATTTTGCTTTCTTATGTGCAAATATATGATTAGAATGTAGTAATGCGGTGGAAAAGTTAACTTTTTCTGTCCATTTCTCACATGAATTAAAATCCGAGCTGTGGTCAATGTGGAGTAGCTTTCTGATGCAATAACCTGCTTAGATGCCTGCATGGGGTGCCTCTAATTCTTCATATCTGGAGTCACAAACCCAATCCTAGAGTTTGTGATCAGTCCAGTTTCCAATGAGGAGGGAGTTAAACAACTTAGTGTTGCCAGCATTGTAATACCAGCAAAACACTTGTATAATATATACTATGTGCCAGGTACCATGTTGAACACTAATATGTATATATACTCAAACTCATGAAGTTAACGCTATTATCTGAATTTTATAGATTTGGAAACTGAAGCACAGATAGCATAAGTAACTTGACCACAGTCATATATCTACTACATTGCAGAGCCGGGATTCAAATCTAGACAGGCTGGTTTCAAAGTCTAGGCTCTCAATTGCTGTACCATTTGCTTCTTCTATATTACGGTGCTTCTGTAGTATGTCAGCTCCTTTGGTCTTGCTCTTAACTTTTGGCCTATGATATACTGCTCTTTCCTAGTTACTGCTACCAGTATTGATAACAGTATGCTACTATTTTATTATTAAAATGAAAAATTTATACGTGAAAAATCTTAATTTAAATATATAGATTAATTGATCATTATAACATTCATATGGAGAGGTCAAAGTGAGCATTGTTATCTCATGCTACACAGTTGAGAAACTGCAATTCAGTGCTTTACCCAAAGTCATCCAAATAGGAACATGCAAAGCCAAGACTTGAACACAAATCTTCTGATTGCAAGCACAGAGCTCATTGACCACACTGTACCTCTTTCTTACAATATGGCTTTCTTAGTGCCGGTTTTCTCTCTGAGGACCTGTTTCTTCCTTTAGCTAGCTACACAGAGACTGCTCACTCCTTCATGTGTTATCTGCCCTCACCTATGGCAGGCATATCAAAGATAATCACCTCAGAATTAAATACAACGTTTGTGCAAGAGATGTGCCCAGACAGCAGCAGGGGATCATTTGGTTTTATTTCCTGTTCATCTTTGCATTCTTAGCCACGCTGTGCTCTTCCTGTTTATTCTGCCGTTTCATGGTTTGTAAGGAATTTGATTGATTAGTTTTAATTAGTGTTCTTGGTACTTAGAAAAGGCCCCAACCTTCTTTCATTGCAAAATTAATAAATACTAGGAAGGAGAGGCTTCTAATAGCATTTGAGCCCTGCAAAGTTGTTACTGGGTCTCATAATCCATTAGCCTTTTCCTAATAGGAATCTCCTTCATCATAAGTTGCTAATAAAACTGATTTATTTTGTTGTTTCTAAAAATCCAAGTCTTAGCAATTAACTTATATTTCAAAGCAAGATATAACTGTGATGAACGTTATCAGATTTCAAAATTTGGTTTAACCTCTACAAGACAGTCAGCTTATAGTTGATATGTTTCTTGAGTTTTATTAAAATCACCCAACTGCTTATTTTGGCTAAATACTTTGGTGGCAATGCGAAAGAAGATAAATGGTTATTAAATGTTGCATAAAACAAAGAAGTCAGGCAAAGAATGGGCAGAAAAGTGTGATTGGTCAGTGGTTGCAAAAAAAAAAAAAACCCAGTTGCAATTACTACAGGCATTTGACTCTGAAGACCTCAGCATGTCTCGAGTACTTACTTAAAGGACCCTGACCTTTGATGGCCAGCTTTGTGAGTTACCTCTTTCCACTACAGATTTAATGTAATTTAGTATCTTCTTAACAATGTCTTTGTCAGACCATATAAGGTATGGTTTGGCTCTGTGTCCCACCCAAATCTCATGTCGAACTGTAATTCCCATGCGTCAGGGGAGGAACTTGGTGGGAGGTGATTGGATCACAGGGGTGGATTTCCCCCATATTGTTCTCATGATAGTGAGTTCTTAGAAGATCTGAAGGTTTAAAAGTGTTGCACTTCCCCCTTTGCTCTCTTTCTCCTGCTGCCATGTAAGTAAGACTTGCCTTGCTTCCCCTTCTCCTTCAGCCATGATTGTAAGTCTCCTGAGGCCTCCCTGGCCATGCAGAACTGTGAGTCAATTAAACTTCTTTTCTTTGTAAATTACCCAGTCTTGGGTATTTCTTTATAGCAGTGTGAAAATGGACTAATACAATATGTAACAAGTTTTAATAATTTGTTAGGAGCCCAGAAAGAACCACAAAAGTTTAAGAACTCTGAGAAAGAAGAAAACTAAACAATAAGTAAAAGTAATTCCTAGAGTGCACAGAGGTATAAATTAATAACAACAAATATAGATCAGATAGTATTATTTTGACAACTTCACTGTCTTCATATAACTTCAGAGAAGCCAGGCTGATATCTAAAATTATTTAACTTATGCGTGTAATCCCAGTGCATTTGAAGGCAAGGTAGGAGGGTGCCTGGAGGTCAGGAGCTTGAAATTGAATTGGGCAACACAGTAAGACCTCATCTCCACAAAAAATAAAGAAAGTTAGCCAGGTGTGGTGGGGCACCTCAGTGGTCCCAACTATTTGGGAGGCTAAGGCAGGAGGATCACTTGAGCTCAGGAGTTTGAGGCTGCAGTGAACTATGGCCATACCACTGTACTCCAGCCTGGGCAATAGAGTGAGATTCTGTTCAAAAAAACCCCACAATTATTTAACAGATTATAATTGTTGCCTCCAGGGTGTACTCTGAAGCTGATAATAAAATGCCATACCTTTCACTCAGTATGTCATAATCAGAAAGCTCTGTAAAAATACAGATCTTAAAATATTATGTTTATGACCACTGGGGTATAGAAGCCAGGGCATAGGCATGTAGATAGATATTGTATTGGTCCCTTGAAAGACTACTGTAGTTCTTCTCTTATATATTCACATCTTGCACAAGTGGAGTCAGTTTTTATTCTGTTTTAGATTATGTAATTTATGTTCCATTGTGTAATGTTATTTCCTTACATTATTAGTAAATCCAGTATTTTGACCAACCTGTCTTTTTGTCTTTTTTAAGTTGGTTGTCTGCCTATCTATAAAGCCATTCTTCCATCTTTAGTTCTTATCAAATCAGTCTTTTCTATTTGATGCTGTTTTTAAATGATTCTTTCCTAATTTTCTCTAGCTTTTCTCTGTGCCAATAAGTATCTGATCTAAAACTCAATGAATGTTCCAATATAAATTGGTGATATTCTTAAATACACTTAATTTTCTGGAAGTTAATTCAATAGTTAACTCTTTATTTACAGATATTATCTCAGACAAGTGCTTTTCCCCCCTAGTCTCCCTAGGTGGTGCCAACAAAATTTTTCCTCACTCAAAATCCTGTAGATTGATTGTCTTCTTTTCAGGTTGCTGACTTTCTTTGCAGCTGAGATTCTCTGTGAGATGTCTACTAACCATTAGTAGAAAACTAGTGATTTTTGTTACTAATGTAATTAACAATTGTTCAGAGACTTCAATTTACTTCAATTGATGAAAGATGACCATTCCATAACCCCTGTGGGATAACACTCAGAATGTGAGTATGACCATTCTATAACTATTGTAGGATAGCACTGAGAGTGTGAGTTTACCAATTCCAGTTTTATTCTAAACTGAGTCTCTGTATGATTTCATGTCTTCAAACAATCAGTTGCTAAGATACCCTTTGTCAAACAATCCAGTAATTCAATAGGGAAAAAATAGTCTTGTTTTTGCCAAGTCAAAACAGGTGAACTGTTCCAAATAAAAATATAAAAGATTATGAATCCATGAACTCTTAACCCCTAAAATAATGTAGAAAATTGTGATCTGTGAATGTATGCATTTTCCAGGGAGAGGATTTTTTTACTCTTATTAGATTGTCAGCTCCTTGCACAGTGCTTGACACATTGTTAAATCTGAATAAATATGAGTTGACTGAAGTATGACTAAGTAATTCTAAAAATGATTCCTTCATTATTAAAAAGGAGTCTAGGAATGACCAGAATTACTTTTTTTTTCTGTCAATTTTCCTCTCTAAAAATCTTAGTTTCTCCTTTTTGATTTTCTGAGGAGGTGACTACTGGACGTTCTGAATCCTTCATGTTTCTTGACTTTTCTTTCATACTTTCTAATTCTTTATCTCTTTATGATATATTCTGGAAAATTCCTTTACAATATTTGCTGGGAAATTCATCAATTCAGACTCCTAGCTCACCAATCCACCTTCAGCTGTGTTTTTTCCCCTGCTATTCATATTATTGAAATGTTTTAATTTTGATTTCAATACTATTTTCTCATGGTATTTTTTTCCCCCACTAGCCTGATTTTATTCCTTAGATTTGATGACCTCTTTCTGCTTATCACTCATCCAGGGATTCCTAATGGTTTCTGGTCCATGGAGGTTCCTTTTCTTGATTTTGAATGTAGTTATGGTTTGAAAAGATAATTTGATGTCATTTTTAGAAATCCAAGATGATCAGGCCTGAGGGAAATGATACATGTGTGCCTACCCTCTTTAGGTAGAAGTCCTTACTTTTTCTCCGAGTGTCTTTTGAAGCCAGTTACCCCCCACTTAAAAAAATAGTATTTCTTATTATATTGTAAAAATCTTATGGAAACGTTGTTAGGTCTAAAAAAATAAATGAAACCCATAAAAACTAAATCACACTGTTAAATATCGCTATTAGTGTTTTTGATAAATATCTTTTTATTGAATGAGACTTTCTTATTTCTTGTATGTTCAACTCATGGGATGGAAGCAGGAGATATCCATGAGCTGAGAAAAACACACTTAAGGTTAAATTCATGGAGGAGGACAATGTAATGTAATTTGAAAGGAAATAAGATTCTCTTTAGCCAATTGATATCTGAAACTTATGCTCTTAGAGCTGGGAACATGAGGCATAGCACTGGAGATAGCTGTTAGAAGGTAATTGACTTTCTCAATGTGTAGTGTCTGTGATTATTATTATGTTTGTTGCTGTTTTTATTATTGAGACAAGGTCTGGCTCTATTGCCCAGGCTGGTGTGCCGTGGTGTCATCTCGGCTCACTGCAACCTCCACCTCCCAGGCTGAAGCCATCCTCCCACCTTGGCCTCCTGAGCAGCTGGGACTACAGGCATGTGCCACCACAACCAGCTAATATTTGTATTTTTAGTAGAGACAGCATTTTGCCGTGTTGCCCAGGCTGGTCTCAAACTCCTGACCTCATGTGATCTGCCTGCCTCAGTCTCCCAAAGTGCTGGGATTACAGGCATGAGCCACTGCGCCAGGCCTGTTATTATTATTATATTTTTCAGTCAGCCAAAGAAAAGACTATCAGGAAACTGGCACAAGACCACCCCAATGCCCTTTTCTTCCCTTTCCACTCAAACTTTCTGTTTCTCTATCCTATAGCAGAATGAGAGTTAGAAAGAATAGCTGTGACCCACAGCTCAGGAAGCTGGAAAAATTTCTAAGGAACAGGAAAACTTAGAGCTTGCTACCCACTAGGTAAATAATCCAACTGTGTTTAAAAAAGGGAAGGTATAAGGATTTTGATCTAGAAGAGGATGCTAAAAGAAGTGGGGCATTGGGGAAAGGAGTTAGTAGGATGAAATATGGGTGTGTGTGTGGAATATTCTCAACTAACTAGAAAGCATTCACATGGGGTGCCACAGAAGGGCTGGGCAGTGGGTCTCCAACCAGTGGGAGGAATTAGACTGTTATGAAAAGTCCTTCTTGATTTCACCCCTTTCCCAAGCTCTCTATAGTTGAAATGTACACTGTAAACCACTGTCAATAGTTGACTGAATCTTATTTGGGTATGTGTTAACATGGCAAAAAGAAGGGAATAAACCACATCTTCCTCCTATACCTGGGCAACAGCACACAACTAAGACATTTTCAGTGTGTTCATTGATGAGGGTGGAACCAGCAGGAGAGCTGTTTTATTTTATTATTGGGCTAAAAAAACCACACTCTTCTCTCTCCCTGTGGCACTTTCATCCTCAATTGTTTGCTTAGTTAACTTCTGCCCTTACTTCATGTCCTAGCTGAGGAGTCTCTCCCTTCAAAAAGGCTTCTTGCAGCTTAGGTAATGTTTCCTCCCTTTTCTCACTTTTCCTTTCCCACATTTAGCATGGCATTCTGTACTACCTCCATCCCAGCACTGATTACTTTGCCTTGCAATTGTCTGTTTATGGTACTTATCCCCAGAGTGAAGCAAGAGGGCAAGAACTATGCATTTCCACTCTATGAACAATTGCACTTGAGACATCTAACTCTGTGCCTGCAATATAGCAAGCACTCAGTTTGCTTTGCTGGTTGTATCTGCCACTAATGTGCTAAATAATAATAATAATAGATAATACTTGTATAGTGACTACCATGTGCCAGGCCGAGTTCTAGAAACTTCACATATATTAACTCATTTAATCCACATGACAAATGAGTATTATTTAACACATTTTTAACAGACAGTTTGGTGTAATTTAGTCCACATCATAAGTAGTTAGGTACTATTGTAAAAGGTTTTGGTTTTAAAAATGAGCAGATTAAGGTGCAGAAAAATTAAATAACTTGTCCAAGATCATACAGCTAGAAAATGGTAAAGCTGAGATTTTAAGCCAGTAGATCTAGTCCCTGAGTGTGCATTTTTAGCTGTAATATTAGACAGTTTCAACTTAAGGCATTTTCTACCTCCAATGATTTAAAAAACATCTATATATTTATGTATTCATTTAAAGCAGACCTAAGGCTCTGAAACAATTCTGATATAAGCATAAATAAACATCCTCCCAAGAATGACTTCAGAGGTCAGAAAGGAGCCAGGCTTATGAGAACTATACTTGCATGTCAAAGGACAATTGTTTTCCTGTAATGAGGTCAAAAGAAATCATTTGCCAAATAAGATGCAAGAAGTGAAACAGGCTTAGGTTTTCCAAAATGTTCTTGACAAAGAGGGTGGATGTTGTAGTTTAATTGTTCTCCTGACAGAGAGATGCAACCAAGGGGTCAATAGATCTGTAGAATCGTATTTCTAAATGGTAGTTTGTTTCTGCATTGCTAGAATAATCATTGGGAGGCAAAATATTTATCTTCCAGGTATAATTGAATTCCGTTAAATCTTTGAACTTTTTTCTGCCCTTCTTTCAGTTACATAATGCATCTGGGAGTATGAATACAGCTAGGTTTGACATGGGCATGGACAATGCCTTGCAACGGAAGGTGAGGAATTTGTCTTATAGTCTCAGTTTGCCATCAACTAACATGGTGAGCTTGGCCAAATCACTTAACTTCTTTGTGCCTCAATGCATTGCTTTATATGTCACTGAATACAGCTAGGTTTAACCTGGGCATGGGCAATGTCTTGTAACAGAAGGTGAGGAACTTGTCTTGTGGTCTCACTTTGCCTATCAACTAACATGGTGAGCTTGGCCAAATCACTCAACTTCTTTATGCCTCAATGGACCACTTTATATGTCACCCTCCATGACAAAACTAGAGCTTGATTTTTGACCTGAACTCTTCCACCCCTACTTTCAACTGCTCTGTGAGAAAAATCTAAAGTTCCCCCTTAAGTTATTTTAGTGGCAGGTCTGTAACCAATCCAATCTCAGAAACTATGAGCTTCAAATTTTTGTCAATGTTCAAATAGTAGAGATAAAGATACATCCATTTAAGTGATTTTTGGAGGTTGGGCTACTTCTCAGGTGAAAAGGGGGTGATATGTATTATTAGGATGTTTTCAGTTAGAGCTACAGAAAATCAACTCAACTTTTCTTATATCATCCATACACTTTTAATAAGTTTCACATAACTTTCATGGGTAATGCAGGCATTAAGCTTGGTATACAATGTCTCTAACTTCTCTGAGATTTTATTGGTTCTGTTCTCTTCCATGTGTTAATTTCATATTTGGGTTGCTTAAAAGATGGTGGTAGTAGTTCAGGCATCTTATTTAAATATGAACATGTCTGGAGGAAGGAGAGTCCATTCCTCCTGTTTTTCCCACTCAGGAGTGGAGAACTATCATCAGAAGTACTCCAGGTAACTCATGTCTGATTGGCTGGAATTGTATCAAATGTCTATTCCTAAGCCAATCACTGGCAAGGAGAATGGATTGCCATGATTGGCTCAGATTCCGACAGTCTTTGCCAGTGTATTACTTGGTTTCTCGACATGACAAAGTCTTAAGAATTCCCTATTCTGCCAATTTTGATGATGTCACCTTAGCTTTCTGATTTGCTTAAATAAATCCAGATTTACCCTTGGACCTTGGGATGCCCAGATTTATCTTTAGAAGAGAGAGATATCCAGATAAGCAAGGTTTAGTGAGGAGGAATGGCAACAGTGTTCGCTAGAGTCACTGTGGAAGATGATTATCAAAACAAGAGGCAGCATGGAGCAGAGATGGTGGTTATGGAGGATTCTAATGCCAGAGAAGCAAGCAGATCAATTCACTAGTGCAGAGGGCAGCAGAGTCTCTGGAGGTGAACAGTCTGAGGTTCCAAATGTTCTCTACTATTCTCTGGGTATATGAATCTGGGGAAATTAATTTTGCCATATCTCAGTCTCATAATCACAATAAGATGGAGATAATTTCCCCACTTTGGAATTGACGCTAAAGTAAAATAAGAAATGTCGCAGATGGTTGCCATTATTAAAATAATGTGACTGACTCTTCTGGAGTAGAGTGATTAGCAGAACAGTCTAAGTAGGGAATTATTGATAATTGAAAGGGTGTGGCTAAGTTGCAATACCTAACCTTTATTAATGTGTAGAGCTTTATCACAGCACTAACCTTTATTGAGTGTTTCTCATATGCTAGGGGTCATTTATGGATTCTATCAATAATTAGGTACAGGGTACCTACAATGTGTCAGGCAGTGGAAGTACAAAAGTAAATACAAACAAAACACTTCTGTTCTCAGGGGTTTAAAGCCCAGTGTGGGGAGACAGACATAAGTAAATGTATGAAGCATATAGTATGTGAGATAGCACTGAGTTCTAAGGGGAAGAGTAATGCAGGGAAAAAAGACGGTGGGGAGGGGCTGGAGATGCAAGTTTAAACAGGTGGTTGGGGAGGGTCCTCTGAGGAAGATGACATGTGGGCAAAGAATTGAAACAGGTGAGTGAGTAAGGCACATGGCATTCTGGAGGAGGAGAGTTCCAGGCAGAGGGAACAGCCAATGTGAAATTTCTGGTACTGGGGCATGCCTGGAAAGTTCGGAGAAAAGAAATGAGGACAGTGTGACTGGAAACAGAGAGCAAAGCAAAAATCAGGAGAAGGTGAGGTCAGAAAGCTGGAAGGTGAGAGTGGGTGTGGGAGCTCACAGGCTTTGCACAGCATTTTCAGGACAATAGATGTCACTCTGAGTGATACAGAAAGTTGTGAAGGATTTTGAGCAGAAGTAAAATGATTTTCACTACTTTTCCTTTGTCATTCTTTTGACATTCTTCTTTCCGCATCCCTTCAGACAGACATTGGGGTCTCTTATTTCACACCCTGTGTCCTAGATGCTCTTTCAAAATTTTCATCTTTGTCACTCTGGGCTGCATCTTAAGAAATTTCTGAGTGCTATCTTTTTATTCATTAATTCCTTCTTTGTCAAATCCTGGGTTCATCTAAATTTTGTTTGTGTGTGTTTCATTATTTTTAAGAAGTTTCAATTGTTTTTTATGTACTCATTCTTATTTTCCTATTTTTCTATCATAATTTATTATTCCCTTTAAAGAAATTTTCTCTTTTTTAATCTCTCTGGATATTCCAAATTATTTTTATAAATTTTTAGGCAGAATATTATTTGAATATTACTCACTCAAAGGGGATTATTATCCCCATTGTGATTTTTTTGGCCGCCGTACTTAGCACTCATTTTCCTCCCATGGTATGCAGTCTCCCTCCAGAGTGGGATGATTTTATTTTCTGTCTTTTCTCCTTTGTGCTCATCTCCTCTTCGTCCAGTGGTATTCTTTGTTGCCTTCATCTAGCCCTCTGGATCTCTAGTCTGGAAACAGATGTTTTGATGTGTTGTGGCCCCTCCTTTGTTGTGATGCTGGAAATAATAACAGTCTGACAGCCAGTTCCTGAGTGTGGGGTGATGCTTTGTAAACCAGCTTTGCTGATTCCACAGTGTATAAGGTCTTGGGTCTAGGATGAAAGCAGTTTTATTAGCCTTTTCCTAAGAGCAATGGGGAGGGGAAACTACCTCCATCCCAGCATCTGGCTTCAAGCAGTGAGACTGGATCCTGTCCCTTGTCTAGCATAGAATTTTCAATCTCCCTTACTTGCCATCACTCCTGCCTGTTTCCTAATCATAGATCCTGCAGGCCGTGGGATTTAGCCATGTTCCCTGCTTTGTGTTTCTGTTCCAATTATAGTCCATAATGATGTTTTTGTTTTTAACCCTACGTATATTGTTGAATTTTATTTTTTAGAGTTCTCAATAATATTATTTTGGATAAAAATTAGATGTCAGAGTATGAAGTTCATTCACCATCTTGACTGGACTTTTCAAATCGATTTTCAGGTAGAAATTTAGAATGCTATTTGTGTCAGTAGTTTTTGTAACCGTGGCCAAATCAATTCACTAGTCATAATTTTCTTACCTGGATATTATAGCCTGCTTGGACTGCCATAACAATATACTATAAACTGGGTGGCTTGAAGCACAGATGTTTATTTCTAACAGTTCTGGGCACTGGGAAGTCCAAGTTTCAGGTGCTGGATTTGGCTCTTGGTGAGGGCCCTCTTCCTGGCTTGCAGATGGCCACTTGCAGAAGGCACTGTGGTTCACATGACCTCCTCTTTGTGCCAGTGAAGAGAGAGAGAAAGAGAGTGAGAGAGAGAAAAAACTCTTTAATGCCTCTTCTTCCTCTTATAAGGACATTAATCCCATCATCAGGGCACCACCCTCATGATGTCATTCAAACCTAATTACTTCCCAAAGGCTCCACCCCAAATACCATCATACTGAGAGTTAGGGCTTCAGTCAATACATGAATTTTAGGGTAACACAAATATGCAGTCCATCACACTGGACAAATACTACGTTATTGTTTTCCAGTTTGCTTCATAATCATGGTTCGTGCAATTTCAATAGAATGTTGATAAAGAATGCTTCACTTAGGTAAGTTTGGGAACTCTAAGTTAAACCAGATCAAATAGATTTTTTCCATTGAAGTTCTTCTCAACGAGATGCCTTAAACATGCACATGTATATTATGAATTACCTACAGGGAGATTAAATATGCATAATCTGTTAAACTCATTTGAATATGGCATTTTTTTCATGCATACTCACTAATATCTCCTAGAAAAGTATTTCAAGGAAGACAATATAGAGAATGTTAATACTAACCAATATATACTTAAATATGTATGAAATTACAAATTGTGTATATATACACAAATTTGCACATATATGTAATTATATATATATATTCTGAGTACTTAGAAAAATACTGTTTTATACGGACTGTCCTTGACTTGTGAATAGTTTGACTTGTGATTTTTTGACTTTGCGGTAGTGCAAAAGTGATACACACTTAGTAGAAACAGTACTTCAGGTACCCAAACAACCCTTCTATTTTTCACTTTCTGTAGAGTATTCAATAAATTACATGAGATTTTCAACACTTTATTACAAAATTGGCATTGCATTACATGATTTTGCTCAACCGTAGGCTAATTAAGCATTCTGAGCACATTTGAGGTAGGCTAGGCTAAGCTACGATGTTTGATAGACCGGGTGTATTAAATGCATTTTCCACTTACAATATTTTTAATTTATGATGGGTTTATCAAAATGTAACCCATTGTAAGTCAAGGAACATCTGTATATACATACATACATACATACATACATATATGTGTGTGTGTTATATTATTGTGTCATCTAGGTCATCAGCACCAACAAATAGCATAATACTATGAATAAGAAAGTCACTAAAAAGTATTTTGTTTTGTTTTTTTAACCAGTGGAAAGTAGGAATTATGGAGCAATTGACTATTAGAATGAAAGAGGTTTTTCATATAGAATTGAGTGCTTTTCAATTTTTTAAAGCTTTTCTCAAACTAAATTTTATATAAAATTTCTCTCTATGTATCTATATAATAGAGTTGTGCTGTTTGCAGTGGTTGAGGAAATGGAGCCTCCAACCTTCCTTTTCAGAGTAAACCCTAAGGACCTCTCAGGAACCTCTAAAACACTGTATGGCCTGGCTTGAGTTCCCCCATTTGATGCCTCATTTTAACAGAGGAGGAGTCAGACACTACAAAGTTGAAGTTATTTCTCAATGTCTACTAGCTAACTGGGGCTAGTAGCAGGACTAGAATCCAGATTTTCTACGTTCAGTGTTCATTCCCCATCATGCTGGTTTTCCATCTTTTCCAAACCTCCAAATCATTTTGTCAAATGACTTCTTTTGCAGAAATTCAACATATGAAACAGAAGTAAAGCAGAGCTTCTCTGGCTGAAGGAGGAGGATTAAAGGTATCAAGAGGAAGGGTTGAGGGCCACCTGCCAGCCCCTACTCATTGGTCCTTAGTGGCTCAGGTACATATTGTTCAAAAATGATACATTAAACCAGGCAGAAACTATACATTCAGGCCTTTACAGAGGGAGGACACCATTAACACACTTCATGAAAGGGAATATTGTGATCTTCTTACCCCTTAGCAGAGATCATGGCTCAACAGCTAGAAGAATTACAATTTTTTTTTCATTCAGCAAAGAGATTGTTCTTTGTGAAAGAACAAAATGGCAAAGTTGGCTTTTATTTTAAAAGAAGAGACTCAAGAGTTCCTCTAATCCTTAACAAATGAGTGGGCATCAGTTGCCAAATCAGAGGCAGAAAGAATCCAGTCTCAGGGCCCCAGAGCACAAACTTCTAGAACTTTGGCCATCAAGTGAGTGATTCAGGTTGGTGAAATCAGCCCCTTTCTCTGATTTCAGTTAATGACAACAGGCTTTCAGGAGAAAGGCAGTGGCATTGTTCAGAACAATGCCTCTCATTTGGGTGCTCAGCTGTGTGATGAAAGCATACGTAAATATTTCTCATCAGTAGCAAAATCATGCTTTTGCCCTTATCAAGTTCTGCCAAATTATTCACACTAAGTTGAAAATGAGTAACGTATAACATTCTGTTGGTTTTCTGCCTTTTGTTACTTCTATTTGGAGAGAGAATATGAGCTTAGTAATCTAATAACTCTGTGTTGACCAAGTGAGATGAGAGAGGTACCCCAGAGCAGGGACTTTTCCTTCAAACTCAGCTCCAAGATGGGCAATGAGACTCTAACTCCTGCTGGAGGATAGATCTTGCCCTGGCCTGATGAGGGGTTTCATGGCTGTTTTAAAGAATCTTTTCTTCTAAGAAGACCAAACAGTAAACATTAAGCTTTGGCTGGTAGAAGTTACCTTCAGAGAGAGAGACAGAGAGAGACAGAGAGGCTAAGAATAATTAAGTACCTCTGCAAGTTTTTGTTTTACTCTTGCTTTTATCTAGGAACTCATTTTTAATTAGAAGACCTGCATTTAAACCTATTCCACTTCTCGTTTAATATTCTACTAAGTTATTCTGTAGAACCTAGAGGTACTCTTTGATATTTACAAAAATGGCCCTCACCAGACTCTCATCTCCATGCTTCCCATTGTTTAGAAGTTGTGGGCAAGTAGATATGGTAGTCATGAATTAATTGATTGATTATTTATTTTGAAAAATATATTGAACGCATACTATGTATCACATATCGCACTAGTGTCTGGGGCAGAGCAGTGAATAAGAGAGACATAGTCCCTGCTTTCAATGAGCTCTAAGTCTATTTATAATATTGTATTATATTAATTCACATTTATTAAGTTCATGCAACTTTAACCTCTTCAGTACTTTGAAGCAAAGATGTGTTGTTCCACAAATTCTTGAAACCTGCAAGATGCAAGATATGCAAGTGAAGCATTAGGAGTTGAGTAATAATGCCTTTGGAGGTATCAATTACAGCAGGAGAGTATGCCACTCAAAGGAAGAGTGATGAGGATAGAGAATACCACCCAATAATCAGAAATTCATTTCTATTTATTTTTGGAATGCATATGAAACTTTTTTAAGGGTGGTAACTTGTTCTCATTAGAGACATGTGCTTTACGTTATTGAATATTAATTATATTTTGATTAGGCTTTATGTAGTCACTCCAGAAGCCAATGTTGAGTATTAGGAAAATCCACCTAAAACTCAGAAGATGAAATTTTACTTTTTCTTTTTCTTAAGAGGGAGCATGTTAGGAGAACTGGACCCTTTCTTATTACATGAGTGAAGTAGAGGACTGTATGTTAGTCCCAGCAGTGTTGGTACCAGGCCCTGTGTCCCTCCTAAGTGAAAATTCTTTGTTCACAGCTTACAGGGCAGGTATACTGTGTGACCCCATAGTCTTCCCTACCCAAATCCAGAGATGAGCCAATTATCTACAATGTGTCCTGGTACAAAAAAATGTACAGGCCAATCATACTTTTTTCATATAAACCAAATTAGGAAATGCAGAGAGAAATTGGAGGTACGTCAAAGGACATATAGGGAGCATTCACAATATATGCTTGGGGTCATAAGTCAAGGCCAAGCTGGAGTTGGACAAAAGTAGAAAATATTAAAGAAGAAAGAAGAAAATATATGAAGGTAAAAAGAAAAAAAAATAAGAAAATAGTGATGGGACAGAAAATGCCAAGCAGAAATATTAATGGCATATCACTACAGGGCAGCCATAAAGTCCGGAAACATAGATAATACTTTATTGTACATTGTAATGCAATATCAGTGAAGTATTTATTATTTGTTTGGCTACATTTACAGATTTGAAATTCAGCCTGTAGGTAGAAATTCTGTAGCATGGCTCTGCTGTGGATCCCACTCGAGTTGTCTGACTTTTCCTGTATTCCATGGCATTTGTATTCACTGTATACCATCTTGCCCTCCCCCATATTTCTGGGGATAACTACAGTAAATCTTTTTTTGCATGCAACAAGAAGATGCTAACTGAACTAGACTCTTTGAGGGGAAGCACAATTTCCTAACATAGGTTTATATACTGTTTTTGGCTGGGGAGATTTTTCGTGTGTGTGTCTTACCTTTCCTGTAATCTATGCTCCCGAGACTTCTAAAAACTTACATTTGTCTTAAGTGCTGTGCATCTATCAGTGCTTCTCTTTGTGTAAATATTTCTACCATGATATAAACTGCAGTGTTTGATTAAAACCATTGATTTGTGCTTGCAGAGCAGAAAACAAACCATTCAGTTTACTTCAGTTGAATCTAATATTAACTCTAATACCATGCTTGCCAAAACTTCCATTAAAGACATATGCCTTGACTCATTGATTCCAATAATAGGGAAAAAGCACCATTTCCCAGCAGCTGGAGATTTGATGTTGCTTTTGAGGAAAAAAAATGATCCCGCCAAAATATTTATATAGCTTGAGAACTCAAGAAGCCCCTTAGTAAGTGGGCAGGATTCTATGATCTCTAGTAGCACAGGAATCGCTAGTTTTTGAGGAAGTCTAAAATGGCTCATAGAGAGCACATGGATGAGACAAGTAACATAGAATAAAAGTTAAAGTAATAATGTTGGGAAGGACAGACATCTAGAAGAGAAGCAAAAATAAAACAAATCTCAGACTAAGAATAGTATCATCATTAAACTTAAACTTAATACTCAGATTCTCAGTAGCCCAGGCAAGAGGGAAACTAGATGATGATGTAGTTCTTATTGTCTAACTACAAGATGTACCTATTTTAGCTCATTAAACAAAACCCAAACCTTTTCCTGGTCCTTTGATTAGAGGTGAATATATTATGATGTCTTTATGTATTATGACAGCATTGAATAATATTATGAACCTCAACCTGCAGGTTGGTAACCATATCTATAAATGTAGTCAAGCACACAAAATTATCTACTCAAAGCCTTTTTTCTTTTTACTAAAAATTCTTACAGATTACACGTTCAGTGTTTTTATTTTGATTTTTTTACCTTAGCCCTTGGTGACAGTCAAAAACTTTAAATGATAATTATGTAAAGACAAGTTTACAGGGGCCTGGGGGTAGACATTGAGTGATATGTTCAAAATACATACCTGTCATGTATGTACAGGATAAAACGTTGGCTCCAGGCCTTGCTTGCACTTCCAGATTTATTCTGACATTCTCATATAAGCTTCTACCATCCATTTCTATTGAATCATCTGCAGTTGCCCTGAATATGTCATGTTGCCATTTGCCTTCTTGCCCTTTCATTTGGCCTGCCTTTATCTGGAACACTTCTCCATAGCCATTCAATTTTGCCTTTTTCTTATGCTAACTCTAGCACTGCCTACTGCCTAGGGGAACAAAGGGCATGGTGCTGGGTACTTATAGGCACCAGAACATTCCTGAGGACTCACACCACAGGGAAAGGTAAGCTATTCACTTCTTGTGCCATCCACTCACAATTTTAGGGAAAGGTATATAAATTAATGGATTCAATAAACATTAAACTAAATGGAACATTTTGTCTCTTTCTTCCACTAACCAATGTCTTGGGCTTAAGTGAAAGATATTTAAAGAAAATTAAGAAATTAAATTTTCTATGTATTTCTGAGTGGTAGCATGATGAATTTTGTGACCTCTCAACATGCCCAGTGAGGAAAAAAATTCTTTTTAAACACACTGTAGTTATAGAAGATATTTGCCAGGGTGTATGCATAAAAAAGTTTCATAAACCTTGGATGCCAGGCCACAGACAAACTTCTAACAAGTCCTTTTTCCTTCTCAGGGCTCTGTACTCATTGCTCTTCATCCCACTGCTGTGTGCTATTGTCTTTGTGATCTTCATGATTGGATTTTGCTTCTTCAAGGAAGATATAAAAGAGCCCAAGTAATTCTGGAAACCAGCATTTTACCCTTGACCTCCTGCTTTTCATCCTACTGGTCCTCGCCAGAAGTCGCTGGTTGCCTGGTATAAGAAAACAATCATAATTATCTCATTAATACTTGGACCTGGCCTCCCTGCTAATCAGGTTTGTACTGCTGAGATTTCAAAGGAGAACAGAAATCTACTAAGAAGAAATAAATTGGTTCTCAGGCTATAAATAGTTCTAGGAAGCTGCCCAGGGACAAAAATTTGCCTGCTGGTGAAATAAAAGACCATGTAAACTGTAGATTTATTTGGAGAGTATAGTTCCATGAATTTAACTGGTCTAGACTCTGGGCCTCTGGAAGGCAGAGACCATGCTCTCAGCCTTGCCTTTAGTACCTTGTCTGTAACAGGCTATCAGATATGTTGATTGTGTCAAAGATAAGCAAATTCTGAAATGAGTAATTTTTTTCATTCTCTATCCTCTCTGAATTCACTTAGTGCCTCTCAGAATGTGTCTGAGTGGAAAGGGATTTGCACAGGATATGTCCAAACAGGTTATTGTAACTTTGGAGGTAAACTCTTGTCTATCATTCCATGCACTTCATTATTATTTATATCCATTTCTTTCTTTCTTTCTTTGTTTATTTATTTAAGTAATTGGTCATGAAATAGACTTGCATGCTGAATACTGAAATGTGGTGTTTGACACTTGTAAATTATTCCAGATTATATATGAGACTATAATAGATAAAAGTGATTTAGATAATAAAGTGATCTGTAATTGAAGTAAATGAGAGCTGGGTGCTGTGGCTAATGCCTTGTACTCCCAGCACTTTGGAAGGCTGAGGCAGTAGGATCGCTTGGGTCCAGGAGTTTGAGACTAGCGTGGCAACATAGCTAGACCCTGTCTCTACAAAAAGTAAAAAATTAACCAAGTGTGGTGATGCGCACCTGTAGTCTCAGCTACACAGGAGGCTGAGGTGGGAGGATCACTTGAGCTCCAGATGTTGAGGCTGAAGTGAGCCATAATCATCCTACTGCACTCCAGCCTGGGTGACAGAGGAAGACCATGTCTCAAAAAAAAAAAAAAAAAAAAGAGAAGTAAATGAAAACTTAGAGAAATAGTAGTTGCAACTTCCAAACCAAAGCTTGTAATTCTGGTCACTATGACTTGGAAATATTTTCCAGAACAACTGTGACTCTTGCCGTTGCTCTATAAAATACTGGCAAGGTCCAAAAGGGAATTTTCCCCCACTGTGTATAATATTATTAGACAGATGGTATTGTATAGATGTTCATAATGATAATTTTTTAAAATTAGCACAGCAAATATTAACTGAACATGATCTTCATGTCCTGTTCCACACAGGTTGTATTTGTTGATGTGGACTCTGATAAAACTGAAAGTTCTTTACTAATGAATGCAAAACCATCTCATTGCTTACATTCTTTCTAGAATTTGCATATGCAAAGATACAAATTCCAGAAATAGCACTCAAGAGAACAGTCTGTAGAAATCTTGTCTAACAACTCTAAATTTTCAATCAGCATTGAATCAGAATTATAGCCATAGTTCTCTGAATTATTCATGATAAATAGATGACTGGCTACCCATGGGACTCTGATACAGCGCTTTCAATGTGGTAAAATAATTAGAATTGTCATATCCACTCTTTGTAAAATTATGAGAACTGTTATTTATTAATAGCAAATGTCATAACATAATCCAACTGTTATTTTCCTATCTAATTAAAGAATATGTGTTCTGATTCTGAGGCTTAATTGTTTGTTTACCAGCTGGAAGCAAGCAATGTAAGGAATCTTTTTTGTGTGTGTTCTTAATTTCCAGATGATCCCCAATATGCCGTGGTTACAGAGGGCATGGTCACTTGGTAGGATATCTACCCTTGGAGATGAATTTCTCAGGGATTGCTTTTGAACCATCATTTATTTTCCTTAGGAGAAAAGTAGACAATACCATAAGTAAATACGCATTTTTTTTGTTTTCCCGAAACCTAGAAATGTCAGAGCTAATAAAGAGCAATTAGGAATGAAAATACAATCCATTGAATCAGATAAGAAACAAACTTAGCAGGCTGCTTCTTGTTGCTGTTATTCAATTCATAAAAAAATGTCATCCACTCAAAATCATTTGATTTTCTGCAGAAAATTCCTTGATAAAAAAAAGATCCTGGGGTTTATGTAGGGCATTACCCCATTTAGTGAAAAACTCACCCATTTCTTTCCTCCATAAATGTGTCATTTTTAGATCAACTAAGTACCAAGGAAGCTATTCTCTGATATAATGAAGAGAAAAGAATCTTGAACCTGGTAAGAGTGGTTTCAAGCCAAAACAGATAATTTCTACAGAATACAATAAATGCTCTTTGGCTCTGTGTAGTGATATTGCCTCCCAGACATTTTAAGACTTAAAACCTAAAGAATGGGTTTATTTTAAATTAATAAATGAATAGAAAAGAATAAAATCTTGTTTGTTAATGTCAAACTTCCCTAGCCTTTTTCTAATCATCTTATCAATACTTTGTATTTTTTTCCTATCCCTTTTCATTCTTTTGGCATTTACTCAAGGTCTCTCTTTTGGCCTTTTGTTGCTCTGTGTTCTCTCTCTAGGCCATCTCAACCACTCTCATCACTTCAACCATCTTGAATGATTTGGAAACCTGTATTGGGTTCCAACATTTTCTTGTGGTCCAAAGTGATAACAACAACAAGCTGGGCATGGTGGCTCATGCCTGTAATCCCAGCACTTTGGGAGGCCGAGGTGGGCGGATCACCTGAGGTCAGGAGTTTGAGACCAGCCTGGCCAACATGATGAAACCCCGTTTCTACTAAAAATACAAAAATTAGCTGGGTGTGATGGCTTGCACCTGTAGTCCCACCTACTTGGGAGGCTGAAGCAGGAGGATTGCTTGAACCTGGAAGGCAGAGGTCGCAGTGAGCTGAGATCATGCCACTGTGCTCCAGCCTGGGCAACAGAGTAAGACTCCAACTCAAAAAAAAAAAAAAAAACCCACAAAGTGATAACAACAATAATGGCAACATTCATTGTATACTTACTATGTGCTGGGCACTGGGTTAACAAGTGAACACGCATAATCTCATTTAATTCTTACAACCACCTGTGAGGTAGATGCCATCATCATCTTCATTTTGCAGGAGAAAAAACTAAAGTTGAGTGATATCACACAATTCTCCTAGAGTCATGCAGATAATAAACAACTAAGCTGGGTTTTAAACCCTGACAGTTTGACTCTAAAGTGAGTGCTTTTGTTTTCAACCACCTGCTAAGCATCTTCCCTTGAATCTCCTATAGGCCTCTTAAAGCCAATCTACATAAAACACATTTCCAATTATTCCTGCTTCCCTTTTGGCATTAATTCATGTATTCAACCAATAAGAATTAATCAAGCATCATGGAGAGTCACATGAAAGCCTATGCACTAAGGATAAAATTTTGAACAAAATAATAGTGGTTCCTGCGTGTATAGAGTTTACTTTTCAGAGAGCGAGGCTCTCATTAATTACATTATTTTGCAAATAGATAATTATTCCAAGCTGGAATAAGTGCTAAGACGGGAAAATAAAATATGCTGTGGGAGCATCTAATAGAAGACCTGCTTTCTTTGAGGGGAAGATACGGAGTGGGGAATGCAAGAAGGGCTTCCCCTATAAATTGCTAATTAAGTTGGGATCAAAAAGTTCAGTAGCAGTTAACTAGGCAAGGGATGACTTCCAAGTAGTGATTCCAACACCTGCAAAGGCCCTGAGATGAGAAGGAGCTTAGCATATTAGAGAGACTGAAAAAAAATTGGTATATCTGGGACAGTCATCAAAGTTACAAGGGTAGCAAGGACAAGACCATGTAGGCCCTTCTAAGATGTGTTAAGTATTTTCCTCTTATTCTAAGACCAGTGAAAAGCCCTTAGGAGCATTTAATTATTGTAGTAAAGGAATAAAATTTATGTTTTGAAGGTGCCATTCTGGCTGCTGTTGGGAGGCTGATTTGTAGGGGGAAGAGCAGATTCAGGGAAACCAGTGAGGAGGATATTTCAGTGTTCTAAGTGAGAGTTTATGGTCTTATCTCTCATTATTTCTGTTTAAAGAAGGATTGTAGTCTTGGAGATGGAGATGAAAGACATTCAAATATACCTTTCAATTCAAATCAGAAGTCTTGGAGTTATCTCAGCTTCATCCTTTTTCCTAATCATTTTATCTAATTATTCTCCTGATGATTTTACCTCAACGTGTCTTGTGTCTTTTCCCCTTTCTTCATTTTTATGGCTACTACCTGAGTTCTAAATTAGTTTATAAATTGTACTAATGCAATAGTCTGTTTAATTCATTCTCTGCTATTGCCAAACTGTTTATTTTAAAATATAAATACAATAATATTTCTTTTCTGTTTATAACCACACCATGGTTATAGGATAAAGTCTAAACTTTAAAGAACATAAGAATCCTATGTTAGCCATATTGAAATACTAGCATATTTATATGAAATAAATAAATATAAAGCATTTTCATTATACAAATCATTATACAAATCATTATAATATAATTGTTACCCATTAGGTGGAATGGCTGTCTATAATGCGAGAGGTAGAAGTACCAATGATTTTATATGAACAACTTATTTGCTCACTTATGTTTAAACTAAACTTTTAACTATATTAGATTCCTCTTGTGTCCAGCCTCATGACCTCTTCATTCACCTCAATCTCTGCAAGCTCTTGCTGCAGCAAAAGCTTACCCATGTGCACATGTATATATATTTTTTCTGCCATGAGGTGTCTCTGATGGCACAGGTGAAATGCTTTCGGAAACCTCTGCAGTAATTCTGTGCAAACTGGAAGTAGAAATTAATGCTAATGGGAAACCTGTGCCCAGTGAGAATTGGAATTGGTGGCTATATATCTCCTTTCCCATCTTTTGGAAGAACAATTCTGTACAGCTTCCATACATTCTACACAGCTTCTCAAAGGGTCCCAGTGGGATCAAGCTCCAGTTGTCAATTCAATAGATTCTTCAAATGGCCATCTCTCCTTCTCTCCTCTTCCCTGGAGTTTTCAGAATAAACCAATTGCGTATAAGCCCTTGTCATAAGCTCTGCTTTCGGTGGGAACACAGGCTAGGACATCCATGTTGACTCTGGTAGATGTAAGGGTGACTAAAGATTATGATGAAGTAGGTAATGACTTAATAAAAAAGGTGCTGTTGAATTATACTTAAACAACAGCAATAATAAATGGGTTCTGATTAATCATTCAGCAATTAATGATCACAGGAGAATAATTAACAAGCAGTATATATGTTGGCTCACTATTTTCAATGCATAAAAAAAGAGGCACTACCAAAAAAAATTGCAAAAAACTTTTGATAAGAAAAGTAAAAATGTTTTAGCATTGAATGATCACAAACTTGGGACTTGTAGTGCTAGGAAAAAATGATCAACTCTAACATAAACTAGAAAGAAAAAGGCACAAAAGAGCTTTTATAAGAAGCTGCACTCTGAAGAACACATAGCATACTGGCAAAAGGGTACAATATCTCGCCAAAATTCCAGTATGTGTGTGTCTTTTATAGCACTCTTGGTACATTAGCTTCCAAGATCTATTCCTTGAGCTCTAAGGATAGAAAACTGAAAAATGGCAACTCTTCAGTGAAGATCGAGAATCATTTGGAAAACGTACTTGATTTCATGTTAGTAATATTATTGCCAATAAGATGCTTCTCAACTTTATTTGTTAGAGGACAATCATGAGTCAGTACCCACTTTTTTCAGCTTATAAATAACAGATTGAAGTAATAAGGCACCCAAAGATGATGGAATTAATACAGAAACTTGTTTCATTGGTAAGGACCAGGGGTTCCTGGTCAACAATTTCATCTGGAGAATCCAAAGTGATGAACCAGTTCATGTTCCTGATACAGAGCTGTTTTAACTAAGGAGATAAACCCAACTGGGAGTAAACTCCCTTTTTTCCTGGCTACTGTTTCCAATAAGTATTTTAATTTCAGATTTCTGTGCACATTTGGGTTGGTCATCAATACCTTGCAGAATTTCTGAGCCTACAATTTCAGAAAGTCATCTTGTGGGAAATAACCATCACAGGAGACAAAATGAAAAGATCAGCTTCTGCATGCCCCTACTATTGCCTTGAATAGTGAGGGCAACAATAACTTTCTGCTCAAATATGTCTCATCATATGTAAGTGTGTCCATGGGTGTGATGTGTGTGTATGTACATGTGCATCAATGGTTTTTGAAGCTTCTCCAGATATTTAAATCCCCTGCTCTCTCCTTGTCTTGTGCTTGGTTACTCATTAAAAATTCCCTAGGAGAAACACCTCCCAGTAGGGGCTGACAGACACCTTAAACAGGCGGGTGCCCTTCTGGGATGAAGCTTCCAGAGGCAGGATCAGGAAGCAATATTTTCTGTTCTGTAGCCTCTGCTGGAGATACCCAGGCAAACAGGGTCTGGAGTGAACCTCCAGCAAACTCCAATAGACCTGCAGCTGAGGGATCTGACTGTTAGAAGGAAAACTAATAAACAGAAAGAAATAGCATCAACATCAACAAACAGGACATCCACACTAAAACCCCATCTGTAGGTTACCAACATCAAAGACCAAAGCTAGATAAAACCACAAAGATGGGTAGAAAACGAGCAGAAAAGCTGAAAATTCCAAAAACCAAAGCACCTCTTCTTCTCCAAAGGGTTGCAGCTCCTCCCCAGCAAGGGAACAAAACTGGACGGAGAATGAGTTTTACAAGTTGACAGAAGTAGGATTCAGAAGGTCAGTAAAAACAAACTTCTCTGAGCTAAAGGAGCGTGTTCTAACCCACTGCAAGGAAGCTAAAATCCTTGATAAAAGGTTAGATGAATGGATAAAGAGAATAAACAGTGTAGAGAAGACCTTAAATGTCCTGATGGAGCTGAAAACCAAAGCACAAGAACTTCTTGACACATGCACAAGCTTCAGTAGCCAATTCAATCAAGTGGAAGAAAGGGAATCAGTGACTGAAGATCAAATTAATAAAAAAAAGTGAGAAGACAAGATTAGAGAAAAAAGAGTGAAAAGAAATGAACAAAGCCTCCAAGAAATATGGGACTATGTGAAAAGACCAAATCTACGTTTGATTGGTGTACCCGAAAGTGATGGGGAGAATGGAACCAAGTTAGAAAACACTCTTCAGAATATTATCCAGGAGTACTTCTCCAACCTAGCAAGGCAGGCCAACATTCAAATTCAGAAACTAAAGAGACCAACACAAAGATACTCCTTGAGAAGAACAACCCCAAGACATATAATTGTCAGATTTACCAAGGTTCAAATGAAGGAAAAAATATTAAGGGCAGCCAGAGAAAGAGGTCGGGTTACCCACAAAGGGAAGCCCATCAGACCAACAGCGGATCTCTTGGTAGAAACCCTACAAGTCAGAAGAGAGTGGGGGCCTATATTCAACATTCTTAAAGAAAAGAATTTTCAACCCAGAATCTCACATCCAGCCAAACTAAGCTTTATAAGTGAAGGAGAAATAAAATACTTTACAGAGAAGCAAATGCTGAGAGATTTTCTCACCACCAGGCCTGCTGTAAAAGAGCTCCTGAAGGAAGCACTAAACATGGAAAGGAACAACCAGTACCAGCCACTGCAAAAACATGCCAAATGGTAAAGACCATCGATGCTATGAATAAACTGCATCAATTAATGGGCAGAATAACCAGATAACATCATAATGATAGGATCAAATTCACACATAACAATATTAACCTTAAATGTAAATGGGCTAAATGCCCCAATTAAAAGTCACAGACTGGCAAATTGGATAAAGAGTCAAGACCCATCAGTGTGCTGTATTCAGGAGACACATCTCATGTGCAGAGATGCACATAGGCTCAAAATAAAGGCATGGAGTAAGATCTACCAAGCAAATGGAAAGAAAAAAAAAAGCAGGAGTTGCAGTCCTAGTCTCTGATAAAACAGAATTTAAGTCAACAAAGATCAAAAGAGACAAAGAAGGCCATAATGGTAAAGGGATCAATTCAACAAGAAGAGCTAAATATCCTAAATATATATGCACACAATACAGGAGCACCCAGATTCATAAAGCAAGTCCTTAGAGACCTACGAAGTGACTTAGACTCCCACACAATAATAGTGGGAGACTTTACCTGCCCACTGTCAATATCAGACAGATCAATGAGACAGAAAGTTAACAAGGATATCCAGGACTTGAACTCAGCTGTGGACCAAGCAAACCTAATAGACATCTACGGAACTCTCCACCCCAAATCAATAGAATATACTTTCTTTTCAGAACCACATCGCACTTATTATAAAACTGACCACAAAATTGGTAGTAAAACACTCCTCAACAAATGTGAAATAAAAGAAATCACAACAAACTGTCTCTCAGACCACAGTGTAATGAAATTAGAACTCAGGAATAAGAAACTCAATCAAAACCACACATCTACATGGAAACTGAACAACCTGCTCCTGAATAACTACTGGGTAAATGACAAAATGAAGGAAGAAATAAAGGTGTTTTTTGAAAATAATGAGAACAAAGACACAATACACCAGAATCTCTGGGACACATTTAACGCAGTATGCAGAGGGAAATTTATAGCACTAAATGCCCACAAGAGAGAGCAGGAAAGATCTAAAATCGACACCCTAACATCACAATTAAAAGAACTTGAGAAGCAAGAGCAAACACATTCAAAAGCAAGCAGAAGGCAAGAAATAACTAAAATCAGAGCAGAACTGAAGGACATAGACACACACAAAACCCTTCAAAAAAATCGATGAATCCAAGAGCTGGTTTTTTGAAAAGATCAACAAATAGATAGACCACTAGTAAGACTAATAAAGAAGAAAAGACAGAAAAATCAAATAGACACAATAAAAAATGATAAAGGGGGTATCATCACCGATCCCACAGAAATACAAGCTATCAGAGAATACTATAAACAACTCTATGCAAATAAACTAGAAAATCTAGAAGAAATGGATAAATTCCTGGGCACATACACCCTCCCAAGACTAAACCAGGAGAAGTTGAATCTCTGAATAGACCAACAACAGGCTTTGAAATTAAGGAATAATTAATAGCCTACCAACCAAAAAAAGTCCAGGACCAGATGGATTCAAAGCTGAATTCTACCAGAGGTACAAAGGAGAGATGGCATCATTCCTTCTGAAACTATTTCAATCAATAGAAAAAGAGGGAATTCTCCCTAACTCATTTTATGAGGCTAGCATCATCCTGATAACCAAAGCCTGGTAGAGACAAAACAAAAACAGAGAATTTTAGGCCAATATCCCTGATGAACATCGATGCGAAAATCCTCAATAAAACGCGGGCAAACCAAATCCAGCAGCACATGAAAAAGCTTATCCACCACAATCAAGTTGGCTTCATCCCTGGGATGCAAGGCTGGTTCAACATATACAAATCAATAAACGTAATCCATCACATAAACAGAAACAATGACAAAAACCACATGATTGTCTCAAAAGATGCAGAAAAGGCCTTCGACAAAATTCAACAGTCCTTCATGCTAAAAACTCTCAATAAACTAGGTATTGAAGAAATGTATCTCAAAATAATAGGAGCTATTTATGACAAACCCACAACCAATATCATACTGAAAGGGCAAACCTGGAAGCATTCCCTTTGAAAACTGGCACAAGACAAGGATGCCCTCTCTCACCACTCCTATTCAACATAGTGTTGAAAGTTCTGGCTAGCGCAATCAGGGAAGAGAAAGAAATAAAGGGTATTCAGTTAGGAAAGGAGGAATTCAAATTATCTCTGTTTGCAGAGACATGATTGTATATTTAGAAAACTCCATCATCTCAGCCCCAAAACTCCTTAAGTTGATAAGCAACTTCAGCAAAGTCTCAGGATACAAAATCAATGTGCAAAAATCACAAGCATTCCTATACACCAATAACCGACAGAGAGCCAAATCATGAGTGAACTCCCATTCACAATTATTAAAGAGAATAAAATACCTAGGAATCCAGCTACAAGGGATGTGAAGGACATGTTCAAGGAGAACTACAAACCACTGCTCAATGAAATAAAAGAGGACAAAAACAAATGGAAGAACATTCCATGCTCATGGATAGGAAGAATCAATATTGTGAAAATGGCCATACTTCCCAAAGTAATTTACAGATTCAATGCTATCCCTATCAAGCTACCACTGACTTTCTTCACAGAATTGGAAAAAACTACTTTAAAGTTCATATGGAAGCAAAAAAGAGCTGGCATAGCCAAGACAATCTGAAGCAAAAAGAACAAAGCTGGGGACATCATGCTACCTGACTTCAAACTATACTACAAGGCTACAGTAACCAAAACAGCATGGTACTGGTACCAAAACAGATATATAGACCAATGGAACAGAACATAAGCCTCAGAAATTACACCACACATCTACAGCCATCTGATCTTGGAAAAATCTGACAAAAGCAAGCAATGGGGAAATGATTCCCTATTTAATAAATGCTGCTGGGAAAACTGACTAGCCATATGTAGAAATCTGAAACTGGATCCCTTCCTTACACCTTATACAAAAATTAACGAAGATGTATTAAAGACTTAAATGTAAGACCATAAAAACCCTAGAAGGAAACCAAGGCCATACTATCCAGGACATAGGCATGGGCGAAGACTTCATGACTAAAACACTAAAAACAATGGCAACAAAAGCCAAAATAGACACATGGGATCTAATTAAACTAAAGAGCTTATGCACAGCAAGAAAACAAACAAACAAACAAACAAAAAACTATTATCAGAGTGAACAGGCAACCTACAGAATGGGAGAAAATTTTTGCAATCTACCTATCTGACAAAGGGTAATATCAAGAATCTACAAAGAACTTAAACAAATTTACAAGAAGAAAACAAACAATCCCATCAAAAAGTGGACGAAGGATATGAACAGACACTTCTCAAAAGAAGACATTTATGCAGCCAACAGACATGTGCAAAAATGCTCATCATCACTGGTCATCAGAGAAATGCAAATCCAAACCACAATGAGATACCATCTCACACCAGTAAGAATGACGATTATTAAAAAGCCAGGAAACAACAGATGCTGGAGAGGATGTGGAGAAATAGGAATGCTTTTACACTGTTGGTGGGATTGTAAACTAGTTCAACCATTGTGGAAGACGGTGTGGCAATTCCTCAAGGATCTAAAACTAGAAATACCATTTGACCCAGTGATCCCATTACTGGGTATATACCCAAAGAATTATAAATCATGCTACTATAAAGACACATGCACACGTATGTTTATTGCAGCACTATTCACAATAGTAAAGACTTGAAACCAACCCAAATGTGCATCAGTGATAGACTGGATTAAGAAAATATGGCACATATACATCATGGAATACTATGCAGCCATAAAAAGGATGAGTTCATGTCCTTTGCAGGGGCATGGATGAAGCTGGAAACCATCATTCTAAGCAAACTATCACAAGGGCAGAAAACCAAACACCGCATGTTCTCACTCATAGGTGGGAGTTGAACAATGAGAACACATGAACACAGGGTGGGGAACATCACACACCGGGGCCTGTTGTGGTGTCCGGGGCTGGGGGAGGGATAACATTAGGAGAAATGCCCAATGTAAATGATGAGTTAATGGGTGCAGCAAACCAACTTGGCACATGTATACCTATGTAACAAACCTGTATGTAGTGTACATGTACCCTAGAACTTAAAGTATAATAATAATAAAAAAATTCCCTAGAAGATGATGAGGTTTCATGTGCATTTTTTTAATGAACCCATGTCTAAGGTACATGGACCTCTCTGCTAGGTCTCTGAAAGAGTATCACTACTAGAGGGAAGCTATTAACAGTGACTCCACTGAACACAAATAGTTTTTTCATGAAACAGGAGATGGAAGCAACTTGATCAATGTCACCTTGAATTGCATTAGGAAGGCAAAACTGAAGCTCCGTTGACTCTGTTTGTGTCATTTGGTGTAATTATCTCTAAGACCCTTTTCAGGGTATTGCAATATGAGCCTATTAATCCTTCCTGGAAATGTTCAGAAACAGATAACTGGGAAAATGGACAATAACTATTTCTATTTCTCTATTATATTTAGTTCAAAGAAGACCAAGCACAGAGTCAGTTTTATTTTCCCAGGAATAATATACAAAACAACTCTAGTAGTACATGAAAATACATACAGTCAACTACACACAGAACTTTGGTTTTCTTATCAATACATTCTGTGCATGCTTTGCTTCGCATATGTTTTTAATATTCTTTGTAATTGAGACAGTTTACCTACAAAACAAGAGGTTTTCATATGAAAACAAATGGAATTGGTTAGAGCATTTGGTAAGATAGATGAAGAAAAGAAAACCATGCAATATCAATAGTCTTTATTTTCTATTTAAGCAATAAGCCATTAGAACTGGAATGGGAAAAATGGTCTATCCACAATAGCAACAAAATCTCATAAAAGTCTTAGAAACAAATTTCATTGGGATGGCATGGGAAATTATAAAACTTGTTAGCATTCATAAAATGATATATACCAAATGAAAAGAAATATGTCTTCAAATTGAAAGATTTTATTAAGTTGAACTCCATGAATATCCCATATACAGATGACTTAGAGATTTGAGTATAAATAACTTAAAATTATAAAGCTATAAGTAAAAATCTGGGAAGTTTCATTTTAAATTAATTTTAGGTTTCTAGTAACAAGTACTAGAAACTCAGAGTTTGTAGGGAATAAAATAACATAAATATTTGATTTTTTAAAAAAACCTGTATTCAAAGCTACTCTAAGTAAAGTGAATTGACTGAAAAGAAACTGGGCAAAAATATTAGTACCACAGATGAAAAAAATGTTAATATCTATTTTATAAAAGAGTTTTTTTCAAATTGGCAAGATAAAACTAAGCAATCCAATATAAAATTAAGCAAAGAATGTGGATAAAGAGAAAACGAAAGAACAAATTAGAAAGATCCAGAAACATAAGAAGAAATGTTATTATTTTCCAATGATCAGGGAAATTCAAGTTAAATAGTTATAACTTTATATACTAAAATTTATTCAAATAATGGAATCCTTAACACTGTTAGGAACATTAAAAGTGCCTTCTCATACATTGTTGGTAAACGTGTGTATCACTGCAATTGTTTTGTGAAACAATTTGGTAGTATCTGCTAAAATTTAAAACACATACATCTTTTAAACCAGCGATCACAGATTTCAGAATACATTCATTAGAAAAAAAGCACCACTACATAAGGTATTTATTTAAGGCCACAACAGCCTTATTCTTAATGATAAAACAAACTAAAAGCCAATTTTTCAAACTAAAGATAATGTCCACGAATAGAAGAAACAGTAGGAAAAAAATGGCTATTCACAACATGGAATATTATGCAGCTATTACAAAGAATGAATTATTTCTCTTGGTTGACCTGAGATAGTGTTGAATGAGAAGAGTAAGATACAGAAAATCATGTGCTTATACAATTCCACTTTTTATATAATAAATAATATTTAAACATCCTACATGTGTGTGAACCCATATCTGATTTAGGTTACATGAGGCTGAAGTTGAAAAATATTAAAGGACAATACTAGGATGTTAATATGGCTTGTCAGACAGGTACAGGGCAGGGTGCCCTGACATGCATGTGAAAAATAAAGGTAGGAGGAAAAGAAAACAAGTAAAAAAGGGGGGAAAATAATGTTGAAAATATATATGTTAAAAATCACATTTACATATTTAATAAAAATTGTATATCTGTATAAATATAAAAATAATTTCCTTCAAAAAAGAATACTGTAAACTACATTTTTGCTTTGCAGATTTGAATATCTATAATCTTTATTTTGCTAGATTTCTGCATGTTCCTAGAACAGTTCAGCAGTCACGTGCTTCTCTTGACACTTCTCCGGAAAACTGTGTTCAATTAGGAAAATAAGCTCGTACTTCAAGAGAAGTTCTAACTTCTTTTTTTCCCACCCACATGAAGATTTTCATAAGTAGCCCATTTCAATTTTTCAAAAGGTTTCTTGCTAAATCTTGTATTGTGCCTAGATAGACTGAAAATGTCTTGGTCATCAGGTGTTCCAATAAAAATATAACTAATTTATTGACATTAAGCCAAATATATTGTTTGTTGTGGTGAGAAAAACAATTTTTCAAAAATGTTTAATCAGAAATAGACATGTTCTATGAACACAGCAACTAATCTTCATAGCCTGACAATTAAGGATTTATCTTTTTCTTCTTCGTATGTTAGTTTCCTGAACATTTACTATGGATATGACCTTTTGTCTCTTTTTAATCCTGGGTATACTCTAGTATCTTTCATACATGCTGAAACCATATGAAATAATTTGTTTCTAAATGATTTTATAATAAAAACTAACTTAGCAGAAGTTCTAATTAGTAGCTTCTTAGTGCCTTTGTTTTCTCGTCTATTAGAATGAGAAAAATAGGCCGGGCACGGTGGCTCATG
This sequence comes from Homo sapiens, assembly GCF_000001405.40. Lineage (NCBI taxonomy): Eukaryota > Metazoa > Chordata > Mammalia > Primates > Hominidae > Homo > Homo sapiens. The sequence goes on along the minus strand of NC_000005.10, from coordinate 40,293,982 downwards.
CCTATAATCCCAGCACTTTGGGAGGCTGAGGCGGGCGGAACACCTGAGGTCAGGAGTTCAAGACTAGCCTGGCCAACATGGTGAAACCCTGTCTCTACTAAAAATACAAAAATTAGCCAGGCATAGTGGCAGGCGTCTGTAAACCCAGCTACTCGGGAGGCTAAGGCAGGAAAATCGCCTGAAACCGGGAGGCAGAGGTTGCAGTGAGCCGAGATCGCGCCATTGCACTCCAGCCTGGGTGACAAGAGCAAGACTTCATCTCAAAAGAAAAAAAAAAAAAAAAAAGGAATGAGAAAAATAGATTTGTTTTAAAGATTAAGTAAAATAACACAGAGAAAGTGTTCAGTGAAGCCTTCTTTCATTCACTCAACTCCTACTTCTTTTCATTTTTCTTTTTTGATGATTATTGTTTGAGAATGTTTCATAACAACATAAGTACATATGGCATAGATGGAACTATGTAGTATACACTAACATTGTATATGGTTTTTTGAAATGTTAAAAATAAATAATGTTCTCATTATTATTACATTGGGATTTGCAGGTCTCAAGTTGGGAATGATTTGCTTTAACATGAATCAAATCTCCTTTTAATCCTCATATACAAGTCCATGGTCCTTTCTGTCAACTGATTTTGGCTCCTTCTGCTGTCTCCTCTATCACTTGGTTTCCTAGGTGTCCTATAAGCCTAAACTCAAGTGCCACTTTCTTTATTGAATTCCTACATTGTTTTAATAAAAAATCAATGATCCATTCTTTTTCAACAAGTAGTTATCAAGTGCACACGTATACAATGAACAAGACAGTGTCCCAGAATTCATGGCATTGTGGGAAACATAAATAAATAATTAGCAACCAAAACAGAGTGAATGCTTTTCTATTACTTTTTTTAATGCTCTAATCTCACGTATCCAAATTCATCTTGAGGTCTGGAAGGCTTTCTAATCAAAGAACTAATTAGGAATTAGTCAGATGAAACAGGAATGAGGAAGGTGAACTTCAGAAACGAGAATGAGAGAAGACATAACTTTGGAAAACACTCAGAAATAACAAGCAGCAGAGTATGTAAAGAACTCAGCAACAAATTCAGGAAAGCCGAACCGAAAATGTGGAAAAGAGACAGAATGTATGGACCACACAGTAGGTGAGGTATTTGTTGTTCATTTCATCTCCCTATGTAGATTTACATTCCATGTGAGAAATAACCAAGTCTTCTGACTTTTATTTACTATTAATAAATATGGCATAAAACTGGGCTTCTAGTGGATGCTCAAAGAATACTTACTTTTGGCTTTTGACACAGCTTCTGTGTGAGTTTTGGCTAAAATTACTATTACATTTCCCATTTTAGCAAAAATTTCATGAGTATCATAATGATCTTAAGTGCCTCATTTGAATTCATAAATGTCTGTGATTCTGTCCTCTCTGAGTCTCTAGGGATGTATATTCCAAGCATAAATTTTTACTGAGATGTGTCACATGGCCTTGCTTGCTCTGGGATCAGTAAGGGCAAGCCCCTGCCAAAGTAGTAAAGCAGTGATGTTTGTTTTTGAGGCTGACCATCCTTCTTCCTGCACTTCCCTTCTCTTTCTTAATGTCATTATAGCCACTTTTCACCCCCAAGCCCTACCCACACCCCAAAACCCGCACCTGCTACTAGAACATCCATGCAACCCTCTGGTTCTCTGTGACATTAACTTCACAGTTAACGCTAAAGATCTGTAGAGAATTACCCTTACTTTGATTTTTTTTTGTCTACAATACTCAAATATAAACCACGAAGGGAAGAGAGGGTTTTGGCATTGGCCTAAGATGTACTTTAGCTTGTGATGGAAATGATAGTGACTAAGAGAGGGGTAATCAGATTTCTGAGAAACTTGATAAATTCAGCTTTACAATATGTTGCATCTGAAGTGTTTATAAAATACATATGGCAGACAATTGAAAATTTGTGTTTGGAGCTTGTTGAAAAGTCTAGGCAAAAGATAAGAATTAGCCACAGAAGTGGCTGTTGAAGTCATGAGTTTATATGCATTCACCCAAGAGACTGTAGAAATTGAAGAGAGGGCTGAGCATGGAGCCCACTGGAAGACCAACTTTTGAAAGAGGCATGGAATACGAGAGCCCTGGAAGGATATTGAGGAAAAGTTGCCAGAGAGGTAAGAGAAGATCAGGAGAGCATAGCGTCAAAGAAGCCACAGAAGGAAAGACTTTCAAGAAAGATAGACAGGTCACCATGTAGATGGTATTGATTGTGTTGTCTTTTCAGCAAGGCCTTTTCTAATTGGGAACCACCCCTCCATTATCCCTTGTAGCTATAATGGTAGTGCCATTCCCAGAGTTCTGCCTACACTCTGGCACAAGGGTAGATATAGAACTCATACCTGATGAGTCATAGCACAGGATTTCCCTCTTTGTAAAGATTGGTCCAAATAAGTAGGAATGTGATGAAAATAGAGCCCGAATTTTTTCATGTCAGAGTGGTTTCCAAATCATGTTGATACTGTTTCCTTAAAAAAGCCACAAAAGGCCAATGAGCACATACATCAACTGTGATGATTAATTTAACATCAACTTAAGTGGGCTATGAAATGTCCAGAAAGCTGATAAAACATTATTTCTGCGTGTGTGTCTGAGAGTGTTTCTGGAAGAGGTTAGCATTTGAATTGGTAGGCTGAGCGAAGAATTCTGATGGGCATCATCCTATCCATTTAAAGGCCTGAATAGAACAGAAAAGGCATAGGAAGGGAAAATGTGCTCTCTACTTGAGCTTGAACATTCATCACTTCCTGCTCTTGGACATCAGCACTCCTGGTTCTTGGGGCTTTGCACTCAGGTTGGGACTTACACAATCAGTTCTGTAGCTTGCAAATGGCAGACCATGGGACTTCCCAGTCCATGAACCAATTCCTAGGCTGGGTGTGGTGGTTCACATCTGTAATCCCAGCACTTTGGGAGGACAAGGTAGATGGATCAGTTGAGGCCAGGAGTTCAGGACCAGTTTGGCCAACATGGCGAAACCCCATCTCTACTAAAAATACAAATATTAGCTGGGCATGGTGGCACACACCTGTAGTCCCAGCTACTAGGGAGGCTGAGGCACGAGAATTGCTTGAATCTGGGAGGTGAAGGTTGCAGTGAGCCAAGACTGCACCACTGCACACTCCAGCCTGGGTGACAGAGTGAGACTCTGTCTCAAAAAACAAACAAAAAAAAAAACAAAACAAAAAACAAACAAAAAAAAGCCCCAAAATAAATAAATAAATACAGAAATACAGAAATAAATAAATGATCTCTTTTTATGTATATTTCTCTATATATATTCTATTGGTTCTATCTCTTTGGATAACCCTAATATACCAGCTATGAGTGTGTAAGAGTGATAGGTTACAGATCCTAGTGAAATTGTTCCCCAAAGAGTTAATAACTATTAATAAGAGTTAATAACAATAACTAACATAAATTCTTGAATTTACAGGACAGCAGATAAGAAAAGAAAGAACTTGCTGAAATTCTGAAATGTCCTCCACTTGTAAGATAATAAAATTGGCAGAAATTGGTTGGAATCAACACGGCCAACTGGAGTTCGCATAGAACGAACTTGCTGATGCCACAGCCTGAGTTTCCATTGCACGTTTTACACTAATTCCCCCAAATTTGCACACATGATCTAAGAGGTAGCATGATGGAATAACTGTGCATGGCCAAAGACTTCCCACACCTCCCCTTTCCTTCCACCAATCACTTACTAATCCTAGAATCCACACCTTAGACCTTTTCAGATAAAATTGCTGCCTTAAAGCCAGCACAGGGAGACAGATTTGAGCTGGACTCCTGTCTCCTTGTTAGCTGACTTGCAATAAAAAGCATTTCTTTTCTAAAAAACCCAGTGTTGCAGTATTGGCTTCTAGTGCATCAGTCAGTGAGCCCCTTTACTAAAATCTACTGTTTGAAAATCAACCTTATTTTCCTGGCTAGATCTTAGTATGAAACTTAGGAGGTAGTAAAACAAATCCAACATTTTAAAGATGTTCTTAAATATGAAGCTCGTGGATAACATTGATTTGGATGATTCTTTTGTTTGGGAAAACATTTGCAAGAGAGATATATCATAGCAATATTAACACTTTGAAATGAGGTCATTGTCATAGGAAAAAGAAAAAACTGGAAAATTTCAATTTGCAAGAAAAAAATCTCCAATCTAAAGAAAACCTAGGACTGGTCATCATGCAAAATTATGATATTAAGTCACAGGGTGTCTCTCAATTTAGGCTGCTAACTAATCTGAAAGGCAAAGAGGATCATAGACTTTTAGATTGGGAGGACCTTTAGAGATTATCTAATATTCAAACCCCATGCTTTTATAGAGAAGAAAATGAGGCTAATTTTCCACACCATTCAACTGGAGGCATATCAGAAACTTGCACCAATTCTCAGCTCAGTGATATTTCCCCCTTGCCACACTGGGCTGGGATTATCCTTTCTTAAATATTAACGGGAGCACAACCAGCCTCTGACTTAAAACAACTCAAATGTTTTTATTATGAAATGCTTCAAGCTATAAGGTTAAGTAGGGGTTCACATAAATAATGTGATTAATACTTTCTGTGACCATGTGCTTTGTCTTTTCATAATTGGGATGTGAACATAGTTCACAGTAGCTAAGAAGACCCTGTTCTTTATAAACGCTATGCAACAGCTGCGCAGTATCACCCTGGCTCTTGAAAGTTTATGAAGTAAAGCAAACTACTGAAATAGCATTAACTTTATTTGGTTTATGAGAGGTATTTTTGACTAATTACATATTCTGACCAAGATTAGTAACATTATTTCATAGTTTAGATTTCTGACCTGAGTCCACTTTTTTTTTATGACCACACTTAGGAATGGCGGTGCCCTGTCCTATCAGTGGCACATTAATAATAGGATTATGGAGAACTGTCTGATACATCCAGCTCAATTCCATGTACTCCCACAGTCTTCCTCAAGGAGGCACCAGCAGGAACCCTGGAGCATGCATTAAAGTGTGCTTTCAGATGCCTAATAGTTGCTTCCAGCTTGACAGACTTCATGAAAAAGTCCACAAGACTTTTTTTTTAAAGGAGCTTTAGCATGCTTGTTTCTGTAAACAGCATTCTTGTGTCTGTAAATACCACGACCAGAGTTGGCAGTGAACCTACAATATCATTACCTGATGTACTTGCAAGGGGTTATTATGTTCCAAATTTACATGATGTGAACTTAGGTGATGCACAGTCCAGATACCCCTTAATGAAGGACTTGTTGGTAATGCCGTCAGCAGATATCCTTCTGTTGTCAACACTCCAGGGCTTGCCTCTGTTGTGGATAGCCATCTTGCCCAAGGTCAAATCCTTTCCTAGATGACCCATGTCCAATGACAGATGGCAAATAAAAGTCTAACTATCTTGGTTTAACTTAGGACAATGCTAATGTTCAATTTTACCTCCAAGGGTCCTCATGGCATTGGCCAATGTTCTTTCGGGACAATCACTGCAGTTTGGCTTTTATTTTTTCCCATTTCTGCTTCCTTCCACTCCTCCCCCCAAATATTAATTCCAAGAACACTCCTTATGAAACATCTTTTATGTGAAACTTTATGTCAGGGTCTGATATACAGACCAAAGTTTGATTTATTACCTGGGGTCCAATATAATTATTTACCTGACGGTTGGGCAATGCTAGGCATTGAAAAATGCATTAAAAAGTCAACCTGGTTTTCAGCAGAGTGGAAAGCAGTGCGCATCATCAATATGACACCAAATTTTCTTCAATAATGATTAGAATATTCTTTTTTTGTGAAATGTGGGCCAACCTCAGACCTCACCTATGTACTCTTAAGCAGTTTCGACTGAGTCATGTCTAGGCAATCCTGCTGAGACAACTGGTCAGACACAATCATCAGATACGCGGCCCTGGGGAGGAGTCAGGACCCAAGTGAATGTGCTATGGTGTTGGGTGGGCTTGAAAGGAAGGTGGGTAATAGGTTTTTTGACTTATCCTCTTGCTATTGTCTCTGATCAAATGGTGAACACCTTGAAGCAGGGATAATTTTTTATTCATCTCTGTCATTTTAGTGCTTATCTATGTCTGGCACATTGTAGACAGTTTTCTTAACTTGAGATCATCCAGACTCTGAGACAAAGACTTGAGAAAAGTAGTTTGGAAGTTCAGGAAACACTGATGTGGAAGAGGGAAGGTGAAAAGGGAAGGGAGGCAGGACGACAAGGGGTGTGTTATCAAGAAAATGTGGCTATGGATATGCTGGGCTGTTGGAGATTAATCCCACAAAAATACCCTGGGAAACTTGAAGCACAGGTACCTCAAAGCTACCCCATCTGAGGGCCAAGGGAGGTGGGATATTTATGCCTCAATTCCTGTGGCTATCTGGTGCAGGCTGTTCCTGAGGAGTGATAAATTTCAGATTTTATAACTGCTCTGCTTGGGAAGAAAGGCCATTCTGGGTTTTGGAGAAAGTCCTCAGGTAAAGAGGGGCGGGTGTTGGCAGTTAGAAGTTAGGTCAGTGCATACGGAAGAGAGTTATCGACTGCATCTGCTGTGATGGCTAAAAATATATTTCTTAAATTCATTTAATAGCTATAAATGAACCTCAGTACTCATAAAAATATCACCCTCAATTGTGTAGGTATTTCAGGAATATTCAGAAAGACTAATTGGCCCCGTGTTCAAACATAAATTGCCAGGTATGAAAATGAGGACTATTCAAACTATCTCAAGAACAGAGTGAACAGATGTAGACTCAATTTACTGTTTGTTGGTAGATAAAATTCTGGATAAACCCCATATTTGCAATAAAATAGGAATAAAGAAAACTTCAGTATAAAGAAACTACCACAAAACAGAGGCAAAGCTCAGGGGAGAAATAGACTGAGCAACAGAAGAGACCAGAAGCAGGAAGGACAGAGAAAACAGGCGCCATGGTTCTGCATGTTTTTTAATGCCAGGTATCCCCACCACATAAGTTCTGGTTAGGGGAGCATCTTGGCCTGCCTGCAGCTGGTTACAGGCTCCCTGGAGGGTCAACGGACTCTAAATAGGTATGAATGGCAGTGATTTCTGCAATTTGTTCCAGCTTGCTATAGGGAAAGTCAGATGGCTGCAGGGAGTACAAGTATGGAAAGAGTTCTGTGGTCATGGTCTACCTGGTATTGCCACTTGAATGCTTTGATCAGTGGTTCTAAATTAAGGGGTAAAATTTACACTTTCTAAATTTCCAGTTCTCTTGCCCATTTAATGTTCCTAATCAATGGGCATATTTATCCTGGCTACTTTTGTTGGCATAAAGTGCTAGGTGTTTAGGAAAGGCTAAAGGTGTGGAGGAGAGAGAAGTCCCCAAGGGACACAGGATATGGACACTTTGGGAAGTCGTTTCATTTGAAATTAGCCCCCCCCACCCCGCATTAAGTACCTTGCTCACTGTGGGTACAGAATAAATGATGAACTAAAATTATTCTATGAACTATTTTGGATCCCTGAAGGTATTGGAATTTAACCCAAAGCTTCAACTAATCATGATAGTTTTCAGGTGTGACACTTTTCAAACGAAACGGAAAATAGTGGCAAAATTAGCTGTGAAATGTAGTCAGTTAAAAGCACCAATTTCTCACTTTATCTTAGAACCAGTCTATAAGGTGTCGAGTGTGATGACTTTGAAGAATTTGCTTCCACATGGTCAATGCTGTAAAATGAACTGAGTTTACAGTTGTTCCCCAACTTCTAAAATGTAAAAATCTCTATGTAAAATGACAGCCCTGAGTCAGATAAGAGTTTCATACAGTAAAGACTGATTTAACTATGTTTACAAGAGAGATCAGCTTATTAGAAACATGAATAGATGAATCAAAAAAATTCTGATGTATTCTCTTGTTAACTAGATGATTCAATGAACAAACAAAAGCCTGCTCCCTAAAGGGTCTTAAACTTTCATTAACTAGAGAGGTAAAGGGGTCTTTGAAAGAGCTCACTCCTTGGGAGCCACTTCTAAATTTAACAGAAAGTACTAAGCAAATCTCCTTCTTAGGGACAAAATTTTTTCTTCTTTGGATGAATGACTTAAGGAAAAGTTGGATATAAAAGTAGTGAAATATCAACTAGTGGCAGAGAAAAAGAGACAAGTGCTTTAAATATGAAGTAGACTTTTTGAAAATGATTGAGCCGAGTGTGAGGAAAGGCATTCAACTTTGGAACTAAATGGTTTATTATTTAGTGTTGGGAATTACATATGTATATATTGTCTCTCTAACATAGAAATCAGGTATGTTCCATTAATCTTACTTATACAGGACAGATAATATAACTACAATATTTAGCACATATTTTAAATAACTTTTAAAATGTGTATACATATTATTTAATTCTATGACTTCTCACAATTTTAGAATTATTATTTTCATTTTACAGATGACAAAACTAGAGGGCCCAAAAGCTAACATCTACCCAAGATCATATTTTTTAATTGGTGAAGGAGTTGTGGAATGTAGTCTTTGTTCTTCTGACCCCAAAGCTTTTTCCTGCCACCATACTTACAAGTGTGAATTGTTCTGGTAATTTGTAGCAAGCCCGAAGAGCTGAGGGCCAAGGTACCTTGCTATTGCTGTTTTTACCCTTCTGCAGATGTGGAATTGAGGAAGATAAATTCCTGGAATTGCTTCAGCTCACAGAGCAGTTCAGCAAAACAACTGGAATCAGGACAGACTGTCCTTGCATTCTCCCTTTCTCCTTTCTGAAGGGGAATGAATTTCTCACACATGTTCAGAGCTTGATTGGATTGGGCATGACAGAGGGTGGTTAAGCACACTTTTTCCCAGGTATGACGTATATCTGCAGCTACTCAATATTAATGTTCTTTCTGAGAATTTACTTCATGCTCTGTAATTTCAGGTCCAAGTAGTTAACATCTCTTTTTACCTTCTTGAGTTTTTCTTAGCACAGTCATAACAATTAAGCTCTTAAATAACAAGAAACTTTAGGAGATTGAAATACAGATTAAAGGTGTTTCCCGGAATTTCATGTGCCAATGGGCAAGAGGCTCCAAGTTCTTTAGTTACGGTGACTAGCAAAGGAGTATCCTGTGGACATAATTATTCAGCTTTCACAATTATGAGAACCATTTACTGTGGCTTCTTTAGCAGCATCTTTGCTATTGTTCTTATCCCCGATGTGTGACACATCATGGGGCATGGCATGGTCTAGCTGTGCCATGTGCTGGAGCGCTCTGCTAGGCATTCATTTTGGTTGGTAGCAACAGTTTATGAAATAATTGCAAGTAGTTTACCTGAATTTCCATTACTGTTTTTGAAATAATTTTTGCAGATATTTATGTTTATTATATGAATATCTTCAAATGTTGATACCCTGACACCTGACACTTAACTAACCCAAGCCTACACTAATTCCCACCCAAAAATCTGTTCTCATAAAACTGATAATTATGGTATAGCGTGTTTTCTTAGTCAGAGTGGCTAAAACTTAACATCATCTTTGAATTCTCTTCTTTCTCAGGCAATCAAATACTACGTTTTGTTGTTTCTGCCTTCTCAATATTTCTATAATGCTGTGTTTCCCAAATTCAGGTGCATGGAATACTAGTATCCAGTGAGACGTTAACAGGCTTTCCATGTGATCAAATGAATTTGGAAAATGGTGCATTAAAGAATGTTAAATATGCTTTTTATGGCAAGATTTCTCAGGTCTTCAATATGTTTGTATGCATTTCAAATGTTTAACAGGATAATGTAATAGATGACATTTCTAAAGTTTGATCAAACATAATCCCTCCAACTTGCCATAATATAAATATTAATAATAATGTTGACACTAATAAATATTTAAAGATGTTTATTGGTAAATAATAGTGTTCTGTTGAATATAGTTTGGGAAATACTGCTGAATCCACTCTTTATTTTCTTGACAATTTTCTACTTGAACCTAGTCATTTTGCTATAGGTTTCTGGAGTGGACACTTAACAGTTATCCTTATTTCTAACCTCTTGTCTCTAAATCTGGTGTTTTCGCTGGTAATACCTTTTCTCTTTCCAATAAATAGGTCAAATTATGTTTTCCTTTTCCTGAAAGCTATTTAATTTTTTCTAATGTCTCTAGAATAAATTATTTATATAATAAACTCTTTGGTACACATTCAAAGTCATTGCTGATCAAGCCATAGTACATTTTCTGTTTGATCTCTAAACAAATCTATATTCTTTGCTGATGGTACCCATTAATCTGAAGCAAACTTATATTCCTTTTTAAGATTCTTCTCATGCATCTGTAACCCAAGTATTATCTGGACTAAACTGTTCCAATATGACTTGCCTTCTCCACCTCTAAACATAGAAGATGATGGCACTAATTTTGAGCATTCTGCCTCACTAGATACACATTTCAAAGGAAATATAAAAATCAAGTGCAAGAAAATAGGAATCACACACAATCCTGTCACTTAGTAATAACTGTAGTTATAACTTGCCATATAGATTTATAGTAATATATATTTATATATCCATGTCTGTCTGTATATTTATATCTATACCTATGTTTATCTATAACCATCTTCACACACATGCACACACACTGACACACATACACACATGAAGGTCATGCTGTACTGTTTTTTCAATTAATGTACATATTAGATGACAAAATCAAAATCCCAAAGGGAGTTTGGAGCATTGTGTTGAATTTAAAAAAATGCATTTAAAAATTGGTATATATAAATGTGTGCAAGTGAATTAAAAATACACAAAACAGAGGGTGCTTTGTAACAATATGTGTAGAAAAGACTTAAAGGTTTTAGTTCAGAGGAGGTAATGTGTATCCAAACGGGTAAAGTGTTAAGTGACTATCAAAAAGTTGATGGGACTTTAGCATTACTGAAAATTTTGTATCAAATAAGAAAGAAATGTCAGTCTTACTCTAGTTTGCTTTGTCAAAATATACAGACAGCGATGTGTTTTATTCTGGGCCCCAACAGTTAAAGAGATATAAACCAAAAAAGAATTTGTTCATAGGAAAGTGATCAGGGTGGTGCAGAAAAACAGATGAAGGCACTACCAAGGGCAGAGAAGTCTCAAAAGGATGTGAAAACAAACTGTCTTTTAATTTCTGAGGAGCTGCCATGTGAAGGAGACATTAGATTTACTCCGAGTGTTCTAAAAACATAGCGTTTTGGTCAAGTACAGGAAATACTATTAAAATTTAACACACTTAATTTGCATTAATTCAAAGATTCTCATATTTTGCTCTATGTTGAATACCAAAATCAAATAACATATTTCTTCCCCTAACATATTGAATATGTGATATTTCATAGTATTGTTTTGTCTTATTATTGTTTTAATAATACCTTAACATTATATATATTTTTTCAAAATGATTATTACAAATTTACCCTTATAAACACATTCCTCTTGCTCCGTATGATTGCCAAACTTTGATATAGATACTCCTTTTGCTTTTGGCCATTCAGAAGGGTATCAACTGGTGTCTGAAAGTGGTTATAATTTGCATTTCTTTGAATATATTTTAATATGTTTACTGCCTATTTGAATTTCCTCTTTTTTGAAGGGCCCATTCAAATCTTGTCCATTTTTAAAAATAGGCTTTTTCTTATTAATTTGAAGGAGTCCTTTATATGTTCTCAATACAGACAAAAGGCAGATAACAACCTCAGAAAGTACCTAAGATTTGATTTTTCTAAAAGCAAGAGGCTTTCTATGGAAGAGTCTAATGGTTTGCTGGTACCTGGGAACCTCTGTACCACTGGGAGTGGCTTTTGTCTATGTGGCTGTCTGTGGCCCTCCTGGTACTTATGACTCTGTCTATGTAGCCAGTCGGGTGTCCTAGAGGAAGAGCTGGAGAGACTTCTTAGTGCCATTGCTCATTTCACTTGAGGGTCTGGGACCCTTGACCATGCCTCATCTCTCAGATCTAATCTCCCACCTAAGATTTTGGGATGTGAAAGGGAGAAGAGATGGGGCTAGGGTTCAACAAAACCAGTATTTCCCTCTGTTTTTGGCTGATGTGTATCTCTACCAAATTCACATGTTGAAGCCCTAATCCCCATTACCTCAGAATGTGAGTATATTTGGAGACAGGGCCTTTAAAGAGGTGATTACATTAACATGAGGTTATTAGGATGGGCCCTAATCCAGCCTAATCTGTGTCTTTATAAACACGGGAAATTTGGACACACAGAAAGACACTAGGAGTGTGTGAGTACAGAAGAAAGATCATGTGAGAAAAAAAAACAAGAAGGTGATCATCTGCAAGCCAAAGAGAGGGGCTTCAGGAGAAACCAATTCTGCTGACATCTTGATCTTGGACTTCCAGCCTCCAGAACTGTGGGAAAAAAAAATTTCTGTTGTTTAGCCACCCAGTTTGTGGCATTTTCTTATGTCAGCTCTGGCAAACTAATATATCCTCTGATCACTTTCCATGTATATTTTACTACTCTCCATTACCACCTTTTCCTCCATTTCTCCTCTCTCCCTTCCTTCCAGAGATGTTGGGAAAGCACCTTACTCTGTGCATGCCCTATCCTAGGCCCTGGGATCAGAGCAATCCTGCACATTCCTGATGGCTGCACTGTGGGAGGCTACACTGCAGCCATGATCAGCTATGTGCTATGGCCAGAGCCAGTCTAGACATTACTGTGAATGGCCGTTGCTTCCTCCTCATGTGAAACTCTGGTCTTGCCTCTCATCTGCTGGAGATTTACAACTCGGTTCTACCATTTTTTCTCACCTATTGCAGATGACAAAATTCACCCCAAGTGTACCAGCGGATGAGGGGTACTTAGAATGAAGATGCCAACGTCAAAGAATTTTCCTTTCCCACTATTGTGATTTTACTCCCGCTTTCTTCTTCAAAGACATCATGGGAAAATGCTAAGCCCACATCTATTCAGGTCTAAAGAAACCAACAGCAAGCTATCCTATTTTTCAGCTACTGAGAGAACTGGGTGAATTTGGGGGTACGGAGTGGTGGGTGGAGGGTGGGTGATCACTGCTTAGTGAGCAATTTTCAGTACCAGCCTACAACCTTCAAGTCACCAAGTTAGCTGGGAACCTGAAAAAAGTCCCATTTCTTTGACACCAGCAACCCAGGCCACAGTCCCAGTGTCGTAGGAGCCACTAAATCATGTCCTACAGCTCTCAGGCTCCCAACACTGAAAAACAGTCATAAATCACGTGAGTGGTTCTGGGTGGATGGAGATCACTCTTTGCCACGACTGATACAGAATATTATCTAAAGGCTTGTTTGACGTTTGTTTCTCTTTCTCTCAGGAGTTTACCTTAGGATCCAGGGTTCTTAGCATGGATTTTATAAATTGGCTTCACAAGTTCTTAAGCTTCCAGAATTCTGTGCATGTGTAGGTCTATTTTTTTTTCTCTAGAAGAAGATTCTGATTCTTAAAGGGGTTCAGAGACTACCACAATAGTAAGGGTTGTTAATTTTTGATACCCACATAGATTTGACTTAAGCAGAAAATTTTGTACCTGTTTCTCTCCTTTTTCTAGGAGCGTGGGGTAGAGAGTCTGTTTTTACAAAGTTATTCTTGGTAAAACACATGTGGAGTTGCCACATTTGAGTTAAATATTTTGATATTACCACATATGTTTCAAATCATTAACATAACAAATTAAGGACTATAATTTTTTTGGCATTTGTTATTTTAAAATAGTTCCCATAGATCTCCAAATTATCTTTTGATGAATTTTAGTTTCATAATATAAAAAAGATAGTGTTTTCTTAACTTATATTTTTTGATATGATTCCAGGCCCATTACCAAAAAGAAGAGCTTGTCTGAGTCATTCCAGGAGAGGCTGACCAATTTTTTTCATAAGAGTTTTTAGAGTATTTTTAAATTTTCAATTTTATATTTAGCTTTTCTGTTCATTCTCTGCTTATACAACAACTGACTCCAATTAGATTTTATAGAGATTTATAAAGCAGACATGTATTTTTCGTTTTTTGTCTTCTGATATGTATTATCCACTATATACTTCAAATTATTTTTTAACCAAACGAAACACTGACTGCAGAGTCCTGCCAATTATTTCATTTTCTCATAATGCTTCAGAGCACATACAGAATATTTAAATAAAATTAAAAGTAGCAATTTATTTATTTATTTGAGACAGAGTCTTGCTGTGTTGCCCAGGCTGGAGTACAGTGGCACCATCTTGGCTCGCTGCAACCTCTGCCTCCTGGGTTCAAGTGATTTTAGTGCCTTGGCCTCCCAAAATGCTGAGATTACAGGTGTGAGCCATTATACCCTGCCAGAAGTAGCAATTTAGTTGCAATAGGAGACATTGAAAAAATTTCAGATGGTTGTTAGGACTTTGTGTAGCTTTCATAAAACAAAAATTCTTCAAACTGTGTTAAAGGCAGCTTCAAATTAAACACTAGATTATTTAACCAATTTTTGTATTGAAACTACTAGCATCTTTTATGGACCTGCAGTAACCTTTTGACATATTATGCTAACTTTTGTTTTTTTTGGCTTGATTTCAACAGTACATAATTACATTAATGTGGGTAATAAATTATGTGAGAAATATAAAAGAGATTGGAATACATTTTTAACCTAAGTCATCTTTCAAATTTAGTTTTCTTCATTAAATACAACTTTTGCTCTCCTGTTCTTATGTAAAGGAGGAAAAAGTTGGGTTGTGTAAGGCAACTAGAGTGGAGAATTTAGTGTGGTTGGATGTTCATCGGGTTTTCTTAATAACTTCTTCTTTCCCAATTTACGAGTGTCCATTAGTTCAGGAATTGAGCAAACTCTCAGGGGAAGAAAGTCGGGGAAATTATTAAAAGTGATGATCCCTTCTCCTTCCCTTGGCATGACAGTCATTTCCTTTCCACACAGTGTGTTCAAATGACCAACTATGGAAAGTATGTTTAAATAGCCGACTGCTCCCTGTTGAGTCCTGTAAAAAGGGAGAAAGTGTTATCTAAATGGAGCGTTTCTTTATTTAACTGTCAATTATGGATGGGAAGTGGATAAGAGAGAGAGGCAGGGATAACAACTGTGGAGAAAGTGCTCTGCTAGGTTCTTCTAACCCAAACCAGCAGTGCTGCAGGTGTCCAGCATGCCTCCTTCCTCCCTCAGCCTGGATAGGCATAGCTCCTTCCCTGTTAACATCATTAGGCCTCTCCATTGCTCACTGGAATAGCAGAATCTAGGTACGTTTGCACCATCTCTTTGGTTTTCTCTTTTACCTGCCTATGCTTCACCCCTGTTTACTTCCAGAGTTCTCTTTTCCAGTCACTCATTCTAACTCTAAATTCTTGCCAATTTCCCCTCCTCACTGACTTGGGTTTTCCCTTTTTGCAGCATTCATCACTTTCTGGGGAAGTCTTGTAAAAGACTTTGGGGGAACATTTGAGGTTCAGGTAGCAAGAAGCCCAGCAAGGGGAGAGTGTGTCTGTCAACAGAGAGATGACAGATGAAAACCATCTCACTAGCTGTGGGGCATTAACACAGACCAAATAAAACAATGTGCTGTCTGGCTGAGCCTGGTCCATGAGCAGAGCCTGAGCTAAGCCAATTTAAATGACTTGATCTATATTCCTGAATACTTACCAAAGGTGGCAGATTGAAGGTGAGAATCAACAGCTATAGATTTGGCATAATGTAGGATGAATTTGCAAGATTACCTGTTCATTGAAAGTCATTGACTAGGAGACCCAGATTGCATTCTGGCTGGTTCCAGATAAATTTTCCCATTGTGGGCTTTAATTTCCTAACCATAAAACAAAGGCTATAGGGAGAGGTAAAAGCGCTGGTTTCTAAAGTTCTTTTTTTAAAATTTAATTTAATTTTAAATTTTCAAAAATTTTAGGCAAATTTCACTTGGATGGTTTCTAAAGTTCTGAGCTCTAAAATTTCATGATTTTAGGACAATTTTGTCAAAATTTTCTGTTTTGTTAGCTTGCCTCTGTATTTAAAATTCCACATTCAGAGGTGATTTTGTAAAACTTATGTTGGGGAGGGACAATAAATTATGGCAGTATTAGCAGAGGAATAATTTTTATCAGGAAGCTAGCTACAGAATGCAGCAACGTGTAGGTGAAGCTTGGAAAAAAATTGAGCTCATAAAGTACATTGGCAGGGGATGATTTCTCTATAATAACCTGAGCCTCAAGGTGCTGGGTGTTGAGAAATGAGTAGAAGGCTGAGAGATGGAAGTCCCCAAGGCCAAACCTATATTTATGTTTTTTCAAAAAGTAGTGTGATGCTGCAAGGAAATGGAACTTCCAGACAAAGTTGCTGTGGCTTAGATGACTCACTACAAAGGTACAACGATCAGTTTCCCCAGGATTTATGCTACTTCTCGGAAGAGAGAGAATTTGTAGAAAAAAAGCTGATGAAAATTTAGAGATCTGTTCTATAAACCTAAGAGAGGAAGGAAGCAAAAGATGCTTATGATTTCATACTACCTTCTGTAGGTTTCACAGATTTGAAATTTGAATCTACATCAAAGAAGCTGAAAAGAAAAAATTAGTCAAGGCAGATGAGCATATCATACCACACCTCTGCCAGCAACACCAGAAAATGAGGAACATTCAAAGTGATACTTGGGCCCAGGAAGAAATCACTTCAGTGGGGGTCAAAGAGGAGAGGCTGTACAGGCAAGGGGCCTGGGCCTGGTATCAGATAGATTGGAAATGAAACCTCGCTCTCCCCTCTTAACTGTGCATTTAGGCAAGGGGCTTCACTTCTGTAAGTTTCAGTTTTGTTCTCTGTAAGATAGGGGTTGCTATGTACTCCTTAAAGTTGGGAAGTGAAATGAAATAACTTGAGAAGAACGAGATATCACTTGTTTTCAAAGAGTTGTTACTCATATCATTAGCAGGAAGACCCTGTCCTTAGGTGGACACGTTACATTTAAAAAATGAAAAAGTTCTTCCCAATAATACTGGTTAGTGTGAGACTAACACCTCAAGATTGGCTTTGCTAGCTTCAGTTCCCTCTCACTGCCCTCTTGACAGAGGAAGAAGTGAGCCATGAGCAGGATTTGCCAGTGTCTAACGTTCAGGCATGGAGAATTCCACGTAAGGGCCCAGGATCTCTAAGTTTCCAGAAAGTTCTGGGAGATATTTCACAATCTCAACATGATCCCTTGGGCACAGGATTCTCTCTCCCTTTACATGCGTTAGTGAAGTCCAAATTGTGGTCTAATATCACATACATAGGAAATCCCATCATGTGAGTTTTTAAAATGTGAAGGGGCAGAATTCTGAAGAATTATATCTTAGACTATGCACACTTCAGTATGAGTGAGTCGCATGTGACAATGTGCTGACAGTGATGACCTTCCATTTGTGTGCTAAAGTGACTTCCTGTGCATTAGCAAGGTTGGAATTAGATTATTTGAGTTGCACTTTCTAAAGTTCTTTATGTCTTACACATGAATTGATTGTGCTTTCCTATACTTCTGAAGCCATTTACCCTACCCAAAAAATAATTTAAGCCAAGTGTTACTGTCTCTTATTGCAAACAGAACATACGATTTGCACAATGAGATTTTATTGCTTGGCGTGCATGACTTTAGCGTGCTTTAGTGTGAAGTAAGTTTCCCAAGCCTAGAGGATTTGGCATGTATAAGAGATTGAAGTTTTCATTTTAGGTACCCCCTCCCCCAGGTGTCTCCAAAGATGAGGGAGATGATTGATACACTAACAGATGTTTTGTTAACGTCACATTTCCAGAACTCTTCTTACTCAGGCTAATAGCATTGCATCTGGTTAGCTGTACTTACCCTTTTCAGCTTGTAATTTTCCTTTCGCTAAATTATTATTGACATCAACAAGAGGCAGACTTCCTCAGTGTTGTGTAGAACACTGAAGCATGCCTAAAACAACACAGGGCATAGAGATATCTTTTCTATTTATTTAAATTTCAATCTCTTTTGACACGAGGTCTCACCTTCAATCCAAAACACTTCAGCCTTCCTGGCTAAGAGGGCTAAATGTGCCCAAGGCAAAGAAGCTGCTGTTTTCTTCTCTTCCGTGTTTCTCACTTCCTTCCCCTCTTTGATTCTATAGTGGGCTTAATGGTAGCCACAGAAAGCTGTGTCTGTGTTTTATGTCTTAATTCCTGGAACCTGTGAATGTGACCTTATTTGGCAAAATGGTCTTTGCAGATGTCATTAAATTAAGGATCCTGGGAGAGGGAGCTTATCCTGGGCTATTCAATCACATGTATCTTTTAGGGTACAGGTGCATAGGAGACATACATGGAAGAGGAGGAGGCAATGGGACTGCAGAGGCAGAGAGGACAGTGATGAGGCCAGAAATCAAGGATTGTCAAGATCAATCAGAAACTTGAAGAAGCAAGGAGAGGATTCTGCCCTAGAGCTTTTGGAAGAAGCATAGCTTTGCTGACAGCTTGATGGTGGGCTTCTGCCTCCAGAACTGAGAGAGAATGCATTTCTGTTGTTTTAGGCTTCCCAGTTTGTGTAATGGGTTGCAAAGGATAGTAGTATAGCTCCTTTTCACTTTCTTTTCTGCCTCATTTCAGTTTTTCTATCCTTTTCTGCATTTGTCCATTTATCTGTCTCTCTCTCTCTCCCTCTGTCTTGTTGTATCATTGCCAAGACAAAGTACGTAACAATAATTAATGCATGTGGGTATGATTGGACTTTTTTGCAAAGTTGATTTTGACTGTTAAGCCAACTGACCATGTTTTCAATATTAATGAAAATACAAATTACTTGGCAGTTTTGTTAAAAATGCAGAATCCCAATGTCCACCCTAACACATTTCTGATTTTACTGGTCTGATATGTGACCTGTGAACCAGTATTTTTTAACAAGAATCTGGGGGATTCTTTTATAGATGGCCAACAATCCATACTTAGGAAAGATTAAAGTAAGGCATGGTTCCCTTTGTCTGCTCTCAAGAACTGATGTATATTTGTGGTATAGGGTTGTCAGTCTAAAATCCCATTACAATCCAGGAAGTAGTGCCTATAGAATACCAAATCCCAGGCCTCTGTAAAAATATAAGTAACCTGAAAAAGATTTGGTTAGACTCACATTTAACAATTCACAGTGGCTAATTCAAGGAAATGAGGGTGGTTCCTTAACCTTTGAGTAGAAAGCTTGGTTGGGGAGGGGTAGCATAACATTTCCCAGCATGTTCCTTACTGCCACTGCCTGGGAGTGGATTCTAGATAGGCCTGGCAGGCCCACGTTCCCACACACTGGGCCAATTTTTGTTCCTGGCTCAGGGCTGTGCTTACTTAGAGGGGTAATGGCTTTGTCTGTTTTGCTCCTCAGTGGGATACATCTCCCATCTATTTTGTTTAGGAACTCTAAACACAGTCCAAAGGGAAGTTCAGCTGTGGAACTCTGAATAGGATCTGGCTAGAAGCAGCCCCAACACACTTTTTTTTTTTCACTCTTCTCATAGTCGTTTTCAGACCTGGGAGGTTTTTCAGAAGACTTGGTGCTGCAGGCTGTTGCCTGAAACCACTCATCAAGGAGCATGTCCACCTCTTACTTCTTGGCTGGCTGTAAACTCTGGTACATTCAGCACAGAAAGTGGAGGCTGAAGAGGGTCATCAATTTGTGTCTAAAGGAGGCCATTGTTTACCCCTTATGAAAGCAATGGGAAGCAGAGTCTTTTTCTCCTACTTCCCAGAAACAGAGTAAGCATACCCTTATGAATGAGAAATGTTGGTGTGTTAGGCAAGTTTCTTATAAGAACCCCATTTCATCTTGTCTTTACTCTTTCTGGATGCCTTCAGCTTATACTGCCCTTATCTCTTCCCTACCTCCTGATAGCTCTCCTCAGATATTTGACATGGTTTCCTGATGATGGCCTGTCTTGACTCATTGTTTAATTGCTGTGCAGTGCTCAAACTTCTCCTTCAGGCAAACAGAGTAAACACACAGCACATTCTTTACAAATTGATTTAAAGTCTTGGTCTCTATAAACATGCGTGTGCAAGTATCTTTTTTGCATAATGACATATTTTTCTCTGGGTAGATACCCAGTAGTGGGATTGTTGGATCAAATGTTAGTTCTACTTTTAGTTCTTTAAGACGTCTCCACAATGTTTTTCATAGTGGTTGTAATTCACAATTGCAAAAATGTAGAACCAACCTGAATGCCCATCAATCAATGAGTGGATAAAGAAACTTTGGTGTATATATATGATATATATATCATATATATATATTACATAGGCTACCAATAAGTGTCTGCTGTCCCCCTAAATTATACAATTACCCTTTTAATTCCTACAAAATAAAGTTCATATACCTACTAGGATATATATATATATGATATATATATAACACATATATATGATATATATAACACATATATATGATATATATATATATATAACACATATATATGATATATATATCATATATATATGATGGAATATTACTCAGCCATAAAAAGGAATGAATTGTATTCACAGCAACCTGCATGGGATTGGAGACTATTATCCTAAGTGAAATAACTCAGGAATGAAAATGAAACATAGTATGTTCTCACTCATAAGTGGGAGCTAAGCTATGAGGTTGCAAAGGCATAAGAAGGGCACAATGGACTTTGGGGACTCAGTGGGAAAGAGTCGGAAGGGGGTGAGGGATAAAAGACTACAAATTGGGTTCAGTGTATACTTCTTGGGTGATAGGTGCACCAAGTTCTCACAAATCACCACTTACTCATGGAACCAAATACCACCCATTCCCCAAAAACCTATGGAAATAAAAAATTTAAAAATAAATAAAGTCTTTGGTCTCTTAAGAAGCTGAACTTTAAAGTATGGTGTTTCCTACCTATTCATTAAACAGTGTTTCTCAAACTTTATCGTAAAGATTTGTTATAACAGATATCACTGAGTCACACTCCCTGAGTTTCTGATTATGATTCTGCTAGAATTTGCATTTCTAACAAGTTCCCAGCAGCTGCTGCCAACCGTGGAACCACCCTTGGAAAATCACTGCTTTAGGGAATCTATCTTTTTTACTTTGCTTTATACTTTCTGATACAAAAGCTTGTATTTTATATCCTTTGAGAAATAAAGATGTCTTTGTTTGCAACTCAATTACCCAGAGTGCAAAATGGGTGATAAGCCAAGCAAATGTGATAAGTACTTCTCTAAGTGTAATGATGCTTTAAAAATAGCCAACCATGACTGAGTGCTCACTTGCAAATGGTGGTTCCTTTGCAACTCGGTAGGCTGCCTCAGGTGTCATGCTCAGCTTTCCATCTCCTGCTTTTTGGCCTACAACTATTTTCCTATGGGCAGCCCCTCAATCTCAAGTTACATGTTCTGACCACATTCCATTTTCTTTTACTCCAATCCTCAGGGAGCTATCTTCAGCATACCATACCTAAGGACTCTCACGGATTTGAGAAAATTTAAAAATCGTCTCTCTTCCTCCCAGTATCAACTTTAAAACACATGAGTATCATGTGCTTTAAAGTATAATGTATATATACTCATATAGTATAATGAGTGTCTTAATGTGTATTGTGCACTTTTAATTCCAGGCAAGACTCTTCAGGTTAACATTACCTTCTTATGCCTATCCTCATAAGTGTTTGTGAGCTAGATTGCAGAAAACTTGACATTCAAAAGCCCTTGCTCTTTGAAAGAGAAAACGTATTGTGAGAAAATATACATTCATTTTGATGAATGAAGCAGAATTGGATGAGATCAAAAGTTTTGGTTAATCCGTACTATTGTGGGACATAAGTACAACCCTCAAAGTTTCTACTATTTCAAAGTCTTTGTTCCTTGTTAGGCTTCTCAGGGCAAGTTTGATCCCTGGATGAACCTGTTCCCTCAACTTCAATGTTATCTGCTTAATAGATCAGACATTATAAAGTTTCTTCTGTTTCCTGAATTTCTATTGAATCTAATGCCTTTGTCACTCATTGTGCAATGTCTGGCTCTTCATTCTTTGCATGTGGAGACTGACTGGCCTACCTCTCTGCACATAGTAGGCTTCACAGGTATAAATTTGCAAATGTTTAGTTTTTTTTTCCCATCATAAGATTAAAATGATCAAATAATGAGACTAAAAGAAAACAGAGAACTAACAAAGAGAAAGACTAATATTGTAATTAGTAAGCAGGAAAGAAGCAAGAGTCTTTAAAAAAGACATCTTGCTTGGAATAGGTTGTGAAAACAGCTGCTCCAGAAACTACCACTCATATGTCCAGAACTAATAAAACTATTCTTCAGCTGTTTTTCATTGAAAAAAAAATGAGAAGAGGAGATTGCAAAACAAAAACAAAAACAAAAACAAAAAACTGTGCACAAGTAACTACTCCAGACGAAGCTCCGGGCATTCTAAATTCTTTGAAAGAAATACACCCTAAAAATGTCATAAACAAAATCTCAGCTCCTCTTCCTTCTCTCAAATCCTTTACACCTCAGGATAAAGTAATACAAATTTCAGACTTGGAGTGCAGATTTTATTTTTATTTCTAATCATTTGTAATTAGGGAGTTTTTTTTGTTTAGTACAATCTGTCCAGCCAGTAACTTCCATGTGCCAAGCATAGAGTGGCATCCTTGGGCCTGTGAAAGGGAGTAGTAATTAGAACTGGATGAATCCCATTTGGCAGAATGGTCCGATGTCAGGTCCACACCCTTGTTCTTGAAATTCAGAGAAAAATTAAATTGGTACAAAAATAAATTCTCTTGAAACATTTCCTCCCTGGGCTTGACATTTTGGTGCTCGGGTTCTTTTGATGTTTAGCACCAAACATTGAGGAGTAAATAACAATGGGAACCCTTCTGAGAACACCACATAAACATGGTAATTTATAAAGCAGATGCTGCTAAATGCCCAGCAGTCTGACATTTTAGACTGTTGTTGGAGGTTGGAGTGTTCTTTATGCTCTTGGGTTGCAACTGCAATGTTCATCACCTGCTCTGTTAACTGAGGGTCTGGAGTAGTAAAGGCATATCCCGTCAAATGTGAAGGCTATCTTACATTTGGCACTGGTTGCACAGTTCACTAACAGAGAGATTTAAACTGTATATGTTTGTGTGCCGCGTGTATATAGCTTAAAAATAACAATTACAAATATAATGTGCTTGAGGTCTTCAGAAAAAAAATATTTAAAAAGGAAAGAATGCCAGAGCTGGAAGGCTCTTAGAGTTCATGCTTTTTTTTTTTTTTTTCAGCCAGTCATTATAGGTTAAAAAAAACTGATGTCAAGAAAAGGAAATGATTTGTTCAGGGCCTCACAGTTTTCTGCCACTTTCTATTTAGAACCCCAATGAGATATCAGTGACTTTCATTCTCTGCTGTATCATTGCCAACACTTTTTAAAAATGAGGCAGAAAAGAGGGCCATGAATCAGGCTGAAGAGTCCAGATGAAGAGGATTAGTTGTTGCAGAAAGAGCTGCATGTATCAGAAAGAACGCCTGTAGTAGTGGCACAAGGGTGCCTGCCCCATCCTGCTCAGCTGGAGCCACCACCAGCGATTGCTGGTAGAAACAATCTGCACTGTGTCCAGGGAAGCATTTCTCCTTCATCTCAACCTTATGCTTGTTCCCATTTACCAAGATATCTAAAGTTGTTTTTCCCTCCCAAGGGTCAGAAATGCTCACTCCCATTTAAGATGATTTTTTAAAAGTTGACAACTCCATGTCCAAGACTAGATAACAAAACTCTTTCCCAAAGGTCAAAATCCAACAGAGCAAATCTTGCTCATGGCACAAGGTGGGATTCTGATTCCTTTTTCAAAGACAGTGAACCAAGAGTGAAATGGAGGGAGGAGTCGTGCAAACCAAATGCAGACACCCCAAAAAATAACCAGACTGTCAGAACCACAATGTGGACCTAGAGCTTCATTCAGCACTTTTCTCAGTCTCTCAAACCTTTGACATTTTTTTTTTCTGACCAAATGTAGGAAAATAAGTCTCCCAGAACAGAGAGCAGAATATCTTTTCCAAAACATTAGATTAGGCAGGCTGACTGGGGATCAAAGCAGCTCTTAATGGGATATGGGATTAATGATAAGGCTCTCTAGTAAAGAAAAAAAATTAGCTGAAGTTGAATTCAAGGTCAAGATAACCTAACATTATCCTAGAAAAAGTTAACTTCCTCAATCAGTCTTTGTCTGAAAGGTTTTGAATAAAAATAATAGCATGCAATTAGTAAATAGATATTTTAGGAATCCCCAAAGATTTGAAGACATGAAGTTTCTTTTTTTATATCAAAAACATTAGGGGAGAGTGCAAACTCAGGCCCCCACTACCATAAATTATGCACTCCAGCGTCTCACATTTGGGGGAATATCAGGAATCAGCACCTCGGAGGCAATGGTTAAGCCTCACTCTGGGAAAACCACCTTTGTGATCATGGGATCTCTCCTGCCAGGTAAATATTACACATGAGGTTCCTTGAAAAAAGAAAATTTAAGAAATGAATGGAATCAAGTACCTTATCTCGTAAAAAAACTATAATACTATTGAGCGGGAGGAGGACAAGAACTGTGTAGAAAAAACATTCTTAAGTTGGGAATATTTTAGTATGATGGCAAAATATGAATGAAACTTAACCTTGATAAAGAAAATGAAACTATGATAAAAGAAAATATTTTATTTTTCTAGGGTTAGAGTTCACAGAATATAGCAGGCATCTGGGAATATCTTCCAGTAAGAGAGTTCATGGGAAGTATGTATGCAAAGTGATGGAAGTTCCCATTTACTGGCACTTGCTGTGGGTCAGACTCTGGGTTACTAGTTTACAAATGATATCTAATTTAATCCTTAAAACAACCCAGTGAGTCAGGTGTTTTCACTTGTATTTTACAGGTAAAGAAAATAGAGGTTTAGAAAGGTGAAATAACAT
This sequence comes from Homo sapiens, assembly GCF_000001405.40. NCBI lineage: Eukaryota > Metazoa > Chordata > Mammalia > Primates > Hominidae > Homo > Homo sapiens. The sequence continues at coordinate 40,269,091 of NC_000005.10, read as the reverse complement.
GTCTAAAATATTACAGCTAGCAAGTATAGGAGCTAGAATTCTAGTTCTTATCTGTCTAGCTCCAAACTTTTTACTTTAACTGCTGGGTTGCTGTGTCTGTATCCCTCGTCTTCTTTAACCATTTCTTCTTTAACCAAGTTCAATCCAAACACCTATCAGAAATATCTGTAAATCTGGAAAGTTAAACCAATTCTTTATTTTATTTTATTTTTGAGACAGAGTCTCACTCTGTTGCCCATGCTGGAGTGCAGTGATGGGCAACACTGCAGCCTTCACCTCCTGGGCTCAAGTGATTCTCCCACCTCTGTTTCCTGAGTCGTTGGGACTACAGGTACACCCCAATATGCCTGGGTATTTTTCAGAACTTTTTTTTTTTTTTTTGGAGAAACAGGATCTCACTATGTTGCCTAGGCTGGCCTTGAACTTTTCAGCCCAACTGATCCTCCAGCCTTGGCCATCCAAAGTACTGGGATTAGAGATGTGAGCCACCATACCCAGCTAAACCAATTCTTTTAAATTTCTCTGGGCTGGATTTGATAGTTACTAATCAAAACACTGAACCCTGAAATAGATTGAGATTTAAAATACATTTAAATTACACAATGTTTTGCATATATATGTAAAAATATGCATAGTTTACCATTTAAAAAATACAATCCATCTAAATTTTAAAATTTTCTAGCATAAGCATATCTATATGAGATTACTGTTTTTAAAACTATGTCATGCTTTTTTCATCCAGCTTTAGTGTTTGCTAGCATAAGCATATTCATATTAGATTAACATTCCATTGGGTTCAAACACTTGCTTCAGCTTCAGTAAATGCCTGTTAGTCACATTAGAAATCTGTTTTTGACATTTGCTATTTAACAAGCCCATTATTTGGCAAGTATTTTCTTAAAAGTGGCCAGTTAAAGAACGTCTGTGATTTGGGTAGCTTGTCTGAATAAATGAGGTTATGATATTGCCCATAATCAGCTCAAAACTAAGCTTATATTTTATTTACAAGTTGGCAGTTAACACCAGTCTGATGAGAAAAATGCTTCCATTGGAAAAATGTGGGCCAAATATTGAAGAGAAGCAGTTTTTTGTACATCTCATTTGGATACAGCTTGAACTAAAGGGCTCTCATTTGGCTCTGGTGATGGGGGTTCATGGTTCACCTTTAAAACTGATATGGTCCTTACCAACCTCATATTCTTTGCAAAATCTTTGATCAGTTTGCAATCCCACTGCATACTCAAACACATTGGTAAGCTGACTATCATGCAAGTACATCATAGTATTAGAAAGATGGGTGATGATTTGGTCCACAGCAGCGGGTAACTGTGTCCCCTGATAGGTACTGGGTAAAGGATTACAGAAAAGGTGCTATGTGCTCTGGGTTTGAAGGCTTTGGAACACGCATCAGGAGAGCAAAGCCATGCATCAGAATTTACTTTTGAGCAATTTTAATTACGGTTTTTGTTTACTTTTCCAGTAGAAATTAACTGTTATTTGTCCTTTCCACACAGAAAACATTTTATCCACTTTCCCCACTTATAGAATGTATGTTGGGCATCCCCGGGCCTTGTCTCTTAGGCTTTTCATTCTTCAGACATCCCAAGCTGCTGGAGACTTGACTGAGGACCAGGCAGGATGAATGATCTGTGCCAGGAGGCAACATCTTCTTTTCGCATGGCCTGATTTCAGGAGAAAAAGCAGATTCTGAAGAACTGGCCCTGGAAGTCAGCATACTGCAAGTGAGAATGATATTGTTAAATCCACTGACAACAACTTAGCTCTCTTTCCATTCCTCAAGTCACTTCTTATCCCTAATGAGCTCACCATAGCCATGAAGCTAGACTGTGGGTACTAGATTATCATGTTTAGCTTGATTAAGCCTCAGAGCCTAATGATGACTGCATACTTCTACCCCACCACTACTGGCAAGGGAGATCCTGTGGGCACATCCATACTCATTGTATTAGTCAGGGTTCTCTAGAGGGCAGGGCTAACAGTATAGATGTATATATAAAAGGTAGTTTATTAAGGTGTATTGACTCACACAATCACAAGTTGAAGTTCCACAATAGGCCATCTGCAAGCCGAGGAGCAGGGAAACCAGTCCGAGTCTCAAAACCTCAAAAGTAGGGAAATCGACAGTGCAACCTTCAGTCTGTGGCCAAAGGCCTGAGAGCCCCTGGCAAACCATTAGCATCGGTCCAAGAGTCCAAAAGCTGAAGGACTTTGAGTCCAATGTTCAATGGCAGGAAGCATCCAGCACGGGAGAAAGATGGAGGCCAGAAGTCTTAGCCAGTCTAGTCCTTCTACGTTCTTCTGCTTTTATTCCAGCTGAGCCGGCAGCTGATTAGATTGTGCCCACCCAGATTGAGGGTGGGTCTGCCTCTCCGAGTCCACTGACTCAAATGTTAATCTCCTTTGGCAACACCCCCACAGACACACCCAGGATCAACACTTTGCATCCTTCCATTCAATCAAGTTGACACTCAATATTAACCATCACACTCATCTTGTAGATTAGAAGGGCACACTAAGTTCTGGATTATGGTTTGAGAGAAAGATCACTGTTATCCTATTAGGTATATGAACTTTATTTTGTAAGAATTAAAAGGGTAATTGTATAATTTAGGGGGACAGCAGACACTTATTGGTAGCCTATGTAATAAGTTTACAATTTGATTTTGTGATGGAGGGAAAAACATTTTCCAGTTGGGCTTGCTTTTCCTGGCAGGACTACACTAAGAGATCTCAAAGCAGTTGAGATTTACCTAACAACTGTGGTTCTTTGCCTTTTTTCTACTGTAATACATATGCTCACATATGAAACCATTTCATAGGTGAATGTGGATTTAGACAGTTAAATTACTGTTGGAATAAAATAGATTTTGGATAATGCATAAATGACATCCCCTAGCTTCTAATTTTTTTTTTCCAAAATTCCTTTGTCACACACCTGTGTATCTCAACTTCCCAGATGAGGAGAGATAAATGTAAAACAGTAATGGTCTTTTTCTTTGCCCACATAGTGTTTCTGGCCTAGTCTGACACAAATTAAAAGATCAAGGACAGATGTCCAGTGACGTAAGTGGAGGAGATAGAGTGGGGAGGACACATTAGTCAGTATGTGTTTTCTTCTTGGGATGAAAGTTTTTGAGAAACTAAAATGTGAGTTGGAGGGTATATTGAATGATGCCTCTTGCTAGGTGTACCCATGGAATTCTTATTGTACATATTTACATATGAGGTGTAGCAGAATAAAAAAGGTGGAAAATTACTATTAAATGGATTTGCTTTACAATGACCATAATCTCAATTAAGAATGTAGTGATGTTACAGTTTTGACTTTCTGGATTTGTGACAATTTGGGCTTGTCTTTAGTAAACTATTGATGGGTCTGACTTGGTCTTGTGACTGGCATCTGGAGAACAACGTAATTTCAGACATTCATGAGAAAAGAAAAGATGTTGGAATTATACATAAAAGTAGCCTGAGAGTTTGACATTCTTTTTTCCTGTTAGTACATGGAAGCATAATTATTTGAAGAACAATATTTCAAATATATGGTCCTTTGAGTAGGAATGCTACTGTGTTACCCATAATTTTTGAGATTTTTTAAAGCTAAAATTAGCAAAGCTTTTTGGTTTTTGTTTTCAGCTACTCTGAAGACAAGCTAATTTTTCTCTTTCAACATATATTGCATGTTTACAAAGGCCTTACCTAGTATTGCATAAATATGATGAGAATTGGAGTTGAGAGTCATGAAACCTGAATTTTATCACTAATTTATTTATCAATTATTTATTAAGCCCCTATTATATGTTCTGTTTTGAGAAACAAGGATGGATTAGACTAGTTTCTGTCATCAAAAGTAGTAAAACCTTGTGGATTATAATTATCTATAATTGTGAGACATCTGCCCACCTCATATAATGAATAAATATGCATAGGTATGGGTTCATAAACGCAGTTTTGTTTTGTTTTAAGCTTATATAAATAGTATTCTGAATTTATCATTTTGAAATTTTGTTTTTGTACTTATTTTAAATTGCTGTTATTGTTTGTTGTTTAATTATTGTGAATTATCCCCTTATAAAAATATATAAAATATATTTATTTCTTTTTGGATTAGTCAGAATTTTGATTGTTCCAGTTTTTGCTGTTATCAACAAAGATGTCGTGAATATTCTTGTCCATGTCCCTTACGCCTATGTGTGTTAAAGTTTCCAGGAAGAAACTTACGTGTTCATAGGAAAAATGCATTTTCAACTTTATCAGCTAATGCCAAATCCAAATTGTTTACCAAAGAGCATGTACCAATTCACGCTAATCAGTAGCGTAAGAGAAGTAAAATAGCCTCTTATTGCCAGACTTCTAATTTTTTTGTCAGTTGAATGAAAATCAACTAGTGTCATATGATTGTTTTAGTGGTAATTGTCCTGAATTCTTTAAGTTTGAGTTGCGTTTAACATATTTATTAATACTTTTAGTTTCCTCCCCATGAATAATACTGACCTTTTGGTCATTTTATTTGCTTTAGATCACTCTTTTATTACTTATTGATTTGATCCTTATTCTTTATATAGTAATCTAAGTATTAATTCTTTGCAATTTGTGGATAAATATCTTTTCCTGGTTTATTATTTGTCTTTTATTTTTGTTTATAGTTCCCTATCCTACTCGATTCAGTAAATTTGAATTTATCAATCATTCTCCTTTGTTTTGTTCTTTTTTCTCATCCAAAAAATATGTTACTACTCCAATTCATAAATTATGTTCTCCTATATATGCTTCTGAAATCTTTAGAATTTTAGTTTATACATTTGTTAATAACTCACCTGTAATATGTTTAATGTTTGGTTTTTATGCTACTTTTTTCATATGTTTTACTTCCACACATATTACAAACTACATAATGGATTATTATTTTTGCTTTAAGTGGGTAATTATTTTTTAAAGAAATTATTAACTAAAGTCTTTCATACTTGCCATTTCTAATGCTCTTCAGTTCTTTCTGCAGACCTGTGTTTCTATCTGGTATCATAACTTAAAGCTGAAGTACTCTCTTCACCAATTTTTATAGTGCCAATCTGCTGGCAATGAAGTCTATCAGCTTTGTTAGTCTGAAAATGTTTTTACTTCACCTTCATATTTGAAGGCTATTCTACTGAATATAGACTTTTAGGTTAGCAGTGACTAAAAAAATTTTTTTTTAGCTCTTTAAAAATACTGTTTCATTGTCTTGTGGGATGCATTACTTCTCATATGAAGTCAGCATTCATTCTTATTTGTATTTTTCCCCTTTGGTGCATTCTCTCTCTCTCTCTCTCTCTCTGTCTCTCTCTCTCTCTGTCTCTCTGTCTCTCTGTCTCTCTCTCTCTCTCTATATATATATATGTTACAGACACACACACACACACACGGAAAAGCCAATGGTGTAGCTCTGGTATGAGTCTGAACATTTGACAATTAGTTGTGCTGATGGTGTAAGTCCCAGTCTAAGGGCAGGAGAAGACTGATGTAGTAGTTCAAGCAGTCAGGTGTAGAAAGAAAATTCTCTCTTCCTCTACCTTTGTGTGCTATCCAGGCTCTCAGTGGATTGGATGATGCCTATCCACCTGGAGAGGGATATCTGCTTTACTCAGCATACTGATTCAAACATGAATCTCTTCTAGAAATACTCTCACAGACACACCTGAAATACTATTTAACCAAATACCTGGGCATCTTGTGATCCAGTGAAGTTGACACATGAAATTAGCCATAACACATACCCATTCTCTTTTTCTTCTCTTTGGTTATATTTGAGGTTTTCCTCTTTCCCATATCCAATCTAAATCCCTTCCTTCCTTCCTTCCTTCCTTCCTTCCTTCCTTCCTTCCTTCCTTCTTCCCTCCCTCCCTTCTTCTCTCTCCTTCCTTCCTTCCCTCCTTCTTTCTCTCTCTCTCTTTCTTTTCTTTCTTTCCTTCCTTCTTTCTTTCTTTTCTTTCTTTTTCTTTCTTTTCCTACCTTCCTTCCTTCCTTCCCTCCTTCTTTCTTTCTTTTCTTTCTTTCTTTCTTTCTTTCTTTCTTTCTTTCTTTCTTTCTTTCTTCCTTTTCTTTCTTTTCTTTCTTTTTTCTTTCTTTCTTTCTTTTCTTTCTTTTCCTACTTTCCTTCCTTCCCTCCTTCTTTCTTTCTTTTACTTTCTTTCTTTCTTTTCTTCTTTTTTCTTTTGTTCTTTCTTTTGTTCTTTCTTTCTTTCCTTCTTTCTTTTCCCTCCTTCCTTCCTTCCTTCCTCTTCTTTCCCTCCCTCCCTCTCTCTCTCTTTCTTTCTTTCTCTATTTCTTTCTTTTTTCATCTTCTGTCTTTCAAAGGAATTTACCCTGTTGGTTATATTGCTTTTGAGAATTAACACTTTATTTATTTTATTTATAATTAATTAACACATAATAATTATATATATTTACTGGATACAATGTGATGTTTCAATGCAAATACACATAGTATAATGACCAAATTGGGGTAATTACCACATCCATCACTTTTAACATTTATTATTTATTTTTTGTGACAATATTCAAAATCTCTTCTAGCTATATGAAATAGGCACTGCATTGTTATAGTAACCCTGTTGTATTTCTTAATGATATTCTTACTGGCAGCAATTAAATATCCTCAGATCTATTCAACTCTTTAAAAAACACATTTTACCCCACCACCTCTTCCCTCTGTTATCTTAGTTTTCTCTCATATCCTAGCATATCTTTCAAGAGAGTTGTATCTACTTGCAGTTGCTATTTCCTCAACCCTCCACTCACTCCTTAACCTATTCCAAACTGACTGGCTAAAGTCACCAACCACCTCCATGCTACCAAATGCAATGGAGATTTAAAATTATTTATAAGTGTCTCAGCACAATATGACATCATCGAATACACCTCATTTATTTAAATGATCTCTTTATTGGTTACTGAAATAATATATCTTTCTGGTTTCCTTTCCTACCTCTTTGGCATTTAGTCTCTTGTCTTCACTGGGGGCACATTCTCTTCATATTGGCCATTAATTACTGGAATTATTTGAATTTCATTTGTAGATCTTTTTTCTTTTCATACTCTTTACTTTTATATTAGAAAATCTCATCTTTTGTTTGTTTGTTTTTTGAGAAGAATCTCGCTCTGTTGCCCAGGCTGGAGTGCAGTGGCACCATCTTGGCTCACTGCAACATCTGCCTCCGGGGTTCAAGCGATTCTTTTGCCTCTGCCACTGGAGTACCTGGGATTAAAGGCAGGCACCACCGGACCCAGCTAATTTTTGTATTTTTAGTAGAGATGGGGTTTCACCATGTTGGCTGGGCTTGTCTTGAACTTCTGACCTCAAGTGATTCGCCTGCCTCAGCCTCCCAATGTGGTGGGATTACAGGCGTGAGCCACTGCACCCAGCTGGGAAATTTTATCTTTAACCATAGCTTCAATTACCATGTACCTATTTTTTTATAGCTCTTGGATTTTTTTTCTCCAGTCCAGAATTCTTTTCTGAACTCCAGACACATATTGGACTATACACTCAATATTGTCCCTCAGATATCTGAAAATATTCTCAAACTTCAAAGGTACAATATCAGTCTCATGATTTTGTTACATCAAATATAATCCTTTTCAATTATTTTTTATATGATGAATGGGACCATTATTCATCCATTTTGTCACGTCCAAAATCTACTTTTATCTGCCCCCTACCCTTCAACATAAATCAAATTTATTACCTAGTTAATTTTAAAATAGATATTCAAACTATAATATCTTTCTGTCCAAGTCTATTTATATCAACAGAAGCTTAGTTCAAGTTGCCATTTTTCCTTGTCTGGACCACTGTAATTATTCCCTGACTGTTATCATCTATATGTTTAACAGTATGTACATTGAGACTTTTAATTGTTTCAGAGTTTTTGCCACAGCTCCAAAGCTGAGAACAGTAGGTAAAAGATATCCCTTAATTGTGATGTGCTGCTAGTCATCTTTGTAATTTATTAGATAAACAAATTTATGATTCCATATGGCTTATAAAAGAGAATTCTGGAGTTTACTGAGAAAATTTAGAGAAGAAGAGAATGTTTCCAAGGCCCTGGTACCTTCAATAAGGGGACATTTCCTATTGATTTTAGGGTTGACGAATTCTCAGTACATTTAATCTGGCAGGGATACTGCAGATTTTTAAATGACATTGTGGTTATTGTAGAGCTAGTTTTATTCGCTTACCTCTTTCCTGAGACTCTTGCCCTTTCCTTTGACGTTAGGCTTTATCTGACACTTAAAGTAGAGATTTTGCTGAGTTTCAGCTTCTGAATTGTCAGACATTTCTGTACAGAGATTAGCATAACTTTACAGGCAAAATTCTGTAGCCCTTTTTCACGCAAAAGTTCCCATATCTTCCAGAAATAATTTCAAGTATTCTCCCTCTAACTATAACAGATATGTACGGTTATGAAAGGAACTAAGGGAAGAAATCCCTTTCAATGTTTCAATTCCCTTGTACATGAGCTGTCTGGCACTTTGCCTATGGGAACTGCCAACGCAGCTTGTTTGCTGACAAAATATAACTTTGCAGAATTATCACACAGTTTCATGGTTTAAAAGTCAGATTGAAATACATCTCTTCTGTACCTAATTGCATTCTTGTTGTGGTTACTGATCGTTTGACAATATTAGCAAATTTTTCTGTCATCCATATTTCCAGCAGGGCCTCCAATGTGAAGCTAGATTCTTAATTCCACAAAACTCTCCCAGATAAAAAGGGTAATGGTCCAAAACCACAATTACTTTTGCACCAATCTAATATAATAGAATACAAAAGACCTACACTTTAGCAACCCCTACACTTTATGTTATAAATGAAATAATTAACATCTGTTTTATGTATATCTGTTAACAAATTTTGTATTTATAGTTATTCTTAATACTTTTGTCTTTTGCTTTTATACTAAAATTAAAAGCAATTTACATACCAACAACAACAACAAAAAGGGCAAAATGAGATACGCCAAGCAAGAACAAAAAGATAGAAAATTAATGCTGATTCTTTCAGATAGCCTGTTCTTTTTTTATCATCTCTACTAAGCCAAGTGATATTTTGTGTCAGAATTTTTCAGAAAGCGCTAGTATCAAAGACATCTACAGATGTGGGAGTCTGTAACATGATTGTATGTGTAACTTTTTCCATCCGTAGAATTGTTCATAAATTGTAATAAAATACCTCATGGAGTGTATTTTGCTGAAACATGTCACTTTTATAAGGGTCTGTTTTATATTTATTTATTTATTTATTATTATTATTTTTTTGAGACAGAGTCTTGCTCTGTAGCCCAGGCTGGAGTGCAATGGTGCGATCTCTGCTCACTGCAAGCTCTGCCTTCCGGGTTCATGCCATTCTCCTGCCACAGCCTCCCAAGTAGCTGGGACTACAGGCACCTGCCACCACACCCGACTAATTTTTTTTTGTATTTTTAGTGGAGACGGGGTTTCACCGTGTTAGCCAGGATGGTCCTGATCTCCTGACCTCATGATCCACCCGCCTCGGCCTCCCAAAGTGCTGGGATTACAGGCGTGAGCCACTGCGCCCTGCCTAAAAGGGTCTGCTTTATAAATTAGACCATGTCAAGTACTTTGTTAGAGACAGTGGAGAATGCATTTCAAGTGTTATTTTGGCTACCCAAAGGTATTGTTGAAAGCATACAAAACCAAAAACTCTTAAGAAATTATTTTTGTCTTCCAAGAAACTTATGTGATGTGTCAGAACAGAGCAAAAAGGCAAACAAAAGAATGTATGGATCCATTTCACTGCCACAAGAGGTGTTGCCTGAAGAAGATGAATCACATTACAAATTATCTAATTTAAAGCAATTCAGAGATACATCAGTGTGAAATTTAGTATATTTATAAATTTGACAAATGATTTATTATGAAGTCTCTCATTAATTAAAATAGTGCCAATTGAAATTAGAATATTGGATGTTTTTTGGGAAAAAGACATAATTTCATCAGCTAGGTTTTGCTTCTAATGAAGAAATAACTATGTAAATAATTTCTATTAATATTTTAAAATAGCCTTTATATTCTTGTTTTTGTAACTGCAAAGGAATCATACTTCATACTCAATTTCTATTAAGTCTTTAGCTCATGCTAGGTGCACAGTAAGCTATTAACTAGAGATTTTAGGCAGCATAATTAGAATAATAATTTGTATCTAGAAGGGGAGGGAAAAACACTTTTCTTATCAATCATCAAGGAAATTTAAATATTTTTTTAACCAAGAGAGTTGGGGAATTTAAAACTGATCATAGGACTTTAGTGAAAATAACAGATTAAAGATTTTTGAAAATTCTCTCTTCCATAAAAGCAAGGAGAAAATTGGCAAAAACTTGTTAAAATCAAAACTTCCAGAACTCTAAAAACTAACAAAAGGCTTGCAGCAACATGAAGTGCATTCCCCGCCCCACTACCCCACCCCAGGAAAAGTGACAGAATCTCAATAAGAACAGAAAGCTTTGCGACATTTTAATTTATCATAGTTCCACTTTCTAGCATCCAGCTCTGTGGTAGCCTTGAAAACTGACAGTCTGCATCAGAGTGAAAACTGGCAGCCTGGCTGCAACTGGAAGTAGAAAGGGTTTGGAGCTTCTTCAAAGACCCTTGCCAGAGCATTGCCATTACTTGTCCTGTTTGATGGTTTACTTAAGACCTCACTTGCAAGGCTGTCTTTATTTGACCTCAGTCAGAGCTACCAGTGCAAAAAGCCTCTTCTCTGAGGGTGTTTGTCAAAAACAATCACAGGAAATTGCTTAACTTCATGTCTGACTGAAGCCATGAATGACTGTTGAGGCAAACAGTAGACAAACCATGAAGCTAAAAGGAAAAATCAGGTAAACAAAAATTCAGTAGGAGTTTTGGAAAAGCCCTAAGATATTTCTGGGATTTTAAAACACTACAGGCATGCATGTGACTGTAAGCATACTCAGAAAAAAAGTGAAAAGTCCTTAAGCTCTTACTTCTCATTGATTTTGCGACTCTGTGCAAACAGAAAATGAAGACTAAGAAGGGGTGATCAACTATATGACCAAGTATTGAAAAATGTTATGGGAACCTAGTGAGAATTAGAGCCATAAAGAAGGTGCCACCTGAGGAGAGCTTTAACCTCCCTTTAGCCAAACCTAGCAGGAAGCCAGCTGGTAAGGGGACCTAGGATTGATGCAAAATCTAAGAAAGGAGAACCCAGAGAAGTGGGTCTAGCTCTTGCCTTGAGAGTAGTTATTTATCAAGAGAAAATAGTGGCAAAACTTCTACTGGAAGATTGTCAGGGCCCAGGGAAAAATAATAAACATTTCCAGAGAAATAAAATGATCAGTGGTTTCCAGGGGCTCGAGGGTAGGAGGGGAGAGGTATGATTAGTTACCAATAGATATAACGAACTTTTGCCATAAGGAAAATATTTCTTATCTGGATGTGATATTAGTTAAACAGGTGTATATTAAAACTAATTCAACTCGGCCGGGCGCGGTGGCTCACGCCTGTAATCCCAGCACTTTGGGAGGCCGAGGCGGGTGGATCATGAGGTCAGGAGATCAAGACCATCCTGGTTAACAAGGTGAAACCCCGTCTCTACTAAAAATACAAAAAATTAGCCGGGCGCGGTGGCGGGCGCCTGTAGTCCCAGCTACTCGGGAGGCTGAGGCAGGAGAATGGCGTGAACTCGGGAAGCGGAGCTTGCAGTGAGCCGAGATTGCGCCACTGCAGTCCGCAGTCCGGCCTGGGCGACAGAGCGAGACTCCGTCTCCAAAAAAAAAAAAAAAAAAAAAAACTAATTCAACTCTACACTTAAAACAGATATACTTTAGTGTATATAAACATAACTCAATAAGTTAGACTTAAGAAACAAATGCTTCCTGAATCATAAGACAAAGATAAACAGCCCAACTAAAAATAGGCAAAGAAAATTGAAAGGCAATTTACAGAAGAAAGAAATTTTGTGATCCTTCCTCGCCCACCAGAAATAAGGTGCTCAAACTCTGGAAAATTTAGTAAACTATAAATTTATGTAACACCAAGATAAATTTATACAACACCGATAAAATATAAATTTATACAACACCAATAATTTATACAACACTATCCTCCTGCAGAGATATAAAATGTTTCTACAGTGTATGTCTAGAAATGAAATTACTGGGCCATACGGAATGGACTTGTGTAACTTTCAAGACCTTCTTATATTGTTTTCTAAAGTTGTTGTTCCAGATTACATTCTTACCCTGAGGTCTCCATTTTTCCACATTTTACACAACAAGTGTTTAAAATTTTTGCCAATAGAAAAAATCTGTTTTATTATTTATTATTTTATTATTTAGAATTTTTTTCTAAATCTATTTTTTTCTATTGGCAAAAACTTTTTCCTCCTAAGGCACCATTATAAACATGCAGTCAAATAGCATGCAAGGCTACTAAGTTTGTTCCTTCCCTTTTGAAGGAATTGCAATCTTCCACCTCCTGTGAAGCCACAACGACACAGGGATAGTGTGGAGAATGCTTCTGTGGGCATCTGATGCTCTATCCTACGACTCAATCCCAGAGCCTAGTATAAATTTAAATAGACACAACTACACTCCCGTTGACTCTCATAAAAGGGGCTCTATAGTGATTATGCAATGATTTCCAACCTGCAGAAAAAACTTTATAAAATAAATTATAATGAAAGTATCAAGTTGTTATAGTTTGATCTGCGATTGTTTTAATGCTCTAAGGAACTGAATGCTCTACAGACATTGATGCTGAAATTAGAGTTGTGAATGAGTTTCGAGTCTTGTGTGTCTGTCATTAGCCAATTAACAGAAACTCTTTCGTATGTGCCTAAGCATACTGGATCATAGTTAAAGGACAATGAGTCTACTAAAAAGATTAGCTGTTCCAAAATAAGTTTTTCAAGAGGCTTTTGAGCCAAGCTAGAAAGACAGGACAATCTCACTTTATTGTGAAATAATATTCCATTAACTAAGGACTGAAGCAAAAATCCAACCATTTCCGAGCTAAACGTATTGAATGAATCAGTAGCCTAGATTATCCAAAATGCAACAATTATTTTTAAAAGATGTTACTTTTAAAACTTGTCAGGAAGTCAAGGCATGAACCCTGAGCAGAATGCAGTGGGCAAACGTCAGAAGGTTGGATTCTCAGTCCTAAGTCTGACCACAAGCTGACTGACTCTTGCAACCTGTTTGTCTCTAACAAGCTCTAGCTTCCAATAGGAGTTTGATTGCACCATATGTCTCTGAAGACCTCATCCAGCTCTCAAGTTCTATTAAGGCGTACCATATAAAATTGCAATATTTGATCAATTTTGTCTTCAGAAATGGTTAGGTCTGTGGTTAAACCTAAAAAATTCTAATCCGAGAGACTTTATGGATGCTTGTAAAAACCTATGAGATTTTTTTGACAAAGAATATTGAATATCCTGATTTCTGACTACAAGTAACTTCAAAATATCTGACTGGAATTTTGGCATATTCAGTCCAATAAGGTTATTTTTATTCGAGAGAAAAGCAATCAATTAAGCATGTTATTTAATTGATTCAACTGAGCAATTGAATCAAAAGCCACTCTACTGCATAGATTATGCAATTCAAACTATGTGGTCCCTCCCTCATTAGGTGCTAAAATACACATATCATATTAAATAGATTATTTATCCACATATTAAATCTCATTGGAAGTTTTATATTTTACTGCTATACCTAACAAAAGCAAAGAACCATTTTTAAGTGAATATGTATTTTTTCTAAATAGACTGAAATATTAATATGTACTAATGGAATTCTTATCAATCTCTTGTAAGTATAGCTATCCTCAGGGGTGCCTCATGAGCAGCAACGTGATTTGAATAGAGTTCATATTTTTTCCCATTTAAAATTGTCCTACTTCATCAGATTAAATATGTAGCTTTTTTCCTAGAAACTTGTTTTTAAAATGTACATTTTGAAGGAGTGGGGAAGATAATCCATTTAGTTCTAAACTCTTGGTTTGGTTTAGTTGTGGGAGCATGGAATTGGGAAGGTGTTACTGTGATCCAGCCTTCACCCTGAAACCAAAATCATCTGCCCTACATTGCTTGGACACTGAGAACCAAAACTACCTAAGTCCTCATCCCCTCCAAAACAAAACAAAACAAAATAAAGCAAAACAACTAAACCTTACTGTCTATCTTACTGGAAAGATCTTTGAATCTTTTGTGCCAACATCTTTACCTTGCTATTTCCAGCAGTCCAGAAAAGTTGTTAATTCTTATACAATCCTAATCAAGTCCTCCCTTTCACTTTTCCCCATCTTACACAAAATTTCCAATTCTTAATAAATTCTGTTCTTGCCCTATTCCCTTCATGACACTGCTGAAACTTTGTGGAGATAGATGGTGTTATATTAAGCAATAAACTAAATGTCTTAACAGGTGGTGTTAGTGATATTTGAAAGCTGGCACTCAACAGCCTACTTTACAAATTTACCTGCATGGTTAGGATTACATGCTGAACATTCCTGACCTCAATTTGAAAAGCCATAAAATTCAACCAGAGGATTGTAATCTTGCAATGCAATTATAAGTTATAATTTCACTAATTTGTCTTTATTTTGTAGGATTATTAAGAAAGTCTACTTAAGGACTTAGGTAGACTTTATGTTTATTCATTAAACATACAGTGTGTAACTAATTTGAGGCAAGCATTTTTCCAGGCTTTGGGGATTTAGTGGTAAACAAGGTGGTTATATTCTTAGTGTTCATGGTGTTTATATGCCAGGGGAAGGAGATAGATAATGATCATGTGAACAAGTGAATAAGCAAGATCACTACGTGCTGTACTACTATAGGAAGGAAATAAATAGTTGAGGACCTAGCAAGGACACCTAGGATCAGACAGACTGAACGAGAAAGACTTTGTTGGGTAGGAGACATTTAAGCTGAGGTCTGAGGGAGGGAGATTAGCCACCCATTGAAGGGCTAGAGGGAAATCTTTTCAAGTAGGGAGAATAATGGGAAAAAGGGGGCTTAGATTATTCAAGAATAAAGAATGGTCTCTTGGTTGAAGTGCCAAGAGAAAGAAGTAGAGAAAGATGTGCATTTATTGAGATATATTTTCAAGTCAACACTAGTAGGGTTAGGTGAGAAGAATGAGGAAGTAATTGGGATTCACGCCTGATGGTCCCTGCCTGTCACCAAGTGGACCTCTGGAGGAAATGGGAACTCATCATTACCTGAATCCGGCACATTTCCACCTGATTCTCTACTCATTCATACTCAAACTCAGCCTCACTTCCTCCAGGTTAGTTGCAATATTTTCTCCCTTGGGTCAGGTAAGATAGGAGTTATTTTATTTTTATTTATGGGCCTTCATTAAGAAATAATTTAGCTAGCAAAAAGTACAAAGCCAGAAGCATCACAGCACCCAACTTCAAACTGCACTACAAGGCAACAGTAAACAAAAAGCATGGTACTGGTACAAAAACAGACACAGACCAATGAAACAGGTTAAAGAACCCAGAAATAAAGCCACACACCCACAACCATCTGATCTTCGACAAGCTCAACAAAAACAAGCAATGGGGGAAAAGATTTCCTATTCAATAAATGGTGCTGGGATTACTAGCTAGCCATATGCAAAAGATGAAAACTGAGCCCCTTCCTTTCACCGTATGCAAAAATCAACTCAGGATGAACCAAAGACTTAAATGTAAAACCTAAAACTATAAAAAACCCTAGAAGAAAACATAGGAAATACCATTCTTGACACAGGTCCTGGCAAAGATTTCATGACGAAGACACCGAAAGCAATTGCAACAAAAACAAAAATTGACAAGTGGTACCTAATTAAACTAAAGAGCTTCTGCACAGCAAAAGAAACTACCAGCAGAGTCAACAGACAATCTACAGAACAGGAGAAAATATTTGCAAACTATGCATCTAACAAAGGTCTAATATCCAGAATCTATAAGAAACTTAAATCAACAAGCAAAAAATAAGCAACTCTATTGTCAGGCCTCTGAGCCCAAGCTAAGCCATCATATCCCCTGTGTCCTGCACGTACACATCCAGATGGCTGGTTCCTGCCTTTACTGATGACATTCCACCACAGAAGAAATGAAAATGGCCTGTTCCTGCCTTAACTGATGACATTATCTTGTGAAATTCCTTCTCCTGGCTCATCCTGGCTCAAAAGCTCCCCTACTGAGCACCTTGTGACCCCCACTCCTGCCTGCCAGAGAACAACCCCCCTTTTCCCTTTATCTACCCAAATCCTATAAAATGGCCCCACCCCTATCTCCCTTCACTGACTCTCTTTTCGGACTCAGTCCACCTGCACCCAGGTGAAATAAAAAGCCTTGTTGCTCACACAAAGCCTGTTTGGTGGTCTCTTCACACGGACGCGCATGAAATCTATTAAATAAATGAGCAAAGGACATGAACAGACACCTCACAAAAGAAGACATACACGTGAGACCAACACGTGAGAAAAAAAATGGTCAACATCACTAATCATTAGAGAAATGTAAATCAAAATTATGATAAGATACTATCTCATGCCAGTCAGAATAAACATGATTAAAAAGTCAAAACATAACAGATACTGGTGAGGTTGCAGAGAAGGGGGAATACTTACACACTGCTGGTGGAAATGTAAATTAGTTCAGCCATTGTGGAAAGCAGTTTGAAGATTTCTCAAAAAAACTCAGAACTGCCATTCGACCCAGCAATCCAATTAATGGGTATGCACCCAAAGGAATATAAACCGTTCTACCATAAAGACACATGCGTGCGTATGTTCATCACAGCACTATTCACAATAGCTAAGACATGGAATCTACCTAAATGATCACCAATGGTGTGCTGGATGTGAAAATGTGGTACATATACACCATGGAATACTATGTAGCCAACAAAAAAATGAAATCATGTCCTTTGTAGTAATGTGGATGGAACTGGGGGCCATTATCGTATTAATGCAGGACCAAAAAACCAAATACCATATATTCTCACTTATAAATGGGAGCTAAATACTAAGTACACATGGGAACAAAGAAGGGAAGAGTAGACACTGGAGCTTGCTTGAGGCTGGAGGGTGGGAGGAGGATGGGGATTGAAAAACTACCTATGGCATTTATGCTCATTACCTGGGTGATGAAATCATCTGTACACCAAAGCCCCATGACACACAATTTACCCATGCAACAAACCAGCACATGTACCCCCGAATCAAAAATAAAAGTTGGAAAGAGGAATCAAAAGAAACAATTTATCTTTTAAAACTGTATATGTGGGTGCCATTTGGAAAGAAGCCTACTTTTCCTGAGATGTTGCCACAAAAATACTTGTCCTCCCTGTACCTGTTGAAAATCCAGGCTGTCATAGCCAAAGGGGTACTTGGCTAACTTTCCCAAAGCATCTTCATTTATATTAATTTACACATTACTTAATATTCCATTTCACTAAGGACTTGCCTCCTTTGGCTTAATACTATTAAACCATCAAATAATGTAAGTAATGTTCTCCAGTTTCATCCTAACCAAGCCACTTTCAGAGTATTATTTGGTTTCCCATTTAGAATGAATACTGAGTATTTAGAAGACAACCAAATAGCCCTTAACATCATCATTTACTTTGTGTGAATTTTCCTACTTAGTAATTCTGTAATTTGCATGAAAGATGTGTAGGTATATATACATGTTTAGTTCTGGCTGCTATGACAGTCTTAGACTGGGCAGCTTATAAACAACAGAAATTTATTTCTCACAGTTCTGGAGACTGGAGTCTGAGATCAGGGTCCCAGCCTGGACTGGGTCTTGTGAGCATTCTCTTACAGGTTGCAGGCTGTGACTTCTCTTTCTTTGTATCCTCACTTACAGAAAGAGAATGTTACCTATCTGGCTTTTTCTGTTTTTAATTTATTTTAATTTTTGTGGGTACATAGTAAGTGTACATATTTAGATCCCATCATTTGCAATACCCTGGATGGAAATGGAGAGTGGACTATCTCATGAGTTATGTGAGATAGTTTGATACAGGCATGAAATGTGTGGTAATCACACCACAGTAAATGGGGTATACATCAACTTAAGCATTTATCCTTTGTGTTTCAAACAATTCAATTATACTTTTAGTTATTTTAAAATACACAATTAAATTATTTCATACTACAGTCACCCTGTTGTGCTAGCACATACTAGGTCTTATTCATTATTTCTGTGTTTTTGTATCCATTCCACATCCCCACTTCCTCCCTGCCCCCACCCCCCACCACTCTTCCCAGCCTCTGGGAACCATCCTTCTACTCTCTACCTCCATGAGTCCAGTTGTTCTAATTTTTAGCTCCTACAGATAAGTGAGAACATGCAGTGTTTGTCTCTCTGCCTGGCTTATTTCACTTAACATAATGACCTGCAGTTCCATCCACAGTGTTGCAAATGACAGGATCTCATTCTTTTTTATGGCTGAATAGTACTCCATCGTGTATATGTATATGTACTACATCTTCTTTATCCATTCATGTATTTCTAGGCCTCTATGTGGCTTCCAAATCTTGGCTATTGAGAATAGTGTTGCTAAAAATATGGGAGTGCAGCTATATCTCTGATATACTGATTTTCTTTCTTTTGAGTATATATGGAGAAATGGGATTGCTGGATCATATGGTAGCTCTATTTTTAGTTTTTTGAGGAATCTCTAAATTTTTCTCCATAGTGGTGGTAATAATTTACATTCTCACCAACAGTGTATGAGGTTTCCCTTTTCTCCACAGTCTAACCAACATTTGTTATTGCCTGTCTTTTTGATAAAAGCCATTTTAACTGGGGTGAAATGATCTCTGGTAGTTTTGATTTGCATTTCTCTGATGAGCAATAATGTTGAGCACCTTTTCATGTACCTGTTTGCCATTTTTATGTCTTCTTTTGATAAATTTCTATTCAAATATTTTGTCCATTTTTGAATCGGATTACTATATTTTTTTCTATAGAGTTGTTTGAGCTCCCTATATATTCTGGTTATTAATACCTTGTCAGATGGATCATTTGAAAATATTTTACCCCATTCTGTGGGTTGTCTCTTCACTTTGTTGATTGTTTCCTTTGCTGCGCAGAAGGTTTTTAACTTGATGTAATCCCATTTGTCCATTTTTGCTTTGGTTTCCTATGCCTGTGGGGTGTTACTCAAGAAGTCTTTGCCCACTCCAATGTCTTGAAGAGCTTCCCCGAAGTTTTCTTTTAGTAGTTTCATTGTTTTAGGTCTTAGATTTAAGTCTTTAATCCATTTTTTATTTGATTTTG
This sequence comes from Homo sapiens, assembly GCF_000001405.40. NCBI lineage: Eukaryota > Metazoa > Chordata > Mammalia > Primates > Hominidae > Homo > Homo sapiens. Next base: position 40,249,756 of record NC_000005.10, on the reverse strand, counting down.
TATATGGTGAGAGATAGGGGGCTAGTTTCATTCTTCTGCATAATGGATATCCAGTTTTCCCAGCACCATTTATCAAAGAGACTCTCCTTTCTCCAATGTATGTTCTTGGGACCTTTGTCAAAAATGAGTTCACTGTGGATGTATGAATATAGCTCTGGGTCCTCTATTCTGTTCTACTGGTCTATATGTCTGTTTTTATGCCAGAACCATGCTGTTTTGGTTACTATAGCTTTGTAGTATAATTTGAAGTCAGATAATGTGAGTCTTTCAGTTTTGTTCCTTTTGCTTAGGATACCTTTGGCTATTCTGGGTCTGTTATGGTTCCATAGAAATTTTAGAATTCTTTTTTTCTATTTCTGTGAAGAACATCATTGTCATTTTGATAGGAATTGCATTGAATCTGTGTATTGTTTTGGCTAGTACGAACATTTTAACAGTATTGTTTCTGCTAATCCAGGAACATGGAATATTTTTTCCTTTTGTTTTGAATCCACTTCCATTTCTTTCATCAGTGTTCTATAGTTTTAATTGTAAAAATCTTTTACTACTTTAATTTAGTCCCTAAGTATGTAATTTTATTTGTAGCTACTGTAAATGGGATTACTTTCTTGATTTCTTTTTCAGATTGTTTGCTGTTGACATATAAAAACGCAACTGATTTTTGTATGTTGATTTTGTATCTTGTGACTTTACTGAATTTGTTTATCAGTTCTAATAGTTTTTTTTGGTGGGGTCTTTAGGTTTTACCAAATATAAGATTATATAATCTGGAAACAAGGATAATTTGACTTCTCCCTTTTTTCTTTCTCTTGTCTGATTGCTCTAGCTAAGACTTCTAGTACTTTGTTGAATAACAGTGGTGAAAGTAAGCATTCTTATCTTATTCCAGATCTTAGAGGAAAGACTTTCAGTTTTTCCCCATTCAGTATGATACTAGCTGTGGATCTCTTGTATATGGCTTTTATTGTGTTGAGGTATGTTCCTTCTATACCCAGGTTTTTGAGGGGTTTTATTATGAAAGGATGTTGAATTTTATCAAATGCTTTTTCAACATCAATGAAAATGGTCATATGTTTTTTGTCCTTTATTCTGTTGATGTGATGTATTCATTGATTGATTTATGCGTATTGAATTATTCTTGCATCCCAGGAATAAATCCCACCTGGTCATGAAGGATGATCTTTCTAATGTATTGTTGAATTCATTTTGCTAGTATCTTGTTCAGTATTTTTGCATCAATATTCATCAGAGATATTGGCCTATAGTTTTCTTTTTTAATGTGTCTTTGTCTGGTTTTGTTATCAGGGTAATACTGGCCTCATAGAATGAGTTTGGAAGTATTCCCTTCTCATCTATTTTTAGAGTAGTTTGGGTATGATTGTTATTAGCTCTTCTTTAAATGTTTGATAGGTAGAATTTATCAGTGAAGCCTGGGTCCCAGGCTTCTATTTGCTGGAATACTCTTTATTACAACTTGAATCACATTGCTTGTTATTAGTCAGTTCAGGTTTTGAATTTCTTCATGGTTCAATCTCAGTAAATTGCAAGTGTCTAGAAATTTATCCATATCTTCTAAATTTTCCAATTTATTGGCATATAGTTGCTCATAGTAGCCACTAATGATCCTTTAAATTTCTGTGGTATCAGTTGTAACATCTCCTTTTTCATCTCTGATTTTATTTATTTGAGTCTTCTCTTTTTTTTTTTCTTAGTCTGGCTAAAGGTTTGATAATTTTGTTAAACTTTTCAAGAAACCAACTTTTTGTTTCATTAATTTTTTGTATTGTTTTCTTCAGCTCAAATTCATTTATTTCTGCTCTGATCTTTATTATTTTTTCTCCTACTAATTTTGGGTTAGGTTTGATCTTGCTTTTCTAGTTTTTAAAGATGCATTGCTAGGTTGTTTATTTGAAGCTTTTCTTCTGTTTTGATGTAGGTATTTATAGCTATAAACATTCCTCTTTGTACCACTTTTGCTGTATTCCACAAGTTTTGGTATGTTGTGTTTTCATTATAATTTGTTTCTATAATTTTTTTGATTTTTTTCTAAATTTCTTTATCGACCCACTGGTTATTCTGGAGCACATTGTTTAATTTTCATCTATTTGTATAGTTTGCAAAAATCCTCTTGTCATTTTTGTTTTTTTATTCTATCGTGGTCAGAGAAGATGCTTGACATTATTTTAAAGTTTTGAATGTTTTCAGGCTTGTTTTGTGACCTAACATATGGTCTATCCTTGAGAATGATCCATGTGCTGAGAAAAAGAACATGTATTCTGCAGCCTTTGGATTAAATATTCGGTAAATATCTATTAGGTTCATGCGGTCTATAGTGCAGACTAAGTCTGACGTTTCCTTGTTGATTTTCTGTCTGGAATATCTGTCCAGTGATGAAAGTGGGTTGTTGAAGTGTGCAGCTATTATTGTATTGGGATCTATCTCACTCTTTCACTCTAACAATATTTGCTTTATATAACTGGTTGCTCCAGTGTTGTATGCACATACATTTATAATTGTTATGTCCTCTTGCTGAATTGACTGCTTGATTATTATACAGTGACTTTCTTTGTCTCTTCTTACAGTTTTTGTCCTGGAATCTGTTTTGTCTAAGTATAGCTACTCCCACTTTTTTTTTTTGATTTGTTTGTTTCCATTGGCATGGAACATCTTTTTTCATCACTTTATTTTTAGTGTATGTGTGTCTTTACAGGTGAAGTGTGTTTCTTGTAGCAACAAATCATTGTGTCTTGTTTTTCATCCATTCAGCCATTCTATGTCTTTTGATAGGAGAGTTTAGTCCATTTACATTCAATGTTATAATTGATAAGTAAGGACTTACTCCTCGCATTTTACTATTTGTTTTCTGGTTTGTTGCGGTCTTCTCTTCCTTCTTTCCTTCCTTCCTGTATTCCTTTTAGTGGAGATAATTTTCTCTAGGGGTATGATTTAATTTCTTGATTTTTATTTTTGGTGTATTTGTTGTATTTTTTTTTATTTCAGGTTACCATGAGGCTTTCAAATACTATCTTATAAACCATTATTTTAAGCTGATAACAGTTTAACAGTTTTTGCATAAAAAACAAATAAGCCAAAAAGAAAACTAATACAAACTCTACACCTTAACTTCATTTTCCTGCTTTTTAACTTTTTGTTGTTTCTATCAATATTTTATTGTTCTATGTCTTGAAAAGTTGTTGTAGTTATTAATTTTGATTGGTTCATCTTTTAGCCTTTCTTCTTAAGATAAAAGTAGTTTATACACTATAGTTACAGTGTTATAATATTCTGTATTTTTTCTGTGTACTTACTATTACCAGCGAGTTTTTTTTTTTACCTTCACATGATTATTACTCATTAAAGTCCTTTCTTCCTGATTGAAGTACTCTCTTTAGCATTTCTTGTAGGAAAGGTCTGGAATGGATGAAATCTCTTAGTTTCAGTTCATCTTGGAAAGTCTTTATTTCTCATTCATGTTGGATGGATATTTTCACCAGATATACTATTCTAGGGTAAACATTTTTCAGCACTTTAAATATGTTATGCTACTCTCTCCTGGCCTGTGAGGCAGCAAGTTCTCTTCTGGACCAGGGTGTGTCTAGATATGTTGTCTGGGAACTAGAGCCTGGAATCCTATTCTACTGTGGCTGAACTGGTATCCAAGATGTAAGAGAAAGTCTCTTTGCTCTTTCCTCTCCTCTTCTCAAGCAGAAGGAAGGAGTCTTTTTTGGAGCCATGAGCTATGCAGACTAGGATTGCGGCAGGGGAGTCACAAGCACTCCCTTAGCCATCTTTTCAGGTTTCTCAGTAGGTTGTGTGCCCTCTCAGTCCACTGGCTTTGAGTCTAGCTCAGCAATAGAATTCTCCTAGGAGTTGCAGTCCTTGTGGCCTAGACTGCCTTTCAAATGTATTCAGAGCCCCACAGCACTTTAGCCTGTGGTGGCATGGCTTGCCAGAGCTCAAGGTTCAACCACTGGGATGGGTAATTTCCTTCTGGCTAGACCCAGTCCAAATGCTCCTTCTGTGGATGGGCATCAGCTAACTACAGCTCAGTTCTGCTTTCTGCTGTGACGGCAGAACCAAGTTCAATGCAAAGTCTCACAGTCATTGTGTTCTTCTTCCACAAGTGCACAGGTTCTCCATATCACACAGCCACAGGGGTTAGGGGGAGGGGTGGCTTTAGTAATTCAAGACGGCTTTTTCTCCCCTTCTCAGTGCCTCTTTCAGTAACATGAAGTTAAAACCAGGTACTGTAAGTGCTCACCTGATTTTTGGTTCTTAGGAAGGTGCTTTTCTCGTGTAGATAGTCGTTAAATTTGGTGTTCCTGCATGGTGGGGACAATCAGTGCAGTCTCCTATTCTGCCATCTTGCTCCACTTCTGGTCTCTTCTTTTAAGCTCCAATGTCATGACCCAATTACTTCCCAAAGGCCGCCTTCTAAATACCACCATGTCACAGGTTAGAATTTTAAAATAAGAATTTTGGGGTCACACACACACACACACACACACACACATATATATATATACATATAGATGTATATTTATAGTCAAAATTCATTATTCACAGTTTCTATATTTACAAATTCACCTACTTGCTGAAATTTATTTATTTGTAACCCAAAATAAATGCTTGGGACACTTTTGAGGTTATTCACAGACACAAGTAGAGTGAAAAAAATTTGACTTGTTCAATGCATATATGCCCAGCTGAGGTTAAACAAGGCAGCACTCTGCCTTTTTGTTTCATGTATAATAGTGTAAACAAGGGTCCTTCCATAGTCTATTTATTGCCATTGTTTTTACTCGTGTGCTTCTTGTTAGTGATCTCACCATTTAAAATGGCCCAAAAGTGTAGTCCCAAAGTGCTGACTAGTGTTCCTAAGCACAGGAAGGCTGCAATGAACCTCATGGAGAATATATCTGTGCTTGATAAGCTTAATTCACATATGGCCTATAGTGCTGTAGGTCATAAGTTCGATGTTCATGAATGAACATTTATTTACTTAGCAGTTCTTGAGTCAACCTTTAAGAAAAGGTATCTTTAAACAGAAACATTCATAAAACAAAGTTATATATTGATCTGTTGATAAAAATGTGACCAGAGGCTTATAGGAACCTCTTCCTGTCTTTTCTCTAGGAAGAATGTTTCAGTATTTACTAATTCAGTGCTCACAGCATTTTTGTAAACATAATTCCATGAATATTGAGAATTAACAGCATAGATTACATCCGTAGATATATAGTAATTCTGTGAGTTGAAAGGAAGTTTCTATCTATCTGTCTATCTATCTATCTATCTATCTATCTATCTATCTATCTATCCATCTATACATCCATCTATCTGACATCAGGTGTGGGATATTTCGTATTAACAGAAGCCAAGCACATATTTCCACAAAGTTAAAAACCACTGAGATCTAAGCACTAGCATAGACTTAGCATAAGTCGTAGCCAGTTTTGTGTTTCCATGTGGGTGCTATTTTTATTTTTAAAATACATTACTTGGCTGTATGCTTTACTGCTCTCCTTCTTTTCTCCCCATATCTGGTATCTTAGCCAAATGTGTCTGACTGCATATCGTTGCCTCACACCCATAGGGTATTTTGTTTTGTTTTGTTTTGAGACAGAGTCTCACGCTGTCACCCAGGCTGGAGTGCAGTGGTATGATCTCGGCTCACTGCAACCTCTGCAACCTCTGCCTTCTGAGTTTAAGTGATTCTCGTACCTCAGCCTCCCAAGTAGCTGGGATTACAGGCGTGTGCCACCATGCCCAGCTAATTTTTGTATTTTTAATAAATACAAGGTATCACCATGTTGGCCAGGCTGGTCTCGAACTCCTGACCTCAAGTGATCCTCCCACCTCAACCTCCCAAATTGCTGGGATTACAGGCGTGAGCCACTGCAACTACCATCCATAGTGTTTTTCGAGTTTATGCTTAGCTCCTATTATTCTTTTTACATCAACTACTTTGCTCTCTTTACATGCACAGACCTGAACTATTTTCCTTGAAGTATTCCCCCATTCTCACTTCCCTACCTCCAGACAGCTATAATCTCTCACTTCTATAAATACTATGGTCTCTTCATCTCTGTGGCAGTAGCATATTGTACATTTGATTTTGATGATTTGGGTACTTGTCTCACTCATTTTGTGTTTCCCACTTTGCCTAACCCAAGGCCTTGTTCAATATATGTTTACAGAATAAAAATATTTAGTTCTCAACAATTTTAGGTCACAAACCTCTGTAAAAATGATTAAAGCTTATTCTCAGAAAAAAAATGTAGTACAACTTAAAAGTTGTACTGCATTTCTGAGTATTTGAAGCTCTCTTCTCCATCAACACCACCTCTCCAAGTCCACAAAGTCTTTGTTAAAAACTTCTTATTTACTTCAGTCTCCTCAGAATGACAATGGAAAGTTGATGTCCACGGAAGTCAAGTAACTTGTCTCAGGCTAGTGGGAAAGCTAAGACTGGTGTTGGCATTTTACAATTTTCCGAATAGAGGTTTTTCTATGTGGGTGACTTAATCTTGACCATAATAATGTTCTCCTGTTTGCTCCAAATGAGGAGACAGACAACTAAAGGAAATTTTGTTCACTCTTAACCACAGACTACTGTGCTGATGGATGCTGTTGAAGTCAACAAGGAAGTATTATGTAGAGTCAACAGAAAGCAGTGGACAGAGAAACAGGAAATTGATTACAACCCTCCAAACCTGCCATTTACCATTTCTGGGTCTCTACCTCAGCCAAAAAGTTTTGGGGAAATAGAGTCTAATTACCCCAGGGAATCGACATGTGTTCTTCAGAGGAGGTCAATAGTCAAACACTAGTCTAGTTGGTTTCATCCTATAGCGGAAAGTCAGGTAAAGTAATTAGTCTCAACATCTCAGGGGTGCTGACTCATTTCCACTTCCTTTAGAGGAGCCACTCAAACTCTGTCCACGTTTTTTCTCCATAGAAATATGATAAAGATCACTTCTCAGGAAGCATTCATATTTCAAGAAGCTCTGTATGATATACATTAAGGTAAATATTCCTAATCCTTGTCTCTAGGGTTAGAGAAGGTTGGGCTGTACTTTGCCGTTTTTAAGCCAGCAGCCATACTGAATTCACTGTTTTTCCTCAACTCAGCATACCAGATGACCCTTGGTTGCAGCCGTAACCAATCCTTTCTCAAGGACCAAATCACACCTGCCTCTCTTGTCCTTTCCAGGCTCTGAGCTAAAGTCTTGGCATCTTTCTTGTATGCCCTCCAAGTATTAGTCCAAAAAGATACCAAAACTCATATTTTATGGAAAAAGATGTTTCCTGTAATATCTTTTGTCTTGGCTTTAGCAGTATGCATTTTAATAAAAATATTGACTTAAATATTGACTTAAATTTATGTGTTTGTTTATGTTGCTACTCACTGAGGACTTGCTTGATTGGATTAGGCAAATTTTTTTTCCAATTGGATTGAGGTACTAGAATTTCAGGAAGTCTTCAGTTTCTTTCTTTTTTTTTTTTTTCTGCAGCAGAAATTTTGGGTCAAAATGTCTAGGCTCTCTAGTGCTCAGTGCTGTAGAAATTAAAACATTTAGATGTTCTGGATGACCCAACTTTAATTGTGATAAAATATATGTTGGATATATTTTGACATTTTTTCTTATCTACTGAATTTTATTTTAACTGTTTAACACAAAATCTCCCCTATTGATTGAGAATATACAAAATTATAGTTTTTATTGGATTGAGTTGAAATATATTCTGATAAAAAGCAGAATTTAAATGTTATAAGTTGCCAAGAAGGGTAGAATCACAACTTGATAATAAACCTAAATGTAAATTTAGAAATTAAAACATTAAAAAGTTAAGAATAAATAGAAGTTTTTTTTGTCTTTTGTTTTCTTCCTTTCAAGTATAAAACACTTCACAAATGCAATGCTATAGTAAATGTTTAAACCGTATAAAAGTATATAGATAAAAAATAGCAACATTTTCTTTTTCCTTCAAGTATCACTCTGTTCTCTAATTTTAACCAGTAGGTGATATTAACATTTTTAAAGGCTAAAAATAAATAATACTTAGAGTAAAGGGGAGAATAAATTTTCTAATAGAAAAAAAGTGATTTTAAATAAAAACTGATGTTGAAATCAATGAAAAAATATTGAGAGCATGAAGATAAGGGATAAACATTAAAGTAACTAATGGCAGGCACCTGTAGTCCCAGCTACTAGGGAGGCTGAGGCAGGAGAATGGTGTGAACCCAGGAGGCGGAGCTTGCAGTAAGCCGAGATCACACCACTGCATTCCATCCTGGGCGACAGAGCGAGACTCTGTCTAAAAAAAAAAAAAAAAAATGAAAATACTAAAACTTAGAAGTCATTAGAATTTATGCAAAAACAATAATATACACTAAAAGATATATAAATTGATAGATAATATTCTGATTATATATTTTTGTGAAATACATAATTATACATAATAATAATACATATATCTGTATACTATAAAACCTGATGACTTAAGCAAAACCCATATATTACATCTCACAAATTCTAGGTTATGAATTTGGGAAGTGTTTAGTTGGCAATTCCTTTGTTCCACATGGCATTAATAGGAGTTACTTGGTATTCATCTAAGGCCAAGCTGGTCAGGAAGGTCAATGTGAGACTCAATGATATCCAACATTTTGGTAGGGATTACTGGAAGGCTGGGTTCAACTGGATCTCCCCTTTTCCATATAGTTTCAATTCCTCTCTATATAGTCTCTCTAGAAGGGTAATTGGGCCTCTTGTATGACTGCTTAGGGCTCAAGAGAATATGTGGGCCTGCCTAGAACTGGCATAGTGTCAGTTCCACATTCTGTTGATCAAAGCAGTCATAATCAGACCCAGATTCAAGAGGAGGGTGAATAGATACCACAGCTAGATGGGAGAAGTTTCAAAGAATTTGTGGCCATCTATAATCTGCCACAGATGGTAAAGTAAATGTGTAAAGTGTGGCAAGAATGTAGAAAAAAAATAAAAGGAGATGAGCAAATGGAATCAAAATCTTCCATCAAAGCAGAACCAACAGCAGTTTAAAAAATAGAATATCCATATCTTCAATAACAACAAGGAGCTCAAATTCATCAAACAAACAAAACTGTAACTTAAACTAGCCAAGTGGCATGGATCCTCAGTAGAACTAACTGAAGAGAAACAACATGGCAAGGCCAACAACCCAGGACCTTTTATTTGTTTTTTATATGAGGGTATATTATTGTATTAGTTATCTATTGTTACCTAATAAACTAACAACCCCCTGCCCCACCAGAAAAAAAAAAAAAAACTTACCATGTTGCAGTTTTTGTGAGTCAAGAATCTGGCAGCAGTTCAGCTACGTGGTACTGGCTCAAGATTTCTCAAGAAGTTTCAGTAAAGACTGCCAGCAGGGTTGCAGTGTCATCTGAAGTCATGACTGGGGAGGGTCACTTCCAAGATGACTCATGCAGTTCTTGGCAGGAGGTTTTTGTTTCTGGCTACATGGGCCTGATCATAGAACTACTCATGACACAGCTTCCCCCAGAGTGGGTGATCCAAGGGCAAGAAGGTGCTCATCTAAATAGGAAGATGCAATATTTCTATAATCTGATTTTGGAAATGACATATCATCACTTCTCCTGAATGCTATTGGTTACAGTGACTGACCCTCGTACAGAATAAGAAGGGGGTAAACCAGGGTGCAAATACCAGGAGGCATGAATTATTGGGGCCTCTTGAAGGCATGTAGAGGAGTATCCAAAGAGTAAGGGAAACCTTTGCCTTCACTCTCATGTCACATCTGAAAGCTCACATCTTTTGCAAGAAATAGTTTTTTTCTACAGTTTTATCTTAAATTAAAAGATGCAATCCCTCCTGGAAAGGAAAGACACAGGGGCTCTTAAGACAGACTGTGCATACACAAATTTTTATTCTATGCCAGCTTCATGGTATGGTTAACTGCATTCTACAAGTGCCCACTGCAAATACTATCCTAAGAGAACAATGGACCGGTAAATATCCAATGGCTTGCTCTTTATGAAGATAAAAGTATAATAAAGCTTGCAGTGCATTGCAAGTGGGTTTTGGAAGACATTTCATTATGGCCATATAAAAAGTATACAAAATAGATTTAGATAATGCTTTTCACTCATAGCAAAAATACCAGCTTACAAAAGATATAAAAGAAAATGAGGTATGTATCACATCAATATTTAGGTCTGGAAGTAAGATTTAAAGGTCCGCTAGCCTAATACTTTTCAATCTGTTGACTTTGTTGAGTTATTTTTAATTGCTAATTTGTATACTATGAAATTTTCTTTGTGGAATACAGTTCTATGGCTTTTGACAAATGCATAGAGCCATGTATCTACCACCATACTTGTGATATGGAACAGTTCCATCACTCCCAAATTTTTTTTGTGTGTGGTCTCTTTGTTGTTAGCCCTTTCCATCCCCCAAACCCTGGCAACCATTAATCTTCTATCTGTCCTTGGAGTTTTGCTTTTTCCAGAATATTCTATAAATGAAATAATAAAATATGTAGTGTATTGTGGCTGGCTTCTTCTACTTTACAAAAAAATTGAGATTCTTCCATTTGTTGAATAGATCAATAGTTAGTGTTTGTTTTTATTTTATGCCAATAAAATCAGTTCTGGCCTTCTGATCTCTTTTGCACTTCATTGTCACTAAAGTAGTTTTTGATTTGGCTTTTCTCCCCAGTTTTGGTCTTGGTCTGTTTCTGGGTTAAAACACCTTGGTTCTGTTCAGGAATTTGGGAAACCTATGTTCTTAACAGTTGTACTAAAAGGAGAGATGGATAACTATTGTCCTGTAAATGATCCAGTATATATTTTTGTGTCAGATCCACATTTTGTTGATCAGGTATTGCCACAATAATGCTACATAAAAAACCACTCTAAAAACAAGTGGCTTACAGAAACAGTGTTCTTTCTTATGCCCCAGGATCTGTGCATCAACTGGGGTTTGGCTGATCTAAAGTCAATTAAGCCAGGTGGCTCTGCTTCAGGCTGAAGATTGGATGTTTTTTTCCAGGCTGTGGGTTGGATATAGTTCTGTCCCCTTATGTTTTCTTCTGTTTTCCTTTCTAGTCTGAAATAAGTTGCTGTCTGGGACATGTTCTACTCATGTCGGATCACTAGAGTCTAAAAGTCAAGCCAAGTCATTCAAGCATGTGAGGGCTGTACTTACATAGTGTCTCCTAACATTCTGCTGGCTAATGCAGATCTCGTGGCCAAGTCTAATATCAGTGGTGCAGGCAGATATGCTCTAAGCAGAGTGGGAAGGAGAGGTAGAATGAACTTTTATTGAACAATAATCCTAACTACTATATGTGGTCAGCAGTGTACCTAATTGAATTGACACAAGATAAATCAGAATTCCGTATTTTCCCGGACTTAATATTTATTTGGTACAAGATCACAAAGCAAGTTACTGATTCAAGACTAAAACATTACACAATTATTCCAAGTTTTTGTTTGACTCATTGGCTACCTCACTTCAACACATTGACTCTAAGCAGACACAACGGGGCAGTGAAACTAAGAGTTCAATCCTGAAACCACTGTCTTTGAGAACCATCATTACATATGCACTGGACTTTCATAGGCTGCCTGATGCCAGTTTAGGTGCTGTGATGTTGTATAATTTAAATTGGGAATTATTACTTCTTTTGGGAAGTTTACACTCAGAACAGACTGAGATGTCTGTTCTAAGATGGTATTTAGTCACACAAATCAAATACAAGTAGAGAATAATAAAATGTACAGCTGGAAGGAATTTAAACCACTACTCTAATTTCAAAGATCAGAAATTAGAGACCCAGAAAGATTAAATAATTTTCTGAAGGACAGTTGATGTAAGATTTAAGTCTAGAGTGTGGAATTTTTTTGTACTGGTGATTAGAAGGTGAAAACAGCATTCACAGCTATCAGAATTTATTGAAGGCTGGGGAGTTCCATGCCCTTAGTTATTTTTCTAAGTGGGGTAAACTATTTAGCAGTTAAGGCACACTTGCTACACTGACAGAAGATTTCAGACAATGCAAAAATGGAAACAATATGTCTGAATGTTCAGGTACATTACAAGAACTCATAGGCCCATTCACTGAATTAGTCTGTAGCCATGCTTTTGATCAGGGGGCTAAACTGGGTCCGTGGGATACAGTTTATTACAAGTAACAATGGCAGAGAGAAACTGAGATTTGTGGTATTTTATCATAGGAAGCAGATATATTCTCATGGTCATGAGGGCATTCTTAGCTTTTGGAGTGTTTGTGAGCGAGCTGGGGTGCTCTTACTCTCATTCTGATACTGCCAGCTTCTAGATTGTTCTTCCCTCTCTGCTGCCACTAATTATGAGCCCAGGAGAGGGAACTCAGAAACTATTCCTGAGTAACTTTGCTCTAAGAAAGACCAGTTGTGCAGACTCCTGACTACCTTCTTCAACCAAGTTTAATGGCTTTCTTGATCAATCCAATCAGAAGATTATAAGTAAAATAAGCACTCATGTTCATAAATGAAAAAAATCAAAAGAAATAAATATGCCTCACACAATTTTGGGGGCTCTCTGTTATTTGCCATGTATCATAGTAATTGATTCAAATGTGCAGTTGACCATTTACAATCAGCTTTTCAAAAAGCACCAGTTATTCAGATTGTATTTTCATTGCTCCATTGTTAAAAAAGACAACTGTGTAAGAATTCATGAATATGTATGCAAATTCATTCTTTTCTCTTTTTTCTTAGCATTGTCCCTGATAATCTTTATAAATTATAACTTACAAATTTAGTTCTTTCCTTCGTCGATTTGAGATAAGAGTTCTTAAACTTATATTGAAATCAGAAAGAGATTGTACATGATATTAAAATGACCTTAAGAGCACTTTTCCCATACATGTCTTGTTGCTTTTGTGGTTTATGTCCTGTATGAGGGACTTGCTTATGTCCCTCATTGTTAGGTCTTTTTATATCTTTAAATATTTTGTGATTATTATTCCATTGTGCCCTGTAAGTCTTGTGGTAGCTGTGCTTGTATGGAAAACAGAAACAGATGTATGTACCAAACTCAATAAATGTCCTTTCACTTGTTCACAAAGATTAGCTTAGTAAAATTAATTGGGATTTGATGGAAGTGCAACTTGGTAAATCAAAGAAGACTTCCAAAAGGATATGGATTTTAAACTACTTCCAAGAAAACCAGAGGAACATGGAATTGCAAGAATGGAGAGAGTCAAGATGAGGGTGAGAGCCACAATTAAAACACACACACACACACACACACACACACACACACACACATGCACACATGCAATAGTAAACATAAAAAGGAAGGAAATAGAGTGATTATAATTTTTAACAAAGTATTATTTGACTGATAACAATGGTAAAATTTCCATTCTCCAATTACATGCTGTCTTTATCTTAATAATAGCATCTAAATGTAGTGTTGGTTAAAGTGAAATAAACACAAAGTTGTTTGGGAACACATGAATACAAACCACAGGATGATTCATTTATATTTACATACGGGGCTTCACTTACCATAGCAGGACTCCAGAATTTACCAGAAATCTTCTGGAATTTTATAGTTGTGGACTACTCTAATTAAAAAAATGTTTTCAGCAAGGGATAGGCCCTATCTACATGCCTCTTGGAAATAGTATGAACTGGATCTTCATTGCTAAATTACTCTACTAAAGGGAACATGTCTTGGCCTCTAGTGTATAAGCTCCATGTCGTTTTGCAGATTTTGAACACAGAGGGCAAGTGATGCCCTTTTGCCTGGTGGTTCCTATCTTGAAACACTCAATGTAAGACTCTAAATGTTGAACTAGAGGTCACTTGGTGTTTAAATATTAGGTTGGTGCAAAAGTAAATTACAGTGTTTGCATTGAAAGAAATGGCAAAACTGCAATTACTTTTGCACCAACCTAATATCTTAATACAAAACTCACCCTACAAGGTAACATTGGCCCAGCAAAATCTAGGAAATATATTGCACTGTTTGCTTTAAGATGTAAACGAAATTCCGAATGTCTCATAGTTTGTACAACAGCACAGCATTTACACAGGAATGAACACCACCGGAGAACCTGAATCACAAAAAACGTGCATCAAATAGAGTCCATTCAGAACAAATAACATTACTTGTGAGTTCTTTGTGACCAATATTTATTGACTATGCTCCCTCTGTCACTGAATATAAGTAGGAGGGCTTGTTCTTGGGATTTAGCTCTCAGTTTTCTGAATGCACTGAAGGGAACTTACTAAAAGTGATACCACCCTCCAGAAAGCAAGGAAGGTAAAAATCATTCTCTGCAGGCTCTCAATGCTGCAAACCTCACCTCTGCCCCCATCTGGGGCTTCCTGAATCAGATCTCTGAGGGAGGGTAGGGGCGGTGGACTGAGTTGTGCAAGCTCACTGGCCACCTTGTTGACAAAAGAGGTTTATTGTTTGGGGACTGTTGTCAGTTGGCAGTACCAATGCCCAGACCCAACTTAGAATTGAATGGTCCACTCTGTAAAAGCTGGGAGCTAGTATGGTGAAACCCTGTCTCTACCAAAATAACAAAAAAAATAAAAAATAAAAAAAATTAGCTGGGCATGGCAGCATGCACCTGTATTCCCAGCTACTCAGGAGGCTGAGGAAGGAGAATCGCTTGAACCTGGGATGTGTAGGTTTCAGTGAGCCAAGATCGCGCCACTGCACTCCAGCCTGGAGACAAAGCAAGATTCTGTCTCAAAAACAAAAAAACAAACAAAACAAAGCTGGGAATTTCTCCCAAGTTCTATGCCATGATAGTACTTTCCAATAGAAGCTTCTACCTATTCTATGGGCAAAATGTTCTATAATCTATGCCATCCAAATAGTGTAGCCACTAGTTACATGTGGCTATTGAGCACTTGAAATGTGTGACTGAGGAACTGAATTTTAAATTGAATTTATTTAATTCTAAATGTACACATCCATATATGGATAGTGGATACCATATTGGAGAGTGCAGGGCCAGGCATGGTGGCTTATACCTGTAACTCTAGCACTTTGAGAGGCTGAGGCTAGAGGATTGCTTGTGGTCAGGAGTTCTAGACTAGCCTGAGCAACATAGTGAGATGCCATCTTTACAAAAAATGAAATAGAATACATTGGCAGAGTGTGGTTGTGCATGCCTGTAGTCCTAGTTACTACGGAGGCTGAGGCAGGAGGATTGGTTGAACTAAAAAAGTCAAGGCTGCAGTCAGCCAAGATTGCACCACTGCACCCTGCCTGGGTGAACAGAGTGAGACTCTGCCTCTAAAAAGAAAGTGTAGATTTTTCATAACACCTTGACATCCACATGACTCTGACCCAAACTTACTGAATATTGTATAGGTAGAAACATTGTGCTTTATAGTAAAAACATTAGTTAAATCCCAAGCTTTGTAAAGTAATTTGGACGTTGATATAAAAAGATTTATTTGGGAAGCAAAGCACTGACAAATAAAGAAATCTACAAGAACAGATTCCAAATATTAATTCATTAATTACATATTTACTGGGAGGCCATTAGCAGGATGCTGTGGGCTATGTGTTAAAAATACAAAGATGGGAGGCTTTTTGCTTTTAATAAGTTTCCAATCCAGTGGGAAGAAAGAGACAAATAAGGGGATATTTACAATATAATGTGATAAG
The DNA here is from genome assembly GCF_000001405.40 of Homo sapiens. NCBI lineage: Eukaryota > Metazoa > Chordata > Mammalia > Primates > Hominidae > Homo > Homo sapiens. The sequence continues at coordinate 40,234,061 of NC_000005.10, read as the reverse complement.
TGCCTGGATGGAAGAATGAACTGCAGCTAAGGCAAAATAAATGACTTTCATGATGTAGGGTGTTCCATTGTCTATTGTGTAATTATTAACAGTTTGGACATAAGTATTAGAATGCAAGGTGATAAGTTCTATTAGGATGCAAAAATGAATGAGCTAATCTATGCCTTCAAGAAGTTTTCACTCCAAATCCTCACCAGCTGCAAGCCCCTTGACCTTGGACTTCTCAGCCTCCAGAACTGTAAAAAATCAACTTCTTTGGTGTATGTGGTATTCTGTTACAGCAACATAAAATGGACAAAGACAACAGGTTAGATAAGTTCTGCTCAACAATTAAATTGTGTGAATGTGTGATTTATGCTTAGAATAACTTGTAAGAATATATTATCATGTGTGCATCTCAGAATATATCCTGAATTTCTTCATTCTTCAGTGTCCTAGGATGTTCATCCCCACAAGTAAACTGTATTTTTTAAAAAGTGAAATCTTTCTTATTGGGTATGAACCCTATCTGGATGGATAACATCCTGGTTTTAGCAAACCAAAAAAGACATCATTTAAATGTGAATTCATTATGACCTCATCCATTCATGAGAAGGCCTGACCAGAAAGGAAATCAGTAAATACCTTTGTGGCCACTTTGATTCTTTCAAGAAGCACTTGCATGTTTTCATTTTAAATACATGAAATTTCTCTATCTCTCTTCTTTTCCCCTTTTTCTTCATTTTTCTTGAGAATGTCATCCCACTTTTTGTAGTTATTATTGTTGTTGTTACTTTCCAACAATTATAATAATCTCATTCTTTTATAATTCTTAGTGGCCCCCAAACTGATAGATGGCCATGTGTCTACTTACTGATAGCAGCCTTCATATCTTGTTTCAGAAAATCTGGCACAGACCTGCCTTCTTCTTTCTCCATTAATATTTCACTTGCTTTGAACAGGAAAAAACATTATCCAAGGTTAATGAAGTGATTCTAGCCTTCTGGAGATGAAGACAGGATCACGTCATCTGCCACTTCCATCTGCTTCTTAAATTCAGTGGCTAAAGAATTTATTTACTTCTATTGAACTAGAAATTTAAATTTCAAAATAAGACATTTTTCTTGGTCAAAGTCAAGAGTTATCACTGAGACCAAAATGGTGAAAGTAGCAATAAGGTTTCTGGGTAAGTTTTACTCTAACAATCCACAAATACATATTAATACATTTTATATACATTACAAGCAACAAATAATCCACACCTTATTTCCTCCTCCCAAATCATAATTCATTAAAATGTTTTGTAGATGGCTTTTAGCCAATTCTTTGCCTAATACTTTTTCCTGTAAAAATTGAAGGATGTGGTGGGGCGCAGCGGGGCGCAGTGGCTCATGCCTGTAATCCCAGCACTTTGGGAGGCTGAGGTGGGCAAATCACGAGGTCAGAGTTCAGAACCAGCCTGGCCAACATGGTGAAACCCCATCTCTATTAAAAATACAAAAAATTAGCTGGGCATGGTAGCATGTGCCTGTAATCCTAGCTACTCGGGAGGCTGAGGCAGGAGAATCTCTTGAACCCAGGAGGGGGAGGTTGCAGTGAGCTGAGATCACACCACTGCACTCCAGCCCGGGCCACAGTACGAGACTCCATCTCAAAAAACAACAACAACAGCAACAACAATTGAAGAATGTATTTTATGGCTTATTTTCATTTCTTTCCCTATTAAATTATGCATTCTAATTTTCAGAACTATTGTAGCTTTTAAAAAATTAGTGTAGTGAAAAATTTTATCTAAGGAGGTGTGTGCATGCGGATACAAGGTAAGTGTTAAGTCTTGACTAATACTAACTTCAGAGAAGTAAAAAGATGTGTAAGAATCAAACTAAGTAATAAATTCACCAAGAGCTCTCTTCGTAAAATCTTCTGATATGGAGTCAAAGGAAAGACAGAAAAAAAATGTATCTACATTCATTTACTGGAAACATTGTTTTTCAGGTTATACAGATAACATGATATAAACATAAAAATTAAATTTTTAGGATCTCACTGTATATAAAATTAGAAACTTGTTTAATATTTTCATATGCTATCATTTTTACTTAACATTATAAGAGGCATAAACTTTACAAACAATTTTTAGATATGGGTCTCACTCTTTCACTCAGGCTGGAGGGCAGTGGTGCGATCATAGATCACTGCAGGCTTGAAGTCCTAGGCTTAAGCAGTCTTCCTGCTTCAGCCTCTTAAGTAGATGGGATTAAGGGCACACACCACCACGCCACAGAAATTTTTATATGCTATTATTATTTCTATCATATAGACTTTTAAAATATTATATAGTTTTTAAGCTGTGCTATTACTATTTCTATTACTATTACATAGTTTTTGTGTATGTGTATGTGTGGCTTGTTTTTGGTATTGTTCATGGTATGGTTTTGTTGTGTTTTGCTATGTCATTCCCAGGATGGATATTAAGATGGCTTCTTCCTTCCTTGCTTTTATTTATTATTAATTAGACTCTCATGATATCTCTCTACATAAATATTTGACTACATCTCATATTATTTTATTAGAAAACATTTCTAGATGTGGGTGTCAGGAATCAAAGTGTTCAACTTTTTATGGTAGTTGATGCGTGTTGCCAGATAGCTCTCTACAAATTCCTTGCTCCCAAGAAACCTGTTACTGCGTTCATGTTACTACAACTTCACCAATATTTAGTTTTCTTCTTTATCATTACCAACTTGATAGGGTGTCCCTTAAACATATTTTATTGGTTAATTTGCATTTCTTTATTAATTAGGTTTTAACATTTTTCACATTTCAAATTTATATTTCTGTGGCTTTTTTATGATTTCAATCTATTTGTGTGTGAGCCTCCATATACTTCCTACCAATTTGTAGGCTCTATTCCAACTCTAAGGAAATTGTAGTAAAAACATTTTAATCATGTGTCATGATTTCTCATCTGGCTTCATTTTTTTTTAATTCCTCATTGCTATACATGGTACTTTATGTCATAGTCCTTTTAACTTCTAGGAAGTTTTGATGCCTCATCCAGAAGAAATCAGCAGATACAGTGTCAGTACAAGAACAAATGACTAGATTTAATGACTGTAGTAGCATTAAACCACATAGGCAAAGTCACACAGCTGGTTTAGAATGGAGTTATGGCTAATATCCAAGTTTACTAAATAATGTTTGTTCATGTGTTGGTGGCAGACTCAAACTTCTTACAGAGCCTGTACTTCATAAAACAAAATAATGATGTGTCAAATATGATTAGATCAAGTACATACTACTTTACTATGGAAACTACCTCATTCTGCTTTTCTTTTCCTTTTTTTGAGATGGAGTCTCGAACTGTCTCCCAGGCTGGAGTGCAGTGGCATGATCACAGCTCACTGCAAGCTCCGCCTCCCACGTTCATGCCATTCTCCTGCCTCAGCCTCCTGAGTAGCTGGGACTACAGACGCCTGTCACTATGCCCAGCTAACTTTTTGTATTTTTAGTACAGACGGGGTTTCACTGTGTTAGCCAGGATGGTCTCAATCTCCTGACTTCGTGATCAGCCCACCTCGGACTACCAAAGTGCTGGGATTACAGGCATGAGCCACCACACCGGGCCTGGAAATTACCTCATTCTGAATGTGTCATGTTTTTTCTAAAATAATCATTTTTCTTTTATTCACGTTGTTTTAAATAGAGTGCTTTGGATACAAAGACTATTAGGAACTGTTCATAAATTGTTGGTTTTGCAGTTTGAATTGTGCTGTAAGTATATATTTGTTACATATATATAATTAGTAATACATATCATCAATTACTGTGTAAAAAATTACAAACTTAGCAGCTTGAAACAACAAATGTTTATTTTACAGTATCTGTGGGTCAGGGGTAGGGACATGGCTTAGCTAGATCTTTGAAAGCCTCTTATGAGGTTGCAGTCAAGTGGTTGGCCAGACCCATAGTCATCTCAAAGTTACATTGAGAGTAGGTCTTCTTCCAAACTTCCTCACATTGACCTGTCCACAGGGAGGCTTCAGGAAATGGCAATTGGCTTCCTCCACAGTGAACCATCCAAAGGGACAGAGAGAGCACTCCTGGAGAGAACAAGAGAATGCCCGAGACAGAAGCTGCAGTCTTTTTGTAACCTAACCATGGCAATTTCCACCAGGTGTGCTGTATTTAATTCATTAGTAGCTAGCCATTCAGTCTGGCCCACACTCAAGGGCATAAAAAGCAGGAGGTGGAAATGATTGTGGAGAGGTCATCTAAGTGGTTACTTGCTCATCTGTCATTAGCTTACTTCTCTCCATTGACAGATAATCACTCAAACTCTCTCTCATACACACACAATGTGAGATGCACATAAAGAACTATCTACAGCCCAAATGATTTAGGAGATACTTCATAAATCTCATAAAACCTGATAAATGATTTTTACATGAGTTTGGCAGTTTGCATAGATTTAGACCATTCAGATCTCATCATTCTATCAAATTATCCCTTGGCCTGGCTAAATGGAGTTTTCCTGAGCTGTTTTGTAACTTTTCAGAATACACGCAGCCTGGAAGAAAACTCCAGAGCTCTTAGACTCCTGATTTATTGCCTCTGTTCCTGTTATATTAGGGAGTACTAGAAAAATATGGCCTGGTATTTGTAATAATGTCCTGCAGAAAGCCATAGGCTGTAATGTGACTTTTGTGTGTATGAAAATAATAGCTATTTAGGTGAATTCAAGATGTTTTGTTTTCCCTAGCCTCTCTATTAAAAATAAACATCAAGAGTGTTGGCTTGGTGGTTGGGGAATGAGTAGGGAGGGGATGGGTACTGGTTAACATTTAACTTGTGTAGCAGCGTTACTGATATGCCACTGGGAGATGGTGGTCCTGCTCATACGAACACAGGGAAATAAGGTAAATGAAGACCCTATAGGAAATAGGTAATAGTTTTAAGATATAGTCTAATTGGGGCTTGACAGGTAGAAAGCCAGAAAAAAGTCTCTTGAAAGTCTAGGCAGCTTGAGAAACCCCAAACAGAAATTACATAGAGACTTCAAACTGAGCAAGTGTTAGGCTGAATAATGGTCCCCCAAAGATGTCCATATCCTAATCCCAGAAACCTGTGAATATGTTGCTCAACATAGCAAAAATGACATTGCAGATCTAATTAAAGTTACAGACCTTAACATAGGGAGATTATCTCAGATCATTCAAGTGAGCCCACTTTAATCGCAAATTTTTTTTAGATTTGAGGAGGCAGGAAGGAGATGCAGCAGAACGGAAAATCAGAGAGATTCCAAGCATAAGAAGGATTTGGTGCGCTGTTGCTGGTTCTGAGATGGAGGAAGCCACGTGCAAGGACTGAAGAGAGGCCTGTGGAACCTGAGGATGGCCCGCAGCTGATAGCCTGCAAATAAATGGAATCTCAGTCCTATAACTGCAAGGAATTAGACTCTGCCAATGTCAGTGAGCTTGGAAGCAGATTCTTTCCTAGAGCCCTAGTCAGGGACACAGCCTTGCTGATACCTTGATTTTAGCCTGGAGAAATCTGTGTGGGACTTCTAACTCACAGAAGTGTTAGATAATAAATGGATGTTTTTCTTAGCCGCTGAACTCATAGTAATCTGTTATGGCAACAATAAAAAACTAATACAAAGTGTACGAGATACAAATCTCTTGTGTTTCTTTTTTTTTTTTTTTTTCCTAATACACAGGAGTGAGGCAGGCAGCTCGTTATGGTGATAGGTGAAATTCTCCTTAGGAACCAATATTTGAGGGGAACTCCAAGGTGTCTAGAAGGCTCTATCAACCTAAGGAATTTAGTGCACACAGAAAAGAGCATGAGGGATGTCCACAGAAGGCACTAACTCATCCCCCGCATAATGTGAAGCAGGCTGCTCAGCTGAGTCTAGTTTATACTGCACCGCCCCCTGACTCCACCACTACCCCTTTCTCACAGACTTGGGAGAGTTTCAGCCCAGCCCAGCCCAGCCCTCAGGCCCCTACATGGATATTGAGAGCAGCTGGGAAGGGGATGGAACAATAAAGAGCTCACATTTAGGTAATAAAAGAGGGTAAGCATAGAAGCCAATAAACTAAACAAGAATAGACCTCATCAATTAACCCCCACTAAGGCAGAGTCCCAGCATGAAAATAGATTCATCACAGAGGTATATAATGCATGAGATAGGCAGAAAATATTTAATAAAGCAAAAAGAAAAAAGCTCCACACTATATTAAAGCAACAGGTGCTTCAAATTAGTGATGTAACAAACATATTCCTTAGCAAAATGAGAGTCATTCTCTATTAATGTATCTTATGTTTAACATTACCTCAGCAAAGAAGGAAAAACAATTCATAAGATTCAGTTTAGACTGGAATTTTTCTCTAATATGTGGTGGGAAACTTGGAAATTTCTATTGCAATGGCCCAACAGTTGTGTAGAGTGATGAATGAAAATGTTTCAACACTGTTTATATTTGAAATGTTTCTTCTAAAAATGCGGTTGGCTTTTATCTCATGGTTATTGTGTATCTTGGAACAATCATATTGCCTCATTGGGTCCCTGGGATGCTCAGAACTAAAATACCAACCTATCAATGAGGCTTGCATTTCTATCCCTAGAGTCACCCGGTTTTCTCACCCTCATTTTGATCCTATACTGATTTCTTCATCTGTTTATTTCTGTTCTGTTGCATTCTGTGCATTCAGCCATGGATTTCAGACTCCTTTTGGAATGAGAGAGTAAAGGAGAAATGGAAGAGAAGGGAATGGAAAAAACATACAGGCATTTATTTCCCCTAACAGATGGCTGGGCAAAGCCTTAATCTGGGTACATGTCTGCTATAGACGTAACAGGAAAAAGTTCAAGTGTGTTAATTCCTGGGTGCACAGCCATTCGTAAATATTAAAGGTCATTGACTGGTTTGAAAATTTCAGCTGTGACATTTCTGCTCCTTTGGCTGACTGAATTCAGTTGTTGATCTGGTGGAAAGTCTTGCTTGACAGAGCAACTGCCCCTATTGGCTTTCTTCCTAAGTTCTGTGTTTTGAAAATGTTCTATGCCTGGTAGCAAATCAGGCACATCAGGTGCTCCACACATACTTACATTTTGAGATGATCTTTCCATCTTTTTGAAATTTATGCAATTAGCCTATGGTAACACTAGTAAAAGTGGATAGTAATAACTTTCTTTTTATCACATGTATAGCTTATAATATGCTTTCACATACATGATTTTATTTGATCTAAACAGGCTTGGAATGAGGTATGTTTAACAATTTATAAATCTGAATCACAGCCAATGAAATTTCTAGCCAAATACGTTCTTACATCTTAAGAGCTCCAAATTTCATTTTTCTCATTTTCCTTTCCTTTTACTTACTCTATTTAGTACTTTTTTATTCACTCATTGATTTTCTTATTTGTTTATTTTTTTCTTTCAATTTTTTTTTTTTGTGAACAAGCTTACTGTGCTTTAAAATGAAGGAAGTCATTCTCCTATACCCCTTTCCCTTCCTGTTTCATGGACTAACAAGAGGCTGGTGCGGACATCTACTTTCTGTTTTTCCTTTTTGTGGCGAAAGCATGGTGTGGGCTTCTGTTCTGTCCCAGGTAAGAGGCGCAAATGCAGTCTTTCTTGGTATGTGTTTTTGTCACATCCTTCTCACCCTGATGATTTGCATCAGAGCAGCCTTTGTCCAAAATGCAAAGAAAGAATTCTTAGTTACCTTGGGAGGGGAAAACCATGATAAAACAAGATATCACCACTTAATCTCCTATTGTACTCTAAGACCTTCACTGAAAAACTCTGCTTTTGGCTGTTTAGGGCACTTGCCTACTGATTTATGAGGAAGAATATTTTTAGGTATTAATTGACATCCTCTTCTCACAGTTTCTTGCATGTATCTTGTGACTGTACTCCATACCCAGGAAACTACGGCAGTCCACAGTTAGACTTCAGGGAATAAAATGAATAACACTGCTGAGTGCTACTGTTTACTTTTCTGGTCTTACCCCTTGACCATCTCCTACTTCCTTGCAATTTAATCTTCAGTCAGACTGAATTATACATACTCTCCCTACTTCCAAGGTCACTTGCATAAGCCATGGCTTTATTAGGGACACCATCTCACTCCCATCTCCTTCATTCTTACCTCAATAATTCCTGTCCATTTTCTAGAATAGGTGATACTTTCTCAGTGTCACCTTTCTTAACTGTTCAAGCTGAGTTGATTGGTCCTTCCGTGCATCTTTTCATGGTCCTACAGATCTCTCCTTCTTGATGTAGATGTTAGAGTTTTACTCTCTTCATGGAGCTCTTTGTGGCTTGTGTCCACAGCCTATTTCTACTGCCTCTGGTCCCAGGATCAAGTGATGTAGCAGCAGAAGGTCTAAGTGCTTCCAAAACCCAAGATCACACAGGTTTACAAATTAAAACCCAGAGTTCCTAACTTGAGTATTGGCTTCTATCAGACTAAAATAGAAATGTGTGTGTCAGTGTGTATGACCAGCTAAATATTTTTCCAGGTCTCTATTAGATTATATGTATTAGAGGGTGATATGGTTTGGCTGCATTCCCATCTAAATCTCATCTTGAATTGTAGCTCCCATAACCCCCACGTGTCATGGGAGGGACCTGGTGGGAGGTAATTGAATCATGGGGGCAGGATTTTCCCATGCTGTTCTCATAATAGTAAATAAGTCTCATGAGATCTGATGGTTTTAAAAAGGGGAGTTCCCCTGCACATGCCCTCTTGCCTGCTGCCACCTAAGACATGACTTTGCTCCTCCTTCAACTTTCACCATGATTGTGAGGCTTCCCCAGCCATGTGGAACTGTGAGTCCATTCATTAAACCTATTTTTCATTAAAAATTACCCACTCTTGGGTGTTTTTTTTTTTTTTTTTTTTTTTTGATGGAGTCTCGCTGTGTCGCCCAGGCTGGAGTGCAGTGGCGATCTCGGCTCACTGCAAGCTCCACCTCCCGGGTTCATGCCATTCTCCTGCCTCAGCCTCCCAAGTACCTGGGACTACAGGTGCCTGCCACCACGCCTGGCTAATTTTTTGTATTTTTAGTAGAGTAATTTTTTGTATTTTAGTTTCACCGTGTTAGCCAGGATGGTCTCGATCTCCTGACCTCATGATCCACCTGCTTTGGCCTCCCAAAGTGCTGGGATTACAGGCATGAGCCACCATGCCTGGCTGGGTGTGTTTTTACTAGCAGCGTGAGGATGGACTAACACAGAAGAGGTCCTACAATCTAAGTATTGTAATAAATGTTTCTGGAAATGGATAACACTAAAAATTCACATACTTAGAAATTAAGTTCACTTTACCCATCCTGTTCTGGTGTCCTTAGAAAAAGAAGAGAATTTGAGAAGAATGAGCCTCTCGGGATGGGAGGAAGTTTTGGCTTGCTTAGCAACAACATGACTCAGCAGTGAAGTTAAGCTTTCCAAAGGGCACCTGTGACTTGACTGAAGGCATCATACAGGGACTCAGAAGAGAAAATGAAGCAGACAATTCAACCTCTCGTCAAGTATTAAATAAAACATAATTTTCAACAGAAAACATAAAGTGCAACCAAGATTTCAAAACAAACCAGAAGAGTCAAAATTGCCCAAATCACATAGTTTGGGTATAAATGAAAGTGTAAGAGTTATAGTCTCCCTATGTAGTGAGTAGAGTGTGTACGGAGTGCATAATGTGTGCCTACGCCTGTGTGAGGGGCATTCCATTAAGATTTCAGAGAAACCACCATGCAGTGAATTACTGGACATATACTGGCACTGTGTTCTCTCAGCTGCTTATATTGAGTTGGTAAGATGTGAGTCACCCTACTATACAGTTGATCATCGGAAGACCTCGTGCCACAAAAGCAATGAGACTGGGATTGTTTCTAAGTGAGTATATGGTCCAAAAAGGGATGAGATGCGCAAACTACAATATGGCAAAATGCTCCACCAGCTGCAAACATTAAGCCTCAACCAAGATACTTAGGAAGTGGGGCAAGTCATTAAATTGTATTTTGTGGTCAGCTGTGGCTAATGTGGAAAATCCCTTTTTGTTTCAAAAATGTTATTCAAAGTTCTTCTGAAATGCATTAAATCACTCTCCTGCCTTTGAAGCTTATGTCTTTAACACAGAGCAGAATCAATGCAGAAGCTTGGGAGACTACTCTGAATGTATTCTCATCTCTAGATTTATGCTGGAATACGCTTTTTTGAGTCTTCTAACATGGTCTGATTTTTTTGCTTTCTTATGCCCCCTTCCTAAAAAATAAAATACTAAAAATACTATTAGTTTAGGGATCCAGCACTTTAGGTTCAGTTAAATGAAATTTTACTACATTATGTTTACACGGTGAAAATACTGTATGTTTTGAGAGGCTTGCAATTATTTTGTAGTTCAGGCTTGTAGGTTTGTTTTTTAAAAATTTATTATTATTATTTTTTAACACTATGACTTCCAGTTACTATAAAACCATCATTAGTATTAGGTTTATAAGTTGGCTATATTCTCCTACACCCACCAATTCAGATTCCCCCAAATGAATTAAATCAGGGTTATAAGCAGCATTATTGTCTATGTGATTATGCTTTTTAAAAATATTATAATATTATATTAAACTACTTAAGTATAAACATCTAAGGAGGCTATACTTAAACAGAGAGTAAGATCTAGAGAAACAAAAGGCTACAATGAGATGTCTTACTCACTGAATTCAACTTGTTAAAGTGTTACTTGATCTATTATTTCCTCCACCCGTCCCCCATTTCTTCTTAGGCTTAAACAGGAACAACATATCCAAATTCAGTTCCTGGTAGTGAAAGTGAGGGGAGAAGATATTTGATTCAAAAATGAAACATGTTCATGTGCTTATTGTCTTTGAAACCTCTAATAATTTAATTATCGTTATATATTATGATTTTTAACTTATTTCCCCATTGCACATTTAATACTTAACAGAGAGTATAACTGGGAAAGCCCTTCCAGAAATGTCCCCTCAGGTGGTGCAAATCCTTTTAACTACTTCCTACCAGACAAGATCTGCTCTGAGTTCTATTTTCACAAGGCCAGCTCTCTGCTAGTTACAGTTAATTTAAAAAAACAAAGCTGGAAGATAGCTAAGCTAGAATATGAATAGAAGCTGAGGCATGAAGGTTTTATCAGGACCAGACATAATTTGTTTTAGCCACAAACTTTCTGGGTAACTCCAAAGCAGCAATATTTAATTAGGGGAATCAAAACCTAGGCTGGGAGCAAGGAAGAAGTTTGAGGGCAGGGGATCCTTGCAATGCCCATTATCCCACGTCTTTGCATGCAGTTGACTCTTGCAAACTCAACAACTCAGGATCATTTCCATGAGGAAACTATTAGAAAAATAATCATACTTCCCCAAAGAAATCTCTTCCCAGGCCGGGTGCGGTGGCTCGCGCCTGTAATCGCAGCACTTTGGGAGGCCGAGGTGGGCGGTTCACGAGGTCAAAAGATTAAGATCTTTCTGGCCAACATGGTGAAACTCCGTCTCTACTGAAAATACAAAAAAAAATTAGCCGGGCACGGTGGCGCATGCCTGTAATCCCAGCTACTCGGGAGGCTGAGGCAGGAGAATCGCTTGAACCCGGGAGGCAGAGGTTGCAGTGAGCGGAGATCGCGCGGCTGCATTCCAGCCTGGTGACAGAGCAAGACTCCATCTCAAAAAAAAAAAAAAAAAAAAAAAAATCTCTTCCCAAATGATAACAAAATCATGCTTTATACTAATGAGGATAAGATAAAAAAAATTTGGTTTTATGATTTGTGGTCTCCTAGACTCTTTGTTGTGAAGTCAAAAATAAAAGCCAACTTTGGTGGGTAGAGGTGGCTTCTATGAGACAGTAGTTCTACAGTAGTTCAGGAAAGTCTGCTGTGACCGAAGAACTTTTCCCAGAATGCCTCACCAAGGGAGAAAATGGAGGGCAGAGTTCTATAAAAAGAAAAAAGAAGAGCAAAAATTCTTTTTGTAGGTTTCCCAAATAAGAACCACAGCCAGGTTATGTCATCCCTTTGCAATTTCAACACCACAACCAAAGACAAGTGATTCACCGTGATATAATAATGTCGCTCACATCCATGTCATGCCTGAGGAATTAGGCTCAGGAGTCCCCGAGAGAGAGAGAATTTCCCAGAAACATGGCTGAACAGTGGGATAAATGCTGAGATGGGGTTTAAGGAATACCTGGAAGACTCTGCTTCTCCACTTCACTTGATTAATTCCCTCTATCCATGAAATCTCTGTTTCCTCCCAGAAGCCATTCCTGATCCTCAGGACTATGTTGGATGCTTGGTCCAGGTGCTTCCATGGCATCCCGGGCTTACGTTGTGTGTAATTTTAGTTATTTGTCTTCACCAAAAGGCCATGTGCTCCTTGGTGGTATGGAGTATGCTCTTCTTTACCATTTATCTCCAGCAAAGGCCAAACTGCTTGCCACATAGTAGATGCTTAATAAATACTTGTTAATGGGGCAAACCATTTGAGCAAAATAAGGTCATTTTGGCTCAGTAGCATCACACAGTATCACATGTCCACACTGATTGGTAGTGGCTACCCAAACGGATGGGTTGAGGACTTTAAGGCTGCAATGAAACTTTGTGGTAAATAGTACCAGCCTCAAATAGTGATGTCTGAGGTGTTTGCTCTGCTCTGAAACTTGTCTTTTGATTTTGTTCTTCCTGAAACACTAACGTTGAATTCTATGATGTAGTTGCTTATTGTTTACACTGAACTCAAAGCCATACTGGAAGTAACAATAAACAAACAAAACAATAAACAACAACAAATTAAACTTCAAAGAGGACAACTTTGAGGAAAATTTTCACTTACAGTGGCAGCCCAGTTATGTATAATAATTCTCTCAACTTCTAATTAAAGACCTATAAAGACACATGCATGCACACACACACATACACGCACCAAGGTTGACAGCAATATTGAAGGCTAAAGAGAAAACCATAAATGTAACTCATAGGGATTTGAGGATCACAGCTTTGATGGGCTTGACAGAGTAGCCAAATCAGGGAAACAAAAGAGCTGAAAGATAACATGAAGTGGCTTTGGCTTAAGTACAGTCTTTGACCACTGATAGAAACTCAAGCAGCTGACTTCTGAGCTGGCCAGAGTCCTGCCTTATTCTCCCATCATATCCCAAACTACATGGCTCTTTTCTTTTTCTCCCTTTTGAAGACTTTACATCTAAGTAGGTAGCACAGTGGAGAGGAAACAATTGTAATGACTGTAACTCTTGGATTCGTAGTGAGGGATCAAGGAAGTGCTTAAGGAGCAGGGCATTTGTGAGTGTAGTAGTCTTTCTTTATACACACAAAAAAGTACTCTGCTCTGCATCTGGCTTGCTCACACAGTGGCAAAATTCACAGATCAGGAGACAATGCCATTTCATGCTAATACAGCCATATGTGGCAGAGTCTGTTATATCTTCATAAAACCCTGTTTCCTTTTCATCGGGGACAAAGAGCTAGACCACATTTTTCCAATTTCTCACAGGTCGGTGCAGCCTATGACTATATTCTGGTCAATGGAAAGGAGTCAAAAGTGATGTAAGCCACTCAAAGGCTTAAGTGTCAAACCTTCTGCACTATCTGCTACCCTTCCTCTGTTTCTTGGCCTGCTGCCCAAATGCAGAAGATCTAATGAAGAATTTCAAGCACTAGCACATTGAAGAACCACTAGATGAAAAGAGCCTATAGTGCCTAACAGACTGTGTAGCAGAGATACTTTTTCAGAACTTCATTTGACTGATATGTAAAGGAGAAATAAATATTGTGTTAAATCAGTGAAATTTGTGATTTCTTTCCAGCAATTAGCTTGTACCGTAACAGATCATTTTTGTTAGCCAGCAGAGATTAAGGAGGTATTCAGAATCCTGTGCATTGAAAAGTATTAGACCCGGTGTTCTGGTAGTCTGTTGTTTTGATCTACCATGTATTATGCCAAATTTTAGGGATTTATAGCAACAATCATTTTATTATATTTCATGATGTTGTGGGTCAGGAATTCAGGCAGGCATTGGTTAAGCGAATCTTCTCCATGTGGCATAGCTCAGGGTCACTCACCACTATTTAGCTATTTAGCTGGAGGCCAGAAAGAATAGATTGAAATAAAATTGAATGAAAGGTAGTTAATTGCATAATTAAAGAACACCCTCCCGAAAAGAAAGCAAAAAGAAAACCCAAAATGCAATTGCATGATTAATAGCCTCATTAGTCACATTGAATATTAGAAATGATAATGGAGAATATCTAATTACTTCAGGGCATGTAGATGAACAGGTTCTATCATCTGCTTTTAAGCCTAGTTTAACAGAATTCATTTCTGAGTACTTCAGGACAAATTATCCCTTATTTTCATTATTTCAGCTCTTGTAAGATAAGATCAATTAACAAAAGTGTTATCTAAATCTCTCCAGTCTCTACTCCTCCATAACAGCTCCCAAAAACATAATCTACCATTTGTTCCTTTACCATTCACTTGTAGACTATAAAACTCATGTTGTCAATGACTTGAATATTGGGTCTTCAATGAGGTGATACAATATTCTTTGTCCCCATGAATCCTTTCTGATGAATGATGATAACATGAATCTATTATTCTATTATGGAAAGCAGTTTATTTGAAAATAATGAGATCTGGAAGCAGTCAAAGTAATCAAAGAGTGCTTCAAATACTTTCCTTCTCCACCCATGGGAAAGAAAGATGACTGGCCAAGTTACCCAAACTAAGGCATTTCTGTCATGTATTCACTATCAATAAAACTACAGACAACCTGCAGAATAGGAGAAAATATTTGCAAATTATGCATCTGCCAGGGGACTGGTATTCAGAATTTATAAGAAACTCAAATAACTCAACACAAAGGACACAAATAAGCCCATTAAAAAGTGGGCAAAGTACATGAACAGATATTTTTCAAAATAAAACATATAAATGGTCAAAAAATATATAAAAACATGCTCAATATCACTAATTGTGTTAGTCCATTTCACATTACTATAAAGAAATTCGTAAGACTGAATAATTTATAAAGACAAAAATTTTACTTGTCTCATGGTACTGTAGGCTGTATAAGCATGGCACTAGTGTCTGCTTGGCTTCTGGTGAGACCTCAGGAATCTTCCACTCATGGCAGAAGGTGAAGGGGGAGCTAGTGAGTCACAAGTCAAGAGAGGGAGCAAGAAAGAGAGGAAGAGGCACCAGGCTCCTTTAAATAAGCAGCTCTTGAGTGAACCATGAGAGAGAACTCACTCATTACCATGAGGAAAGCACCAAGTTGTTCATCCACCAGGCCCACCCTCGATACTGGAGATCACATTTAAACATGAGATTTGGAGAGGACAAACATTCAAACCATATCACTGACCATCAGAGAAGTGCAAATTAAAATCGCAATGAGATATCATCTTACACCAGTCAGAATGGCAATTATTAAGAGGTCAAAAAACAGATATTGGCAAGGATGTTGAGAAAAGGGAACACTCCTACACTATTGATGAGAATGTAAATTAGTGCAGCCTCCTTGGAAAACAGTATGGAGATGTCCAAAGAACTAAAAACATAACTACCACTCAACCTGGCAATCCCACTACTGGGTATCCATCCAAAGGAAAATAAATCATTATATCAAAAATATACCTGCACTCGTATGCTTATAGCAGCAATATGCACAATAGCAAAGATATGGAAACAAACTAAATGCCCGTCAGTGGAAGAATGGATAAAGAAAATGTGATAGATAGATAGATAGACAGATAGATAGATAGATAGATCAATCCACCATGGAATACTATTCAGCCATAAAAAAGAATGAAATCATGTATTTTGCAGCAACATGGATGGAACCGGAGGCCATCATCTTAAGTGAAATAACTCAGAAATGGAGTCAAGTACTACATGTTCTCACTTATAGAGGGGAGCTAAATAATGTGTACACATGGACAAAGAGTGTGCAATGTTAGACACTAGGGACTCAGAGGGGTGGGTGGGCAGAAGCAGGGAAGATGATGAGAAATTACTTAACAGGTACAATTTACATTAGTTGGATGATAAATACATTAAAAGCCAAGATTTCACCACTTAGCAATATATGCACATAACAAAATTGCACTTGTACCCCTTTAATTTTAGCAAAAATCCCTATGGTAGTGCTCTTTTATTTGTGGTTTCACTTTCCATGGTTTCGGTTACTCACAGTCAACCACAATCTAAAACTATTACATTTAAAATTTCATAAGTAAACAACTTATAAATTTTAAGATACACGTCATTTGGAATACTGCGATGAAATCTCTCATCATCCTGGTGCATGTCCATCCATTTGTACAGCATCTCCAGGCTGTAAATACTCCTTGCCCATGAATCACTTGGTAGCCATATGAGTGATCAGATTGACTGTTACGGTATCACAGTGCTTGTGTTCAAGTAACCCTAATTTTACTTAATAATAACCCCAAAGTGCAGAGTAGTGATGATGGTGTTTCAGGTATACCAAAGAGAAAGTGCTTCCATTAAGTGAAAAGGTGATAGTTTTGGACTTAATAAGGAGAGGGGAAAACATTTATTTTGAGGTTGCTAAGATCTATGGTAGGAAGAAATTTTCTGTCCATGAAATTGCAAAGAGCGAAAAAGTAATTTGTACCAGAGTTGCTGTCACGCAACAAAATACAAAAATTACAGCCACAGTGCATGATACGTGCTTAGTTAAGATGGAAAAGGCATTAAAGTGGTAGGTGGAAAATGAACAGAAATGTGTTCTGATTGACAGCCATTGGGTTTAGTATTATCTGCTGTCTCAGAAGATCTACCCGAGGATGGGGGGACTACTGTAATTTGACTATGAAATAACTCCCATTGTAATGAAGGTTAAGAATGAATAAACATAACAGCTACCAACACATAGAAATGCAGTCTATAGTTTGCCCATGCACCTGGCTGATTCTCCTATTTTGCTTTTTTTGGAGAACTTACATTTAAGCACTGACGGTGCCTGGATTTGTCTCTTGAACTCCACTAAAAAAATAAAGTGTTATTCCACTTAGCATTTGAGTGCATATACTTTTGTAATGTTTTCTAGTGGTTTTTAAATGTTTTCATTTTATTTTTCTAAGCAGATCCTTAAAGGCAGGGACTTTGTGAATTCTCAACATTTATCCCAATTCTTGGCAATCAGTAACTAATTGCTGAATAATTGAGAATCAAAACAGCAAATGCCACTTCCAATCTTCGGTCTTGCAAAAGCTATACTTGGAATGTATGACATTATTGATTAAAATGAGGTTTGGGTACATCTTTGTCTTCTAATTTTCCATGCTATTTTTATTTTCAAAGAGGCAGTATGGTATAAGGCTAAAGATTGGCTACTTGAGCCTGGTAGGTATATGTATCAGCTTCACCGCTTTCTAGAATTCTAACCTTTTGTAACTCAGTTTCCTCATCTTTACAATGGAAAATATAATACTATGTACTTTACTACCTAATCTGTGGTTGGCAGATTAGCTAAATTAATAAAATAATTTAGAAGAGTGCTCAGTACATATTAAGTATTTTTTTGATAGGCAGAATAATGACCCCGTGCCAAAGACGTCCACATCCTGGTCCCTGGAACCTGAAATACGTCACAGGGAAAGAAATATTGCTAGGGAAGCAGAAGTTGCAGTGAGGCAGGACCATGAGCCATGGAGCTCAGGTAGCATCTAGAAGTTGGAAAAGGCAAGAATTTGATTCTCTCTTAGAACCTCCAGAAGGAATGCAATTCTGCTAACACCTTGATTTTAGCCCAGTGAGATGCACTGTGGATTTCTTACCTTTAGAACTGTAAGATAACAAACGAGTTGTTTTAAGCCACTGAATTTGTGGTAATCTTTCATAGCAGCAAGAGGAAACGAATACAATACTTAATAAATGTACTATCAGTAACCCTCACAACCACAAATAATTGAGAAAGTCTACCTGAGCAAGATGAATATACAAAACTACACCAGAACAGATTACAAAGCACATAGCTTTAATTACACTTTGCTGTGAACGGTACAGCCTCATATCTCAAGGCAAGAAAACAAAAACAAAAACAAGAATTGTAATAAATATTCCAGTTTCCCTGCTTTACTTTTGAAAAATAAATGTTTTTGAAAAAATAAATCAAGCATGTAAAGTTCCCTCAATTCCCACTTTTAAGCAGAGAATGCCCATTAGTGAGCTTGTGGTTATGCTGTTTGTATATTTTCCCCCTCTTGCTAAGAATCTTCATGTTCCCACGAGAATCTAGAGGTACCCAAGTCACATGATGTTCCTCCTGTAATATTTTGTCCTGTACAAACAATAGGATGCCAATTATCCAGGGTTAACATGAAAAACAATAAGAAATTACAATGATTTTATTCCTGTTGAACTGATCATAGGAAATTAGAAGTTTTGACAGAACTGTATGCCTGAAAATCATCCAATTTCTCATCTCTTTTCAGAGGGTTCATTTCCACACCAACCTTAAGCACCCAAGAAATCAACCTTTTTTTTTCCTTAAGAGACAAGGCTATAATCTACTTCAGAAATTCTGCTTTCTTTCCAGTCTTCCTACTTCCCTATACCCACATAATTTTTTTTATGTGAACTAAAACTCGACCACATGATGCAAAGGTTTAAACATAGTTTTTTCACTACATTTTAAGACAGTTTATTCTTTATCCTCAAAGAAGAAATAATGTGGGCTCTTTTCCTGCTTGTTCTATTGTAGATATAGCTATGCCATAAAATATATGGTAGGTAGAGGAAAGGACAGGTAGTTGATGGAGAGTCTCTCCTCAATGGCCTTGTGTATAAGTAGAGGGATATAATCTATTCTTTAATTTTAGGTTTTTCTTCATTTGTTTTCAGTTGGCAACTGTGACATACCTAGATGATGTTTCCATTAGATATATACAAATATGTATGTATGTATATACACAGAAATACTTACATCCATATATTCTAATAATGCCTCTATTTCCTAAAAAATGATTCAGGCTAAAAACATGTGGCCAGGGAAGCTATCAAAGACAGCTAAGACTCTGTCAAAAGGGCTCAGGAGCCAACATAAATAGGCTTCCAATAATTCATTAATTCTGAGCATCGAAATGGGTTATAAATAAATAGGTTAGATACAAAGATTTTTTAATCCATTAATCCATAGTGATACTTAAAAATATAAGCCATTACTGTTGTAGGATGCTAGTGAACCAACTATTATATTTTGAAAACCTGTAAATAAAAGAATCACAATTTTATTCTGTCTTTTCTATGTGAACTATCTCTTGGAGTGGTGGCCAAATAGTGGCGAGAGGAATTATAGACGCATTTCAGTTAATAAATGATGAAGCAATGATAAAATTAGAATATCACCCCTTTGCGACTCCTAATGGAATAATGGATCTAGGCAATAGTCACTGACGGCTGCTAACGTCATGAAATAAAAGATTATTCCTCCTTATTGACCTCCTGGTGGGAGCACATGTCACAGCCTGTAAAGGACTCGCCAAGGAAACTGAACCTGAATCTCGTGAAGCATCCATATCTAACTACAAATACACAATAAGCAATATGAATGGAGGGATATGCTCAGTACACTGTAGGAAAACAGGCAGTAAAATTCAAAGTGTAGAAAGTACAGGACAAATAACCTGGCTTTATAAGGAAACTCTGTAAAGAAAAAGCAAAGAAATGAAAAGAAAACTATAGGTTGAAATCCACATTCTTCTATTTTTTAATTATAGTTTTTTAATTAACAAGTAAAAATTGTATATATTGATGTTGTACAACATGATGTTTTGTGGAATGGCTCAATCAAGCTAATTAACACAAGCATCACCTCACATACTTACTGTTTTGTGGTGAGGCAGTTTTAAACCTGTAGTTTAAGAGACACTTGGTAGATATATCAACCGAGCAAAATATATGACTTTATTTAAATCACATTTAAAATTATTTTTTAAAACCTCCAAAATATAAAACATTTTTAAGACAAATAAATCTGAATACAACTGGATGTTAATTTTAATTATTGCATTTATCAATTTGGGAATATACAATTCTTTTTCTGAGGAAACAGATTTCAGTTCTCTGATTAAATTTTCATTTTTGTTGTATATATCCATGAACATATTGATCATGATTATTTTAAAAGACTGTTTTTAGTAACACCAATATTTAAACCACCTGTGATCCTTTTTCTTTTTTGTTTTTTGTCATTTCTTGGCATGCCTGGTAATTTCTAATTGACTGCTTGATATTGTGCATGAAGAATTATAGATACTCTTTCTTTAGAGAAGAGATACCCTATGCTCTGGCTAAATACAGACAGATCACCCTAATCTAATCAGTTTACCTGTGATTTATCCCCCGTTACAGTGTAACCCTCTGAGGTTCTGATTGAGAGCCTAGGTTGTTTATCAGGGTCTGATAAAGCCCTGGACTCCAGCTTTTTTGACTCCCAAGCATTGAAAGCTCTGCTTTTAGCTGCTTTTTGTTTGAGCTCTTGTTTTGTTTTGCCTTCTTTTTTTACTACACATCTAAAGATGTGGCAATTACCTCAAGCGGAAAATCAGCAGAGTGTTGGGGTCATTTTCTTGTGACTCTCTTTAGTCAGGGATTTTAGATTCTCAAGCCCTGCTTGTCTTAGCCAGGCTAAACTCCAGCTCTTCTCTCTCCAGATGCCAGTGTGTACTGGCTTTTTGCCTCTTAATAGGGGCACACTCCCTAGCTTCTCAACCTCTCACTTTTGAGGCTGAGGAACTGGCAAGTGCTGCAAAAGAAATAACAACGTAAAGAGTTTCAAGCTTCCTTCCCCCTAGGATCTTGACATTTCAAATCCTTCCTGCCTCAAAAACATCTTCAAGCA
Source organism: Homo sapiens (assembly GCF_000001405.40). Classification (NCBI taxonomy): domain Eukaryota; kingdom Metazoa; phylum Chordata; class Mammalia; order Primates; family Hominidae; genus Homo; species Homo sapiens. The sequence goes on along the minus strand of NC_000005.10, from coordinate 40,213,156 downwards.
TCAGAGTTGTGTCTCATTCATCTTTTCCAGTTCTTGGATCTGTCTTGTTCTGTTACAAGCTACTTTGTTGTAGCTAGAAGTAGAGGTTTTCATTGACTGGATATTTGATATTATTAAGAAACTCTTATTTAAATAATTTTAATATTACTATTAAAAATAGTAAATATCTAATGATAATATTAAGGTTACGTATGTTTTAAAAGTATCTTTATGCCAGGCTTGGTAGCTCATACCTGTAATCCCAGTGGTTTGGGAAGCCATTTTGGGAGAATCACTTCAGGCCAGGATTTCAAGACCAGCCTGGGCAACATAGCAAAACCCTGTCTCTATAAAGAAATAAAAAATTAGTTGGGCATGGTGGTGTGTGCCTGTAGTCATAGCTACTCAGGAGGAAGGTAGGACGCTTGCTTGAGTCCAGGAATTTGAGATTACAGTGAGCTATGATTGTATCACTGCACTCCAGTCTGGGTGACAGAGAGAGACCTTGTTTCAGAAAACAAACAAACAAACAAACAATTTTGAAATACATCATAATATTTTGCTTCACAATAATGGCAAGAGGGTGAGTAAGTAAGGAATATACAATAGATGCGTCAAGATTTATCTTGAATTCATAATTGCTAAGGTTGAATGAGGGTACATGATTGAGTTACAGAATTCTGTCTCCTTTTGTATATGCTTAAAATTCTCTATAATATAAAGTATAATAAATAAAAAACATAGGGCCTTTGTATTCTTGGTTTTCTTCCAACAGGTGTAAAATTATCCTTTGAGAAATAGGCTAAGTAAAGGAACTTCTATTAAAAAAAAACCCCAACAACTAACTATATATTGAAAATAAAGATATATACTTTCTTAAACAGAGCCACAGCCATGAAGAGACTGAATGCTTTGCTTGTTAGCTGCACTCAAGCCAGATTTATGACAAAAAGAATAATATGTTGAAGGCATAAAGGACAATGTGCATGACGGCTTAGGAGAGAGCATACATGAATGAATTCAGGAGGCAGTCCATGCTGAGTAGAAAAAGCACTGGGTTGAGGTTGTGTTCCAGTTTACTGAGGGTCCTCATGGGCAAGACAATGAGTCAGGAAAGAAGATTAAAAAGTAGGATAATTCCTGCTCTAGATTTGTTTAAAATTTAATCCCAGTTCAAGGTTATGCTAATTTATAAAATTATAGTTAGAAAAGATACAACATCACATTCATTTCTTATCAGTGAACTCTACTTTTCAGCACTTTTAAAACGGGATTTCAAAGATTTAAAAAATGCCATTGGGACACACAGAGCTCAGGACAGATTATCTTGTTTTTCTCTGCCTTCAAGTTGCCACAGCATGGGATCCATGTAAAATCAGATTAAAGCAAACACCAAGAAGCTTCCTTGATGGCAGAATGAGCTAGTTGAGACGTTATTCTCCTCAGTGGTTGGTTTACTCAGTCTCTACTCATCTACCTTAGCAGCAGTAGCATGCATGAGGTCCCCCCAAGACTGTGCTGGGGCGATTGTCCTGGTTCATTATATCCTATGTGTGGATAAACCTGCCATCTTTCGAATCACACAGGGAAACTCATGATTTATACAGAAATGCTTTGAGTTTTTTTCTCTTTCTTTCTTTCTTTTCTTTTTTTTTCTTTTTTCAGGGTCACACTCTGTTGCCCAAGCTAGAGTGCAGTGGCATGATCTCTGCTCCCTGCAACCTCCACCTCTGAGATTCAAGCGATATTCCTGCCTTAGCCTCCCGAGTAGCTGAGATTACAGGCGTGCGCCACCATGCCTGGCTAATTTTTGTATTTTTAGTAGAGACAGGGTTTCACCATGTTGGCCTGGCTGGTCTCGAACTGCTGACCTCAAGTGATCTGCCTGCCTGGGCCTCCCCAAGTGCTGGGATTACAGGCAGGAGCCACTGTGCCCGCCCTGCTTTGAGTTTTTATGGATCCTTTTTCCCAGATAGAAATTACTCATTTCTGAGAAGCTGTTGAAGCTATTTACAGGTTATTGTATTTCAATTGCCTCTCTTTTTTCTGTTTAATTTTACTATTTTTTATGGGAGTGATGCTAAAAAGACCTCCTTGAAGGAAACAATAGATTGTAGAGTAAATACAAAGCCAGTTATTCTGTATCCTCATTTCAGATGGGGATTGTCATACTTCAAAACTTAAGCAAGTGTAAGTGGATTTAGCTAGTATTTCAAGCTTCAACATGAAAAGAAGTTGCATCAGCTAATTGAAAATACATTATGAGTTATTGTTTCAATTTCTCAAGGCATCTCTACTTCCAGTAAGTGACTACAGATAACTGTTGAAAAATGTGCCTATCTTCCAGTATGCACACATATAATACATAACTTTGTGTATGCGTAGGCATGTATGTATATGTATATGTATACTTATTTGAAACATTCTTTTATATTCTAGTGAATAAGTTCATTGAGAAGAATGTACACAAAAGGCCCATGCTAAGGCAGCTATGTATACTAGTAATTCTAACAATTTGGAAAATCATTTGTTTCTGGTACACCTTTGGAGATAACTGAAGGTATCCAGAAAGCAGCAATCTGTGTCAAAGGCCCTGGATTCTACTGTAAACTCTGCCACTAACAAGTGGTCTTAATCAAGTAAATCAAGTAAATGGACTCTCTGTGCTTCAGTTTTCCATCTGAAAATTGAGGTTTTTAGATTAAATCTTCCCTAAAGTTTAATTTTGGCTTAAAATTCTGATGTTATAATGTGACATCAGTGGTTTTAATAAAATAACTGCATATTTCCTTACAACTACAAAATAGTGCCACAGAATATTCTAGATTTATAAAGAAGGATTAAGGTAAATTGAACTCTAATACTATTGTTGAGCAATAATAATTAAAAATGTCTAATCTTTACTGTATGATTACAAACAAAGAGGAAATAACATAACAAGTAGTATAGTTTCCATTCTAGATTAGCTAAAAATGTAATCCATTTCAAGGTTATGCTTAATTTATGAAATTATAATTTAAAAAGATGTGGCATCATATTCATACACTAGGCATCAAGCTACATGCTTTACACACTCATTTGACTTACAACCTTGTGGGATGGATACTATTAATATTTCAAATTTACAGAAAAATGGATAAAGGTAAGGATATGCAAATTATCTATAATCACTCAGCCAGTATATATTAGAGCTGGGATTTGAACCCAGGTAGATTGTCTATAGATCTCATGCTTTTAAACCATGCCTGTTCCCTGACACTTTACAGTATTTCATTGTCTATGATCTTTTATTGTTTTCTCATATACGTTGTAAATGTTTATACCATGGTTCTATCTAAAATACCTGATGAAAGTGTATTTTGTTTTCAATGTGCCCCAAGATTTACAAATTTTTATAATACTCTTTGTCTTTTCATATGGTCAAAGAAATCCTGGAAGTTAAAGTTAGTATTATTGTTATTTTTTATATGAAATAATAGAGACTCTGAGAAGTCTGCCAGGCTTTCATAACTAGGTCTTAGGGTTGGGTCTCCATATTTTAGATTCTATCTGCTCTTTGCTTTTCCATTGTACTACTTATATTATAAACATGCCATTTTCCATGGTTAGGATGAAAGAAACAAACATAAAATTTGTAAAATAATCATATAATTGCGTTTCTCAGGTATTAGTACATTTGACTTGTGGTGTGGTTTCCAATTATGTTGAAAGAAACAAGATTCTCTCCCTTGATTTTGGAAGATCAAAGCCTTCCTGCATTGGTTACTTTCAGAGATATTGAAATGTGTTCTGCAGGTCATGATAATAAAATGGTACTTATGTGGTTTTTTTCATTAACTATTTATGTAAAATAGAAGACTCATAGACTAAGAAGGATATTGAATGATTTTCTAGTTGCCAATTCAAACAAGTATGTAGTGCACAGTAGCTATGTTATACCCAAGTAACAGGTCAATTAAATGAGTGGAACTGCCAGTTGTTTGCACAGATTCAAGAGGCAAAAATCACAGATCTAGGCTGTCCTATTACTACAGGCCAGAGGTAATAAAAGCTTTCTGTAGTCAGTTGACTAGAATGTTCTGGAGTAAGTGGTTCAGTCCCATAGCTTCTCCATTTGCTTTCCTCTTGCAGTAGTGGCATCATTTGTTGAGTAGTTTACTGAAAGCTGACAATATGCAAGTCACTATGCTGGCAGTGAGAACTTTAAAGACATAAAAATACAATCCTTGCCCTAGAGGATCATTTAGTCACACACAAAAAAGGCCAATCAGCCAAGATATGCAAAGTCAGGGGGTTCAGGAGAGATTGTTTCAAAATAATCACATTGATAAAATAATTAATGTGCTGAAATGTATTGATGAGGTATTTACAAACTTTGGAGAAAACTTGGGTCTGAATTGTTAAAAAATGTACAAAGAAATTTCAGTAAGTAAAAAATTACGACAACTGTAATCACTAGAGAAAAAGCAAATATGCAGGAAAAAAGAGGTAATCACTATGTACTACTGGGCACAGCTGTGAATAGCATTTACATGTGCTTAATAATGTAGGAAGTGAATACTTATCTATCCAATATTGCAAAGTAAATGTTAGCAAGATAGAGAGAAAGCATGTGTCTGTAGATCAAATCATATCTGCATCAAGAATTACAATTATATTAAACATGTATTGAACCTTACATAATGAGATTTTGAAAAGCATTCTTAACAATCACTCTTCTTGTAGACATGCCCTGTTGCTTACTTTAGTCACTTTCTATGTTGATGTACTGCTATTAACTAGAATGTAATGTTTTAATGTGAAAATATACAGAGTTAGTAAAACAGCGAGCTACCAGCAATCACATATTTTAATGTTTTGACTAAATAATGTGGGAAAATATGAAAACAATATTTTGATAAGACTATCCAACAGCAAATAACAATGTATTGGTATTACTACTATTTTATAAGATGCTTTTGAATTAAAAGAGGTAATTTCCCTTATTAAAAAAGTTTTCATGTTAACAATTGAATCTAGGTGCTGGGTATACAAGTATTCATCGTATTGTTCTTTCAACTCTTCTGTGTATTTGAAGAGTTGAAATTTTTCACAATAAAACGAGGAAAAAGAACTGCAATCAAAAAAACAAAAAATAAAAAAGTTTTCAAATTTCATTTTATTTTCAATTGGCAAATAATAATTGTAGATATGTATGGAGTACAATGTGATGTTTTGAGTCGTGTACACTGTGGAGTGATGAAATTAGTCTAATTAACCTATCTATCACCTCACATATTTATCATTTCTTAGGGGTAAGAATACTTAGAATCCACTCTTTCAGCAATTGTGAAATGTACAATACATGATTATTATTAACTATATTAACTGTGCTGTGCAATAAATTACCAGAACTTATTCCCACTGTCTAACTGAAACTTTGTACCATTTGACGAACATTTTCCCTTTTCCTACCCATTTCCTGCCGCCTCCTCTGCTTCTGGTAACCACCATTCCACCTTCTACTTCTTTGAATTTGACTTTTTTAAGATTCCACATATAAGTGAGATTATGCTGTATTTGTCTTTCTGTGCCTGGCTTATTTCACTTAGCATAATGTTCTCTAGATTTATCCATGTTGTTACAAATGACAGAATTTCAATTTTTTTTTTTTTTTTTAGATGGAGTTTTTCTCTTGTTGCCCAGGCTGGAGTGCAATGGCGCGATCTCAGCTCACCGCAACCTCTGCCTCCCAGGTTCAAGCAATTCTTCTGCCTCAGCCTCCTGCAGAATTTCATTTTTTTAAAGCCAGATAGTATTCTATCATTTACCTATACCGCATTTTTAAAATCCATTCATTCATTGATGGGTACTTAGGTTGTTTCTATGTCTTGCTATTGTGAATAGTGTTGCAATGAATTTAGGAATACAGGTATCTCTTTAACATACTGATTTTAAGTACTTTGGATATATACCCAATGATTGCTGGATCATATGGTAATGCTATTAATATTTTTAGTGTTTTGAGAAACCTCCATACTGTTTTCAAAAATGGCTGAACTAATTTACATTCCCACCAACAGTGTCCAAGGTTTCCTTTTCTCCACATCCTCACCAATACTTATCTTTCATCTTTTTGATAGTAGCCATTCTAACACGTGTGAGGTGATATCTCATTGTGATTTAATTTGCATTTATCTGATGGTTAGTGATGAGCATTTTTTCATAATCTGTCAGCTACTTGCATGTCTTAAGAAATCTCTAGTCAAAGAAAAAAGTTTAGACTTGTGCAGAAATAATGATGATACTAAGAATTATGAGATACGTACAACATAAGAGATTCCCACATGGAGTCTTCAAAAATCAGAAGAGAGATAAAACCTTCACAGGTTAGATGATCAGGGAAGAGTAGATGGGTTAAGTAGAATTTGCATGGCTTTGCACCTCGACAGTGCCTATAAAAAGCTTTCTATTACCTGACATACATTTGTGACGCTGTCTGCACTTAGTAATGTTTACTCTCTTTCTGTTTTAAATACATTTTGTTTTCGATGTTTTACTTTCCACTATAATGTTTGTAATATGGATTCTTCTTATTTCACTATTTGGGATTTATTGTCCTTACTAAATCTACAATTTATATACTCTTTATCAATTCTAAAAAGCTTAGTCATCGTCATTTTGAAAATAATCTCTCTGTAGCTGCCACGGAGAATTCTAAACAAATGTATTTGAAAGTATTTTATTCTTATCTTTCATGCTTTTAATTTTATAATTTCACGTTATGTCTCTTGGTTTCGTTACAGGAATCTTCTTTCAGTTCACTAATTGTATCAGTTTATCACTGCTGCATAACAAACCATTCTGAAACTCAGCAGCTTAAAACAATGAGTATGTATTACTATTGCTCATGAACCAAGTCAGCAGGCTGATCCTTGTGATCTCAGTTAGATTCACTTAGGTGTCTGAAGGAAGCTGTGGGTTGGCTTTGCAGATTTTGGCTGGTTTTAGCCAAAATGTCTGGGGTCTCAACTAAGATGACTCAGCTCTTCTCTGGGTACTCTCTCATCAGGCTAGCCTAGGCATATTCTCATGGTGGTTATGGGGCTGTGATAGAGCAGGACCATTGAGGCCAAGTCTCAAGCTCCTATCAGGTTTCATTATTATTTTTGTGAACCCTACATATGTTGCCTTTGCAAACATCACTTCATTAAAAAGTATAAAAATCATGTTTTACAATGGTATTGGTAGAAAGATTAATATGATCCAAGCTACACTTATTACTGTAACTTCATCTTTTTTCTCCTACTTAATTAATTGTTATTATTATTTTTGGAGATAGGGTCTCACTCTGTTGCCCAGGCTGGAGTGCAGTGGCATGATCTTGGCTCACTGCAGCCTTGACCTTCTGGGTTCAAGCCATCCTTCCACCTCAGCCTCCTGAGTAGCTGGGTCTACAGGTAAGGGCCACTGGGCCTGGCTAATTTTTACACCTTTTTTTTGTGGAGATAAGGTCCCAGTCTCACTATGTTGCCTAGGCTGGTTTCAAACATGTAGGTTAAAATGATCATCCCACCTCGGTCTCCCAAAGTGCCGGAATGATAGACATGAGCCACCACATCTAGCATTTTTTCTACTTTAAAATAAATTAATATTAAAACACTTTTATGGGCCTCTGAAAGTACTATGGTCCCCAGAAATTTTAGGAATTGTGACATTCATGCCTAATGAATGTCAGCCCTGCATGCTATCACTTCTGCCACATTCTCTTGGTCAAAGCCAATCGAAAGGCAAGCCCAGACTTTAAGACTAGGAAAATAGACTCCACTAATTTAATGAGCTCTGCAAAGTCACACTGCAGAGGGTTTAAATATAGGGAGGGATGAAGAGTTGAGTTCATTTTTTAATCAATCTACCACATCAATTCTCTCTTCCTGTATATTTAATCTATTTAGTTCATCTGTTATTTTTGTTTCTTGCTTTTTTTTGGTTCAAGTTTTTGTTTTCTTTCATTTCCAAACACATTTAAAGTATGCTTATTTTGTATTTTGATTCTAATAAATGTAATACCAAAAAACTTACAAGGCAAATTGTTCGTGTGTGTGTGTGTGTGTGTGTGTGTGTGCACGTGCGTGCTAGCTCTTGCTCTTGGGAGTTTATTTTTTTATAATTTGGTAACTTTGATTTGATGGTGGGTCCATTTCCCTCTGCTTTTGTCCAATGCCCAGGATATTAAACACAGAACTATGTAAAGTTTATTTCTCAGTTTAGAGGTTCTTGGTCATGCATTGACCAAGTATGTAATATGAATTCAACTGCCAGTCTACCTGGATGCAGCTAATCTTCAGGGAAGATGTTTTTCCCTTACCTGGAACTGAGGCACAGAGACTTGAGTGAACCCACAAATAGCTAATGATGGGGTAGGGTTCCCTAGGCAGACATGATTGAGAAAGGCATAAAAGATCCAACAGAGATTTTCTGGATAATACTATGTCTTACACCTGGTGTCAAATAATAAAAGAAAGCCTTCCAGAGCAAAAACAATAACAACAACAGCAATAACAACCACAGTAACAAACCAAGACTAAACTATTAACTTGTCAGGGAAGGAAACACATGCTAATGAGGAAATTCAATTAATAGAGTTATTTGCTGAAGGGGAAAAGTCAGAGGTTTTTATATACTGCAGAGAAGGAGTTCATAATTATACTAAGCATGGAAAACTAGCACTCTGGAGAGGACAGAGTGAGTCCATAGGTCTGTGTACACTTGGCTAAAATAGTCTCATTGTTCATTTTTCATAATAGTGTCTTCAATTAGGTTCAGCAAAGATCTGGCATCCAGGTCACTCAAAGTTCAGGAAAATATCAAGCTATTTAGAGCCAGCTGTGATAAAATACAAAAGTCAGTTTTGATATCTCCTAGGCAAGTGCTGCTGGAAGTGGGAAACTTATTCATACTGGCCTGAGGAAGATATTGTATGAAAAGTAATATAAGCCATTCCCTTGGACTCTGCCTTGCTACTCAAAATATGGACTATGGATCAGAGCATAGGTATGACTTTGGTAGTTGCCAACAGTATAGATTGTTAAGACTTCACCCCAGCTCCACTCTGAGTCAGAATCTGTATTTTATTAAAGTCCTCAGTTTTTTCATACACACACTAAAGGGGGGAAGAACAAACTTTAAAATAGGATTTTAGAAAAGTGGTTTTCCAACTTGGTGTATAACAGAATCAACAAGAGAATTGGAGCCACGGATTCACTGGGTTCAGATAGGACCCAGACCTTTCTATTTTTACCAAGCTTCCCAGGAGATTCTGATACCTACCAAAGCTGGAGAACCATGATTTTAGAACATGCTTCTCTTACTCAGGATCCATAAATGCAAAATTAGTAAGAAGCATATTCTCTGAGAGTAAAGCTCTGGTTTTATCCAAGAATCAAACCAAATGCACAATTTCACTTGGAATTTAAGCATTATAATTACAGAGTCACCAGGATTTTTAACACCTAGAATTTCCATCACCTAAAAACACATCCAGCATAAGTAAGATTTTTTTCCCATAAGAACACTGTAAGAAAAAAAATACTGCATCTGTGAGAATATTCCAATGAAGATAATCCTCTATTAAGAAACAAATAAATTCTCAATTCTTTGGAAATGGTGGAAATAGTTAGCTATTATAACTGTTTATGAGAGCAGAGAAATGACTGAATCTTAGCTTGTAAGAAATTTCTCCATGTACTTATCAAGCCATTAATTTTCTTAATAAATTAGAAATTTCCTTTTACAATTAATAAAAACTGGCTTTAGTTACCAAGGTTTCTTTTAAGAAAGGTAAATTTTGGTGCTTCATATTTGAAATCAATTTCAACAAAAAAAAGACAAGTTTTTTTCACAACAGTTCTCTCTAAGGCACCCTGATATTGGCATCAGAAAGAATGAGGTCATGTGCTTTTAATAAACCCAAAAGCTATCAAATGTAGAAAATTATTTGGTTATTTCCTTTACTGGATACAGAACCTTATATGTATTAGTCATTTAATTATGAGTTCAGAAATGAATTTGTGATGCTAGGAGAACAATATTCATTAATAATTAGGGAAATGAGCAATGCAGAAAGTTTTCTAATAGGCCCAACCCTTCTATTTCCTGCACAGTAAATATTTGTGAAGGAAATATGCTGTAATAAGATAAGAGGTTCAGTAGAAGCACATCTGTAATTTCTCCCTGAATAATTCAGACTCAACATGACATTGGCAACTGTTTAAAGAAATATATTTAATCCTAGATGGTTGTTATAATATAGTGCTTATACCAGAAAATCCTCAGCTTGCTTTTCTAAAGCATTACATAATGTGATCCTTTATAACCAAGACCATCATTTTACATCTGAGGAAAAATATGAAGGCAAAACCAAGAAACTTAACTATTTGCAGATATGAAAGAAAAACATATTCTTTTGACTTTTCGTTTTGTTTGGTTTTGTTTTTGAGACAGAGTCTTGCTCTGTCGCCAGGCTGGAGTGCAATGGCGCGAACTCAGCTCACTGCAACCTCCACCTCCCCAGTTCAAGCGATTCTCCTGCCTCAGCCTCCTGAGTAGCTGGGACTACAGGCATGCACCACCATGCTCGGCTAATTTTTTGTATTTTAGTAGAGACGGGGCTTCACCATGTTGGCCAAGATGGTCTCGATCTCCTGACCTCATGATCCACCCGCCTAGGCCTCCCAAAGTGCTGGGATTACAGGCTTGAGCCGCCACGCCCAGCCTTCCTTTGACTTTTAATGCAAATATATTTCCAATAAAGTTTCTAGCATTTGATTTGTATTTGAACAATACGTTTGTCAAAAGAACTGGGTTATTATGAAGAAGAATAAAAAGCTGTAAACGTGTATACTTTTCGATTTGGTATTCCAGATCAAAGCCTTTTAGCCTAAGGAAATAATAACATGTATAAAGACGTATGTATAAGAATATTTATTGCAATGCTAAGAAACAGTAAAAAATTAATCAGTAACTTTGACTTCCAACTTCAGTTAAGGAAAGGTCAATCATGTTAACTGATAAGAAAATGTAGAAGGAAATTGACCCCATTGTCTATATAGGTTCACATACAAAATATTTTCATAAAGTTTTAATTAGTCATTAATGATTTAGTGGCAGAAAATTTATTCTGGATAACTTAAAAATAATTCTTTTATCAGAATAAGAGTGATATGTCCCAGAAATAGCATGAGAAGATGGATACTACTTTTGAGCTGCAAGTGCCTAAGTGTTTCATGAGATTTCAGTTCTTTTGGGCTACGGAAATAGTGTCTTCAAGAAAACCTATCTAAACCTCAGCGGGCAAGAGGCCCTATTAGACATCTAGCTTATGTGAATATTAATAAAATAATGGAAACAAATATTCAAAGTAGGGTATTAAACTGTGGTATAACTCTTCAGCGGAATAGTATTAGCTATTTAAAATTCTTTTAGAAGACTTTCAAAACATGGGAAGAGTTTCATCATGAAATGTTGGGTTTAAAAGAAAGGATGTTAAAAATAATATGTTCAGCATAATCTAAAACTTATAACAATATATCTATATATAGACAACAAGCGGTAAACCTATATGCACTAAAATGCTTATAGTAATTATCTCTTGGTGGCAGGATTAGAGATTTTTTTGCTTCTTTAAGGAGAAGTAGAGTAGCACATTTATTATCTACTGTTGCTATAACAAATTACCACAAAGTTAATAGTTTAGAACAACACAAATTTATCTCACAGTTCCATAGTCAGAACTCTAGGAGGCCCAGCTCGTTTCTCTGCTCTGGGTTCCATGATGCCAAAATCAAGGTGCTAGTCAGCTAGGGCTCTTACATGAAGGCTCTGAAGAAGAATCTACTTTAGGCTCATTTAGGTTGTTGAAAGAATTCAGCTTCTTGTGGCTGTAGGACTCAGGTCCCCGTTTCCTTGCTGGCTGTCAGCCAGGGTTGTTCTCAACTTCTAAGGACTGCCACACTTTCCGGCTCATGGCTACTTTCATCTTCACATCCAGCAACAGTGGGTGAGGTCTCATGATTTACACCTTTCCTGACTTTTTATTCCATGGCATCTCTCTGACTGAATCCAGCTGGAGAAACTTCTCTGCTTTTTAGGCCTTGAGGAAATTAGATTGGATCCACTTGGATAATCCATGAACCTGTTAAATGCCACTGATTAGCAACCTTAATTCCATCTGGAAAGTCCCTTCCTCCATTAACATAACATACTCACATAACATAACAATACTCACAGGATCCATGGACTAGGGTAGAGACACATTTGGAGAGTGATTTTCTGGCCTACCACAATAGTGTAATGGTAATGGTATGGGCTTAGAGACATGTAATAAATAGACCTTGTTTTTATTTCAAAAGCTGCCATTCAATATATGTAGACCTTGTTATGTCATCCATGTCTCAGTTTTCTTGTGTACAAAATGAGGATAGTAAATATATTGATTTCACTGGATGTTTCTGAAAATTAAATCAGACACTATAATAAAAGCATATGCTGCAATTCTCAGTAAAGATTAGCCATGATATTGACATTTTTACTCTTGATACATTTCCATCTTTTCTACAATGAACTTATTTTAGAAATCATGAGAAAATCAATACAAATTTATTTTAAAGGCACGACTATTTAATTTCATTCATATGGTTATGTCTGTTGGAGAACCTATATTTTCCCATCCTTAAAATAACTTTTTCCTGTATTGCTTACTACCTGGAATTGATCTTCCATTTCAAATATATACATTGAAATATATATATACATTTATTTCCTCTGTCACCCAACTAGAGCAAGTGCTGGTAAAATATCAGTCTTGTTCCCTGCTGTATCTTTAGTGTTTAGAAAAATTCCTGATACTTAGTTGGTACTTTATAAATATATGTTAAATAAATTAACTTTTAATACATACATACAAACAAGAGCCTAATTTTACAAAATTTTGGATTACTTAGCAATTTTTCTTTAATATAAGTTTCCCAAAAGAAGAAAGTCTTTGTATTTTTATGCTGAAGTTTTTGAAAGTTTAAATTTTCCCTCATCTAAAATGTTCTTCCCAGTTAGCATATTTAAAATGTATTTGTTCTTATAAAACCTTCCAGTTTCAGGCAAGAGAGGTAAATCTACTCAATAATAAAAAATCACCTTGTTTTCTTTCTTTTCTTTTTTTTTTTTTTTTGACAAGGTCTCACTTTGGAGTGATGTGGTGGCATCTTAGCTCACTGTAACCTCCACCTCCCAGGTTCAAGCGATTCTCCCACCTGAGCCTGCAGAGTAGCCGGGATTATAGGCGTGAGTCACTGTGCCCAGCTAATTTCTTTGTATTTTTAGTAGAGACAGGATTTCACCATGTTGGCCAGGCTGGCCTCAAACTCCTTGCTTCAAGTGATCTTCCCGCTCAGCCTCCCAAAATGCTGGGATTACAGGCATGAGCCACCATATCCGGCTATATTGTTTTCTTTTAACTAACAAATCCTCGCATTAAAGACAGATTTCTAATTTAAATTATGAAAAACTGTAACATAATATCCAAGCCAGTGAGATTTATTTGCTTCTCTTGACAAGTAACTTTTGCTCTCAATATGTGTGACGGAACCTGAGATTTATGTTTTCAATGTGTAATGCAAATCTGTCCAAAACCTCTTCATGAGCTCACCTTCTGCCTTCCTAAATGTTCCAACTGCCTTCTTATGCTTGAAATTCCACAGCTGTGTTTCTTTTAGTAAGAGTATTTCCATTTTAAAGGGGATAACTTAGTGTGAGTAAATTTTAGAAAGACAAGATAAGGGAAAAAAGAAGCATAAATAGTGAAGAAGGATACTACATGAAGAAAGAGAAGACTACCATTAAGCAGGGGAGAGAGATGAGAATAGTATTGGAAGGTTGTGGGGGCTGAAAGACTAAATTCACCCTCATGACTCTGGAGCAGCTCTTTTCCTAAGATACCTATGAGTTAAAACTCAGAAATCTTAGTATATACACAATCCCACTTTGGCAAATGAGCTCAAAGCCTAATGAGGACCATGAAACAAGACTTCATTTTTTTGGTGGGATGAAGGGGTCATGGGAGAATCCAAATGTCCTCCAGAAAGACTAGATATACTTGGTCTCTCGGGTTGGTTAAAAGTAGGGAGCAACTCTGAAAGAGATGAAGATTCTATTCCATGTGGTAGATGATTGTGGGAAATGTGTGACTAATGCACACTTCCTGAGCCAAATCACATTTGGGCAGCTAACAACTTGGCTAATGTGCCTGCTCTGTGTGGATCTGATAGCATGAGATGAGGATGCTATATTACGGGCTTTGACTCAATCTTTACCAGGCCATTAAGTTAAAGGAATCCTGAAAATGAAATAGTCAATGAATATGTTATGGTTCAATGCAACAAAGATGAAAACTCATAATTACTATACAAAAGGGGAAACTCTATGAGTTTTGTGAAAAACAATCAATATAACGGAAGAAGAAACTCTTTTTTAAAAAAAAATAACATAAGGATGAACCATAACATTTCCACTAGACCAGTGTTATTCAAGCTTCATATAATCCATTAGTAAATTGTGAAATAAGTTTTGGGGATCCCATCTGAATTTTTTAAAGTGAAGTGGAATAAAATGGAAAAACAGACTGTACTACATATAGGCAGGGTAATTGTTGATGGTTTAAATGATACGTATGAACATGACTATTATTAAAAAAATCAATTCTAGGTAGATGAAGGCTCTAAATGTCAAAGGCATAGAGGTTTTATAGGATAACATAATACATTTATAGATTTGGTTATTGAAGGATAATATACTATATATATAGAGATAGATAGATAGATATAATGTGATCTCAAAGTTATATTTTACTGCAACCGATAATAACAAATGTTTCAAATTGCTCCAGAATACCAGGGGTTCATAACCTGAGGCCACAGAATATAGAGATCACAAACTTGAATAGGAAAAAATGGTATCTTTAGTTTCACTAATATTGAACTAAAATTTAGCATTACCTTCAGTTATGATTGCAGGAAACTTACCACAGTAATATTAGCAATACTAATACTGTGACATTGTCACCAATAAATATGGTATTTTATACCATATTATGATTATTTCTATTATGTAAAAATATTGAGTTCACTAGTACCCCAAAATTATAGTAGTTATTCTATTTCCCCAGACCTTGTTAATTCATGTGACTATTAAGAAACTCAGGTATTGTGATATTACAATTTTTAGCACTTTGACAACTATTCTAATACATGGGATTCCTTTGTTGTATTGTTTATTTAGTCATTACAAATATAAAATAGTATTTTAAAAAGATAAAAAGATAATTCATAGACTTCAGCAGAGTGCCCAGAGGGCCCAGGGCACCAAAAAAGAGGAGAAGAGAAAAGGAAAAAAACCTTGAAGAGAGCAATGAAATGCTGAAGGCAAAAGCTGTAACTTACTCTTGTTTGTATCTCCAGAATTTAGTCTAGTACCCAGAACATATTTGTTCTCAAAAATCATTGTTGGATTACACCCTAGTATGAAAGCATCAAGAATAAATTAGTAAACTGTGACTTGGTGGAAGGATTCACCAAGTAGATAATGTTTGAACGGGCTCTTGTAAAATGAGTAATAAGAGAACATAGTGAATAGCATATACACACTGATCAGTAAAGAACATGACTATTGTAAAAAAAATTAATTCTAGGTGGATGAAGGGTCTAAATGTCAAAGACACAGAGGTTTTGTAGGATAACATAAGATAATGCTTTTATGGATTTTGTTACTGACGAATTTCTGAAACATGACACAAAAAACATGTTGGGGAATTTTGATTATATTAAATCTAATAAATTATCTCCAACAAAAGTACCATAAAAACTCTATGAAGAGGATATAACAATTGTAAATATATATGTACCCACCATCAGAGGACCTAAATATCTAAAGCAAATATTAACAGATCTGGGAAGGAAGAAATACACAGCAACACAATAATAGTAGAGGACTTTGACACACCACTTTCAATAGCAGATAGACCATCCAGACAGAAAATGAATATGGCAACACTGGAGTTGAATTACACTTTAGACAGAATGGAACTATACAGACTCTTCCACCCAATAGTAGCAGAATAAACATTCTTCCTAAGTACACAGGAAACATTCTCCAGGCTATATCATATGTTAGGCTGCAAAACAAGTCTTAACAAATTTAAGAAGATTGAAATCATGTCAATATTTTCTGACCACAAAATTATGAATAACAAGAGGAAAACTAAAAAAAAGAGACAAATATGGGAAAATTAAACAACACACTTCAGAAGAGCTACTAGGTCAAAGAAGAAATCAAAAGGGAAAGTTAAAAAATATCTTGAATTTCATTTTATCTCCTTGTATAAGTTAGTTTTTGCTGCCTTAACACATTGCTCCAAAAGTTAATGGTTTTAAGATATTTAGCTCACAACTTTGAGTGTCAGCAATTTGGGCTGGCTTTTGTTGGCTGTTCTTTGTTTGTAATCATTTATGGTTCTGCACTTAAATGACAGTTGATAGGCCAATAATGTACCAGTTGTCTTTCTCTCAACTGCAATGATAGCTAGGGTTATAAGAGTAATTCTCTAAGTGTCTTTTAGCATCCATCTGGCCACTCTAGTCTTGTCCACATAGTAGTAGTTTTAGGGTTTCCAAGATCAGCAAGAGAGGGTGGACTCCAATATACAAGCATTTTTGAGTCCCCTGTTTGTGACAGGCTGGCTAATGCCCCACTGGACAAGGGAGGCCACTTAGCCAACTCAAGCTCAAGGAGTGAGAAACAGAGTTGACCTTTTCATAGGAGGCTCTGCAATGACACATAACACAAGGGGATGTAAGGAGGGATTTGGAGTCATCTTTATAATCTCACACTGATGAAATCAAACTGAAGAAATCAAGAAGTATTTTCTGTCTACCATTTATGGGTAGATCTATTTTAATCTTGTGTTATAGTCTAGTAATTGGCCTCTAATAAGTTTTCATCTAGTAATTAATAAGATGCTTTGTAAGGAGAGACTACTGTATATCTTGGGAGTCATATCATTCACCATTAGTTGAGTACTAAGGAATTTTCCTGTGTTCTTGCTTCAGTGTTTGGGAAATGAGTTCTAGAATAAAATTGTTTCATTTTGACTAAACATTTTTTTTCTTCGAGCTCTGCTTGTTGAAAACCTTAAGCTATTAATTTATTCAAAAACATTTGTTAAGTACTACCATGTACTGGATTTTGTGCTATCTGGTAAATAAAATCAGCACTTTACAAAATCTAACACATATTCTTTAAGAAAAGAGAAAATGGGCCGGGCACAGTGGCTCATGCCTATAATCCCAGCACTTCGGGAGGCCGAGGCGGGTTGATCACTTGAGGTCAAGAGTTCGAGACCAGCTTAGCCAACATGGCGAAACCCCGTCTCTACCAAAAATACAAAAATTAGCCAGGCATGGTGGCAGGCATCTGTAATCTCAGCTACTTGGGAGGCTGAGGCAGGAGAAGTGGTTGAACCTGGGAGGCAGAGGTTGCAGTGAGCCAAGAGAAAATGGATTTAACTTTGAGAAGTGGTAGATGTCAAGGTTCTCTAAGGAGAAAAGCGATAAAATTGCTCTGTGACCTAAAAAAAGAAGCCATATATACAGAAGAACAGTAGGATATTTAACAAATTGGTGCTTTAATTAATAAAACCAATGCATATTTACATTTTATCAGGTATGAGTGTATTTGATTCTATTCCTCTTTTACCAATTTATGAAACCTAATTGAGTTGTTCCAGTGTTAGAGAGTAAAGACTGAGTGAACTACAACTAGAATTTATTTGCATACAAAAACATTTTTATGGTCAAAAGGATCAGAAAGAGAAATGGGACATTTTAAGAAAATCTGTCTCCAAAGCACCGTTTCTAAAGTGAAATTATACAGCTCAATTTATTTTATGAGAGTCACTGTAGCTCAAATAGTAAACTGGTTTTTGATTTCACAGAAATTAAAGAATTTAACTTTTCTTTAGTGTAACTTTGAATGATTCCATTCACAGACCAAATTTTTTCTTAGATTATCTGAGTCTTATTCTCTCTGACATACAAAGATGTACATAATTTTCCATTAATCCTAATATTTTCCTTTTATCTACTTTTTATTTCAATAGAACATTACAGCAAATCAATTTGACTAGCTGCAGAAATTCAGTTGTTTAGATAATAACAATGGAAGATGTATTCAGTCTCAGTTGTATTTTTCAGTTGCCCTGTCTTTTCTTAAATTACTCTGAGTTTTGTTCTCAAATAATGCTGGGATAAAATTCAGCAGAATTCAGTCTTTGTGCATTGAATGATGCATCAAGTAAGTGTCACATGCCACTTGTTGTACTATGTTATGGAGCTATACAGTTGAAAAGGTTAATCCTTCACAGCTACCTAATATGAAGAGAGAAGAGAGAAGGGAATACCTAGAATTAGGAAGTCAAATCCATGGCTACATGTACACGTGTATATCATCAAGTTTGGCACTCAAAGGTGGCACCCAAACTTGGCTTGGCATCAGAATATGTTCAAACCTAGAAAACTTTAAA
The DNA here is from genome assembly GCF_000001405.40 of Homo sapiens. Lineage (NCBI taxonomy): Eukaryota > Metazoa > Chordata > Mammalia > Primates > Hominidae > Homo > Homo sapiens. The sequence goes on along the minus strand of NC_000005.10, from coordinate 40,194,570 downwards.
GAATACTTTGAATCTTGAATCCCATACTCAGTGGTTATCATTTAATCATTTAGTAGAAGGGCTGAAGAATTATTTCTCAAAGCTCTCAAGGTGACTCTGAGGCAGCTGGCCTAGTGCTGGTTCCAGGAGAGGCAACGTGGGACCATTCATCTTGTTGAAATGTGTTAGAATAAATATGACAGAAATAGCCTTGATACGTATATTATTGTTGTGAATGTCCTGTTTTTCTTAAAAAACCATGCAATGTCTGTACTTTGGTTTCTAAAATTCAAATTTCTTCTATGCAATCTCTGTGGATGTTGCTCATTTATAAGCCAATAACATGAAATAGTTGCACCTTTCTTGAGAAAATATATAGATTGCTAATTGTTGGACTTTATGACTTCAGAACTTATAGGAATCCACCTCCCCCAGTAATTATTTGTGACAAAGGCTGAAGCAGAAATTCCAGGAAAAAAAACATAGAGGATTTAATTATAAAAGTCATGTTCTAGTAATTCAAAGAATGGCTTATAAAAATTGAAAAAGCTGGGATCAGGTCTTGAAATCTATGAGAAGAACAGCTGGTTGAGAATAACCAAGGAATAAATGGAATTAATTACATTTTCCCTTCAGTAACCACTTACGTGCCAGCTGTAGCATGTCACTTATTTGGAGTGGACAAAGGTAAAAGGCCAAGGACAGTAGGAAAGTATCCTAGTCACCAATATTCATTCAGATGGAGTCCTACTTTGAGAAATTGTGATATAATCATGATAACAAGAACTATCTATATATTTACTTGATACTCACAGTTTATAAATCTTTTACAAGTATGTTAAATCAGCTTATACTCACAAAAGATCTACAAGGTAGAAACAAATAGCTCCCTTTTGTAAGTTTGAGATGGAGGCTCATAGATGTTAAGCGATTTTTCTGTGCTTACACAACTAATATGAGTTGGGATTTGAATTTAAAAAATGACTCCTTAATTACAGTAACTTTTTCTTCCTTAATTTTATTTCCTATAATCCATCTGTCATATAATACTTAAAATTTCACTTTAAGAAACAGCTTCTGTCTAGATTGACCAATACATTATTTTGACCCTCGGGCAAGGCTGCAAAATTCACCTTAAAAATGTCTGTTTCTTTTGGTATGCCATTTCATGTGAACTCTTTTTTAGTTCCTCTTCAATGCTTTTCACAGCTTCCTACCTTTCATACTTCATAGTCTGAAAACCTGGTTGATTCCCACCCTCAATGTCTGGTCTCTGGCCCAAGAGCCTAAGCTCTCCTGCACAAATGCAGGAGAAACTTTCATCTTATACGTCAAACACATTTTCCCCAAAAATTTATAACAAAAAAATCCTAAAATGCCATGCCAGGAATTATTTTTTTCTTATGGCTCCATTTTATGCGAATGTTTTTGAGTAACATCCTCAAGAACATTAAGTCGAGGAAGAAAAAACTGCTGATCCATTTACACTGGTTCAGCCAGATCAGTAAAAGTTAGAACTGATGGTTTGTTCACATTGCTCGTTTTGATGTTCATAATGGCTGAGATGATGACAGTTCAGACTCATAGGATCAGGAAAACCCTACAAACTAGATCGCTGACATCCGAATCAGGAATCAGGAAACGTAGGGACTTATCGCTAAATTTTACTGTTGAAATATATCTGAGGGATAATTTTGGTAAATTTCTGGATCGTATGGATAGGAAATTAAATTTCAAGGTCACAAACCCACACATTAATCTCAGGCCATTGATTCTGAGCAAAAGTATTCTTCAGTGTCCTAAACATTCATGTTTTTCCCAAGTATCATAACTGACACAGACTCCTTAAACATTTTTATACTGCTGTGATCAAGTTATTTTATTTTCAAGCCAAAGCTATGAGTGGGCTTAAATCACAGAAGCACATCAGAATTCTAGAGTGAGGGAACCACAACTGGGCTGAGAACAAAGAACTGGAATACAGTTAAGAGAATGATTTGTCCATTTAAGCTTGGTGTCAAGGTGAAACATTTAATCCAGAAGCTGGCTGGTAATTAAAGATCTAAGCACATTCAGAAAAACACAGAGGTGAGTTTTTAAATTTTGGACCTTCATCCAAAGCAAAGGCACTTTAGGCAGTACAGTGTAGTTGTTAAGAGTTTTGATCTTGGAGCATGACAGCCTCAGTTTGAAACCAGCATTGTCACTTAATAGCTACATGGAAAAATTGCTTTTTCTATGTCTCCTTTTTTTTTTCCTAATTCCAAATAGGAGATAATAAAACTACTGAATTCAAACACTTCTTATGAGAATTGAATGATTAAAGGGTTTGTAACCGTGCCTGGAGGATAGTAAACACTAAGTGATTTCTAATAAATACTATGCCAGCTAATGTGTACCAAGATATTCATTGTAGCACATTTGTAGAATTAAAGAATGAGAAATAATATAAAATACTTTATACTTTATGGAGGATTGGTTAAATAGATCACATTATACCCACACCAAAAAACATTACATTGCTGTTAAAGAATGTGAGGTGGCTCTATAGGTACCACTTGTGCTATATGGAGAAGTAAATTTCTTAAATTAATCTAACAGGATGGTATAGTTTTTTACTGACATATTTAAAAATATATGCTATGCCTGTGTATGCCCCAGAAGTTTTGGCATTTTTTACGCCCATCTGTTGAATGGTTTCCCTTGAGGTCTGGGATTTTGGCAGGGGCAGATGGTGGCAGAAAGGAACCTTGGAAGAACCTTATTAACCTTAGCATTTCCTTTATTTGACTTTAACATTTGAATTATTTTTCAACTGGCAAATTTATTTTTTAAGAATGATATGTTCTATTAATAGTAAAATCTAGAGTAAAAAGAATGCAGTAGTATCTGAAGTAAGATTATGAGAAGTCAGAGGCAAGGAGACCTTAATATTAACTGCACCTGTAATATCTCCAAACCCATCTTGGAAGCTCACCCACTCTCATCCTTAAGAAATAGCTGGACTTGTGTTTCTTTCAGGTCAAGAGAGCACTTAAGTGACATTAAATAACCTGTTAAGAGTAATGCTTCTCTTCGTATACCAGGAAGTACATTCTGGAAGTGGGGACAATCTAGTTCTTATCCATTTAGTGTGCTTATGTAAAATGGCTTCTTCCACCTCTGAAATAACAACACAGCTAGACTTATTTACTTAGCCCTGGCTGCATTTTTCCAGGACATTACCACACAATTGGAGCCTGACATTAATGTGATTTATTGATAAGTTCATGACTGTTGTGCTCTCTTTGACATTGGTGGAACATAACAAATGAGAAACAGGAAAGCTTTAGTTCTGAGACAGTAGTGAGTTGCAGTACGAACCTGTGATCTGCGTAAGGAAAGGAATCTGGTTGGGTGCTTGCAGGGCTTTGAAAATTGGAGCATAATTGACTTCTCGAACATTACAAATTAAGTAAACAATTCATTTGTTTATAATTGTTTGTGAGTAGTCTAACCTCAGCTGTCCTCTTTGGTAATGCTGTCTGCGTCAGTTTGAAGCACATCTTGTGATGGATTAAAAAAGTATGTCAGATAATATAAACCAGAAGCATGGTTTTATAGAATCATTCCTGTCCTGAATTTACCTTGTCTCCTAATTATTGGCAAAATTAAAGATAAAAAAGAAAATCAGCAGAGGCAGAGAAAAGAAAGTAAAACTTTAGTCTTGTTCTTTTCTATTGATTCATTTATTGATTATATTTACTTAATTGTATGTAACAAGAACAAATAATGCCTACTTATCTTTGCATTTACCAATAAAGTTAAGATGTTGTGATTTTCAAAGTGAGATTTTAAACAGATCATGAACAAGTCTCAAGGGTATTAAGTTAATTGACCAGCTGATTAGAAATGATTCCATAATCTTAGCTGTAATGATGTAAAGACTGCTTAAAATCACTCACATCTTGTTATTTCATCAATAACCTTGATTATCTCTCTCCTGCCCAGCCTATGCATACCTCTCTATAGACTCTTTCTTCTTTACCCTTATTATATTACTCTTGCACTACTAATTTCAATAACAAAATCATATAGAAGGTTTTTTTTTGAAATCTACTGTCTATTGTCCAGGCTGGAGTATACTGGTGCCGTCTCGGCTCACTGCAACCTCTGCCTCCCAGGTTCAAGCGATTCTCCTGCCTCAGCCTCCTGAGTAGCTGGGATTACAGGCACCCACCACCCTGCCAGGCTAATTTTTGTTATTTTTGGTAGAGACGGGGTTTCGCCGTGTTGGCCAGGATGGTTTCGAACTCCTGACTTAGGTGATCCGCCTGCCTCAGCCTCCCAAAGTCCTGGGATTACAGGTGTGAGCCACCGTGCCTGGCCTAGCAGTTTTATAAGAAGTTATAAAGCTAGGATAACTCATCAAAATCTGGATGTGGAAGAGAGGCACATAGGCAGTAATTTGTTTCAATATACTGTGATATGACATATTTTTGTTTTATACTAAAATTATTTTCATCAGTCTGAAGTTATTTTACATGTTAGGAAGTCTCAGTAATAAGTAAATTTATCCAAACATGGCAAACTAAAACTCAATGTTTATTACATGTAGTTCATTTAAAAAATAAGCATAATCCCAGGTATCTTATTACTATCAACAGTATAAAGTTCTTCTTGGTGTACCTCCCATTATTGTCTTTTATTCCTTTTATTCCTGATTTCATTCTGTAGAGCTAAGATGAAAGTCTAATTTAAAGTGAACTGGGTTCTTCTGTGAGAGCTTCAGTCTTTCCATATGCGATCCCACATATTCAAGTTTTTATTAACATAGTCATTGATAGATCTTTTGAGAAAGAATTACATGGAACACAAGAATGTTAGTCTCCTACCCTCCTCTTCCTCCTCCTCCTCCCATACTCCTCCTTCTTGAATGTATTCTACCTAATCAAATTGGTACAAAAATGTGAGGGACATTTATGTAAGAGTTTAGGAACTATTCATATGCTGTACTGGCTTTTTTTTAAAATACACAACAAGCAGAGAGAATACATGTGGTTGAGCAGAACATGGGCATTTTCAGTACTTGTGTGTGTAGAAATGACTTCTCTATTTCATGCTTAATATTGGCTGTGCTATTGTTACATACTCTGAAAGTGCCATGGACTTTTAAGTCCTAATATACAAAATCATTATTTTGCTTTTTAATTACAGTTTAAAGTTTAATAATGCTTAAATATATTATTTAAGAAGTACTCCTTTTAGACTTCTTTAAAACATCATAATCTAAAAACAAATAGAAAACATTTATTTCTGAGAATTATGAATCCGACATTCTGATCCAAGAATTGGCACTTGATTTATTCAATTATAATATGTACTTGTAATAAATTACTGTACAATTTAAACTTTTATATTATATTATATTATATTGAGGTAACATGAAAAATGTACATACTGTATCAGAGTTGATAAACTTTTTTTCATAAAAGACCAATTAGTAAGTTTAGGCTTTGTAGGCCATCTGTTATCTGTTGCAACCATTCAGCTCTACCATTGTGGTAAAATAGCCATTGACAATGCATGTATGAGTGGGCATGGCTGTGTCCTGATTAAATTTTATTTAAAAATGTAAGCAGTAGCCCAGGTTTGCCTGCTGCCCAGAGTTTGTCCACATTGAAATATAGCATTAATGGAAAAAATTTTCTCATTTTACAGTGTTATATGCAATATAATTTTATTATGTACAAACTATATGGGTAAAGAGATACATACAGAAAAGTTAAAATGTGAAAAGTGATGATTATTGGTGTAATGATCTTTTTGTAATATTATGCATATATGTATATCAAGATCCAAAGACAAAATTATTTAAAAATAAAAATATTTAGTATTAGAAAATAATTTAAAGACTTAAAAATTTTAATACATTCATTTTGATGAATTGACAATGTTGAAATAATCTGGTTTTCTACATAATATTTATATGAGAGACACTTTTTTAAAAAATATCTCTCCTGTCAGTCATTATACTTGTCACATTGACAGTTTTGGTGTGTTTTGTTTTAATGATGGCTATGCTCTTCAAGCCACATGGGAATCTGTTCACATTCAGTTTTCTTAATTATTTCAGACCTCTTTTTCTAACGGTTGCTTTACAATGTAGATTTTCTTATGATTTAGGTATGGTAAGGCCAACAGATCAAGGGACAACTGCCATTGAAAAGACAATTATACTCACAGATCCCATGGGAGCCACACAGGAAAGCACCAGAGTTGGTCAGGAGGCGTGTTGGGTAGGGTTCATGGTCAAGAGCCATTGCTGTGGTCTTTGCAGGACGAAACAGGTGAGGCAGGGTAAGCAGGTTTAGAATTAACTACTTTGAATAACTTCAGTGGGACCTGGGGCACAGGGGGCAGTTCCTAGTTGTTTTGTACCTGGCCCTGGGTTGATTAGGGAAAGGTGTGTAAGAGCCCCATAAAAAAGATGTGGGGGTATGCGCTCCGGATTGGTTGGCTTGCATATGAAAGACACTTTTGCAGGCTGGTCCTTTGCTATCTCTAGGAATTCGCTAATCCTGGGATGAGCAATCCCTTCAGGGTCAAGAAGACCCAAATTGTCAAAGCATCAAAAAAGAAAAGACATGGTTAACACACTGATATACTAGAGGTTCGAATAAACACATTGATTATGAATGGGTTAATAAGGTTGAACAGCTTGAAGAGAAAATGGCCAATGTTTTTCTTTTTTAATAAATAGTATTTTTAATCAACAAATCATACTTGTTTATATTTATGGGGTACAATGTGATGTTTTTGATATATGTATACTACATGGAATCATTCAATGAAGCAAATTAACATATCAATCACTTCACCTGTCTTTTTTTGGTGGTACATTTGAAATTTATGCTCAGCAATTTTGAAATATACAACACATTATTATTAACTATGGTCACCTTGCTGTGCAATAGATCTAAAAACTGTATCCCTCCCGTCTAACTGAAACTTTGTACCCTTTGACTAATGTCTCCGCATCCTCCCCCCAGCCCTGATAACTACATTTAATTTTCATTTAAATAATCTATACCAAATAAATATGAACCAAATAACTCTTGTTCTCTTTAGAGTAGTCTAGAATCCATTCATATTATCTCAGTGATATCTCAATTGATAAGATAGTTAGGCTCTTCTGGCATAAATGTACTAAATGTATCAGGCATCTCCAAGTTTCCAGCTCTGCTATGCACAATGTAACATTTCTTATCATGGTGGCTCATTTCAAAATTTAAATTGACAGTAAGTACAGTATAAGTTTCTTGATTGACTAATAGGGTTAGTGTGAACATCAAATCAAGTTAAGACTTGGAAGAATATAATGTATTTCATAAAAGCTGGGCATTGCTGTTATTGGCTTTGACCATTTCGTCCCTTACATGTGGTTGCTTACCATATAGCCCTATAAGCATATCTGACTAGTGCCTGAAAGATAACAAGTCCAATACTTTTTGTCTCAAAAAAAGGGATTTTGCTCTTTATTTTAAAAGCATTATCAATTGTTCCAGCCACTCTGACCACAGGCCTGCGTAGAATCTTTATCTTTTACCTCTCTCTGACCCTCCACATGCCAGTTGGTTGTCTAGTATTTCACTCTATATTACTGGCATCTTTGGACCTCCTACCTCCATCTCCATCCCACTACCTCTAACCAAGTTCACATCAGCACCACCCTCCCTTATCCTATGGGAACGTTCTCTTAACCTACTTTCTCTAATTTCTTTCTCTCTATTTTTAAACTAAATGCTTCTCAATCAGGGAGACTTATTCTGATCTGGTTGAGCTAGACATGATATTTCCCTGTCTCTAAGCCCTAAAACATTTGGGTTTCATTTTCCATTTTTTTTTTTCACTTCCACACTCCCCCATACAGTATTATGTTATGGGCAATGCTTGGAAAAACTCTGGAAAATCCCTGAATAGAGGTTGGTAATAGATCGTGGCCATGGTTCTCTCCAAAGAAGCCACAGAGCGGAATGATAAATAAACATGTGCCAATTCTCTCCTTAAATTCATGCTTCTTTATTTAGACAGAAGATATTCCTTTTGCTCAAAGACTGATGGAATTTCTCAGGGCAAGAACTGATAACTTCCTGGGAAATTTCTGAGACTAGCATTAAGGGAGACTGTGAACAGATTTCATTTTAGCCACTTTTAGCTCAGGGAAACTTCTATGACTGGGTCAGAACCCTCTACCCTTTTGCTGGGATAAAAACTGGGCCAAGTCCTCAGTCTCTTCTATAAGTGCCCAGGCATGATTATTGCCTTATCTGTCCCCAGTTATTATCTTTGATCCACACTGGGCAACAGAGTGAGGCCCTATCTGAAAAAAAATTTTTAAAAAAAGGAAAGAAAAATCAATATATTCTTATTGTAGGAAAGGTAGGTAACACAGTAACCTGTCTTCATGCATAAGAATAAATTACTGGCCCAGTGCGGTGGCTCACGCCTGTAATCTCACCACTTTGGGAGGCTGAGGCAGGCGGATCACTTGAGGTCAGGAGTTCAAGACCAGCTTGGCCAACATGGTGAAACCCTGTCTCCACTAAAAATACAAAAATCAGCTGGGCATGGTGGCACGCACCTGTAATCCCAGCTACTTGGGGAGGTTGAGGCAGGAGAATCGTTTGAGGCCAGGAGGTGGAGGTTGCAGTGAGCCAAGATCGCACCACTGTACTCCAGTCTGGGTGACAGAGGGAGATTCCGTCTCAAAAAAAGAAAAAGAATAAAAAGAATAAATTGCTAACACTCTGACCTATTTGCTTCTAGTATTTTATATAATTACAAGAGAGAATGAATTCATATATGGGTATTAATGATGAATAAACAGTTATTTTATTGTCATGTATTCTGCTTTTGACTTAATATTTATGATATTATAGAACTACCTCTGGTTTTGATATAAGACCTTTTAGTGGTTGCCTAATATTCCATCAAAACATTACCATAATTTATTTCATATACTCTTATTTATAGCATATTTTATATCTTCCATTTTTTCAAGTTTATGCAATATTTTGAGGAACTTCATTTTCATCATCTGGGATTGTTTTCTTCATCTGAGATTCAGGTGAGCTGTGAAAAGTCTTGGAAATGAAATGATTGTATCAGAGTATAAAAAACTTTTTAAATGTTTATATACTTCTTATCAGTTTTCTTGAAATAGCCGATGGCATAACGGTCAAGTATGCATAGAACTGCTGTTTCACTATGCCCTAGCCAACACTGAGCATTATGTGTGCTCTAATTTTTATCATTTTTATCAGTAAAATGGCTTTACTTATCAATGTGATAATTTTATATCCTTGACTACATGTAAAATATTTTGATAATTTATTAGTTATATGTATTTGTGTATGTGTAAATTGTCTCCATATCTTTCCATATTTTAAAATTTAAAAATGTGATTTATCATCTTTTTTCTATTACAATGAAATGTATGTTCATTGTAATAAGATAAGCAATAATAAAATGTCTAAATAAAAACATTCCTTAAAAAAGCAATAATTAAATAAGTTTTTTAAAAAATTGAAAATAAGTATTAATATCTTGTTTTATATGTTCCCACACCTCCCTTTATGATCAGAAATTCTGCCATTATTTTTCTTCCTTTCATTTCTCCCTCCCTCCTTCCTTTTTTTCTTTTTTCCTGGTGGCCAATATGTCATGTTCATTGCTCCAGGTCAATTGTTTATAGAATATTATTATGTTCTATAATAATAATTTAGAATAATAATAATTTAGAATGATAATATATAATAATTTAGAATCCATCTATAAATGGATTCTAAATTATTGAGCTAATCTCTGATTGAAGGACCTTTACATTAATTATCTTTACCTTAATCATGCTGTGATAAATATGTGAATATACTTTGTTGTACTGTAGAATAACTTCCTAAAACTAGTATTTTTATATTAAATACTTTATATATTTAAGTTTTCCTAGCATTATCAAATTATTTTCCAGAAAATGTTATAGCAATTCACATCCTAACCAGCCCAGAATGCATGTTAGTGATCCAACAACTCTAATCTAATGAGAAAAAAGAGCATTCATTATTTTCTCTACCAACTGCTCAAGTAAACATCTCTTCATATTTAATGACTATTTATATGATCTTGCTTATAACTCATATGTTTATACTTTTTGTCCACTAATTAAGGAGTTTTCATTTTCTTAAAAGTGTTGTGATTGCTTGCTTATGATTGCTAGTGATATAAATAAGATTAACCATTTCTCTGTCATATGTTACAAACAAATTTGCGAGTCTATTATTTGCTTTGACTTTACTTATCTTTTTCCAAAAAATTATGTTAATATTGTACAGACATCCCTTTCTATATATAATGTCTATAATTTTCATGAGCTTATTATGAAAATGATAGTTCATTCCTATTGCTTCAAAGTATTATTTTGTGTTAATAAATCACATTTTTAAAATCCATTCTCCTGTTGGTGGGAGTCATAGAAATATGCGGTTTGGGGGCAATGCTGTGAACATTGTTGGACATGCATTTCTGTTGATTATATACTTAGGAGTGGAATTATTGGGTCATAGATTAGAGGGTGTTTGGTTTTAGTAGATGCTGTCATACAGCTTACCAAAATGGTTGTACTGATTTACATTCTCACAAGTGGCAAACTCTAGTTACTAAACATATTTGCCAACTGGAGTTGAGTATAGCATGCTTAGTGTTATCAGAGTGTAGTTTTAATTTGCATTTCCTTGATGAGTAGTGTTGTCGAGAATGTTTTCATATGTCTTTTAAATATTCTCTTTCTAAAGTGTCTGTGTCTTTTGCCTATTTTAATGCTTGGTTCTCTGTTTTTTCTATTTCAGAAACTCTTTATATAACCTTGATATGATCTTTTTGTCAGATTGTCTGTGGCTTGCTTTTTATCCTATGTCTGGAGTCTTTTGGTGAACAGGTGCTCCTGTTTTTCTCAGATTTTTCTTTACAACTTGTTTAGTTTAACAAATCTTTGCTTCCTCAAAGGTACAAAATATTCTACAGGCTGGCCAGGCATGGTGGCTCACGCCTGTAATCCCAGCACTTTGGGAGGCCAAGGTGGGCACATCACAAGGTCAGGAGAGTGAGACCATCCTGGCCAACATGGTAAAACCCCGTCTCTACTAAAAATACAAAAATTAGCCAGGCGTAGTGGCGCGAGCCTCTAGTCCCAGCTACTTGGGAGGCCGAGGCAGGAGAATAGCTTGAACTCGGGAGGCGGAGGTTGCAGTGAGCCGAGATCATGCCACTGCACTCCAGTCTGGGTGACAAGAGCGAAACTCTGTCTCTAAATAAATAAATACAGTTCTACAAGTTTTTATTTTACAGTTCACATTTACGCCTGCAATACATATGGAACTGATTTTTTCCTGTATGGTTTTGACTTAGCAGCCACAGTTTATTTTTTGCCATGTGCCTAGCCAATGTTGACACAAAAACATTTATATAAAAGACCACTGTAAACTTTCTTACTGAAATTTACTGTTACTTTTTGCAAAAATCATGTTATTAATTTTTCATAAATATACAGTTGCATATTTTTTTAGACACTATTGTTCTATTGATTGCTTTGTCTAACCTTGGGCCAAACAATATTTTGTTATTTACAGTAGCTTTATTGCAGAAATTATCTGCCAAACAACTTTCAGCTTTGTTCTTCCAGAATGTCTTGGCTATTCTTGGCCCTTTGCCCTTCCCTGTGAATTTTTGAATCAGTGCGTCAATTAAAAAAAAAAAAAACCACCCATAACTCTGATATTTGTTAGGATAACATTGAAAATATTGATAAATTTGGGAAAATTGTTTACCTTTATAATATTGAGTCATCTAATCTACGAAAATGATATATCTCTTATTTATTTTGTTATTCTTTCATTTCTGTTTTAAGTTTTATAGTTTTCCATGTATAGATTTTATATATTTTTATTTAAACATACTCTCATGTATGACATTTTAATTATTGTGAACGGTATCATGTCTTTAACTTAGTTTCATAATTAGTTGTAGCCAATAGGCAGAAATACAGTGGATCTTGGTATCTTGATAGATCTTATATCTAGTAACCTTTCAAAATTTATGACTTTTAAACATGCTGGGCTTAATACCTAGGTGATGAGTTGATAGGTGCAGCAAATCACCACTGCACATGTTTAACCTATGTAACAAACGTGCACATTCTGCATATGTACCCCGTAACTTAACATAAAATAAAATAATTTTATTTTGAATGAAGATTAAACTTAGTGAAATATCTTTCACCAGTTGTTAATATTTTACCACATTTGGTTTATTATTTTTATCTGTATATATAACAATATTTATTATTATGTAACAGCCACCATTATTATCATTATTATTGCTGAATTTTTTTTATTGTTATACTTTAAGGTCTGGGATACATGTGCAGAACGTGCAGGTTTCTTACATAGGTATGCATGTCTCATGATGGTTTGCACTCATCAACCCATCATCTACATTAGGTATTTCTCCTAATGCTATCCCTCCCCTTGTCCCCCACCTTCTGACAGGCCCCGGTTGTGATGTTCCCTTCCCTGTGCCCATATGTTCTCATTGTTAAACTCCCACTTATGGGTGAGAACATGCAGTGTTTGGTTTTCTGTTTCTGTGTTAGTTGGCTGAGGATGATGGTTTCCAGCTTCATCCATGTTCCTGCAAAGGACATGAACTCATTCTTTTTTATGGCTGCATAGCATTCCATGGTGTGTAAGTGACACATTTTCTATATCCAGTCTATCATTGATGGGCAATTTGGGTTGGTTCCAAGTCTTTGCTATTGTGAACAGTACTGCAATAAACATACATGTGCATGTGTCTTTATAGTAGAATGATTTATAATCCTTTGGGTATCCACCCAGTAAAGAGATTGCTGGGTCAAAAGGTATTTCTGGTTCTAGATCCTTGAGGAATTGCCACACTGTCATCCACAATCATTGAACTAATTTACATTTTGACCAATGGTGTAAAAGTGTTCCTATTTCTCCACATCCTCTGCAGCATCTATTGTTTCCCGACTTTTTAATAATCACCATTCTAACTGGAGTGAGATCCTTTCTCATTGTGGTTTTGACTTGCATTTCTCTAATGACCAGAGATGATGAGCTTTTTTTCATATGTTCATTGGCCACATAAATGTCTTCCTTTGAAAAGTGTCTGTTCAGATCCTTCACCCACTTTTATGGGGTTGTTTTTTTCTTGTAAATTTGTTTAAGTTCCTTGTAGATTCTGGATATTATCCCTTTGTCAGATGGATAGATTGCAAACAGTTTCTCCCATTCTGTAGGTTGCCTGTTCCCTCTGATGATAGTTTATTTTGCTGTGCAGAAGCTCTTTAGTTTAATTAGATCCCATTTGTCAATTTTGGCTTTTGTTGTAGTTGCTTTTGGTGTTTTAGTCATGAAGTCTTTGCCCATGCCTATGTCCTGAATGGTACTGCCTAGGTTTTCTTCTAGAGTTTTTATGGTTTTAGGTCTTATGTTTGTATCTTTAATCCATCTTGATTTAATTTTTGTATAGTTGTAAGGAAAGGGTTCAGTTTCAGCTTTCTGCTTATGGCTAGCCAGTTTTCCCAACATCATTTATTAAATAGGGTATTTTTTCCCTATTGGCTGTTTTTGTCAAGTTTGTCAAAAATCAGATGGTTGTAGATGTGTGGTGTTATTTCTTAGGCCTCTGTTCAGTTCCACTGGTTTATATTTCTGTTTTGGTACCAGTACCATGCTGTTTTGGTTACTGTAGCCTTGTAATATAGTTTGAAGTCAGGTAGCATCATGCCTCCAGCTTTGTTCTTTTTGCTTAGGATTGTCTTGACAATGTGGACTCTTTCTTGGTTTATTTTATATTATATCTATTTGATTCTTTTCTCTTTTCTTCATTAGTCTGGTTAGTGGTCCGTGAAATTTAAATTAGTTTTCTCTAATTCTGTGAAGAAAGTCAATGGTAGCTTGATGGAAATAGCATTGAATCTATAAATTACTTTGGACAGTATGGCCATTTTCATGGTATTGATTCTTCCTATCCGTGAGCATGAAATGTTTTTTTTTTTTCCATTTGTTTGTGTCCTCTCTTATTTCCTTGAGCAGTGGTTTGTCGTTCTCCTTGAAGAGGTCCTTCACATCGCTTGTAACTTGTATTCCTAGGTATTTTATTCTCATTGTAGCAATTGTGAATGGGAGTTCACTCATGATTTGGCTCTCTGTTTGTCTATTATTGGTGTATAGGAATGCTTGTGATTTTTGCACATGGATTTTTTATTCTGAGACTTTGATGAAGTTGCTTATCAGCTTATGGAGTTTTTGGGCTGAGGCAATGGAGTTTTCTAAATATATAATCATGTCATCTGCAAAGAAAGATGATTTGACTTCCTGTCTCCCTACATGAATACCCTTTATTTCCTTCTCTTGCCTGATTGCCCTGGCTAGAACTTCCAATACTATGTTGAATAGGAGTGGTGAGAGAGGGCATCCTTGTCTTGTGCCAGTTTTCAAAGGGAATGTTTCTAGCTTTTGTCCATTTAGTATGCTATTGATTGTGGATTTGTCATAAATAGCTCTTATTATTTTGAGACACATTCTACCAATACCTAGTTTATTGAGTGTTTTTAGCATGAAGGGCTGTTGAATTTTATTGAAGGCTTTTTCTGCATCTGTTGAGATAATCATGTGGTTTTTGTCATTGGTTCTGTTTATGTGATGCATTATGCTTATTGATTTGCATATGTTGAACCAGCCTTGCATCCCAGGAATGAAGCTGACTTGATCATGGTGGATAACCTTTTTAATGTGCTGCTGGATTTGGTTTACCAGCATTTTACTGAGGGTTTTTGCATTGATGTTCGTCAGGGATATTGGCCTGAAATTTTCTTTTTTTGTTGTGTCTCTGTCAGGTTTTAGTATCAGGATGATGCTGGCTTCATAAAATGAGTTAGGGAGGAGTCCCTCTTTTTCTATTGATTGGAATAGTTTCAGAAGGAATGGCAACAGCTCCTCTTTGTACCTCTGGCAGAATTCAGCTGTGAATCCATCTGGTCCTGGGCTTTTTTTGGTTGGTAGGCTTATTACCGCCTCAATTTTAGAACTTGTTATTGGTCTATTCAGGGATTTGACTTCTTCTTGGTTTAGTCTTGGGAGGGTGTATGTGTCCAGGAATTTATTCATTTCTTCTAGATTTTCTAGTTTATTTGCATAGATGTGTTTACAGTATTCTCTGATGGTAGCTTGCCTTTCTGTGGGATCAGTGGTGATCTCCCCTTTAACATTTCGTATTGTGTCTATTTGATTCTCGTCTCTATTCTTCTTTATTAGTCTGGGGAGCAGTCTATCTATTTTTTTAATCTTTTCAAAAAACTGACAAGGCATAGTAGCTCATGCCTGTAATCCCAGAACTTTGGGAGGCTGAGGTGGGCAGATCATGAGGTCAGGAGTTCAAGACCAGACTGGCCAACATAGTGAAACCCCGTCTCTACTAAAAGTACAAAAAATTAGCCGGGTGTGGTGGCAGGTGCCTGTAATCCCAGCTACATGGGAGGCTGAGGCAGGAGAATCCCTTTAACCCAGGAGGCAGAGGTTACAGTGAGTCAAGATCACACCATTGCACTCCAGCCTGGGTGACAGTGTGAGACCCTGTCTCAACAAACAAACATACAAACAAACAAACAAACCCAGCTCCTGGATTCATTGATTTTTTTAAAGGGTTTTTCGTGTCTCTATCTCCTTCAGTCCTTCTCTGATCTTTATTATTTCTTGTCTTCTGCTAGCTTTTGAATTTGTTTTCTCTTGCTTCTCTAGTTCTTTTAATTGTGATGTCAAGATGTTGATATTAGATCTTTTCCACTTTCTCCTGTGGGAATTTAGTGCTATAAATTTCCCTCTAACCACTGCTTTAGCTGTGTCCCAGAGATTCTGGTACATTGTGTCTTTGCTCTCATTGGTTTCAAAAAACTTATTTACTTCTGCCTTAATTTTGTTATTTACCCAGTAGTCATTCAGGAGCAGGTTGTTCAGTTTCCATGTAGTTGTGCAGTTTTGAGTGAGTTTCTTAATCCTGAGTTCTAGTTTGATTGCACTGTAGTCTGAGAGACTGTTGTGATTTCTGTTCTTTTGCATTTGCTGAAGTGTTTTACTTCCAATTATGTGGTTAATTTTAGAATAAGTGCTATGTGATCTGTGATCAGGGGTCTTTGATGCTACTGTTTTAATTGTTTTGGAGTGCTACAAACCACACCTATATAAGATGGCAAACTTGATAGACAAATATTGCATGTGTTCTGACTGCTCCACTGATATGTCATTCCCTTGTCTTTCTCCCTGTCCTCTGGCCTCCCTATTCCCTGAGACAAAACAGAATGTAAATTAGACCACTTAATAACTCTACAATGGCCTCTAAGTACACAAGTGGAAGGAAGCCTTATACATCTCTCACTTTAAATCAAAAGCTAGAAATGATTAAGCTTATTGAGGAAGGCATGTTGAAAGCTACAGCAGGACAAAAACTAGGCCTTTTGCACCAGTTAGCTAAGTTGTTAATGTAAAGAAAGAGTTCTTGAAGGAAATTGAACATGCACATCATGTGGTGAACATACACATGATAAGAAAATGAAACTGATTGCTCCATATTGGTGATATGGACAAAGTTTGAGTGGTCTGGATAAAAGATTAAGCTAACCACAACATTCTCTTACGCCAAAGTCTAATCCAGAGCAAGGCCTTCACTCTCTTTTATTCTATGAAGACTAAGAGAAGTGAGAAAGCTGCAGAAGAAAAGTTGGAAGCTAGCAGTTTGGTTCATACCATTTAAGGAAAGAAGCCATCTTTATAACATAAGAGTGAAAAGTGAAGCAGCAAGTTCTGTTGTAGAAGCTACTGCAAATGTCCAAAAAGATCTAGCTAAGATCATGGATGAAGGTGGCTACACTAAACAACAGATTTTCAATGTGCACAAAACAGCCTTCCATTATAAAAAGATGCCATCTAGGCCTTTTATAGCTACAGAGGTCAGTGTCTCCTTTCAAAACTTCAAAAAACAGGCTGACTCTCTTGTTAGGGTTAATGCAGCTGGTGACTTTTAAGTTTAAGCCAGTGCTCATTTGGCTTTAACTTAAAGCCAAACTCATTCTGAAAATTGTAGGCTCCTTAAGAATTATGCTAAATCTTCTTTTCCTATGCACTGTAAATGAAATCACGAAACCCAGATGGCAGCACATCTGATTATAGCTTGATCTGTTGAATATTTTAAGCCCACTGTTGAGACCTACTGCTCAGTAAAAAAAGATTCATTTTCAAATATCACTGCTCATTGACAATGCATCTGGTCATCCAAGAGCTCTGATGGAGATGGACATGAAAATTAATGTTGTTTTTGTGCCTGCCAATTCTCATGGATCAAGGGGTAATTTCAACTTTCAAGTCTTATTATTTAAGAAATACTTTTTGTAAGGCTGTAGCTATCATAGAAAGTGGTTTCTCTGATGGATCTGGGCAAAGTAAATTGAAAACCTTCTGTGAAGGATTCACCATTCTAGATGCCATTAAGAACATTCATGATTAATGGGAGGAGGTCAAAATGTCAACATTAACAGGAGTTTGGAAGAAGTTGATTCTAACCCTCATAGATGACTTTGAAGGGTTCAAGACTTCCGTGGAGGAAGTAATTGCAGATGTGGTGGAAATTACAAGAGAATTATAAGTGGGGTCTGCAGATGTGACCAAATTGCTACAATCTCATGATAAAACTTGAACAGATAAGGAGTTGTTTCTTATGGATGAATAAATAAAGTGGTTTCTTGAGATGGAATCTACTTCTTGTGAAGATCTTATGAACATTGTTGAAAGGACATCAAAAAATTAGTTGATCAAGCAGTGGCAGGATTTGAGAAGATTAACTCCAGTTTTGAAACAGTAGGTGAAATGCTGCTATCAGATAGCATCACATGCTACAAAAAATCTTTCATGAAAGGAAGGATCAATAGATGCAGTGAAGTTCACTGTTGTCTTATTTTAAGAAATTGCCACAACCACCCAAACTTTTAGCTACCATCACCCTGATCCATCAGCAGCCATCAATATCGTGGCAAGTCCCTATACCTGCAAAAAGATGACAACTTACTGAAGGCTTATATAATTGTTAGCATTTTTTGGAAATAAAGTATTTTTAATTAAGATATGTGAATTTTTAGACATAGTCTTATTACACATTTATTAGACAATAGTGTAAGTATAATTTTTATATGCACTACAAAACCAAAAAAAAAAGTGTGGCTCACTTTATTCACTTTATTGTGGTGGTCTGGAACCAAATCTACAGTATCTCCAAGGTACACCTGTACTATGAATCACTTATAATTTATAATTATATGGAATTGGTCATTTCTCCTCTGTACTGCTTATGTTGAGATTATGAGATGATAATCTTATCTGCACTTTTCTTCTGAGGGGAGAATAAAAACTTGTACAGCATGAGCACACATGTACTATCCAAATAAGGATAGTTGATATTGAAATTGATTCCATGTGTAAGTGTGCGTCATGACTAAAACTGTAACTGTATTAAGGGCACAATATGCATCTGCTACAGAAAATTAGGAATATTATACTTAAGTAGATATAGTAAATTTTAGGAATTTACACTTGAGTAGAAAATTCTTTTTGTGGGATTTTTTATTAAGATAATCATCATTACATAGCTTCTAATGTATTAGAAAAATAATAAATTATTTATGGAAATGATTTGCTAACATTATTTCAGAGCTTAGTATACACTAAAATTAATTATAGAGTTGACAAACACCAGAAATCAAAGACTTTGAGAATGCTGATAAAAACCAAACCAAAGCAATTCAAACAAACCAAAGTGTATAAATCCACCTAAATATTGAGGTTACTCCCCTTTTATGAGGTAATAGAACAATGAATTAAGATATTACAACATCTCATACTGATTGTTTTTGGTATATGTACACAAACAAATTGTTGGAGTGTCCAAATCATCAGTTTCTGTGGAGTAAATGAGGGTACAGGGAGGAACTCAGTTTTATTTTAAGAATGAATAGATCATCAGGGCTATGGCTATCCAGATTGTATGACTAGAAGAACTGGGTGGTAACTAAGTTGAGGAAGACATTAAATAAAATTCCATGACTTAACATGGAAGCTGAGGGAAAGTCAGGAAAACAAACTTCGTATCAAGAAATTGCAGAAGACTGGAAGTAGTGATGATGAGGTAAAAGTGAAAAGCAACAAGGTAAAAAGCAAAAGACCAAGGCACATATATGTAATTATTAAAAGATTAGATATCAGGCAAGGGTTGAGTCTTTACTGCCAGCATTGTTAGAGTTGGCTATATGGTATCCTATGAAGGTAAGTCTTTTGTTCCATGTGTGGTAACTGTTCAGAGTCTGATTTTTCTCTTTCATACCATAGCTGAATATGATGGAATATCTGTTTCTATGAATAGAATGTAGTGTCTTGGGTGAGAATCTTAATATCAAGGTGACTTAAGGGCCCCAGGTCTTGCTAGTAAATGAGTAACTTCATGTCTATGATATTAGATAGTATGATGATTGGATATCAAGGCTGGCTTTGTACATATACACAATCACACATGTATATATGATGATGTAGTTTGTGAACAGTCTTGAGAAGATGAACGGCAATTGAAGAGATGAGTTACAGCATAGTAGACAGATACGAGGTTTTGGTGCCAACAGTAGGCAAGTGATGAGTGAGAAAAACTGACAAAGAATTAGAGTAAGATAATGTCAGAATTAGGTCATATTGAGAAAAAATAAGATAGGGCATGATTATGAATCAGAGAACATATTGATATGCTTGCTTTTCTAGAGTATAGAAATCAGCAGTTAAGAAATGAGAAGGAAACATTCCATATTGTCAAAGTTGCTTGATATTTTTAATTTTGAGGAATTCTGAAGAGAGCATTTATAATTCTGAGTTTACAAACCGATGAGAATAATGTATCTCATTAGATATTTATTTGAAGCATGTATTGTTGAAAATAAATTTGTTATTTAATATACTTTATATGTTTAGATGAATTCTGGGTCAAGTCTTGAGAGAAAAATATCATGCCTTGGGACACTACCATGCAAGCAGGAAAGAGAGACATTTTAGAAGTCTTCAGGAGGTAAGAAATAGTAGGAGCTTCTTGAATTTTGGAAATCAGGACACAAAATAGAGGATACCCCTCTGCAGCAGAATTTTAATTCAACATCATTAATATTTTTCACACTCAAGACTTTTTTTCCCAATCAAGACTACCTTGACTTTTGTTCTACCTTGTAAATGTTTTTAGTCTATGGTTGACTCCACCCTAATGTAGCAGGACGAGCTGCTGACAAAACTCCTCAGACACCGAGTTAAAGAAGGAAGGGGTTTATTCGGCCAGGAGCATCGGCAAGACTCCTGTCTCAAGAGCCGAGCTCCCCCAGTGAGCAATTCCTGTCCCTTTTAAGGGCTCACAACTCTAAGGGGGTCCACATGAGAGGGTCGTGATCGATTGAGCAAGCAGGTGGTACGTGACAGGGGCTGCATGCACCAGTGGTCAGAGTGAAGCAGAACAGACTGGGAAGTTTCACAATGTCTTTCTATACAATGTCTGGAATCTATAGATAACATCAGTTGCTAGGTCAGGGGTCGAATTTTAACTACCAGGCTTAGGTCAGGCAGGCCCAGGCCTAGTTTCTGGTCTGGTTCCTTGGTTTCAGGTCTGGATCCTAGGCGCCGGGCTACTTGCCTTTAGTGTCGTTTCTCTTTCCTTTTCTCAGTATAAAACAATATAAAACAATTTGAGAGGGTCTGTCTCTCTTCTCTCACTAATATGGAATAAACTTTCTAAAACACTTCCTGATTACCATTCTTTAATTGTTCCTCAAAGCCTTCCTTCAAACTGCCTGGCACATAAGAGCTCTCACAATATAGCCCTTGATTACTCCAACAATTCAACCATTATTAATTCCACAAGTCTTTGCTGTGCTTTCTTTACACACTTTGAACATCTTCTTCATGTATCTGGAGCAATTTGCTAATATGTCCTTTTTTTGCTACCTTCCAAAATTTCTTTCCTAGGTTACTTTTCAAGGAGAGCTTCCTTGACCTCTCCCTTTGCCCTCAGTTGGAACAAATCAGCACCCATTTCACTGTGTCGTCAGTGTCTTGCTTATGTGGCTCCTTGACTTTGATACAGATTCCTTAAGGACAAGAACTCTGCCTCATTTATCTTTGTATTTCTATTACTTGGCACAGTAACTGGCACTACAGGCCACCCAATAAAAACTTATCAAATAAACAAATAGATTATGACCTGGCAAGAACCTATTTTGACCAACAGACAGGGCCTTCTAAAGCCTACATGTTTTGAGTTAGGAAAATCCTTAACAACCACTTTCCCTTTCCCAGAATTTGAATTAAGCCTCTATTGGAGGACTAAGGGAAGGACTGGGAGTTAAATATTACACTTCCTGCTTCTACCTTTAAAGGTCCCACATCCAAATCTCACAATGCAATCTCTCTTCTCTAAGCTATTTTTGAAGGCATTGAGTACTTTATTCTTATAGAGGTGATAGGTTGTAATGACTCATCCCAGTTCTTTCCTCCTGGTCATATTTGTAAACAGTAGTAATTTGCCTCCATTACATGGAATTCCATTCTGACAAGCACCTGGGTGAAGACTACATCTACAAGATGCCTGGTCAGATTAGGCATTCATCTTAGGACTTTAGAATGGAAATTCTCTGGCAAGCTATTGAAATGGTGTAAATCTCATACACATACCAATGTCTTTATTTGCAGTTAGTCTTGTCAATTTTGGTTCTTTAGTCCACATCAACAGGTATTAAATAAAGACCACAAAAGTGTGAAGGAAAATCACAGCAAAATAAAATTCTATTATAAGGAGTCTTAATTATTTTGCTTCATTTTACATTTTGAGGATGCTGATATTGAAGGCTAATCTGTCTTTACCCTTATTGTGATCCTTTGATTATTTTTTGACCCATTTGTTATTATCTCATTATTTAGAAACTCATTTTACATAATACCCATGGAGTATTAGTTACCCCACACTCTTCAGAATTCATTTATAGCATTTATAGCAGATGAAAAAAAGTTGCAAAAAATGAAGTAAGGTAACTGTTTTTTTATCATATTGATTGCTTATAAAAGTTAGTCAATGAAAAAATGAGCATTTCTTAGAAGAAATAAATAGATCAAGAAATATAATCAACTAAGAATTATCTTTTTTTCCCTGTCCAGTTAAGGGGAATCTGCTATTTTTTCATAGTCCAGTCTCTATTAGTAAATCAAGAGGCTTAGTCATGAAGCGATGAGACTTTCCTCTATTACATCCTGTTGAATTATTAGTCACCATTCCCTGAGTCAATTACATTCTTTATTTCTCCTGACATGGATCACCTACAAGTGTTGGTGAAGAAGAACTCGTACTTTCAATCAGTTATTTTGTTGGTTTTATAGAGATATCCAATTACTGAGTTTTTATTTTATAGCATATTGTAAAAAGGATATGTAAAAGATAAAGTTGTTATCCTATAAAGATAATTTTCTCTCTTTTAGTCTATTCTTTTTTAAAAAAATCAGATTTTATTTTAGATTCAGGGGTACATGTGCAGGTTTGGTACATGTGTAGCATATTGCATGACGCTGAGGTTTGGGGTATGATTGATTCTGTCACCCAGGTAGTGAGCATAGTACCCAATAGGTAGGGTACTGTGGTAGTTTTTCAACCCCTACTCACCTTCCTCTCTTCCCTCTCTATTAGTCTCCAGTGTCTATCATTCCCATCTTTAGTCCCTGCGTGCTCAATGTTTAGTTCCCACTTATAAGTGAAAACATGTGGAAACTGGTTATCTGTTTCTGCAGTAATTCACTTAGGATAATGGCCCCCACATGCATCTGCGTTGTTACAAAAGACATGATTTTGTTCTTTTTTATAGCTGTGTAGTGTTCCATGGTGTATATGCACCACATGTTTTAAATCCAATATACCATTAATGGGCACCTAGGTTGATTCCATGTCTTTGCTATTGTGAATAGTGCTGTGATGAACGAGTACATGTGTAATTTTGGAACAATAATTTATTTTCTTTTGGGCATATACTCAGAAAAAGAATTGCTCAGTCAAATTGTAGTTCTACTTTTAGTTCTTTGAGAAACCTCCAAACTGCTTTTCACAGTGGGTGAACTCATTTACATTCCCACCAACAGTGTATAGGCATTCCCTTTTCTCCACAACCTCAACAACTTCTGTTATTTTTTGACTTTTTAACAAAAGCCATTTTGACTAGTGTGAGATAGATAGTATCTCATGGTTTTGATTTGCATTTCTCTGATGATTAGTGATATGGCGTATTTTTTTTCATATGATTGTTGGCCACTTCTGTGTCTTCTTTTGGGAAGTGTTTGTTCATGTTCTTTGCCATTTTTTTAATTGTCTGTTATACACCAATAACAGACAATTATTTGTTTTGTCTTTGTTGAGTTATTTATGCTCCCTACAGATTCTGGATATATTAGACTTTTGTCAGATGCATAGTTTGTGAATATTTTCTCCTGTTCTATAAGTGGTCTGTTCACTGTGTTGACAGTTTCTCTTTCTATGCAGAAGTTCATTAGTTTAATTACGTGCTACTCGTCAATTTTTGTTTTTGTTGGAATTGCTTTTTGGGACTTAGTCATAAATTCTTTGCCAAAGCAGATGTCTAGAAGAGTATTTCTTAGGCATTCTTCTAGGACTTTTACAGTGTGAGGTCATACGGTTAAGTCTTTAATCCACCTTAAGTTAATTTTTATGTGTGGTGGTTGGTAGGGGTCCAGGTTCATTCTTTTGCATATGGCTAGCTAGTTATCCCAGCATCATGTAGTGAATAGGGAGTCCTTTTACCATTGCTTATTTTTGTTTACTTTGTCAAAGGTCAGCTAGTTGTAGGTGTATGGCTTTATTTCTGGGTTTTCTATTCTTTTCCATCAGTCTATGTGTCTGTTTTTGTACCAGTACCATGCTGTTTTGGTTATGGTAACTTTGTAGTATAGTTTGAAGTTGGGTAATGTGCTGCCTCCTCAACTTTGTTCTTTTTGCTTGGGATTGCTTTGGCTATTTGGGCTCTTTTTTTGGTTGTTCCATATGAATTTTGGAACAGATTTTTTTTTTTCTAATTCTGTGAGAAATGATGTTGGTAGTTTGAGAGGAATAGCAGTGAATCTGCAAATAGCTTTGGGCAGTCAGGCTATTTTAATGATGTTGATTCTTCCAATCCATGACCATGAACTGTTTTTCCATCTGTGCCTTCTCTGATTTCTTTGAGCAGTGTTTTATAGGTCTCCCTGTAGAGATCTTTCGCCTCCTTGGTTAGATGTATTTGTAGGTTGTGTGTGTGTGTGTGTGTGTGTGTGTGTGTGTGTCTGTGTCTGTGTGTCTATTGTAAATGGGGCTGTGTTCTTGATTTGGTTCTTGGCTTTAGTGTATTGCTGTATAGAAATGCTACTGATTTTTGCACATTGATTTTGTATCCTGAAACTTTATGAAAGTTATTTACTGTTCTAGCAGCCTTTTGATGGAGCCTTCACAGTTTTCCAAGTATAGAACCATCTTGTCATGGAAGAGAGATAACTTCTTTTTTCCCCAATTTGGAGGTATTTTCTTTCTTTCTCTTGCCTGATTGCTCTTTCCAGGACTTTCAGCACTATATTAAATAGGAGGGGCGAGAGTCTGTATACTTGTCTTGTTCTGGTTCTTAAGGGGAATGCTTTCAGCTTCTGCCCATTGAGTATGATGTTAGCTGTGGGTTTGTAATAGATGTCTCTTACTGTTTCGAGTTACGTTTCTTCAATGCCTAGTTTGTTGAGAGCTTTTATCATGAAAGAATGTTGGATTTTATCAAGCACTTTTTCTGTATCTATTTAGATGATTATGTGTTTTTTGTTTTCAATTCTCTTTATGTGGTAAATCACGTTTGTTGATTTGTGCATATTGAACCAAGCTTGCATCCCAGGAATAAAGCCTACTTGACTGTGGTGAATTAAGTTTTTCACGTGCTGCTGTATTCAGTTTACTAGTATTTTGTTGAGAATTTTTGTGTCTATATTCATCAAGGATATTAGCCGGTAGTTTTCTTTTTTCATTATGTCTTTGACAGAATTTGGTTCAGGATGATGGTAGTTTCATAGGATGAGTTAGGGAGGAATTCCTTCTCCTCAATTTTTTGGAATAGATTCAGGGACTCTTCTTTGTACATCTGGTAGAATTCAGCTGTGGATCCATCTGGTTCAGGGCTTTCTTTTGTTTGGTAGGATTTTATTATTATTATTATTGATTCCATTTCAGAACTCATATTGTTCTGTTCAGGGTTTTAATTTCTTCCTGATTCAATCTTGGGAGATTTCATGTTTCCAGAAATTTACCCATTTCCTCTAGATTTCCTAGTTTGTGTGCATGCAGGTGTTTATAATAGTCTCAAGATCTTTTTTATTTCTCAGGGATTACCTGTCATGTCACCTTTGTCATTTCTGATTGTGCTTATTTGGATCTTCTCTCTTGTTTCTTTATTAATTTAGCTAGCAATCCATTGATCATGTTTATCCTTTCAGAGAAGGAACTTTTGGTTTTGCTGATCCTTTGTATAGATTTTTCAGGTCTCAATTTCATTCAGTTCTGCTCTGATTTTAGCTATTTCTTTTATTCTGCTAGCTTTGGGGTTAGTTTATTTTTGTTTTTCTTATTCCTCTATGTGTGATGTTAGAATTTTAATTTGAGATCTTTCTAACTCCTTGATGTAGGTGTTCAGCACTAAACTTTCCTCTTAATACTACTTTTGCTGTATACCAGAGATTTTGATATGCTGTATCTCTCTTTTCATTAATATCAAAGAGTTTTTGATTTCTGCATAAATTTCATTGTTTACTCAAAAGTCATTCAGAAGCAAGTAGTTTAATTTTCATGTAATTGTGTGGCTTTGATAGATCTTCTTAATATTGGTCTCTATTTTTATTTCACTGTGGTCCAAGAGTATGCGTAGTATGATTTCAATTTTTTTGAATTTACTGGGACATGTTTAATGGCTGGACATGTTTAATGGCTGGACATGTGGTCAGCTTTAGAGTATGTTCCATGTGCAGATGACAAGCATGTATATTCTGTAGTTTTTTGGGTGGGATATTCTGTAGATGTCTATTATTTCTAATTGGTCAGTGTTAAATTTTAGTCCAGAATTTCTTTGTTAGCTTTCTGCCTCAATGATCTGCCTAACACTATCAGTGGGAGTGTTGAAGTCCTGCCCCCCATTATTGTGTGATTGTCTAAGTTTTATTGTAGGCCTAGAAGTATTTTATAAATATATATATAATATATATTATAAATATATATATAATATATATTATAAATATATATATTATATATATTATAAATATATATATTATATATATTATAAATATATATAATATATATTATAAATATATATATTATATATATATATATATATAAATCGGGGTGCTTTAATGTTTGGTGCCTATTTATGAAGTGAGGTCTTCTTGTTAAACTGAAACTTTTATCATTAGGTAATGCCCTTATTTGTCCTTTTTTATTGTTGTTAAAGTCTGTTTTATGTGATATAAGAATAGTGACCCCTTCTCTCTTTTTGTCTTCGGTTTTCGTGATAGATCTTTATTCATCCCTTTACCTTCAGCCTATGGGTGTTGTTATATGTGAGATGTGTCCCCTGAAGAGAGAGACACATCCAACAGCAAGTCAGTCTAAATACTGTGGAAATAAACTGAAAGTGGGGTTAGAAAAAAACCAGAGGAAGAAGGTTTGAGTAGTCCTCAGGTACTTGGGAGGCTGAGATGGGAAGACCACCAGGTGAGACTGGGGAGATAGAGGCTACAAGTTTTTTATCCAATGTGCCACTCTGTGCTTTTCAAGTAGTGCATTTAGACTGTTTACGTTCGAGGTTAATATTGATATGTGAGTTTTGATCCTGTCATGATGTTGTTAGCTGGGTGCTTTGTAGTCTTGATTGTGTAATCGCTTTCTAAGATCTGTAGGCTATGTGTATTTTGTGGTAGCAGGTATCATTCTTTTGTTTCCATGTTTATAACTTCCTTAAGGAACTCTTATAAACCTGATCTAGTGATTGCAAATTCCCTTAATGATTGCTTATCTGGAAAAGAATGTATTTGTCCTTTGCTTATGAAGCTTAGTTTGGTGGGATATGAAATTCTTGCTTTGAATTTCTTCTATTTAAGGATTCTGAAAATAGGCCCTAGTCTCTCCTGGCTTGTAATTTCTGCTGAGAATTCTGCTGTTAGCCTGATGGGGTTCCCTTTGTATGTGATCTGGCCCTTTTTTCTAGCTGGCTCTAAGATTTTTTCTTTCACATTGACGTTGGAAAGTCTCATGACATGTGTCTTAGTGATGGTCATCTTGCATAGTATTATGCAGGGATTCTCTGAATTTCTTGAATTTTCATGTTGATTTCTCTAATGAGCTTGGGGAAATTTTCATGGACTGTATCCTCAAATATGTTTTCCAAGTTGCTTACTCTCTCTCAGGAATGCCAATGAGTCATAGGTTTAGTCTCTTTACATAATCCCATATATCTTGAAGGCTGTGTTCATTATTAAATTTTTTTTATTTTAAACATCTTTTCTATTTGTATCTGACCAGGTTGATTTGAAGGACTGGTCTTTGAGCTCTGGATTTTTTCCTCAGCTTGGTTTAGTCTGTTTTTAAGGCTTCCGATTGTATGTTCAGGTTCTTGTAGTAAATTTTTCAGTTCCAAAAATTCAGTTTGGTTCTTTCTTAAAATGGCTATGCCATATTTCAACTCTTGGATTGTTTTACTGGCTTCCTTAGTTTGGATTTCAACTTTCTCTAGAATCTTGATCTTCCTTGCAATTCAGGTTCTGAATTTTATGTCTGTCATTTCAGACATTTCGATGTGGTTAGGATTCATTGCTGGGGAGCTAGTGCCATCCTTTGGAGGTAAGGAAACAATCTTGCTTCTTGGGTTGCTGGACTTCTTGCAGTGATTCCTTCTCATTTGTGGGAGCTCATTTAAAAAAAAATTGAAGTTGCTGTCATTTGGATGGCCTTTTGTTTATATATTCTTTTCCCCCCTGAGGGTTTGACAGTGGTGTGTATTGTGTATAGTTTATTAGCTTCATTTCTGGGGGCTTTCAGAGGGCCAAGATTCTGTATGGGTTCCTTAGCAGTGGCTAGTTTCCTGCATTGGGTTTCACAGGCATTGTGTGTGCTAAAGGAATTTATTTTTGTTTGCTCGTGTAATTCACGCTGCGATCCAGTAGATGATGCTTAAGAGGCTTTTACCCACCTATGTGCCTCTTTTGCATGTCAGTGCATTCACAGCAGTTCTCTGGGGAAGGGGGAGAGAGCGATGACCTCCTTACTAAATCTGTTCCCTGGCCTTAGGGGTGGGGGGGTGGTCCCTCCAATCACTGGTGTTACATTTGTTTTTTCTCAACCCCAAGGGGTGCTGTGGTAGGCTGCATTTCCCCCTCCCTTAGGAGTGGCCTGAGCTGAAGATTAGGTCACCAGGAGACCCACACTTCCCCAGAGATCCACTGGTTCACTGAGCTTGTCAGAGTCAGAGGAGGTTGTGGGGAATGTCTGTGGGTGGTCTGGTGATGCAGTGCGTCAAGGGCAGAGGACCCTTAGGCAGGCATTGGTGTCATGGATGCGCATCTGGTATAATGACCGTGACCCAGGTTTTTTTTTGCCCAGCGAATGGCTGTAGCGGCTGCCCAGGTCACGCTCCCCTGACTGGGTTTCCCTTTGATTTCTGCCCCAGGAGTAGCCCTGAGGAGCTAGATTTGTCCCAAGCCTTCTGAACCTAGATTGCCCTACTATTCCAGGAGTTCCAGGCTTTGGGACTCCCTGAGGCAAAAGCTGTGGTATGTCAACAGGCTACAGGCTTCCTGGACTGGTCTTGCAGAGGGAGGGACACCTAGCTCCTGCACTGGCACTGGAACCAGCACCTTACTCTTCTCTGTTCTGAGAGTGGAGGCTCCTTTCCTGCTTGAACTCAGGCCACAGATCTCAGCTCAATGCCCCTGGATGGTGTGCTTGAACCTTAGGGGCATTGAGACCTGCGGCTTTGTCCTCTGGCCTCCTACTGCGGGGAAGGCAGCCAACTGCTCTTAGGCCACTGGTAAAACACTGGTGGGGCAGTGGAGGCTGTGCAGGAGTGGCCAGGTAGGCAGCCTTGGGAGGGGCTGGCAGACAAGGAGGTGCATGGATCAGGTGTGCCCCAGTTCCACAGGAAAGGCAGCCCTGCTATCTCCCAGACTGGCAGTCAGCAGGGGCTAGAGTTATTCAGAGCAAGGTGGAGAGCCCTGGGGTATGGGTGCCTGTGGATGTGTTTGGGGCAGCTGCCCCACAGGAAAAACCTTTGGGGCTCTGTGTAGGTTCAAGTCTCTGGGTAGTTCTCCCTGCCAGTTCAAATGTCTATGGGGATCACGGAATCTCTTGCAGCAAGGATCCCAGAGGTCTGCAGTGGGATATGTGGTGCCCCAGAGTTCCTTCACTCACCGGCCCCTTAGGACATGTTCAGGATTGGGAGCCAGTCTCGGCACTCAGCAACTTCGCGCAGGCTTCCCACCTTCCTCCCTCTTCAACCCCAGTGCCTGTGTCACCTCTCTTTGAGATTGGTTAAAAGTGGAATAGTTTACTTGATATTTTTGTGTCTATCAGGGGAGAGGTGTTTCCTGGCTGTGTCTAGTTGGCCATCTTGTAGGAGATCCCATCCTATAAAGATAATATTCTTTGAGAACTGTTACTTCTAAGTTTCCTGTAAGTCTCATGCTGTGGCCAGTTTCTGAGAGTAGGACTAACTTGGAGAAATTGATTTCTCCACATTGATTATTTTATGATAACCTATAGAAAGGACTAGAATTAAATTAGAATTTATTATAAGTGTTAGTGATTATGTTGCAAAATAGTAGGATGACCACAGCAAAACAATTTTGAATTTCAAACTGAATTCCATTTTCTGTCGATTACGCTCAAGGTAGCAAAAATAATCAGCAAAATGGACCACTTTGCATTCAATAAATATTGATTCATTCCCTTCTGTCTGAAGTTGTATATATTATTTTTACCCAAAACTCCCCAGCTCAGATCTATTTTTCTTTCACTCTAACCCATAAAGGAAAAAATAATAAAAATTTTCCTAAAGAACTGTGTTTATAGCTATGGCAGGTGATTTTCTTTTTCTTGACTCAAGGTATCTGTCTTTAAAAATCAAATCTGAATGTGTGGGTCTAAGTTTGGATTGTGCAAGTATTTTTTATTGGTCCAGTAAGACTCTGGGAAGTCTAACTTTAGATAGGTAGATACATTTTTAAAAATTTCTTCTGTTATGTGTAGTTTCAATATTAAGAGAATTTAAAACTTACGAATTCTACTTTCTAAGACATATTAAACATATATGAGAGTTAGAGGATGAGATATTTTAATCAAATTTTTTAATATGCTTAGAATTTAAATATTATTGACTTTTTAAGGAATTAAAATTTTTACACAGAAACACACTCAGAACACTACCAATCTACTAAACATGAGATAATCCATTTTAATTGTTCAGAAAATGCTTTAACCTTCTACCAGACCTTCTGATATCGCCAAGGATGTTATTTGTCATTGTACTGTAAATATGGAAAAAACACCAATTACAGATTTCCAGCTGAAAGAATTCAATATTGTATTAGTCCATTCACACTGCTATAACAAAATACCAAACAGAGGGTGGCTTATAAGCAACAGAAATGTAGTTCTCATAGTTCTGGAGACAGAAAAGTCTGAAATCAAGACCAAATGGCTTCTGAGGGCACACTTTCTGTTTCATAGATGGCTATCTTGTCACTGTGTTGTTATACGGCAGAAGGGATTTGTGAATTCTCTGGGGTGTCTTTTATAAGAGCATTAATCCAATTTATGTGAGTTCTACTCTCATGACCTGTCACCTCCCAGAGGCACTAACCCCAAATACCATCATGTTGGAGATTAGGTTTCAACATATTCATTTTCAGGGGTCACAAACATTCAGTGTATAGCACAGATTAGCTCTGATTGTACTTTTATACACCACATAAAAAACAAATACATATATTTGTATAAACAGACGAGGAAAAGCAAATGAAGTTTGCATCTGGTTTCATCATCTCAAAAGAAATCTTACAAACTGGTGTTAAATAATTTAACACATAATCAATCCATCAAACAATAAGGGTAATTACTTAAATAGTTGTTGTCATAGAGGGCTTATCATCTCCATAAAATTAGGATTTCTTAAACCGTTGAATCCCTAATATGTTAATGTCCTTATTTCTAATCATCTAGTGATATTTATTCCTGACTTTTGCTTTAGTAGCTTTTTATAATAACACTCCTGAGCATAATTCATTTAACAACAAAAAAGGTATTTGATTCAAATTTTTAAACAACCTACTATAACATCTTTTTCCTAAAAGATGAATGCAAAAGGAGTGTGGTGGACAAAGTGGAAAATCAAATGAAAAAGTAGCAGCTATTCATTTATCCTGTGAGAGCTATGATCTCTTCAGTGCTTTAGGCAAGTAAAACTTTTATCTTCTCTCTTACAATGTTACAAAATGCATGCTACCACTAGCATCAATTTTTGTTTTTTTAAAAAATGTATGAACACATTTATTTTTAAAATTGCTTTTAGCCTGATGCTCTCAATGTTTGGTATCAGTTCAATTTTCATTTTTTCCCCAAAATTGAAAGTAATATTTTTTAAGCAGCATGAAGGTAAAAATAGGCATTTTAATTAAATTATCAGAATGTTGCTTTTGCTTCCTTATGACTGGCCTGGCCATGTAAACTAAGTAAGCCTTGTTGTAACAGAAAGCAGAACTAATTTTGCTATCTCGGAAATTAAGTTAGAATTATTTTCAGTTAAAGCAAAAAGACCTGTACCTTTTCCCGAAAGTGTTAACTTTGCTGTCTTCCTGTGCCATTACAACTCTCTCGGCTGGACGCGGTGGCTCACACCTGTAATCCCAGCACTTTGGGAGGCCGAGGTGGGCGGATCTCCTGAGGTCAGGAGTTTGAGACCAGCCTGGCCAACATGGAGAAACCCCGTCTCTACTAAAAATACAAAAATTAGCCGGGTGTGGTCACACATACCTGTAATCCCAGTACTCGGGAGGCTGAGGCAGGAGAATGGTTTGAACCCAGGAGGCAGAAGTTGCAGTGAGCCGAGATGCTGCCATTGAACTCCAGCCTGGGCAACAGAGCAAGACTGCATCTAAAAAAATTTAAAAAATAAAAAAAAAAAACACTCTCACAAATGAAAAATATTTATGAAGCATGTCTACCTATTGAGAGATTGTTAACAAAAGTCTTGGTCAAATAGTTGTGCAACTTATTTTAATGAAAACTCCATATTCTATTAATGCTGAAGTAATGGAAAGTAATACTCAATTGGACACTTCTTGATGAATTAAGAAGAATGCTTGTCTTACCTTAGCATCATTGTTTACAGTAACAAATGTGGATCCATGGCCTTCTGTCTCTGAGCTCCTTCTATGCAATGATTTCCAGTACTTGGTTTTCCTTTCTACTCACTGCCTTCCTCTCCTGCCTGTGCTGGTGGTTTATTTTACTTGACAGAGCTTTGCATTGGCTACTGCTCTCAAATTCTGGTTTCTCTTGTTCTCCAGTTTTTGCCTATAACGAGAGTCACATCCTAAAGCCCAGCACCACAGCCATGCATTTCACCACTCTGCCTTGTTTCTATTTTCTTCCTCAAAAATATCGTTCTTGTAGCTAAATCCTGAACACCAGGGACAGTCTTTCCACAATATTCTGCCCCTCAAGACTTGAATCTTCTATCTTGGTGCCTTGTTTACCTGATTGGAAACCTTGGTGTCAAATATTGCTTGAATTGTGGCTAGAACTCTGTGGTAAACAAGGAGATGCCCCATCCAGATCCCTTTCAAAGAAGGACTTGCTTTGGCAGCCATCTCCAGCTGTCACTTCCTGCAAGGTCTGCCTCAAATGAACAGAGCTGCTTCATGTGAGGTCATGCCATTCTTGGATCAGTCTTCATGCAGGGAGGTAGTGATAAAATGATCTGACCATTTTGTCTCAAAACAGGACAACTCTGATAAGCAATATTTTCTCCGAGGCTTTCCGCTTGGTAGGCTGAAGATTTGTCAGGTCTGTATCATGCAGTTAGCTTCTCCCTCTGCTCAATCCTCTTCCTTCTCTTTCTTCTTACTGATGCTGAGCCCCAATAAACATATGGTACCTCAAACATCTCAGCATCTGCTACCATAGTGCTTGACCAGCAACAACCTCCTGTGTTCTACAAGATACCCATCCTCTTCAGTGTTCCTCTCCCCACCTCTAGTGAATTGCCACATGCTTACCATTAAGCCTCATTCAGTCTTAATATCTGACAGCAACTGTCCCTAAGACTCTAAGACTTTTTTGGTTTTTAATTTTATTTTACTTATTTATAATTTTTGAGACAGAGTCTCACTCCCAAGCTGAAGTGCAGTGGCGCAATCTTGGTCACTGCAACCTCCGCCTCCAGGGCTCAAGCGATTCCTGTGCCTCAGCCTCCTGAGTAGCTGGGATTACAGATGCACGCCACCACGCCCGGCTAATTGTTTGTATTTTAGCAGAGACGGGGTTTCACCACGTTGCCCAGGGTGATATCGAACTCCTGAGCTCAGGCGATCTGCTCGCCTTGGCCTCTCAAAGTGCTAGGATTACAGGCGTGAGCCACCTCACCAGGCCAAGGCTTTTATTACTGAGTTAGGAAGAAAATGTAAACATACCAGAAGGCTGTGGAAGTGTTAAAGCCAGTGAATCACTTTCCTGGGCAGAGTTACTCCTGTTGTATGAATGAACGCTATGCCACAGGCTCCTATGTGATGGCAACAGAGGGCCTGGATCTTTTATGACATGGACTCTCCTATAAAATGGGCACTGAAACTAAAGCAAACAATGGAAGAAGGATTGGTACCATATAGAGACATTTTTAAAGAAATAACAAGACAAAAAGCCAGACAGAAATTACAATGTAATTCCGTAAATTTACACTGAGTGAAGCTGTGTCTCCTGCCTCCCCTTTTACATCCTCCACCTCTTTTGCCTCTGCCACTCCTGTTAGCAAGACCGATCCCTCCTTTCCTCCTCCTTCTCAGCCTACTCATGTGAAGACAATGAGGATGAAGATCTTATGATGATCCACTTCTACTTAATAAATAGTAAATATAATTTTCTTCTTTTTTTGGGAAAGAACATAGTTCTTTTTATTGTAGATGGTCATTGAAAGTTCTTGAATTGGGGGAGGAGTGCAATCAGATCTGGTTATATGTGAAGGATGGATTGTAGGAGAAATAACTGGAGATAAGATGAGCAGCTAGATGATACTTTAAAGGTATAGGTGAGAGTCAATAAGGATATGAATTAAGCAGTAGAAGTGGAAGGGGCAAAGAAGGGATCAGGAACTTCTGGTTTGAGTTGACGTTTCTCCTACATCTCTTTAAAAATCACCCCAAAGCAGGCCAGGTGCGGTGGCTCATGCCTGTAATCCCAACACTTTGGGAGGCCGAGGCAGGTAGATCACGAGGTCAGGAGATCGAGACCATCCTGGCTAACACGGTGAAAACCCGTCGCTACTAAAAATACAAAAAAGTAGGTGGGCATGGTGGTGGGCACCTGTAGTCCCAACTACTCAGGAGGCTGAGGCAGGAGAATGGTGTGAACTAGGGAGGCGGAGCTTGCAGTGAACAGAGATTGTGCCACTGCACTCCAGCCTGGGCAGCAGAGCAAGACTCCATCTCAAAAAAAAAAAATCACCCCAAAGCAATAAGGAGAACTAGAACAGAATATACACTCCAACTCTGGTGAAACTAGGAAAACATATGCAACCACAAACCACAATATATACAGACAAAACTATACGAGATGTTGGGAATTGATTTAGCAGATCACAGAAAGCTTAAAAAGATGAAAGTTAAGTGTTTGTGGATAGTATACCAGTGAGAAGCAATTTTATGCATTCTGAAGTGCCACAGACAGACCAAAAAACTAGGGACACCAGGTGCTGTGGAAGGTTGTCTCAGTCAGTTTGGGCTGCTCTAACGAAGTTCCATGGACTGCTTGTCTTATAAACAACATAAATTTATTTCCCACAGTTCCAAAGCCTGGAAGTCTGAGATCAGGGTGCCAGCATGGTTGGGTTTTGGTGAGGGCATTCTTCCAGGTTGCAGACTGCCAACTTCTCCTGTATCCTCACATGGTGTGAAGGGAATGAGAAAACTCTCTAAGGTCCCCGTTATAAGGGCACTAATCCCAATCATTAGGGTTCAACACTCATGACTTAGTTACCTCTCAAAGTCCTCACCTGTTAATACCATCGACACTAGGGGTTAGAATTTCAACAAATAAATTTTGAGGGAACAGACACACACATTCAGTCTATAGCAAAGGTGGAAGTGTGGTATAGTTGAAAACAGAGGAATTGGGTGAAAGTCTGCAAAAAAGTCAGTTCGACCTCCAGGCCTCCACCCTGGACATCCAGGTAATTGTCCCTCTCTTACTTTGGCAGGAGAGGAGAGATTTATTCTATGAAGCAGCTGAACCAGACGGCTTCTGAATTCAGAGACACAAGGTATGGCAGAGAGCTTGGATGAAGTAACCAACTCAAAAGAGAGGGGTTACGTGAAAGGCTGCATCCTGAATGATAAGGCACTCAGCTCCCTTTCCCTACCCTAGCAAAGGCCATCTACTACACTTAAATCTCAATGGAAAAGACTGGTGCCTCCTCCTCTGGGGATCACAATGGCCAGGGAGAAAGAGGAAAGGGAATACAAGTGCATGCACACACACATGTATTTTCCCAAGGAAAACATCTATGGGTTGGATTTCAGCAGTATCAAGCCTCACTCAAACACAGAGGGTTTCAGTGTATCAGTCTTAGAAATGAATGCAAAGCGGAGTCTGGATTTTTTAGAAAGTTCTATCACAGAAGAAGCAGAGAGAAAAGAAAAGCTCGAAAAAAAAAAAAAAAACAAGCAAACAAAGAACAGAAGAAAATTTACCTTAAAGCAATAATTAATATCCCCAGAGAGTCAAGGATGCTATAGGAATAGAAGAAGAATTAGAAGAGAATAAGAAAAAGCTCTTATACATTCACAATATAGCAAAAATTAAAAATTTAAAAGAAGAATTGGAACATGAAGTTGATGAAGTCTCACTGAAAGTAAAACACAAAGATATGAATAAGGAGAGAAAAAATAAGGAAAATGGAGAATTCTAATATCAAACTAATAGAGGTTAATTTTCTTAATATTTTCTCTAGCTTTATTGTAAGAAGAAAGTATAAAATACATATAACATACAAAATATGTTTTACTTGACTGCTTATGTTATCCATAAGGCTACCTGTCAACAGTAGGGTATTAGTAGTTAGGTTTTTGGGGAGTTAAAAAGCTATACATGAATCTAGGAATATGCTTTGTAGAACATTTAAAATAATAGCTATCGTTTATGTTATATTACTGTTGTATAGCACCGGCCTAGGCATGCTGTCAAACAAAGTCTATAACATAATTATTTTACATATCAGCAGCACTAGCACACAATATGTAAAGACTATGAAGTGGACAATTCTACTATCGATGCTACAGTCTTGCTATAGCTCCTGAGTTTTAGAGTGTAATCTAGATATAAGAGAGTTTAGAAAGGAAATCCTAATTTTTGAGCTGAAAATCTTAATTTAAACCTGAAATGAGTAATGAGAAATCTCAGAAGTTACAGAATTTAACTCTAAGATTATAAAGAGAGCTTCTTTGAAAAAAGAATCAATAAGGTCTACTATTTGATAGCACAACAGGGTCACTATTGTCAATAATAAATTTATTATACATTTTAAAGTAACTAAAAGAGTATAATTGGGCTGGGCGCGGTGGCTCACGCCTGTAATCCCAGCACTTTGGGAGGCCGAGGCGGGCGGATCACGAGGTCAGGAGATCGAGACCATCCCGGCTAAAACGGTGAAACCCCGTCTCTACTAAAAATACAAAAAATTAGCCGGGCGTAGTGGCGGGCGCCTGTAGTCCCAGCTACTTGGGAGGCTGAGGCAGGAGAATGGCGTGAACCCGGGAGGCGGAGCTTGCAGTGAGCCGAGATCCCGCCACTGCACTCCAGCCTGGGCGACAGAGCGAGACTCCGTCTCAAAAAAAAAAAAAAAAGAGTATAATTGGATTGTTCGTAGAACAAAGGATAAATGCTTGAGGTGATGGATACCCCGTTTACCATGATTTGGTTATTATGCATTGTATGCCTGCATCAATGTATTTTGTGTAACCCGTAAATATATATACCTACTGTGTACCCCAAAAAATTAAAAATTAAAAAAAATAAAATTTGGAAAACCTTCTTTGCTCTTAGGCAGAATAGATTTATAAAATAGCAAAGAAAAACAAGGAAGTTCACTTATTATTTCTGAGTTTTATGCTCATCTGTTTGTAACTCATGACAAATAAACACTATAACTAGTGTTTGCATGAATAGTGCCAAAGCTGGGCCATTAAACAGAATGAAATCAGAATCTGTTGGGTTAAATGTGAGAATAGACAGTAGCACAGACACAAGGGTTCTTAAATCTGATAATGTAATTTGAAGAAAATAAAGATGGACTTGCCAGGCTTCAGGGCAAGTGCATGTCCAAGCTGGAGGGCTGAGCAAGTAGAGTGGTCCTAGTCAATTACATTTTGAGGCATCAGCTGACACTGCCACAGTTAGAACAGTAGCGGGCCAAAGCCAGCTATCCCATTCACATGTAAAGGGCCTATAATAGGGGCTTCCAAAGGGCAAATTAAAATCCATTCTAGTATAAACTCGACAACTCTACATAGCTCTGAGATGTCCAAAGTGAGGAGCAATTGGTGGTGATGAGTGTGCATGTAAGCTACACTGGCAATTTTCAGACCTAGGGAACAGCAAACCTCACCAAGGGCTTTTGGATTGAAGAATAACATAAATTGGTTTAATCTCTGCAGCCTTTGTTAAATACCGAATCAAATTAAACCAGTGAGAACTACGCCAGGCAGGAATTCCTGTTGAATCTTGTTTGGGTCAATCCATCATGGCTACTGAGACACGACAAGCAAAATTTGAATATCATGTCTGCAGTTGCATTCACTTGTTCAGGTGTCACATGGGAAAAGAGACCTGAAGACTTGGTTAGGAGCTGGTTTCAGAAAAACCAAATGGATCTATCAGTAGAATCCACATGTCCTGGCAGAAGGTTAGCAGTGTCTCAAGCCCCAACCTCATTCCTTAAATCTTTTTAAAAAATATATCGATACATAATAGTTGTACATACTTATAGGGTACATGTGGTATTTTGTTACATGCATAGAATGTGTAATGATCAATTCAGGATATTTAGGATATTTATCACCTCGAGCATTTATCATTTCTATGTGTTGGGAATATTTCAAGTCCTCTCCTCTGGTTAACTTAAAATATACAATACATTGTTGTTTACTATAGTTATCCTACTTTTCTACTGAACATTAGAACTTATTCCTTTTATCTAACTATGTTTGTATCCATTAACCAACCTCTTTTCATCCTCTCCTTTCACACACTCTTCACAGACTCTGATAACTATCATTCTACTTTCTACCTCCATGAGATTAACTTTTTAGCTCCCACATATGAGAGAGAACATGTATATTTGACTTTCTGTGCCTGTCTTATTTCACTTAACATAATGACCTTCAGTTCCATCTATGTTGGTGCAAAAGACAGGATTTCATTCTTTTTTAAGGCCGAATAGTATTCCATTGCTTATTTTTACTACATTTTTCTTATCTACTCATCTTTTGATGGACACCTAGGTTGATTCCAAATCTTTGCTATTAAGAATAATGCTGTAACAAGCATGGTGGTGCAGGTATCCCATTGATATATAACTTCCTTTCTTTTGAATAAATACCCAGTAGTGGGATTGGTGGGTTATATGGTAATTTTTCATTTTTAAGAACTCTCTACATTTTTCTTCATAATGGCTATATAAATTTACATTCTCATTTTGTCTTAAATTTTAAATAAGATATATGGGATCTTTCATACCCTATGAGTAGGTAGAAACTAAACCAAATTGAGCTCATCTAGTGAGATCCAGTGTTATTTTAGTGTTAGAATATTTCCAATAGTAGAATTTACTTATTGGTAGAGTTTTAAATGAGTAAGGTGTCAGGATTCCCAGGAATAGTAAGTTAAGATGGTTTTGGGTTTCTCTGAAACATTTTTTTCCCCATCTAGGCATAGCTCTGCATTGGATCAGTAATGTTGGCATTAGTTCAGGCCAGAGCTGCATACTGAACTGTGTAATAAGCCATGTCTCACTAACAAACATTAAAAATATTGCACTCTGAAGATTGAAATGGACGTTTTCCTGGAAACTAAATGCATGAACATATCGTAAATCCATTAATGAAATGGGTAATTTGACCATAGATATCACATGATGTAAATATTTAATGTTCTGTTTTGGTTATTAAATGAAAAAAGAGGATAAAATGTTGAGATGAGAAAATCCCACATTAATCATTGGGGAATTTGGTCAGGAATTGATTCTCTGGGACTTCTTCAACCTGGAAAATCAAGGAAGAGACAAAATGACATCTGTGTCAGAAAAGAGTTAAGCTTGGTTATATTTAATGGACAAAACATGTAAAACCATATTTCTGTCATTTGAAATTAACCATAGTGAAATAATTTTACACCTGGAGGAGCCCTTTGTGAAGTTTTTCTCCAACCTTTGTCTTACGGGCTTAAGCAGCAGCAAAGTCTTGGCTCAGTGTCCCAGTGGTTAGGTTAAACTCATGCTCCCTGTTCAGCCCAATGCTTTTTGTATGGGATTTCTCCATTTTTCTTTGCTTTCAAAGTATTGATTTTTCAAATAAACATTTACATATATACGTACCAATTACAGACAACTTAGAGCATTCAAGGCCCTAAGAGAATTATTAGCATTCTTCTCTTCATTTTGCTGACAAGAAAACTAACATTAAGATGTCAAATAACTTGCCTAACACCATGCAGATAGTAAGGCTCACAGCAAGAGTTTCAACACATTGGTGTCAACCTGACTGTAGAGAGCAAAGCTTCAACATTATGTAAATGTGCAAAATGTAACAGAATCCAACAGGAAGAGGAGTGGTGTGAAAGAATGCATGGTGGTTTTTGTTTTTATTAAAAATGCTGCATTATCATTATTATTATTATTTGAGACAGAGTTTCACTCTGTCGCCCAGGCTGGAGTGCAATGTTGTGATCTCAGCTCACTGCAACCTCTGCCTCCTGGGTTGAAGTGATTCGCTTGCCTCAGCCTCCCGAGTAGCTGGGATTACAGGTGTACACCACCACACCTGGCTAACTTCTTGTATCTTCAGTAGAGACGGGTTTCACCATGTTGGACAGGCTGGTCTCGAACTCCTGATCTCGTGACCCGCTCACTTCGGCCTCCCAAAGTGCTGGGATTACAGGCGTGAGGCACTGCTCCCAGCCTAAAAAATGCTGCATTCTAATGTTCACAAACGAAATAGAATCATGACAAATAAAATAAAATAGATTCTGTTATGATTCACATTCCTGGAATTGTTAACTATTTAATAGGAATCTGTTACCATGTGGTTTAGAATCCCTCATTTTGTTTAATCACATCGGGGGTGGTAGAAGCTATCCTCCATCTGTTGGGTGGGGAAGTACGGATAAGTTCTTCTTGTTTTTAATTGACACAGTAATAGTATATATTTATAGGTGCAGTGTGATATTTCAATACATATATACATTGTGTAATGACCAAATCAGAGCAATAGCGTATTTATCACCTCAAACATTTATCATCATTTTCTACTGAGAGCATTCAAAATCCTCTCTTCTAGTTTTTTGAAATATACAATACATTATTGTTAACTATAGTCACACTACTGTGCATTAGAACACTAGAATTTATTCATCCTAACTGTAACTTTATACCCACTGACCAATTTCTCCCCATTCCTTCCTCTCCCATACCCTCTCCAGTCTCTGGTAACCACTATTCTGTTCTCTGCTTCCATGAGATTGACTTTTTAAGATACCACATATGAGTGAGATCATGCAGTATTTGTCCCTCTGTGCTTGGCTTACTTCACTTAGC
Source organism: Homo sapiens (assembly GCF_000001405.40). Taxonomy (NCBI): domain Eukaryota; kingdom Metazoa; phylum Chordata; class Mammalia; order Primates; family Hominidae; genus Homo; species Homo sapiens. The sequence goes on along the minus strand of NC_000005.10, from coordinate 40,153,283 downwards.
ATAATGTCCTCTAGGTTCATCCAAGTTGTCACAAATGACAGGATTTCATTCTTTTATTATAACTGAATAGTATTCTATTCTGTATATGTGCCTCATTTTAAAATCCAGTTATTCATTGGTTCCATATCTTGACTATTGTGAATAATGCTGCAATAAACATAGGGGTGCAGATATCTCTACATAGTGATTTCATTTCCTTTGGATATATAATCTCATTAGTGGGATTGTTGGATCATATGGCAGTTCTATTTTTAATTTTCTGAGGAACCTCCGTACTGTTTTCCATAATGGCAGTACTAATTTACATTCCCACTAATGTGTATGAGTTCCCATTTCTCCACATCCTTGCCAGCATTCGCTATTTTTTGTCTCTTTGATAATAGTCATTCTAACTACAGTAAGGTGACATCTCTGTGATTTTTGACTTGCATTTCCCTGATGATTAGTAATGTTGAACATTTTTTCATGTTTGATGGTCATTCGTATATTTTCTTTTGAGAAATCTCTATTCAAATCTTTTGCCCAGTTCAATTATTTGTTTTTTTGTTTTTTTGTTTTGCTGTTGAGTTGAGTTCTCTATATATTCTGGATATAAACCCCTTGTCAGAGGCATAGTTTGAAAATATTTTCTTCCATATTGTGGATTGTCTCTTCACTTTGTTTTTCCTGTGCTGAGCAGAAGCTTTGTAGTTTTACGTCATCTTATTTGTTTATTTTTGCTTTTGTTGCCTATGCTTTTGAGGTCCTATCCAAAAAAAATCCTTTTTCAGACCAATGTCACAAAACATTTCCCCTGTGGTTTCTTATTTTGGCAGTTCCATAGTTTTGGGTCTTGCTTTAAGTCTTTAATTCATTTTGAGTTGATTTTTGCATATGGTGAGAGGGGTCTGGCTTCATTTTTCTGCTTGTTGATATTCAGTTTTCCCAGAATTATTTATTGAATAGGCTGTTCTTTCCCTAATGTATGTGCACATTGCACTCAAACTAAGAGAACTGTGTTTTTCATACTTCAGAAGTAAATAAGTTTAAAGAGTAGCCAAGAAAAATCTTAAAAACATGGTTTTAGAAAATATGACAAATTGCTTACACAGAAGGAAGAAAATATCACAAAGGAATGAAACGTTTTTTAGCCTAAGTACATAATGTGGTATATATTAGAGTATACTTCCTTTGGCCTTTCTTAATGTATCATAGTAATTTCTTCATCCTTAAATCTTTCTTGGAGAAAAGATGCATAGAAGAATTTTGTAGGTAAATAGGGAACATGAGAAATACTTTTCCAAAATCTATTGACATTGCATGTGTCACTAAGAAATGAAAATGTCCTCAGAAAATCCAAGTAATTCTGGAAACCTAGGGAGTCAAAGAATATGGGCCCCTTAATATTTTATGATGACTTAAAAGCTAAAATATAGGAGTTCCATGTTGAGCATGGGGGCCATGACTATAGAGTAGAGAGAAGCCTTTTCCAGCTACTATTAAATTAGAATTATATGCTGCCCAGCTTTGTGGTTATAGTCACAGGGCTGTTTTTTGTTTGCCTGCTTGCTTTATCATGGTTATTGTTTGTTCCTTCATGTTGCAGTTCTTACGTATACATTCCCAGAATGTTCTCTTCTAAATTTGGATTTGGGCAAAAAGGGAAAACAGAAGACAATGTATTTTTACAATCCCACAAATCACAGGGGCATCATCACCTGTGCTTCTTATTGACTTTGGGTGCCTATTTTCCCTCTATTCATTATATCAGCTTGAAGCCTGAGTAGCAGTGAATTTATCCAAATTTATGATCAGAATGTGGGAACAGCAATAAGGATTCTAGAGGCCTAAAATAGATAAGTGGAGTGTGTGGGTTTTGGGGGTGGAGGGGTGAATAAACTGCAGTCATTTAAAGAGAGGAAGAAAGGAGATGGCATTGAGTGCTGTGGGGCACTCTATCAGCAAGGGCAGGGCTGAGGACATAGAAAAGCAGCTAGGTATTTCAAAAAGGAAGGGTTTACTATAGGAACTTTGTCACAATGTTTTGGAAAGGCTAGGAATAAATGAGAGGAAAAGATAAAGACTGGAGGAGCAAAAGGAAGAAGGGGTGATACTCTAAGATGAAGAAACAACCAACAGCCCTAGGCTGGAGCCCACAGGGCTGCCCCTGCTGCTGCACTGCTGGAAATGCAGAAACTGCAGAAGTTGTTGCTGCAGCCTAGGCTACAGAAGTCTGCAGTTGTCCTGCCCCGTTGCTGTGATGGTAACTTCTAACAGCTTCCATTGTTGTCAATCAGCAACTGAAAGCTCTTCTCTCATCTTCTGTTCTCCTGCCAATGCCTCACATTAGCTGGACTTAGGAAGCCAAACAACAAGAAGTCTGTGGAATGCAGCTTCAGTCTTCCATCCCCAGTTCTACAGAGCAGGGTATGGAAGGGGAAGTGAGTAGCTATACTTGCTCTTGCCATAAACTGGAAAATCACTATCAACTCGAGTGCAGAATCTTCAGCATGCGAAGGGTTCCAAGGAATAGCTAGCATCGGCATTACTTCAAAATTTTATTTTCATGTTTGGCTAGGAGCATTTCAATCTTGTCTACTGCAGGGCTTGGTAAACTTTTTCTTAAAGGTTCAGAAAGCAAATATGTCAGTCTTATGGGCCATTCAGTCTCTGTAACAACTATTATCTCTGCTACTATAGTATGACAGCAGCCATGGACAATATTAAAATCAATGAGCATATCTGTGTTCTACTAAAATTTTACGTACAAAATCAAGTGGTTGACCTGGAAGTCAGAGTTTGTGGACATCTGGTTTATTGAATAACAGACCTATTGTCTAAAGAAACCACAGAATGATTTGAAAAATATGAACTTATTGTGAGTAGAATTTAAATGTATTAATTTTGGTTTAATTTGCAGATGTTTCTTTGAAGAATTCATGTATTGTAAATATGAAAAACAAATCTGTACAAGTCCTCTTTCACATTTTTGATAGTTTCAAAATACTTAGAAGATTGTTTAATTCCTTTAACTTACTGGTAAATAGACAACCAAACAAAAAAACAACAGTAACAAAAACCTTTCGGAGTATTTGGGATCAGAAACAGTTTTGTTTCAGAATCCCTGTATAGCAGCTCAGAACCTGTTGTAGAAAAGGGAGACCAATAAACAGAATACCAAGTATGTTTGTGTGGATAAGAGAAGAAGACATAGTGTGAGCATCGCACCAGGCCATGCAGGCCATTGGTGCTGTGTGTAAAAAGCCCAAAAGTTTAAGCTTATGGAAATCTATCTGAAACTACAAAAACAGTTTAGGTTACACTGAGAACCCTCCTGATGAGAATTAATTACTATAACATAATCTGGAATATCCAAACTGATACATTAAATGACTAAATTAATGTTATTGTGGATATTTTCTTAAATTTGTTCTATATAATAAATTCTGTTATTTAGTATTAGGTCAAGTAAAAGCTGACCTAATACTTAACTCTTCACTCCAAATGAAGTGTCCACAATGGAATTCTTTAAGTCTTTCTGCACCTGACAAATTCAGGGTGTATACGTAGAATAGCTTTTGTTTAAGGAATTTCAAGTAAATGTTGGGTATGTTACATCATGTTTTAATCTTTTGCATCTGAAGCATGTAAGCACATCTCATTATTATTCAAATTCTGAGTACTGCTAGTGACAGGTATTTATTATATAAACTTAATGCCTTGGAAGAAAGAATAAGGCTTCATAATCTTCAATATTAAACATCTTTATCAAAAAAATTATGCTAGATAATGCCTAATGCATACATTTACATTTTCATACATGCATACATGTTTATTCAGTGGTTACTAAATTATTTGTCTTAATATAAAGCTATTTTTTTGCATAGTACTTTCTCGGCCAATTTGATTGGCCAGTTTCCTAGTGGATGTTTCAGAGTGCAGGATAGTAAGGCAGCATTTGCTTATGTAATAAGGATTTTTTATACAGAAAAAAATTTAAGAGATTTTCATAGTGACATATAAGTACTCATTAAATGTATGTTGGGATATGCTAGGTATATTCCAAGTGTGGTTAAGCTTCAAAACCTAAGTCTAGAAGGAATAAAATATTTTTTTCTTACCCAAGTATATGAGCCCCTTGTGGTGTCTTATTTTCTATTGCAGGTTTCCCCCCCACCCCAGAATAATTAAAAGTAGTGTCAACTGAAAGGTTAAATAGCAGGCATTATAACTGAAATTTAAAATTAGTTTTATTCAGAGCCAAGTTCAAACTAATAGCCCAGGAAACAGACACAGATCAAACTAAGAATGTGTGCTGGAGTGTGCTACGCAAGACACGGTGTTTACATGTTCTGTTATAGAGAAAATGGGAGAAGTAGGTAGTGAAGCAAAGATGACATTCTTGCCATTCTGACTGGTGCTCAGTCATGTATATGAGATAAAACAAATATGTGGTTAACATATATAGGGTAAAATGTTAATGAGCATATCTATGTCTTAGGGTCTGGAGAGGGATGATTGATTCTACCTTGCCTTTATGATTTATCTGATAGACAAAAGTTGTAATCAGTACAGGCCAGTGAAATATTTGACAGATTCCAGCCTTGCAGCTTAGAGTTCAGCTTTAGGTCATAGCTCTAGTTTGTATTTCTCATATGTCCAACCTGTAGCCATCTTAGGCCACTTTAAATTTTTTATTCTGATTTTCCCTTATCTGACAGTAGGAATGCTCACTCCCCTCAGAGAAACTGCGCCTTTCAGATCTCACCATGTGCCCCACTGAATTTTTTTAGAGCACATTATTCAGTATTGTGTGCATTTCCAAAATTCGTAGTCTTTGTGCTTCAGACTGTGCATGAGCCTCGTGTACGTGGTGCCATACTACCACCTGTCTAGCTATTTCCTTTTTTTCACAGGTTCCACAGCTTTCCTCCCTAGAATGGGAAGATCATATCTGTGTATCCTCTACTATTCCTTCCATCTCACCTTACCTCATTGAAACAACTACTCAAAAAAGAAAACTCGTAATACCACAAGAACAGGCATTCTGAATTTTACAAAGCCCAGGAAACTATTTGACCCTGTCAAACTCTCATGGCCTTTCTTCTACCCAAATAATGCATAAATAAATAAAAATCCTTCATCATTAGAAAGCTAGAATGCCTTAAAAGCAAAATGTTGGTTCAACTATCTGCTACAGTTTACATTAGCAAGTGAACGCTTTGTGTACTGAAGGTTTTGTATTTGATAGTGATTTTGTAGCTCATAAAAACTTTAAGGGAAGAGTTATGTTTTATGCTTGTGTAGCTGAAGGACCCAAATCCAAGAAGTTCTCCAGAAAAAGGAACAGGACTGTCTATAGAGCCCATTAAAATCTTATCCTTTGGGATGTAGGAAACTGCTTACAATATTTAAAAGCCAAAAGTTTTAGTTCTACTCATCGAGATATTTAATATGTTAGAATAACATTTCTAGCAGATCACCCCACTATACATATGTACTTTGAAACACAGAATCCCTTGTTGTAATTATTCTTTCTGAAAACAAAGTACTGCTGAACATTATAAAATTGGTTAAGCAAGTTCAGTCCTCCAATGACAATTGAATTCCACTATAATTTCCTAAGAAAGAATACATTGGACAAAATTTTTAAAAGCCAAGCTATATGATATATAACCACTATTTACACAAACTAGAAACATGTTAACTTTATGACCTACTAAAGTTGATTTCATTTCTCTATGTTTATATTTAGAAGTTATCCCATTTGTTTTTTATGTTTTCATATATGAATAAATAACATTCTTTTTGCAAAATACACTTGAAGTGCTTAGAAAATACTAACTATACAATGCCATCTTAGGAAATTATGGCAACAGATTGTCATACTAAACAAAGACTATTCTCTTTCTCACCTACAGACAATTGATTAGTCAAAGCCACATGATATTTGTGGCTCTGGATCTTATGAATTTCCATTGATAATATGGCTAGACACACACATAAACACATTTACAGAAATACACGTAATATGTTATCAGTTTATATATATGTGTGTGTATACATATATGTATATAGATTTTGTATATGTATTCTGTATATAAATTCTGTATATATATATACACTATATATTTACACATATAGTATATATAATATATGTTTATATATATAAAACTTGATGAATGTTGTTTAATCACCAGTTTTCATAAGGTGGGAAACATATATGTATATGTACATACACAACACACATACACATATATATACACATATACAGACATATATATATGTAATTTTTCTATTGCAACATAAAGAAAATACAGCACTTCCTTTTTCACTGATGGCAAAATTAAAGTGATTTCAAACTGGGAAAGAAAAATAGGTAGAATGTATTGTTGTGATATTGAGTATGTGGTTCTTTTTATTTCTTAAAAGTGATTCATTGAAGGGACAGCTGTAAACAAGGGAAAACTACTTGAAGCTGCAGCCCTTTAACAGGGAAACACTGAGTGAATGTCCTGTAATAATTTGAATTTCTCTGTAAGGTTCAATGAGCTCGAGAATAGCAGTTCATGTTTAATTCGTAAGGTAAGAGGTAAATCACAGGCAGATGAAAAAGCTTTCTACCTTCATGCAATTGAAACCTACCAAGATAAAAAATAATTCATTTGCAGTGGAAAGGTTCTACTTGGTTCTACTCTGTTGAACAGAGAGTATTCATAGTGCCAAGGTAGCGTTCTCTAAACTAGGATAATATTACTTTAAAACCAAGTTTGATTGGAGGGTAAAAAATCAGCTTTTCAAAAAAGACAAAAAAAAAAAAAAATGCTTCCTGGAAGGTTGGTGGAGCTGGGATCAAGAGAATATATGCGGTCTAGTCGATCTAGCATCTCTCTAGTGTAAGTCGCATGCCAACATGGGAAAAGTAAGGACAATGCTATGTGGTTATGATGATAGAGGTCACACTGAGGTGGCTGATGTAGTAGGCTTGCCTTGTGTTGATTAAAAGCTCTGTCTTATAATTTTAAGAAAAACTAATGAGCAGAAAATAGAAACAGCTGAGCAATTAAGCCTGAGATTTCTGGAAATGTTTTAGTTGAGGAGACATTGACAGGTCTGATCTGTACCCTGTTAATAGGTTAGGTTTAGAATAAAGCCTATGAAAAATCCCTGATGATTTTGTATTGCTAACTGCTCATTCTCAAACTAAATGATTATAAACATTCTTCTAAGATATTCATGTCTATTACTTTGCTCCTGCACAATGCGAATATAGAACCATCTTTATCAGTATGATTTATAGCTACTCTTCCTGATGTCATAGGAAGAATCAGCTTTCTATAATTATTTTCATTGAAAATTACCGTGTTATTGACACTATTGTATCAACTTACTATAAAATGTACTTTATTTCCTTCAGATTGCTAGTTCTGCCAGTAATGTCAATAAAAATAAGTAAGCAGAATATGTAAGCTTTAGAATCTATTGCACTAAGAAATATTTATGAGACAATTGTAGGCAATTGATTAACTCAGGTATCTTCAGAAATTAACTTAAATATCTCTGAATTTTAGTCAATCCAGATAAAATAGCTAATGGGAACTGCCTTATACAAATATGAAGAAATGAAATAATGAATATTCAGCACATGATAGCCCTTATTGAGTGTATATATTTGCCCATTTTAAACATTTTCCCACTTCAAATAACAAATAAATGACATAATATATTAATTCATCTAGTAATGTCAGTGAGAGAAAGCTTTCATTTAAATTCCATGCAAATAACTTATTGTGAGATCTGAGGGTTTGACAGCCAGTTGCTCATAGATCTCAATACATATCACATCTGCTTTTTTTCTTTTTAAAAAAAGCAATTTTACTTAAAAAATATATTGTAGGCATCCTATTATGAAAAAGGTGGGAGGTGGTAGAGATGGAGCAAGTGTCTAAAGAATAAGACTTACTGGTTTGGTAGAAGGTGGAAAATGTGCCTTTGTTTTTGTTCAAGATTAGTTTCATTATCTGTATTTTGGGTCCCAAATCCTATTGCCAAGGAATTTGGTTGAATTTCACTTGCCTTATCCTGTATCTTCTATCTTGCCCCTGCTGCTAGTTTTTTTCCTATTAGCTTGGATCCTTTTAATCTTAAGAATTAACCACAAATAAGCTTTACTATATCCCCATCTTAAAATCAAACCCTAAATAATGCACCTTAACATCTGCTGCCCCCTCAAAACACAGTGTCTTAGCTTAATGTTGCTGTAATAGAATCTCTGAGACTGAGTAATTTTTAAGGAAAAGAGGTTTATTTGGCTCATCTTTCTGGAGGTTGGAAAGTCCAAGAGCATGGCACTGGCATCTTCTTGTCTTCCGGTGAAGGCCTTGTGCTTCAACACAATATGGCAGAGAAGTGGAAGGGGAACTGGGTGTGTACACAAAAAAAAACTAAATATGAGAGGCAACCTTGCTTTATAACAACTTGCTCTTTTGGGAGAACCAATCCATTGCTGAGATAACTAATCCATTCCTGGGAGACCTAACCCCGTCTCTCAAGAGACTAATCCATCGTAATAACCTAATCACCTGTTAAAGGTACTGCCTCCCTGCACAACCACATTAGGGACCAAGCCTCAGTTGGAGTTTTGGTGGGGACAAACCATATTCAAACCATAACAGACACACACACACACACACACACACACACACATACACACACACACAACTAGATTGAAAGAAACACCTGGGGCCGGGCGTGGTGGCTCACGCCTGTAATCCCAGCACTTTGGGAGGCTGAGGTGGGCGGATCATGAAGTCAGGATATTGAGACCATCCTGGCTAACACGGTGAAACCCCATCTCTACTAAAAATACAAAAAATTAGCCGGGTGTGGTGGTGGGCACCTGTAGTCCCAGCTACTCAGGAGGCTGAGGCAGGGGAATGGCATGAACCTGGGAGGCGGAGCTTGCAGTGAGCCGAGATCGTGCCACTGCACTCCAGCCTGGGCGACAGAGCGAGACTCCATCTCAAAAAAGAAAAAAAAAGAAACAAAGAATCACCTAGATGCCAATGTACAAGTCTCAAACTTTAGCATGCATCAGAACCCCTGAAAGGCTGTAATGTTGCCTCACCACCCAGAGATTCTGACTCACAAGTTCTCAGGTAATGGTGATACTGCCAATCAAGGAATCACTACAACATAAGGAATACTAAGACATCTCTGGAAATGAAAAATAAAAATGATGTTAATCAGATGTTCTTCCAGGGAGAGCACTGTGTGTATGTTGGATAGGACTTCTCTTGCATTTTCTTTTCTCTAATGTAAATTGTAATCAGCAGTGAGCTTGTAATTGGGCTCTACAAAAGTAAATGGTCTGATTTAAAGCATTTTCTGATTCCCATGGCATAAATGCTTCTACCATGACTTATTTCACAATACAAATGTGAAATCAGTGAACTAGAAGTTTGGAAGAGATATATATCTTTAGGTCTCTTGCAGGCAGTTTGGAGCCAGTTCATCACACCACTAATTAACATAAGTGGAGATATCTCTTATTGACGGAGTAGCTGTGATGGACACAAGTGAAACTCAGACAGTCTAACTTTGCCTGTGGAATTTCTCTCCCTTTTCTATCACTTATCTTTATTTTCCTCCTCCCTGAATTAACCTTTGCTCTGTGAAACATTAATATGACGATTTTTTTTTAAATACCGGAAAATTTATATGTTTGCAAAGGTTGTTACTTTGGGAGAGGAGTGGTAAATATCTCATAATTTACAAAAACATCCCATCCCAGGAATCCAAAAGAAAGGTTCATTAGAAAAAATTGAAAGGGAGAAGGGTGTTGGGGTAAGACATTGTTACACTCTGTGACTCGTTGAGGACTTTCTACTTCAGTCCCATATTTGTTTGACTTAGCCCAGAAATTATGTTTAGCACCCTCTCATTACCAATATTACCAATATTAATAAACTTTCCAGATGTATTTATGAATTTTATTTATCTAAAAGTTCTCTTCAAGTCCCAAGAGACAGGAAAATAAGGAAAATTAAAGTCTATGAGAATTGGCAGTAGTGATCATTCTGTTCTCAACAACATGCCCACGGTCCAGGCTGGTCTTTTTAACAGAGCTAATAAGGGAAACAAAAGGCAGAACTGTGCCCAAGTACGACCAGCTTGATCAATGTTTTCGGGCCTGCTTGCTGTTCTGTCATTCAAACCACAGGGTTGCTTTCTGATTGTTTTATAAGGTCACAGAAGTAAGTCCAAAGAATAATAAATTCATATTTTACCCCCAAATTCCAGATCCTCCAGTCAAAGTGCCCTAATATTTTATTGAAGTGAAAGATGGATCAAAACAGCTTTACATTATTTTTAAACGCAGTTTATGGGGTGGGGGTGAAGGTAGGGGAAATATAAACAAAGGATGAGAAGATTGGCAAAGATTTTAATTCAAATAAATGAGCTTTTGTTTTTCATGTATTTTATACAAAGTAGAAGATGGCAATAAGTGGTTTAACATGAAATTCTGTTTGGGAAAGCAGAGGCTTTCCCAGTACTAGTCTGGAATTTCCCTTTGATTTTACACTTGACAATGGGTTATCTTCCTGGAAAGTGTTGAAGGTGGTGAGCTATTGGTACAGAATTGACAAAAGGTTGCTTGGAGTTTACCAAGATCAGTTGAAGGTTTAGGCAAGACTGATGAAAAATCTTAAAAATCAATGCTGCTTTGCCTCAGTCATGTTCAGATAAACATAAGGCTACCTATAACTAGTAAATCTCATGCTTTGTAACTTCCTCAGGGTGTATTACGTGAATCTATCTTTCCTCAGAAGTTATTTGTGGTTAAAAAAAAAATCCAGAAAATCCGGGCAAACACAAACAGGATTTATGTGTTGATCTTAGGACATAAAGAACTAGGGAAAAATTACGTTTCAGTACCCCATTTCTTAAGAAGATGGAGCCCCAGGGAAGAAAGTTTTGTGGTAGAAAAAGAGAATATGTAGGCTAATCCCAGAATAGTTCAGAAAAAAATTACAAGTGGGAACTGAATTTAAAGAAGTAATAACAAAATTGTGTGTCCTGGTCTGAGTCTATTGGATTTATTTTCCATCTTATTTCTTATTCATTTCCCAAGCCTCATTCCCTTTGTGTAGCTTTTCCTTGAAGAACTTTTCTTTTGTGTGATGTGAATAAAAAAGTAGTATGTAAGGCACTTTCAGGGAAATTCCCACTTTGAAAGGAAATCTTTCAGAGACTGTTAAGATAAATGACTGCATCCATAATAATGGAATTCCCAGGTCAGCAGCAGGCAAATACAGAAATCATTTTCAGGCAAAATTATTGCAAGGCTCATCAATTTGTACCACATATTTCTAGGCTGCCCTTGATTTGAACTTACAGACTTAATATAAATGCTTTGATTAAATTCAATTTAAGTAAAACGAATAAATAAAATAGAGCCCAGAAACTCCAGCTGAAATTATTTTTTCTGATCTGTACAATTTAATTTAGTGTTCAACTTAGTGACTTTTTTTCTACATGGGTGTAAAACTTATTTACTCCAAACAATGTAAATATATTTTAAAATGCATCTTAGATTTCAAATAATCTTTTCTTTCTTCTCTCTACAAAGTATCATGTTAACTCCTCTCCTGGGCACCATCTAATGGGCCTTTCTTCCTTTGAGTTCTCGTAACCTGCCCTTGTCCTTTATCATGGAAATCTCATTGTGAGCAGCATTTCCTCGTTTCTAGAACCGGAAATAATTATAGCTAATCATCTTTATTTTAAAAATCTATTTATAATGCTGGCACCTAGGCTTAGAGAATAGTTAAGTCACAGAGCCATTGGGAGAAATTCTCTAGGTATTTCACAAACTTCCCTCTGTTGGTTTTCCTTACTGGCTACTCTTACTTCCCAAACTACATTTTAAGTAACTTTAGCTCTCCTTTCACTGATTTTTCAGGTGTCTTGGCCTTTCCCTTCCTCTTTTTGCCTTTTTCATTTTTAATATTATATTCTTGGATTTTATCCCCTGGGAAGTATCTACTTATCAAGGCAAATTCTGCAGGAGTAACACCTAATAACTTCAAACACCACTGAGACCAAAAAGTGTGAGAGAGTGATTTCCCAAAGACCTTCTGATTCTTTTTTTTAATCTAAAAAAGAACGTTCTCATAAACAAATTATTTATATACTTGGAATGTGTTTCTCTAGGTATCTTTTACTATGATTTTAGCTTTTAAGAGGCCCAGGCAATGGTTATCTACCCTAATCATTTATTTAATCCTTGTAAAACACTTTATGTTTTTGTCCATCTAGTGTTATTCCAGTAATGGGATCATATTAAAAAAATCTCACAGATCATCTTCAGCCCTGCCACGCCCCAACCTCAGACAGATCCTTTTTTTTTTCACCCTCTTATATCAGGTAACTGAATCACCATTAACTTGATCAAACCATGATTGAAATCTTGAGGAATATTGGTCTTCTTTATCTCCCTTGCTCATCCCATTCAATCCACTGCCAAGTTCAGCTGAGTGACTCGCCACATGGGTGCCTTTTTCTTATGTCTGTGCTCTTATTGACAGTCCCATTCTCATCACCACAATTTGGACTCTCACCTTCTCTTGCCAGAATACTGAAAACTCATCTCTCTGCCTTGTCCCCTTTCTCCTCCCTTTGAAATATCTTCTTTCATACTGCTGTCAGAGTTTCTGTCATGTTGCTATGAGCCTGTAATTCTCATATTGTATATCCTGAATTAAAAAAAAAAAACTTCTTAGTTTGATAATTAAAACACTGATTATTCAGAGCTTTCTGATGTCTTCTCATGGTATTGACCTACACAAATGGTAAAATCAAACAGCAGGTCTTCCCAAAACATGCACTGGTGCTCGTGCTCTTGTAGATACCCTTTCCATGACCACTTGCCCCTTACTTTATGGACTATTCCAAGTCACATTTTATTTATGATTTCCTTCTGGCTACCACTTTTACCACCTGTGCTCCCATTACTTCCTATGGGTGTAATAGCCTTCAGAGAGGATGTACATTATTGGTTCAGACAGACCTGAATTCAAACCCTAACCCTGCCTATGACTAATTTCAAAACTTTGAAAAAAATGTATATCTCTTTTTGGCCTTCTATTTTTTAAAAAAAATCTGTAAAATCGATACACAGTATTTTATTTTAATATAAACATTAAATACAATCATCTATATATAACACATATATACACCTAGAATATATTAGAAATTCTAAACACATTGCTCTTTTTGGTGACTCTTCTTTGATATTAATTAAACCCTTTTGCTTGTATTCTAGCCATTTGAAATCTCGGTTCATCCTCTACTCATCTGTACATTCATTGAAGTCATTACTTATTTTTGGATCCATAATGGATTTTGGATCCATCCATTACTTATTTTGGATAGCAACGTACCTAAATCAGGAGATTATGCACAGTACTGAACCTGATTTTTGAGGTTGAATTAGATCCCCCAGTGGATTTAACATTTGTGAATATATAACAACACATGGTCTGGCCACTTGTCATCTCCTAAGTCTGACAGGTTTCTGTTAACCACAACTAAAAGTGGTTACCTGAACTGATACTCTCTATAAGCATATATGATCAAATGTATAAAGAGAGACCAAGAACTCAAAAATATGGGAAAACAATTAGAGAACTGGAAAAAAAGATAAGCAAGCATGAAGTTGGACCATTGTCCCTGGACTTTGCCCTAACTCATACATTCAGGATGAGTCATGTTAGGAAAAATAATTTCAAAATTATTTAACTTAAGAATAAAAGTTTAAAATAAATTTTCAAATTTCAAAACAAAATTATTTACACAACAGAGACAATCAAGGTGGGGTAGTGATCAGAAGCTCCTCTGCTGCTATTAGAACTGCACTGACTCGAAGGCTCGAAAGAGAGAGAGAGCGAGAACAACACTTTAGATAAAAAAGAATTCAATAACACCATGAAACAAACATGTTCTAGAACATATTTAGTGGCAATAAGTATTCCATCTAAAACATTTGTGTTTCACATACTTTTGAAATGAGAGGTTGTAAAACTGCGTTACCTGAAAAAGAATTTTCTACAGTTATCTCCAGGTTTTTTTGGGGAAAACAGAAACCTCTATGAATTTTCTATGCTAGTCAAAGCTATGAAGGATATTTGGGACTTTTTTTTCTAAACTTTATGTGAAAATCCCAGAATAAACATTTACTATTAGGAGAGTCAAATCATTTATTTTCACATGAAAGAGATTAAGTAAAGCAGAATCTTTGATGGTCTGCTGTGAATTCTTCGCAGTGATTGAGAAATTTCTGAAAACCACTTCCAAATCAATTATAATATTAAGTAAACTTTGGCTTTAGGAGTAAGAGAGAGAAGGTCTGCGTCCATGTTGGGAAAGAATAGATATGCCCACAATAATTAGTCTATTACTTGTTTGAAAAGGGTGATTTCCTCGTCATTTCAAAGTATTAAGCAAATAAGGACATATTGAGTATGTAATTCATGGAAAAATAAGAAACTTCTTACAGTATGATTCCTAAAGGATTATGATGCATTATCATTTGGAGTTGGTATGAAGCTTATCTTTTTGGGGTTTCCAATTTTAATTTCCATTTGTGGAGCTTAGATTTTTTTTAATGTGCCTTATATTTGGCACATTAACTTAAGACAGGTTACCAAATACTGACCCTGAAATAGCCTTTCCAGTAAGTCTCATTTTTGTGGAAAAGGATCCTGATCAATAAAATAAAACACATATGCCTAGAAGTTGTAAAACTGCAGCTATGATTTGGAGTCTTAAAAGCTTCATGACATTGGTCTGGGCAATGATTTTTTGGCTATAATCCCAATGTACAGGTACCAAAAGCAAAAATATGTAAATGGGGTTGCATCAGACTAAAAAGCTTCTGTTCAGCAAAATGAATAATTAACAAAGTGGGAGATGTGATTTCTATATTCTGCTTCACACCCTTATAGAAAGTAGTCTTGGAATCATCGCATGCCTTTGTTTTCAAACTCCTTGTCAGTAATACCTCTATAGCTCTCTTTTTACTACTTCCTGAAGGAAAATGACCGTTTTTTCATCTTATGAATAACATTTCCCTTTTTATTTATAAGAACACAAAATACTTCTTAACCACTTTGTGCTTTATTTCTCTTCAGAATTTTTCTTATTGCATATTGCTGGATTCTGAAGTCTTATCACTAAATAACTTTTAGACATCAATTGATATGGAATAAAAGAAAGAACTGTGGCCATAGAAATGCTGCTTAGATCTCTTGGTTTCCATCTTTTGCCATCTTACGATAGTACTAATAACTTTGCTCTGTCCATCTCAGCAAGGACACAGTGAAAACCATAGGTGTGAAAAGGTGTTGAAAAACTGAACAACAATATAAACATTAAAGTATTTTTTCTTTAGATTCATGCATTTTAGCATTTGTAACTTGAACATGCTTCCTTCTCTTACAAAACTGTTTTTATCACGAAACATTATCCCTCTTCTCTTTTTGATTTGCATAAAATGTGCATCTTTGATCAATCTAATTTTTTATATTTACTTTCCTGTTGAAAGTGAATATAGCCAGATGCCGTGGCTTGTGTCTGTAATCACAGCACTTTGAGAGGCTGAAGTGAGAGGATTGCTTGAGCCCATGAGTTTGAGACCAGCCTGGGCAACATAGTGAAACCTCGTCTTTACTTTAAAAAAGAAAAAGAAAAAGAAATCTTAACAAGGTATGGTGTCATGTAGGAAAGGGAAGGGCAGGGAAGGGACAGAAAGGGAAGGGAAGGGGGGAGGAGAGGAGAGGAGAGGAGAGGAAAGGAAAGGAAAGGAAAGGAAAGGAAAGGGAGAAAGTGAATAGCAAGATAAAAATACATTCTATGCAAACATTAAAAAAAAACTAGAATGGGCTAAGGATCAAAATGGAAATTTTGCTACACATACTTTTAATTTTTTCTGTGAAGTTCAACCCATAATTCCTGGAATATAAATCTTTTTTTCTTTTTGTAGAATACAAATCTTGATTCAAGTTAAGAATTAGGGTGTAGGGTGTAGGTTAGGGTGGTAGGGGGAAATAGAGGAATCTCAAACTAGAGGGCCTTTAATGTGTCTGGGGGCTGAGCACTGGTAACCTTATACAGGATATTTCTTTAGCCTTGGCCTAGTTTTCCCACTTCAGCATGATGGATAATTCTTCATATTGGATAATTCTTATAGAGAGGAGCTGTCTTGTGCATTGGAGGATATCAAGATCTCTGTATTTTAACCTATTATTTGCCAGTGGCACTTCATTTTACCCCAAAGGAGACTCTCAAACATGTCTTCAGACATTGCCAAATGTCCTCTGCAGGGTGATAATCTTCTCCATTGGGAACCTTTGTGTTAGGGCAATTTTAATCTGCAATGAAAGGTTACACATACCTTTTGTTTCTCAGCTGGTTTTATGATTGAGAAACAATACAAGACAATTCAAGCGAATTGCTACTCATTTATTATTAAAGATAATTGATGATATGTACTTTTGGGAAGATGGTGTCCTAGTACAGCACTTTCGCTAATGTCTACTATATATAAATGAACCTCATGAAAACGTATTACACTATGACAAAAACTTGCATCCCCAAACCAACTATATTCTAACTTCTCACGAGCAGCTGTGAACTCAAACATGAGCAAAGGTAAACAATTTTGATAGACCTCTAGCTAGGATTCTCATCTTTTATATTCTGACTAACTCCTTTCTGAAGAATTTCCTTGACTCTTCTGGATTTTATTGTACTTTTTCTTACTGTAATTAACACCTGGGCCTTGGGCATTGATTAGATATTGCCTTATATGATTTGCTAATAGTACAATAAATGTGAGAGGTGCTTCCCAGTGGGATTACAAGCTCTCTGAGGGCAACATACTTCTCTTTTATCTTTCACAACATCCAGTACAGTGTCATCGTCATTAATACTGAGTATAATTGTTGGAGTCAAACAGATGTGGGCTCTACTCAGGGTTCTATCAACCCAAGGCTGGGTAAATTTGCACAATTCAGTTTCCCCAAGTAGAGTAGCCACATGTTTGAGTTCTATACCTAACTTCCATGCATTTGAAACAACTCTTTAATTAGAATTCAACTTCTTATCTAATTTTCCAACTTGCTTAGACAGAAAGAATACAGTGATGATGCTAACTTGGTTGTCAAGATCCATAACTGATACAAAATTTATTGTGAATTAATATTTAAGCACCCTAAATTTGTACATCCATATCTTGTGAGCCTATTTCATATAATACAGTGTTTAAAGTGGCATATTAAATGCTTATAGGTTTATTAATCTGAAAAATCAAGAGAATTGAATTAGCCTTTCTCTGAATGTGAAATTTCTCTGAATGTGAAATTTTCAGAGCTGCAATTCTGAAAATCCATTCCTTTGTATTTCAAAAGACATTTAATATTCAGTAAAATATGAAAATGATAATTTCAAATTGGTACCTAAACCTATTACATTAATAAATATAGTTTTGAGAAGAAACATTAGCAGAATTGCATATTGATAATGTAACTCCTTATTTGACTTATGATTTTCCTTGTTACTTTAATAACAGTCATGCCTTATTTTGGGGCCACCATGTAGCCAGACTTTGAGTTCAGTCAGTTTTTGTGGCCTCCTCAATGTCATGCAGAAGTAAAAGCTGTGCTGATATTTGCAGTGATAGCACAGCATGTCTTTATTAACATCATCAATAAAAACAATAATTCCCTCAGTACTTACTGTGTGTCAGCTTCTACCCTAAACTCTCATAAATCACTTCATCAAATTTTCAAAACAACTATATGAGGTAGATATTGTCTGACTGTGCAAATAAAAAAACGAAAACATAGGAATGTGAGAAAACTTGCAAAACATCACAGTTAATGCCAGCACCCTAGAGTTGGGTTCTTTCAGTTTACCCAGCCATATTTCATAACATCAACTCCTTAGACTTCTAGGTCATGGGAAAATGCACTGGCTGTAGCTTGTAGAAAGTAACACAGTTTAAAAATGACTTATTGGCCATTTCTGACCTTTGCCCAAGCTTGCTTTTATCAGAAATTTCTTATTTTCTTTCCCTATCTAATGAATACTTTCTTCACATTAGAAAAATAAATCTAAAATGATGTGACCTGAGGTGGCTTCCTGGCAAGGCCTTCCAAACTGCGCTCCAGTGTTCTCTAAAATCTCCATGGAAGTGATTCAGTAGCCACTGGGATTAAGGGGCAAGAAGAGGAAAGTCAGGGAATCGGGTTACTCCTGTCCAGTACCCTTAAATAGCTTCACTTCTCTCTGTTTCAAATAGTAAAACTATCTATCTATCTATCTATCATCTACCTATCTGTCATTTGGGGAGAAAATAGCTATTTTTTTAAAAAGTTTCAAAGCCACTTCTCTTATTGACCTCTGCTTTTAACAGAGAAAGCTGAGGCCTATGGAATTTAGGCAATTGGCCCCAAATCTCACAGTTTGTTGGACGTCTCCTAACTTCATATCCAACCAATTTTGTCACCCCATACTGTTGGTCTAAAGGAGTATAGTGTAAGTGTGTTGTATGTGGCCCACTAGACCCTAGGCTGTCACTCTGCAGGCCTTCTCTGGGGTGACTGCTGATTCACCTAACCTCCATCTCTGCTGGAACAGTAGAGGCCCCTGGAGCTTGCTCTTAGGCTCAGCTTCTGCTTGCATGGGCCTGACATATGTTCTTTGTTCATTTTCTTTCTTGTCCACCTTCACTGATCTTTTTGACTTTCAACAAATTAGAAAAAAATAGATACCCACCCAGAGAACTAAGTTCTCCACGGGACAGGTTATATATGATTCAGCACCAACATATTTCTTTTTTTGAAAAATTTACTTGATAATTGACAGCAAACTTCTTAATCAGGAAAGGCTCCCATGGCTGGGTTTGAAATCATCTCTTTCTCAGTGATTTGAAAGTTTCAATAAAGAAAGAGTTTTGCTACATTTGACTGTGACACCAGTAAAGGAGGTAGACATTACAGACTCTGAGGAAAAGGGGAGGTGATAGGCAGCTGAAAGAAGAAGGAAGTGCAGCTGGCCGAATCCTTTGTCCTGGGAAATGCAGCACATAACACATTCTGCTACATCATCATAAGGGGTATTTGATATTTATAAGATTTTTATAGTTTGGAGACGAGCATGCTTTCAGAGTTTGAACTGTGTATTCTTTAAATTTATGGTATTCACTAACACAAGTTTAGATTTCAATTGAGGGAAAAATCATTCTGAGAAAAGAAAGATTTACAGAGAATGATGGCTTATAGTTTATTTCAGGGAATTTCCCAAAGATATTTATGTTACTACTTGATTGATAACAATATTTTCCTCTCCAACAATATTTTCAAATTAGAAATAGTAGTTTTCAGGATTGCAGTTATTAAGCTGAACATTGCGTGTGTGTGAGAGGGAGAAGTTCTTGAGTTTTAATCCTTTCTTGATTTCACTGTTACAAATTACTTTATGATTGATACTCACAGATTAAAAGATCAACTAGTCCAAAGAGTAATTTATTCTATAAATGAGATCAGATGGTGTATCTTGAGTAGCCAATTATTCTCAAGAGCCGTTGTCTCAATATTATGAACTGAATGTTTTTGTCCTCAAAAAATTCATATGCAAAAATCTTAACCCCCAATGTGATTATATTAGAGAGTGGGGTCTTTGGGAAGTCTAAAACAAAACTGAAATTCTAAGTCCCCCAACCATCGGAATGGATCCTCCCTCTTGGCAAGGGCATTCCAAAACTAACCTAAAATACTAGTTCAAGCCATGATGGAAAGGAGAGTTGAACATGCCTCAGTATATTCCCCTCCCTTTTGGAATTACTAATAGAACAGAATCCTTGAGTCTCATAAGAAATAGTTACAATCTATTTTCTCTGAAGCTTGCTACCTGGAAGCTTCACCTGCATAATAAAACCATAGTCTCCACAAACCCTTATTGTAACCCAGACATTCCTTTCTATTGATAGTAACTCTTTCAATCAATTGTCAATCAGAGGATTTTTTAATCTGCCTATGACTTGGAAGCCCCCACTTCCAGTTGTTCTGCCTTGTCAGACTAAACCAATGTCCCTCTTACATGGATTGACTGATGTCTCGTGTCTTCCCAAAATATATAAAACCAAGCTGTACCCCAACCACCGTGAGCACATGTTCTCAGGATCTCCTGAGAGCTGTGTCATGGGCCATTGGTCACTCACATTTGGCTCAGAATAAATCTCTTCAAGTATTTCACACAGTTTGACTCTTTTCCTTGACAATAATTTGGCACCAAACATATGGGGTCTTAGGCAAGACTCAGGTCTCCAAATTTGTAACTAAGGTACCAGCAGGGACCCACTGAAAGCCCTCCCTGACTTTGAGCTTCTCCTCTGGTGGAACTGGTAAGTTCTCCTGAGCCCTGGCCCCCCCGTTGGTTGAGAGTCCTTCATTTATTCTGAGCTATTGTTTTCTTTTTTTGCTCCTAGGAAGTAGTTGTTTGGGATCCTAATTCTAGTTCAGAGGTGCATTCTAAAGGTTCTTCTCCATTGCTTTTTCTCACAGGGAACCCCCAACAAAATTAGTTATAAAGGCTTGTTCAGGAAACACATTTAAGAGCTGATCACTTAATGTTTTGAGCCCTCTCTGAGGTTCTAGATGTCCTAAGAGAGAAACTGAGACACATAAGACAGGTGAAACACTCAGTGGTGACACACTATGAAGTCCCACCTACAATCAGCACACTTGTACCTCTATAATAAACCCTAGGCCATAGCTCAGTACCTCCAAAAAAGAAAGAAAGAAAGAAAGAAAGAAAGAAAGAAAGAAAGAAAGAAAGAAAGAAAGAGAAAAAAGAAAAGGAGAAACGTAAAGAAATGGGGAACAAATATACCTTTCAGGTATCCCATTGGTTTTATGGCACCTCTACTTACAAGTGTTTGTATAAAAGGGACATATAATGGTATTTTGTGCATATTTTAAACTGATGGACAAATTGCTGCAAGAAAAAATTCAGAGCCCAAATGTTGACCTGCAACTTTAGAGTTTCTCGTTTCTCTGTTTTCTTTTATGTCTGCTTTAAATCTGCTGTTACTTTTCTACTGAGAAAAAAAAAAACCACTATTGAGATCCAACTGTTTTATGTTTGTTCATTTTTGCAAACCAGTGAGTTTGTATTAATATCTCAGGGCTAGAGTTCTAAAGTAAGAGCTATAGGATCTTTGTTAATACGAGTGTGCATGTATGTGTTTATATGTATGTACAGGTATTTTGTTATGTGTTTTGCCCACAAGGCACTGAATTATCTTAAAGTTAGAGTACTCACAAATTAAATAATAAGTTCAAATGTTTTTCAGCTTCATGAGACTTAAGTAAAATCTTTAATAAATAGTCTGGCTTCAAAATTATTGGTAAATTAATATTAGAAGTGTCTTAAGAATTGTTAGCATTTTTGGTTCCATTTTTTGATCAAGAAGGTTCATATTTACCCCTGCAGAATACTATAAGGTGTCAAAAGTTGCCATGAGGGTTATGAAACAATAAACTGAGCCCAGAACAGAAAGATCTTTGCTTGTGTAATTTTTGATAAATAAAACATTTAATATTGTTGGTTTAATGAAAACAGCTAAATCCTGAGCTATTGGCAAAATACCCACATTTTAACCTTAAGTTTCTTACTTAAGTAAACATCTAAAATTCATGGGCTATAAAAATGGTTAACTGGGGGGATTCCCGAGCAAGATGGCCAAGTAGGAAAAGCTCCAGTCTGCAGCTCCCAGCAAGACCAATCCAGAAGGTGGGTGATTTCTGCATTTCCAACTAAGGTACCTGGTTCATCTCATTGGGACTGGTTAGACAGTGGGCGCAGCCCATGGAGGGCAAGCAGAAGCAGAGTGGGGCATTGCCCCACCCAGGAAGCACAAGGAGTTAGGGAACTCCTTCCCCTAGCCAAAGGAAACCTTGAGGGACTATGCTGTGAGGGATGGTATTATCTGGCCCAGATACTAAACTTTTCCATGGTCTTTGCAACACACAGACCAGGAGATTTCCTTGGGTGCCTATAGCACAAGGGCCCTGGGTTTCAAGTACAAAACTGGGCGGCCATTTGGGCAGACACTGAGCTAGCTGCAGCGGTTTTTTTTCATACCCCAGTGGCACCTGGAATGCCAGCAAGACAGAACTGTTCACTCCCTTGGAAAGGGGGCTGAAGCCAGGGAGCCAACTGGTCTTGCTCAGTGGATCCCACCCCCATGGGCCCCAGCAAGCTAAGATCCACTGTCTTGAAGTTCTTACTGCCAGCATATCAGTCTGAAGTCAACCTGGGATGTTTGAGCTTGGTGGTGGGAGGGGTGTCTGCCATTACTGAGGCTTGAGTAAGCAGTTGTATGCTCACAGTGTAAACAAAGTCACTGGGAATTTCAAACTGGGCAGAACCCACCACAGCTTGGCAAAGCCACTGTAGCCAGACTGCCTCTCTAGATTCCTCCTCTCTGGCCAGGACATCTCTGAAAGAAAGGCAGCAGCCCCAGTCAGGGGCTTGTAGATAAAACTCCCATCTCCTTCGGACAGAACACCTAGGGGAAGGGGCAGCTGTGGGCACAGCTTCAGCAAACTTAAGTGTTCCTGCCTGCCAGCTCTGAAGAGAGCAGTGGATCTCCCAGCACAGTGCTTGAGCTCTGCCAAGGGACAGACTGCCTCCTCAAGTGGGTTCCTGACCACCGTGCCTCCTAACTGGGAGACACCTCCCAGCAGGGGTTGACAGACACTTCATACAGGAGAGCTCCAGCTGGCATCTGGTGGGTGCCCCTCTGGGATGCAGGTTCCAGAGGAAGAAGCAGGCAGCAATCTTTGCTGTTCTGCAGAATTTGCTGGTGATACCCAGGCAAACAGGGTCTAAAGTAGACCCCCAGCAACCTCCATCAAACCTGCAGAAGAGGGGCCTCTTAGAAGGAAAACTAACAAACAGAAAGCAATAGCACCAACATCAATAACAAGGATGACCACACAAAAACTCCATCTGAAGGTCACCAACAGCAATGACCAAAGGTAGATAAATCCATGAAGATGAGGAAAAAACAGTGCAAAAATGATGAAAATTCCACAAACCAGGACACCTCATCTCCTCCAAAGGATCACAACTCCTCGCCAGCAAGGGAACAAAACTTGGCAGAAAATGAGTTAGACCAATTGACAGAAGTAGAATTCAGGAGGTGGGTAATAACGAACTCCTCTAAGCTAATGGAGCATGTTCTAACCCAATGCAAGGAAGCTAAGAACCTTGATAAAAGGTTAGAGGAATTGCTAACTAGAATAACCAGTTTAGAGAAGAACATAAATGACCTGATGGAGCTGAAAAACACAGCATGAGAACTTCGTGAATCATACAGAAGTATTAACAGCAGAATTGATCAAATGGAAGAAAGGATATCGGAGATTGAAGATCAACTTAATGAAATAAAGTGTGAAGACAAGATTACAGAAAAAAGAATTAAAAGGAATGAACAAAGCCTCCAAGAAATATGGGACTATGTGTAAAGGCCAAACCTATGTTTGAATGGTGTACCTGAAAGTGTTAGGGAGAATGCAACCAAGTTGGAAAACACTCTTCCCCAACCTAGCAAGGCAGTCCAACATTCAAATTCAGGAAATACAGAGAACACCACAAAAATACTCGAGAAGAACAACCCCAAGACACATAATCATAAGATTCACCAAGGTTGCAATGAAGAAAAAAATGTTAAGGGCAGCCAGAGAGAAAGGTCGGGTTACCCACAAAGGGAACTCCATCAGACTAACAGTGGATCTCTCTTCAGAAACCCTACAAGCCAGAAGAGAGTGGGGGCCAATATTCAATACTCTTAAATAAAATAATTTTCAACCCAGAATTTCAAATCCAGCCAAACTAAGCTTCATAAGTGAAGGAGAAATAAAATCCTTTACAGACAAGCAAATGCTGAGGGATTTTGTCACCACCAGGCCTGCCTTACAAGAGCACCTGAAGGACTAAATATGGAAAGGAAAAATCAGTACCAGCCACTGCAAAAACATACCCAAAGGTAAAGACCATCAACACTATGAAGAAACTGCATCAACTAATGGGCAAAATAACCAGCTAGCATCATAATGACAGAATTAAATTCACACATAACAATATTAACCTTAAATGTAAATGGGCTAAATGTTCCCAATTAAAAGGCACAGACTGGAAAATTGGATAAAGAGTCAAGACTCATCAGTGCACTGTATGCAGGAGACATATCTCACATGCAAAGACACACATGGGCTCAAAATAAAAGGATAGAGAAAGATTTACCAAGTAAATGGAAAGCAAAAATAAAAAATAAAAAATAAAAATCAGGGGTTGCAACCTAGTCTCTGCTAAAACAGACTTTAAACCAACAAGGATCAAAAAAGACAAAGAAGGGCATTACATAATGGGGAAGGGATCAATGCAACAAGAAGAGGTAACTGTCCTAATTATATATTCACCCAATACAGGAGCACTGAAATTCATACAGGAAGTTCTTAGAGAGCTACAAAGAGACTTAAACTCCCACACAATAAAAATGGGAGACTGTAACACCCCACTGTTAATGTTAGACAGATCAATGAGACAGAAAATTAACAAGGATATTCAGGACTTGAACTCAGCTCTGGACCAAGCAGACCTAATAGATAGCTACAGAATTCACCACCCCAAATCAACAGAATCTAGATTCTCAGCACCACATCCTTCTTATTCTAAAATTGACCACATAGTGGGAAGTAAAACACTCCTCAGCAAATGCAAAAGAACAGAAATCTTAACACACAGTCTCTGAGACCACAGTGCAATTAAATTAGAAATCAGGATTAAGAAACTCACTCAAAATCACACAACCACATAGAAACTGAATAACCTCCTCCTGAATGACTACTATGTAAATAATGAAATTAAGGCAGAAATGAATAAGTTCTTTTAAACCAATGAGAACAAAGACACAACATACCAGAATCTCTGGGACACAGCTAAAGCAATGTTTAGATGGAAATTTATAGCACTAAATGCCCACAGGAAGTGGGAAAGATCTAAAACTGACACCCTAACATCACAATTAAAAGAACTATAGAAACAAGAGCAAACAAATTCAAAAGCCAGCAGAAGACAAGAAATAACTAAGATCAGAGCAAAAGTGAAAGAGCTAGAGACATGAAAAGCCATTCAGAATATCAACGAATCCAGGGGCTGGTTTTTTGAAAAGATCAACCAAATAGATAGAATGCTAGCCAGACTAATAAAGAAGAAAAGAAAGAAGAATCAAATAGACACACTAAGAAATGATGAAAGAGAGATCACCACTGTTCCCACAGATTTACAAACTACCATTAGAGAATACTATAAACACCTCTATGGAAATACACTAGAAAATCTAGAAGAAATGGATAAATTCCTGGACACATACATCCTCTCAAGACTAAACCGGGCAGAAGTCAAATCCCTGAATAGACAAATAACAAATTCTAAAGTTGAGGCAGTAATTAATAGCTTACCAACCAAAAAAGCCCAGGACCAGACAGATTCACAGCCAAATTCTATGAGAGGTACAAAGAGACGCTGGTACCATTTCTTCTGAAACTCTTCCAAACAATAGAAAAAGAGGGACTCCTCCCTAACTCATTTTATGAAGGCAGCATCATCCTGACACCAAAACATGGCAGAGACACAACAAAAAAAGAAAATTTCAGGCCAATATCCATGATGAATATGGATGCAAAAATCCTCAGAAAAATACTGGCACACTGAATCCAGCAGCACATTAAAAAGTTTATCCACCACAATCAAGTCAGCATCATCCCTGGGATGCAAGGCTGGTTCAACATACACTAAGCAATAAGCATAATCCATCATATAAACTGAACCAATGACAAAAACCACGTGATTATCTCAACAGATGGAGAGAAGGCCTTTGATAAAATTCAACACCTCTTCATGCTAAAAACACTCAATAAACTAAGTATTGATGGAACATATCTAAAATAATAAGAGCTATTTGTGACAAACCCACAGCCAATATCATACTGAATGGGCAAAAGCTGGAAGCATTCCCTTTGAAAACTGGCACAAGACAAGATACCCTCTCACCACTCCTATTCAACATAGTATTGGAAGTTCTGGCCAGGGCAATCAGGCAAGAGAAAGAAATAAAGGTATTCAAGTAGGAAGAGAGGAAGTCAAATTATCTCTCAGATGACATGATTGTATATTTAGAAAAACCCATCTTCTCAGCCCAAAAATTCCTTAAGCTGTTAAGCAACTTCAGCAAAGTCTCAGGATATAAATCAATATGCAAACATCACAAGCATTTCTACACACCAATAATAGACAAACAGCCAAATCATGAGTGAATTCCCATTCACAATTGCTACAAAAAGAATAAATTACCTAGGAGTACAACTTACAAGGGATGTGAAGGACCTCTTCAAGGAGAACTACAAACTACTGTTCAAGGAAATAAGAGAGAACACAAACAAATGGAAAAACATTCCATGTTCATGGATAGGAAGAATCAATATCGTGAAAATGTCCACACTGCCCAAAGTAATTTATAGATTCAATGCTATCCCCATCAAGCTACCATTGACTTTCTGCACAGACTTAGAAAGAAACTACTTTAAATTTCATATGGAACCAAAAAAGAGCCTGTATAGCCAAGACAATCCTAAGCAAAAAGAACAATGCTGGAGACATCATGCTACCTGACTTCAAACTACACTACAAGGCTACGGTAACCAAAACAGCATGATACTGGAACCAAAACAGATACATAGACCAATGGAACAGAACAGAGGCCTCAAAAATAACATTACACATCTACAACCATCTGATCTTTGATAAACCTGACAAAAACAAGCAATGGGGAAAGGATTCCTCATTTATTAGATGGTGTTGGGAAAACTGTCTAGCAATATGCAGAAAACTGAACCTGGACCACGTTCCTTACACCTTATACAAAAATTAACTCAAGATGAATTAAAGATTCAAACGTAAGACCTAAAACCATAGAAACCTTAGAAGAAAACCTAAGCAGTACCATTCAGGATATATGCATGGGCAAGACTTCATGACTAAAACACCAAAAGCAATTGCAACAAAAGCCAACATTGACAAATGGGATCTAATTAAACTGAAGAGCTTCTGCACAGCAAAAGAAACTATCATCAGAGTGAACAGGCAACCTAGAGAATGGGAGAAAAATCTTGCCATCTATCCATCTGACAGAGGGTTAATATCCAGAATCAGCAAGGAACTTAAACAAATTTACAAGAATAAAAACAAACAACCTCATCGAAAATTGTTCAAAAGATATGAACAGACACTTTTCAGAAGAAGACATTTATGTAGCCAACAAACATATGAAAAAAGGCTCATCATCTCTGGTCATTAGAGAAATGCAAATCAAAACCAGAAAGAGATACCATCTCACGCCAGTTAGTATGGTGAACATTAAAAAGTCAGGAAACAACAGATGCTGAGAGGATCTGGAGAAATAGGAATGCTTTTACACTGTTGGTGGGAGTGTAAATTAGTTCAACCATTATAGAAGACAGTGTGGCAATACCTCAAGGATCTAGAAACAGAAATACCATTTGACCCAGCATTCCCATTACTGGGTATATACCCAGAGGATTATAAATCATTCTACTGTAAAGACACATGCACATGTATGGTTATTGCAACACTATTCACAATAGCAAATACTTGGAACCAACCCAAATGGCCATCAATGATAGACTGGATAAAGAAAATGTGGCATACATACACCCTGGAATACTATGCAGCCAAAAAAAGTATGATTTTATTTCCTTTGCATGGACATGGATGAAGCTGGAAACTATCATTCTCAGCAAACTAACACAGGAATAGAAAACCAAACACCACATGTTCTCACTCATAAATGGGAGTTGAACAATGAGAACATATGGGCACAGGGAGGAGAACATCACATACTGGGGCCTGTTAGTGGGGGTGGGGGACAAGGGGAGGGATAGCATTAGGAGAAATACCTAATGTAGATGACTGGTTGATAGGTGCAGCACACCACCATGTCACATGTATACCTATGTAACAAATCTGCCCCTTCTGCACATGTATCTCAGAAGTTAAATTATAATTTTAAAAAATGGTTAACAGGGAAATAACTTTGAATGATGACTATCACATTCTCCATAAATAATATAGGTAAACTACCAAATAAATTAATCAAGTAAATGTAATGGAATGCTTATAAACACAGTTTTCATATAATTTAAAATTTAAGGCTATATTAAATATAGATGTTAATTAAATGTCTGGGTAATTTCCAATTTAAAAATTATAAGAAAACATTTTGAAAAATGTGTTCTTATGGAAAAGGTAAATATTTTTCTCTGATTAAAAGTTTATATATAAAACAAGGGAAAAGGAATCAGGAAATGATTCCTGATACTAGACACAAGGAAAATTATAGATATAAAGAAGTATTTTTGGTAAGACAGGTTAAAAGAAAAATAATGTGATATTTATAAAAACATTGTGTGATGAATTTTTTGTCCTAAAATAAAATGACCCGTTGTTCAAGAAAGAGAGAGATTTAGGAAAAAAGAATAGAAAGTCCAAGCATGCCGTGAATGGTCAGTGTAAGTCATAATTAAATTAGTAAAAAGGGAATTTATTCTGAAAAAAGTTATATAATTAAGTCAGGTATAATTAAAAAGAAATTATAATAGTCTTTCTATAAATTGAACTTTGATATTAAAAATACACTAACACAAACAAAAGAATTGGTTAAACAAGATTTTATTGAAAATACTGGCTTACTCCTAATGCAAGAAGTTTTCAATTTTTAAATTCTCTAATCTGTTTCTTTTTTAAATTCTTCAGGTTGATATCCTAGAAGTTCACCTTCTACTGTACCCTGCTGCCTAAGGTCTTTCTTTTTTGAAAAGGTTGAGGATGGTAACTCTCTTCCTTCACCCTCTCTTGGTTCTTGTAACTTATTTTTTAAATTAATAATCTAAAATAAGGAAGATAAATTCTTGAAAACAGGCAAATGAAAAATCTGTTGGATCTGCCTTTGTCTGTATGTCTGTTCTGTCTATATGTTTGCATGTATCATGTAGAAGCAATATTTCACTACCAAACTATATGAAAGAGCTCTAATCTATTGGCTTAAAGTAAGTTTATCCAACCCATGCTTGTGGCCCAGCATGGCTTTGAATGTAACACAACACAAATTTGTAAACTTTCTTTAAACAGTATGTTTTTTGTGATTTTTTTTTAGATCAGCTATTTTAGTGTTAGTGTATTTTGTGTAGCCCAAGAAAGTTCCTCCTCCTCCTCCTCCTTCTCCTCCTCCTCCTCCTCCTCCTCCTCCTCCTTCTTCTTCTTCTTCTTCTTCTTCTTCTTCTTCTTCTTCTTCTTCTTCTTCTTCTCCTCCTCCTCCTCCTCCTTCTTCTTCTTTCTCTTCTTCTTCTTCTCCTTCCAATGTAGCCAAGGGAAGCCAAAAGGTTAGATACCCCTGAAAGAAAAGTAAGTGCTCATGAGGTTGATAGAAGCTAGCTCAGCGGCCTTTCTATGCACATTATCTTGGTAATCTTTGGTAAGACTAATCTGGTATATTTCATCTCAAAATTCTCTCCAGTAGTTTAAAATCTTAAAGTCATGTTAAGTAATGGGATTTTTTTCCATTGGAATTTGGGTTACTAAAAGTTAAAATATTAGGAGGGTAAAAAAAGTAGGAGGTGAAGTTTATAAAAACACAAGGATGTGGATTTTGCTAATGAAAATGCAATTTTTTCTAGTTTACAGACTATTTGAGTCACTTTTAAATGAAAGCAAATGTTATAATAGATAAATCTAAATGAATAAAATGAAAAATTAAAAAGTGGGAAATGAGAAACCTTGCCTTTTAGGTGGCCACGTAGTCACCCATCTTATGGAGCTGCAGCTGGGCTGCATTCAGTTACTAAAGGTAAAAGTTACGAACTTAATTTAAAGTCATACCCATACTCACAGGGAGTTATTCCACTGAGTGTACAAGGAAATGCAAACTAATAAGAAAAAAGCAAAATATTTAATCTCATGGTTATTGTTATCTGTAATAGCTAAAATGAAAGTAAGATTGCTATGTTGGGCCTTAAGGCTGCACCAAGCTCAGATGTGGGTTTGTCTCAGCTTAGGCCACTATCCCCAAAGCTACCCACAAAAGGAAAAATTAAGCCAGGGCAACAAAAATTACCTCTGAGACCTGTTGTTATTAAAAAATAGTCAATGTGGGGGAAGGGAAAAATCCAGTAACTATTAAAACCAGAAGGTATAAAAAAATGTTTCCATTTTGTAGATTGGTATCATCAACCTCCTGAGAAATCTTTACTATACAATGGATTGCAAAAATACTACTTTAAGGATGTATCCTTAATTTTAAATGCAACAGAATGAAATAGCACATTTGGGTTGATGCAGGACCCATGATTAAACAATCACTGATAAGTATATGTGATCCAGGGGCATGGGAGGTTATTCCTCAGAGAACAACCAGCCCAATGTACTGAATAAACACCACTGTAACATCTGCTTACTCTTAGTAGGGGACTGCCCAACTCCCTCTATAAAATGCAGAGTGGAGCACCCCAGATGAAGCAGCTGATATGATTCTGCAAATAAAGAGTATCTGCGACAGGTCTCAATTAATTTAGAAAGTTTATTTTGCCGAAGTTAAGGATGTGCCCATGACATAGCCTCAGGAGGTCATGACAACATGTGCCCAAGGTGGTGATGCAGGATTTTTCTCTCAGCCCCTTTGCTGGACTCACAGCAGGGGGGCCCCATCTAAGCTGAATGCTAAGGTGAAGCTGTGGAACTGAGTCTTCCTCAAACAAGGGAAAGGAAAAGGAGAATTGGGGACCTAACCTAGTAAGATGCCTTCTAAAGGAAAAAAAAAAAACTTTTGCATAGAAAATCTCCTTGTATTTGTAGGGCTGTGTTAACTACTGACATGCAGAAAAGAAAACAAAAACAGCTTAAGTGCAGGGTTGGGGGATATTCCTGGGGGAAAAAGCCTCTTGCTCTATGCAAATGGGTTCCTTCAACAGAAGAAAAACTCTCAATCACTGTTCCCTCCTCAAAAGATGGAAACCACATTGTTGTGAATTGCATATCTGATGGCTGGGACAAATGCTCATTCTACCCAGGAATATCTCCACAGTTTGCAGCAACACTCTTAACATTATAAAAAAAAAGAACAGATAGGAGCTAATTCAAACTGTGAAAGAAGGAAGGAAAAATACCATTAAAAAGTCTGGGAGTCTTGGCTGATGCCCTAATGAGCAGTTGGGGATGGAGCAAGTCTAAGAGTCTTCTGACAACACCTTTTTCACCAGAAAAGGTAAAATTTTCTGAAGCTGGAAAAGTTCCTGGGACCAGACCAAGGGTGTAGTCATGGCCAGAAGCATTCAGTTGCCGCAAGACATTATTCTGGTCCCACATGATGGCTAGACCTCCATGAAGGGAAACAAAGCCAACATTCCTTTCACCTAAAAGAGAGTGAGGTATCAGGGTCACATCCTGTCCTTTGTAGCTGCACTGTTCACTTTCAACTGGGTAGTCAGAGGTTTGGTGCTTCATCTGCCTTTAGAATAAAGTCTTAGGATAAGAAGCCTCTGAAGAAAAGTGAAGGGTCTAGGTCCACATTTACTCAGCTTTCAGGCATCCTGGATGAGCTCCCAAAATGACTCAGAAGTTTTCTCTTGGCCCCTTTTCTGGCCTTGCATCAGGGGTGCCCCATCTACTTGGCCTGCCCTCCTCATCCCCTTGCAGGAGGGAGCACATGAGTGATTCATGTTGGATCTGGCAAGCCACTTTGAGTGCAGCATAAGAGCAAGCTCCATGCAGGGCCTGCAGCCAGATCAGGTGAAAGGGTGCCTGTGACCCTGAAACCCCAGAGGGGGTGTTAGTATGCAAATTAGTTCTTTTAGTTCTGCCGTCCACAGCCCAATGGACAGTGGCATGTTAGCAGCTCAGTCAGCCCCTGGCCCTGCCACATAGGGTGGCTGCCCTCTGCAGGCTAGGGCAAAAGTCCAGCTTGACAGCCTTTCTGGATACCTGCACTTGGTGGGTCCCAAACTCTTGTCCAGTGTCCAAGAATGAGGCTGTACTGACAATCGAAGAGTGAGCAAGGCAGCGAATTTTATTGAGTGATGAAACAGCTTTCCACGGAGAGGGGATGTGGGGGTGGTCCCCCTACTCAAAGACAGGAAAGATTCCCCTAGTGTGACTGAGTCCAGGGCTTTTATCAGCTCAGAATACGGGAGGGGCAGGCCATAGGTAGTACCAGAAAAGGCAACATTTGATTGGTTAAATCACTGTTCAGAAAAATTCAATCAAGAAACAGTGGGCAAAGAGGAACAGAAGTTTCCACTGTGGGTTATGGTTTTCATCCCTTTCTGCCTTCAGCCTGTTTTTTTGGCTTGAAGGTGCGGTTTCCCTGGGGACCTTCCCCATCTGCCTGCGTATTTGTTTGACTCCTGTTGCTATCAGTGGTATGGGTTGGTTTGGTTTTATATATTTTACAGAGACATGAGACATCAGTCAATATATCCAAAATGTACATTGGTTCAGTCTGGAAAAGTGGGACAATTCAAAGCAGAGAGGGAGCTTCCAGGTTATAGGTGGAAAAAAGACAAATGTTGGAATTATTTTGAGTTTCTGATTAGCCTTTTACTGAATATGAAATTTACAGGAACAGTCACGCCTTAGTCTGGCTTAGTGAAATAATAGGGCAAAGGAAGCAATCAGATATGTATTTGTATCACCTGAGCAGGGGGGATGACTTTGAGTTCTGTCTGTCCTTTGTTCACAAAGAATTTCCTTGTGGTCAAATTGTGAGGGAAGCATGTAGCTTTTTATCTTTGTAGCTATCTTATTTAGGAATAAAATGGGAGGCGGTTTTGACTGATGCAGTTGCCAGATTGACTTTTCCCTTGGCTTAGTGATTTTGAGGTCCTGAGATTTACTTTCCTTTCACACTTCATATGCAAGCCATGTGTGACTGACTTTATGATGACTGAGATAATCTCCCACTGAATATGCCTGTTACCCAGGTCATGGTCAATGTTGGGGTTAAGGGGACCCCTTTTACATGGACACCTCAGGTGACATTACTTCCACAGAATCATACAACTATTTGAGAAACCTTATCAAATTTACTCTCCCTCATGGGTCTTACAGATACTTGATAAAACATTAGGGTAATTAAAAAAATAGAAAAATGGGAAAAGCAAAAGGGAATCAAAGGACTCACCTCAGAAGTGTGGTGGAAAATTTTAGATGGTTATTAAGAAATAAAATAAATAAAACAAAGGTCTTTACAACAGTATTCAATGTTGTGTGTGTGGACCAAAGGGAACCCCTGCTGATCACCCAACATTAAAAGTTCCCACACCAGTTTGGGGTATTTGCCCCAGAAGGGGAAATTTAAGAAAAATCCAAAGGCAAAAGTTACAATGACAAAGCTGACATTTCATGGAGCAATGTTGAGACAAATTAAGACAAAGATTGACAAAAGGGTCTTTGACTCAACTCTCTGCTGGGAACCCAAATCTTTTTTCACCAGAAAAGGTAAAATTGTTTGAAGCTAGAAAAGTTCCTGGGACCAGACCAAAAAATGTACACTTTGATAAGGTTATAAAATTTGAGATGTTTAAGCAGACTTTATGTATGGCAGTTGTGACTCCTTTACCTAAATGTCTTATGAAAATGGGGACTGTATGTGACTGGGGGATATCTCCCCTATCTGATACTCTAAAACTGAAGGCATGTAAATCTTCCCTTTGAAAAATGTTAATTGGACACATTAAATGGGAACTAGTAGGATTGCCTGATCCTGCAGAATACAGGGTAGAGGCTGCAGTGCTTGTTGGGACAAATCCTCCACTTCATGGCCCTTTGCAGAATATTTATTGGGGCTTATGGCAAAAGATTGTGAACGCTTTCCAATGACAACTACTGGACTAAAGAATTTCCACTTAAGGGGCATTTACTGCCTTGCTCTGGAATGTTAATTGAAGCTATCCCTATGCTAATGGAAATAATGTTATCTAAAATAGTTACATGATAAAATAAAAGTGATTTACATTGGATCTTGCTACCTGGGAATGGAAGAGGGAGACACTCATGAGTAGGGAGTCTTCTTTTCCCCTAGGACTGATTCTAACTATATGAGGAGCTACTAGGTTCTACAGTGACTGCTGGATTCTACAGTGCTCTCATCTGACAAGAGCTGCTTGGCTTGTGAATGACAGTTTCAGGGTGAACAAATGACATCTTGTTTGGAAAGCTGCTGCTCTGGTTAAAGAAAAGTCAAGGAAATCTTTTGAGTTATTTATGGTTTTTAGAATTTGGGTGAAGTAAGTTTTTGTGAGCAAATTTGCCTTTCTGTCTATCTGAGTTCCCTCCAATTTGTAAACTGTTCATGATTTTATGACAATATAGTCATTTGCATCTTTTTTTTTTTTTTTTTTTTTGAGACGGAGTCTCGCTCTGTCGCCCAGGCTGGAGTGCAGTGGCGTGATCTCGGCTCACTGCAAGCTCCACCTCCCGGGTTCACGCCATTCTCCTGCCTCAGCCTCCCGAGTAGCTGGGACTACAGGCGCCCGCTACCACGCCCAGCTAATTTTTTGTATTTTTAGTAGAGACGGGGTTTCACCGTGTTAGCCAGGATGGTCTCGATCTCCTGACCTCGTGATCCGCCCGCCTCGGCCTCCCAAAGTGCTGGGATTACAGGCGTGAGCCACCGCGCCCGGCCTCATTTGCATCTTTTAATAAGAGTCTTTTCTTCTAAGGTAGAACAATTGGAGATGGGAAATTTTACCTAGTCTTTGACTAGAATAACATATGTTTAGGTTAAGTTCCAGCAAAGCCAACTTAAACAGAGCCTATATAGCCCATCAATACTTGCTGCGTTCTATACAAATAATTAAGCCAAGTACAGTAAGCTTAAAACTTATTTTGCACACATATTGGTCCTACTATAATTTCTCTTCAGCAGAAAAAGAGGGCTAGAGAAAGAGATAAATTGTTTCAAAGGAAAAGTGTAACATTTGTTACTAGATTTCAGCCCTGATTTGTTTTTAAGTACAGATTGAATCATAAATTATTTCTTGGCTACAATAATCTTCTGAAGGGTATCAGATTATAATTTTTCTTCATATGTTTAGTTGATGTCCTAATGGAATAGGTTCCATTTGCTGATCTGATGCACAAATACTCTTTTGATTTTCAAAATATTAATGTTATTTATCTCTCATAGTTTTACTTCCAAGGAAACCAGAATCATGGTATTCTAAAGACTAGACATGTGAATCTCTCTCATTAGGCATCCCACTGGGCTGATCTGTTTTTCACTGCAAATATCCTACTGGTAAAATGATACAAGCAACCTCCCTCCAAATCAAGGATAGGCACACATATGCATAAACAGCTAGTAAAAGAAAGGACTTTGCCTTCTGAGCTATTATGTGACACCTTTCCATCCATCCCAAACATAAAGACTTTTCTGCTTCCTGTAGAACTAAAAGAAAATTATTACTGAGAGAATATAAAGAAACCTTGTGAAAAAGTCTCCTGGGTATAATAATACTCCTAGTTATAAGATTTATACAGATAGAAATATATTTTAAAAATCAGCCACCTTAGGACAAATTACTAAAAGAGCACAAAAAGCATTGCAGAACAACAAAGGTCTCCAAAATTCTTTAGCTTAAAAGGTTTTAACAATACTTATGTTTTGTATAGCTAATTGCAATAAGTCTATAACTAAAACCAACATTACAGTAGCTTAGTCATATTTGTAACCTTGCCCTTGGCTTTTTGTTTTTTGGCTTTCTACTTTAAAAAATTGTTTTCTAAGTATTAATAAATGTCTGCCCACATCCATTCCTGTCTGGCCTAGAACATTTAAATTGGCTATGAGTTTTTTGACTCTAAGCTCCTTGACCATATGAGAGAGGGGGTCACACTGAGGAACAGGATGTACCTGGGGCAGGCAGCCATGCCACCCCAGCAACACTATGGGACAAAATGAAAATTTGGTGGCCATTGATGTTGCCTCTGGCAAATCTTGGCCAGAAGGGGAAGAATGTAAACTGAAAGTAAAATTCTAAGCCCCCCAACCATCTGAGTGGACCCATCCTCTTGGAAAGTGCATTTCAAAGTTAACCTAAAAAAGTAGTTCATGCCATAATGGGAAGCAGAAGTCAGACATGCCTCATTATACTTTGCTCCCTTTTGGAATTACTGATAGAACAGACTCCTTAAGTCTCATAAGAAAAATTTACAATCTAGTCTCTCTGAAGCCTTCCACATGGAGGCTTCATCTGCACCATAAAACCTTGTTGTCCACCACCTCCTATTGTAACCCAGACATTCCTTTATATTGATAATAATTCTTTCAACCAATTGACAATCAGGAAATTTTTGAATCTGCCTATGACTTGGAAGCCCCCACTTCCAGTTGTCCTGCCTTTTCAGACCAAACCAATGTACATTTTACATATATTGATTGACATCTTTTGTCTTCCTAAAATGTATAAAGCCAAACTGTATCCCTACCACCTTGGGCACATGTTCTCAGGATCTCCTGAGGCTGTGTTATGGGCCATTGGTCATTCATATTGGGCTCAGCTTAAATCTCTTCAAATATTTTACAGAATTTCACTCTTTTTATCAACAAAGGTAATAAGTCATAAGTGAGATTAGTGTCCTTGGTCATTCATATTGGGCTCAGCTTAAATCTCTCCAAATATTTTACAGAATTTTACTCTTTTTATCAACAGAGGTAATAAGTTATAAGTGAGATTAGTGTCCTTATAAAAAGACATGAGAGAGATTGCTTTCTCTTTCTCTGCTCTCTGCTATGTGAGATTACAATCAGAAGATGGCCACTGAAAACCAGGTTGTGGGTCTTCAACAGGAATAAAATCTATTGGCATTTTGATCTTGGACTTCTCAGACTCCAGAACTGTGAGAAATTAATTTCTGTTGTATAAACAACCAAGTCTATGGTATTCTGTTATATCAGACTGAACTAAGAAACTAATTTTGATGCAGTCTTCCTGGATCTCCAAGAAAGCAGCAGAACTGGCACTAGTTTTGTGTCCTATGGAGTCCACTTCCTAAACTAACTTAGTTTCCAGTTAATCCTGTGACCTAAGCTCTTCCAATAGGTGGTCTCTGGACAATGATAACTCAGCCTAGTTAGGTTCTTAGAAAGTGTACCTAATAGTCTTTCAATGACTGCCAGTTTTTACCCTAGCATCTTGGGTAGGATGACTAGCCTTTTATTTACTTAGTTTATTACAGGAACAAGAACTTTGCCTGAGTGCTACCTATGTACCAGATGCTTTATATCCATGATTCCATTCAATGAAGGAGATTTAATTATCTCTATTTTATGAAGAAGAAACTAAGATTAAGATATCTTAAAAACTTGTCCAAAAATCACATGGCTATCATATAGATAGGCCAGGATTGGAAACCAATTTTGTCTGATTTCAAAGCCCAATGCTTAAAGTATCATGATGCACACATAGATGCTTAGTAAATGAAGTTTTTCTCAAAATACTCGTTAAATTGGCTAATTCATTGCTAGTACTAAATAGTGAGGATACATTTTGTTATCAGTTTGTTCAAATATCAACAAAGAGCAAAAGGGTCTCAATGGCACATCTGTTGAATTGAAATAGAATGTGGTGATGAGAAAAAGGATTTTTTTCTCCTACATTTTTAATCATTAATACAAGGAAAGTTAAGTTTTTATTTAGTCTGGTTATGGACAAGAGGCTTTTGTAATGAATCAGAGTACTTCCATTTTTATTTTCTCAGTTAACCATAAAAGACTTCTTATGTTTTTGATCAGAAAGTTATGTGATGTTTTGCAGGACTAAAATGGGAAATTGATGAGACCCACGGCTTTGTTTGAGATGACTATGGAATATTCTTTTTTTTTTTTTTTTTTTGAGACGGAGTCTCACTCTGTCGCCCAGGCTGGAGTGCAGTGGCGGGATCTCGGCTCACTGCAAGCTCCGCCTCCCGGGTTCACGCCATTCTCCTGCCTCAGCCTCCCAAGTAGCTGGGACTACAGGCGCCCGCCACCACGCCCGGCTAATTTTTTTTTGTATTTTTAGTAGAGACGGGGTTTCACCGTTTTAGCCGGGATGGTCTCGATCTCCTGACCTCGTGATCCGCCCGCCTCGGCCTCCCAAAGTGCTGGGATTACAGGCATGAGCCACCGCGCCCGGCCGACTATGGAATATTCTGTACTTAAGCCTGGTTTTCAAGAAAGGGTAAATGGCATATTACTGAAATTTTGTGATACAGTCTATCTTTTTCCATTCTATTTCTCAAGGGCACCTACTCTTAGACTTAGCTTTCTGCAGCTCAGTATAAAGAAAGAAATTTATTTTCAAAAGTTAAAGGAGTAGCTTCCGTTCTTTTATCCAACCTTCTGCTTCTGAAAACACAAAGGTCTGGGCCCCTTTCCCCAGGAGTACTAACTGATTAACTTTATACTTAAAAAATCTCTACTACTGATTTTATTAAATGATAAGAACCACTGTCCAAGAAAATCAGTTCTAGATTTCTCTTCTATGCCTCTATAAAATCCTAAGTAAGTTTCTTTAATTTTTTTGGAAAATCTTTGTGTTTTTCTTCTCTTTATTGCTAAACTCTCTATGTACAAGTCTCCATGCTGCCTTGCCTAGGGTTAAACAGATGGGGATGACTTATGCACAGTTTCTATTTTTTTAGCATTTCTCAGCTCTTGGCCAGGGTTTCAGGGGTTCAGGAACACTTGAATCCTGGAGAATTCCCTTTACTCATAAACCAGATATTTAGCAAGTATTTTTAAAGCTGTTTATGTAATCATGATCCCAGAAACTCTGTGTGTGTTTGTGTTTGTGTGTGTGTGTGAGAGAGACAGAGAGAGAGAGAGAGAGAGTGTGTGTGTGTGTGTGTGTGTGTGTGTGTGTGTGTGTGTGTGTTAGTTTCCTAGGGTTGCCTAACACAGTATCAGCATTTTAGTGGCTTAAAACAGAAATCTATTATCTCACAGTTCTGGGGGCTACAAGTTGAAATTAAAGTGTAGGCAGGAACACACCCTTTACAGAGTCCCTGGGGGAGAACTCATTCCTGCCTCTTTAGCTTCTGGCGGATGCCCATTTTTTTTTGGTTTGCTGCCATATCACTCTGTTGTCTGACTTCATCTTCACATCACCTTCTCTGTGTATGTTAATTCTCCTCTCCATCTCTCTTATAAGGATACTTGTACTGGCATTCAGGACCTGGATAATTCAGGATAAGCCCCTCATCTCAAGATTCTTAATCACATCTTTTGCTGTATAACAAAAGTATAACATTCACTCATTTGCCATATAATATTTACAGGTCCTTGGAATTAGGAAGTGAGTATATCTTTAAGAAGCCATTTTTATTTCAGCCTATCACTGTTTGTGTGTGTGTGTGTGTGTGTGTGTGTGCGCATGTGTGTGTATACACTCTTGGAACCTAAGATGTCCTACCTATACAGTTGGATGACTATATTTCTCTTCACATTTTTATATATGATTAACTATATTTCATAAAAGATAAAAACTTGTATTGATCCTGGTATGTAAATTAACATGGAAAAAATAAAATCAGATGTATTTCTTCACTTTTTACCTAAACTAATTGCATTTTGTTACATATATAGTATATATTTGTGTAAATATACATCATGCTTGAGACAAAAAACTAAATAACATATGGTACCTCCTATAGAAAATCTGGCAATCTAGACAAGAAGATAGTTGTATCACAATTTCATTCAACATCCAAGTGCTATCATAGTTCTATAGCTAAGCCATGAATTCTCTCTTTAATTTATACAACTAATCTTTTAGATTGGTAGTGTTAATTCCAGTTTTAAGTTTCTGTTAAAAAGAGGGTTCAAAAGAAGATACTCTCTTAAGACTATACAAATAGGAGGAAGAGATGGGAGTAAAATTCAGCAGTCTGATTTCAGAGCTCAAACTATTAAACACTGCATATACTACATTGCTTACTTGGCAAAATTATTATGGAGCTAGCTCCATTGCTTTATCTACCAGATGGTGGTGACTGCTGGCTCCTTGTGGGAAAGCAATTATCTCTCCAGGCAACCCTCTGGAGGGTGAAAGTTCCTTAGCAGGCATGCTTTGGTTTGGAAGTCTACTGTTAACTCTCCAGAGTCCTGCCTTGGAATACATAGCCAGATGAACTTGCCCTGTAGGGAGAGTCTGGTAAAGGAGGAGGTAAAAGACTACAGTTGCACTTCTAAAGGACTAAGTAGGAAGTGGGGAAGGTGGACAGAAGAAGAGCTAGAGAAAAAATAACTAAACAATATCAGGGGAAATTCAGCCAGATATTGGGCAAAATTCACCCCTGATATTTCACATAGGTTCTTTTCTATTTTCCCTAAGCTTCAGCCAGGTTGAGAAATAAAGGGACAGAGTACAAAAGAGGGAAATTTTAAAGCTGGGCATCCGGGGGAGACATCACATGTTGATAGGTTCCGTGATGCCCCACAATTGGCAAAACCAGTAAGTTTTTATTAGGGATTTTCAAAGGAGAGGGAGTGTACGAATAGGGTGTGGGTCACAGAGATCACATGCTTCACAA
Organism: Homo sapiens; assembly: GCF_000001405.40. Lineage (NCBI taxonomy): Eukaryota > Metazoa > Chordata > Mammalia > Primates > Hominidae > Homo > Homo sapiens. Next base: position 40,112,531 of record NC_000005.10, on the reverse strand, counting down.
GGCAATAGAATATCACTAGGCAAATGGAGGCAGGGTGAGATAAGAGGACCACAGGACCTGGGCAAAATTAAAATTGCTAACGAAGTTTCGGGCACCATTGTCATTGATAACATCTTATCAGGAGACAGGGTTTGAGAGCAACCGGTCTGACCAAAATTTATTAGGTGGGAATTTCCTCATCCTAATGAGCCTGGGAGCACTATGGGAGACTAGGGCTTATTTCGTCCCTACAGTCTCAACCATAGAAGATGGCCACACCCAAGGGGGCCATTTTAGTGGCCCACCCTCAGGGGCACATTCTCTTTCTTAGGGATGTTCCTTGCTGAGAAAAAGAATTCAGTGATATTTCTCCCATTTGCTTTTGAAAGAAGAGAAATGTGGCTCTGTTCCACCTGGCTCACCGGTGGTCAGAGTTTAAGATTATCTCTCTTGTTCCCTGAACATTGCTGTTATCCTGTTCTTTTTTCAAGATGCCCAGATTTCATATTGTTCAAACACACATGCTCTACAATTTGTGCAGTTAACGCAATCATCACAGGGTCCTGAGGTGACATACATCCTCCTTGGCTTACAAGATGACAGGATTAAGAGATTAAAGTAAAGACAGGCATAGGAAATCACAAGGGTATTGATTGGGGAAGTGATAAGTGTCCATGAAATCTTCACAATTTATGTTTAGAGATTGCAGTAAAGACAGGCATAAGAAATTAAAGAAGTACTAATTTGGGGAACTAATAAATGTCCATGAAATCTTCACAATCCACATTCTTCTGCCATGGCTTCAGTCGGTCCCTCCATTCGGGGTCCCTGACTTCCCACAACATCTCTCCCTTTCTTTTTTTATAAATGTGCCATGGCGATGAAGGCTTGTTTGTTCTCTCGATTTTGATGCAGGATTCTTTGAGTGGTCCAGCACACTAAAAACAAGCCGATTAAACGGAGAAACATAATTCCAAAATTTACTACAGTGGAGCCCCCAGTAGACTTAATCCAAGTCATGGGGTTTAATCCATAAAGATTTTCTGCCACCTGATCTAACGCCTCAGCTCCAAGAACAATGGATAAGTGAGCTTGAGAGGCTTCAAAAATTTGTTTCTTTAATTTAGTTATGTCCAATGATAAATTATGTTCCCTACCCAGAAGGTGTCCTTTGACCATTTCCCATGAATGATCAGTCTTGTTATAGGAATACGGGGTGATACAGAAATCCAAAGTATTCCAATCGCACTGCATTTGCATGTGGTGTTCGAGACTCATCACCCGATCTCCAAGCCAAATAACAGACTTTTGTAAATCATTAATTTGATTTGTCAATTTTTGATAGATGCCTTGTTGAGACTTCCACATTTGGGTGGAATTGGCTTGCCAATCATTAACAAAATGAGCTGTTTGAATGGATTGGTGTAATGCCATTCTGGCAGTGGTGGCCATTGCAGTGACAGTAATTAGGCCCATGATAACAGCAATTAAAGTGAAAACAAATCTCTTAGATCTTTTTAGAATTCACTGTAGCACTTTATTAATTAAATGTATTGAGGGGGAGGATTCCCAAGGTCTGGGTAAAGTTACCAGAATCCAGATTCCTTCTCGAGCTTGAGCCAACATTACACTTTTCCTGGAGTCAAAAGGGGAGTTAATACAAGTGTATAAATGACAATTAATGCATTGGACAGTTTGATTGTTCATCCAAATTTTGATATTTCCCACTAACAGCATGTAAGGGGGCTTAACACTACTCTGTATAGGAACAGTCAGGTTGGAGGAAAGTAAAGCAGAATGTCTGGATCTACATTGATACTGAGAGAGAGTGGGACGGTAGTGGGGACAACAGACAGAATAGTTTTACCTTCCCATACTCGCAGTCCAGACATGGCAATAGCCAA